>NC_000004.12:143296381-143921381 GCF_000001405.40 Homo sapiens
ATCAGAGTTCAAAGACCTATGTGATTTGCCCAAATTTTAGAAGAATTGAAATGTGTAGTTTCCCCGAAAATATGTCATTAAGTATTACATATCAGAAAACTTAGGCCAAGTGTGGTGGCTCACGCCTGTAATCTCGGCACTTTGCAAGGCCAAGGCAGGAGGGTGTCTTGAGCACAGGAATTCAAGACGAGCCTGGGCAAGATAGCAACACCCCATCTCTACAAAAAAAAAGTTTTTTTTTTTAATTAGCTGAGTGTGGTGCTATGTGCCTGTAGTCCTAGCTACTTAGGCTGAAGTGGAAGGATCACTTGAGCCCAGGAGTTCGAGGCTGCAATGATCTGTGATCACACCACTGCACTCCAGCAGCAATGACTCTGCTGGAGCAAGCACCTGTCTAAAAAAAAAAAAGAAAGAAAGAAAAGAAACTAATTTTTTTAATGTATAGTAGTCAAAATATTCTTTGTTCAGACATGCCACTTGCCTAGGATTGTTGAATAGCTGGTAAGTCCTGTCTTGTTTAGCATCAGAATACGTATAGCATAGCAATTTTAAGAAACTAAAATATTAAACTACATATTTGCTTTCAAAGCAAAAGTTACATAAAATATCTTTGGACTATTATTAAGAAAAAAATTGCCTGCATATTTAAAAATTCAATGCTATGTTTTCTAAAGAAGGATGGATGGAGACCCCCTTACTGGTGCAGAAGGTCAAGCTTGCCTTAATGGTCTTAGGCAAACACTCCTTGCTTAAAAATTCACCTTTTCTACAATGTTTGAAAATAGAAGGAGGAGGAAATATGAATAGTGGAAAGAAGAAAAAAGTAGGTCAGGGCTTCGAAACCCTGCCATCTGTTCTTTATCACCTAATATAGATCTCTGTTTTTCCCAGTCACCACTCTTAGGACATCTACTATAGGGGACAGTTTATGTCAGTGATGGCATAATTACAGACTATTCCTCCCAGGCCCACATCTATATATGCCATCACTTCAGGCCCACAGGCCACCCCACTATTTCTCCATCTTAACCCTGGCCCTTCTGTCTGTGGGCCTTTGCTCAAGCCATTTTTCTCTTCCAAACACATACTCTCCCAGTCCTCAATCTCCCTCCTAATTAAACTAATAGTAGATTAAACTTTAATTAAGTTTTATTCATTTCTCAAGGCCCATTTGAAATGCTCCTTTTTTCAAGGTCCCTTTCTTGTTTCTTCCCAAGGGTGGCACATTTCTCCCTGTCGGAACCTCTCAGGTATTACCTTTGTGTTACTGAATGGGCCTTGTGTGATAGTTATTTGTGTTCTATAACAGATTCCCCCTACTAGAACTTCTACCAGAAAAGGAAGCAGGGCTTGTTTATGCTTGTACTTTTAGAAAGGGTTGCTACAGTGTCTAGAGCAGAGGAGGTGTTCAGTAAATGTGTTTTCCAATGGAAATAAGATGAAAATTTCAGACAGACAATGAAAATAAATAATTCTAGACTATTTCCTTCTTCAGTTTTTTTAACTTCCCATCTGCCTGGACTCCTCCCCTGCCTTTCTTTGAATATGAGGTTAAGTTTCATGTTCTCACACTTTGCTGTCAGTTAGCTGTGATCCTACCAGGAGATGACAATACTCATCTAGAGGGATAAGAGTGGGCACAGGCTATGGCCCATCATGATGAAAAAGAAGTAATAGGAGATCAGAAGCCCGGCCAAGCAGGCTTGTTTGTTCATCTCCCATGCTGACTTGCTTAGTGGCTTTGTAGGTCACTTTCTATATTAAGGCTTTATATCTAGTGCAAAAAAAAATTAAAGTTTATGACGTTTTTAACATCTGGAGAGACCATCAACAATAGGGTCTAGTGTCCTGTGGCTTCGTAGTCTCCTCTGGGCAATGGTATAGAACAGCATATTTTTTAAGCCTCAATCAAAAAGCAGGTTTAGGTAGCAATCTGGAAGGTTCTCCATGCTAAGGGGTTTTTTTGTTTGTTTGTTTTTGTTTTGTTTTGTTTTGTTTTGTTTTGTTTTGTTTGAGATTCAGTCTCACTCTGTTGCCCAGGCTGGAGTGTAGTGGCATGATCTCGGCTCACTGCAACCTCCGCCTCCCAGGTTCAAGCGATTCTCCGGCCCCAGCCTCCGGATTAGCTGGGATTACAGGCATGCTCCACCACACCTGGCTAATTTTTGTATTTTTAGTAGAGACGGGGTTTCACCATATTGGCCAGGCTGGTCTCAAACTCCTGACCTCAGGTGATCCACCCACCTCGGCTTCCCAAAATGCTGGGCTTACAGGCATGAGCCACCACGCTCAGCCCATGCTAAATTTTTAAATTTTGCCTGAATTACTCTAGAAGCATTTTCATTTTACTAAGTCACTTAATAATTTGTTCTACAGCAAGGGTATTTTTCCCACCAGCCAACCTCACCCAAGAAAAAAGCTGCTTAGGCTTTTTTCTTTCTGTGCCACTACTGCCCATCAGAGGACATGATCCCAGTCTTCTGGGCAGAGAGAGACAGTGCTCCCAGATGGCCTGAACTGCTGATGAGAACCGTCCATTGAGCAGTTTGCACAAAGGCATGGCAGTTTTCAGGAGACTTTGGTGCCTCTCCAGGTGTGCTGTGAGGTTAAAGAAAGGCAGGCCAGGTGTGGTGGCTCATGACAAAATTAGTTGGGCGTGGTAGCACATGCCTGTAATCCCAGCTACTCGGGGGGCTGAGGCAGGAGAATCACTTGAACCCGCGAGGCGGAGGTTGTGGTGAGCCAAGATGGCGCTATTGCACTCCAGCCTGGGGAATTTAAAAAAAAAAAAAAAAGGGAAAGGCTTGCCCTGGGTGCCCGTGGTTCTGGCCTGGACATTGCCAATAAGCGTGTTCTAAGACATCCCCCTCCTCTTCCTTTCCTACTGTCCTGTGTGCCCTGCCCACCTTGGCTCTGCCAGGTAACTCTCTTGTACTATCCCTTTGTTAGATTGTAAATTCCAGGGCAATCTCAGTAGTATATTCTTATTATCTAAGGTTGACTTAGGAAGTATAAAACTGAATAGAACCTGTTTCTTCTTCAGCTTCTTCACTGACTAGTCTAGATTGAGTCATTGCCTGTGACCTCTTGCTTATCCTAGGGAACAGGCCAGTTAGAGATGCTCAAGGAGCATAGTTGGGAGACCTAGATGATACTTCAGCCTGAGAGAAGGAATATGTCTCCAACAAGGAGTCCCCAGGGACACCTCCCGGATGAATCAGACCTGAAAAAAGAGAAAGTGATTCCTTTCAGCTAGTTTGCACGTGCCACTCCTGTATCCCCACCTCCATGTCACCCTGAATCAGCTTCTGAACTTCTAAACTTCAATATCCTTTTCCACATGTTCCACCCTTTGTTACCTGTCAATGAAAGCCAGAATAGCAAGCTGCTGCCACTTTCTTACAGGTTGGTGAAAAAACACCCGAACTTCTCATATCTGCCTACTTTCACCTTTGAAAAGAGTAGGGCTACTCAGGTGTAAGAAGGATGAAAGAGAAACTAGAGGGACCCACGAAAATTCCCACTTGCTACACAGTTTTTCCTGAGGCCATGCTATGTACCCCTCACCAGTTTATCTTCAACCCTTCTCTAATGATAAAAGCTGTGCACCCTTGTTAGTGGGAGTGTAAATTGGTTCAACCATTGTGGAAGACAGTGTGGCGATCCCTCAAGGATCTAGAACTAGAATTACCATTTGACCCAGCAATCCCATTACTAGGTATATATACCCAAAGGAGTATAAATCATGCTACTATAAAGACACATGCACACGTACATTGACTGCGGCACTATTCACAATAGCAAAGACTTGGAACCAACCCAAATGTCCATCAATGATAGACTGGATTAAGAAAATGTGGCACATATACACCATGGAATACTATGCAGCCATAAAAAAGGACGATTTCAGGTCCTTTGCAGGGACATGGATGAAGCTGGAAACCATCATTCTCAGCAAACTATCACAAGGACAGAAAACCAAACACCGCATGTTCTCACTCATAGGTGGGAATTGAACAATGAGAACACTTGGACACAGGGTGGGGAACATCACACACTGGGGCCTGTCAGGGGGTGGGGGGGCTGGGGGAGGGATAGCATTAGGAGAAATACCTAATGTAAATGATGAGTTGATGGGTGCAGCAAACCAACATGGCACATGTATACCTATGTATCGAACCTGCATGTTGTGCACATGTACCCTAGAACTTAAAGTATAATAAAAATAAAATAAAATATAACAGTTCATAACAAAGAAAAAAAAAGCTGTGCACCCAGGTGCGTCTCCGCACTTCAGTGGGGACACTGGTTCATATGCATGCAGGTCAGTTTCCTGAAGCTCCTCAGACACATCTCCTGGGAGATTTTCCTTGGCACAGAAGAAAGAATAATAGATCTCTTCTTTGCCCATTTCTCTAATCTGACTTTGTTTTACAAAACTGCAGATCCAGGGTGAAGAGTGTTAGTATAGTAGATAAGTTCAGGGTTCTAAAGTCAGAAAAGTCTGGGTTCAAATTGTGACTTTGTAACATACAGTTTTATGTCTGCAAGCATATCACTTTGGGTTTCTTGGCCTTCATTTCCTCAAGTAAATAAAGGAGATAAGGAGACAACAGGTAACTTGCCAGGTACTGGGAAGATAATACATGTTTCTACATGTCCTTAGCACAGTAAGTATTCAACAATGGCAGATATTACCCATATTGGGTGAAGGCTCAGGTCCACATAGTCATATGTGTTAATGGTGCTCCCTGGAATTGCTCAGTGCAATGACTGCAGGAACGTTTTACCCCACAGTTCTGGGAAGAAGTAAAGATGAGGACCTTTAAAAATTCACATGAAGTAGAAGTTAGACACAGAGCGGGCAATTCCCAGCAGTGACACCAAGCATACACTTGGTTCAGGGCAATTCTGGAGATAAAGAGGAGAAAATTTGTTTTTCTTTTTTGGAGACAGGTTCTTGCTCTGTTGCCCAGGCTGGAGAGAAGTGGTGGGATCACAGCTCACCATAGCCTCGACCTCCCTGCTTAAACAATCCTCCCAGCTCAGTCTCCCTAGTAGCTGGGATCACAGGCACGCATGACCATGCCCAGCTAATTTTTTTTTCTATTTTTTTGTACGGGGCGGTGCGGGGGGTCTCACTTTGTTGTTCAGGCTTGTTTTGAACTCCTGGGTTCAAGTGATCACCTTGCCTCGGCCTCCCAAAGTGCTGGGATTACAGATATGAGCCACCACACCCAGCCAAAAACTTTAAAAAATATTTTTTTCCTGCATCAAGGGAATGATACATTGCAGAACTTATTTTAAGTACAGACTTGCATTTGTAACCAAACAAACACCTCAAATTTTTTTAAGAACACTATAAAAATAGAGAATAACTTTATTATTGTAAGTTCATGTGAAACACTAACTAGAATGTCTGAGTATGTAATGGGGTATTAGGCACAAACAGGAGAAATGCTGTGCCAATTGGACATAATTAGACACAGAGATTAGACATAATTGTTGCCATTGAGAGCTTCTGGCCAGGTTTGGTGGCTCATGGCTGTAATCCCAGCACTTTGGGAGGCCAAGGCAGGAGGATCCCCTGGGATCAGGAGTTCAAGACCAGTCTGGCCAACATGGTGAAACCCTATCTCTACTAAAAATACAAAAATTAGCTGGGCGTGGTGGTGCATGCCTGTAATCCCAGCCACTCGGGAGGCTGAGGCAGGAGAATCGCTTGAATCCAGGAGGCAGAGGTTACAGTGAGCCAAGATCATGCCATTGCACTCCAGCCTGGGCGACGAGAGCGAAACTCCATCTCAAAAAAAAAAAAAAAAAAAAAAAAAAGGAGCTTCTGGTATAAAGAGCAGGGATTCTTAACTTGAGAATTATGGACAAGCCTTGAAGGACCCGCCAACCTCCAGAAATTGTGTACACAATTGTGTGTGTACTTGTGGGCAATTTCAGAATGTCCAGAGCTTTCTTCAGAATCTCAAAAGGATTAAAAAAAAATAGAAGAAGGAAAAAGAAAAGATGAAGAATCACAGATCAAGACTAAAGAATCATTGAATTATAGTAATTTTTCTATGGAATGCTACAAAAGTAGAGTACTCACAGTCATCTAATTCTGGGGTTCTCACACTGTTCTAGGTAAAGGACAAACTTAATTCTTGGCCCTGCTGAACTTAAGATAAGCTCAGTGTTTCATTCCTCTGTAAACATGTGATTTTTCAATACATTTGGATTTCTCAGAAATTGTTCACAAAACTTGTGCCAAAATCTATGATTCCCTTGGTATTACATTTGGGCTGCTCCAAGCCACAGGGTAATTTACAACCAGCCCGCTGTGTTGAGCCCACCCCCCTGTATGACCAACAGGAAGAGAAGTTTGGCAGCAACACTGCCCTAATGAATGAAAAATGCAAACCTTGCAAATCCCTCTGCATTTAAATCCCCCAGAGTCCTGATGCAGACACATTTCCAAAAAGCCTGCATTTCCAAGATGTAATTTACTGTCCTTAGAGGTTCATGTGGGCCACCCAAAGTAGATGGGCCTTATTAAAGCAGCTTTTATCGGCCAAGCAGATACAGTGTTTTTTATTATCAAATGGGGGAAATTTGATGAAATGAGCAGCTTTGGTGAGAAATGATAAATTGCACAATGTCATGGCATATTCTGGTGAGCATTTGCACATAGGGTCGCAGCAGAGGCGCACTGATCTCCGTGTCTCCACATGGCTTCACCATATTCCAATCCAGTATCTTGAAGAAGGAAGGAGACTTTAGGTTAGTTGTACCTTTGTATGGGATATTCTTCATAAAAACAAATGTGTACTGAGAGAGAAGCTACCACTAAATTCTCATGGGAAGAAGCCAGTAATTTCTTTTCTTTTTTCTTTTTTTTTTTTTTTTTTTTTGTAGACTAGACCTCAGTGAGGCAGAGACTCCAGGGAGGTGCTGGATAGAGGAAATCTTCTCCTTTGGAAAATATGCTTTTCCTGGAGCATGGGGTACTAGTCCCCTAAAAATAAGATTTTATTACACAACACAGGATACAAATTGTAGTACAGGTCCAGGATCCATTATTTACAGCCCTTGGGGCAAGATGTGTTTCAGAATTTGAAATCTTTCATTTCTTAAGGCCAGGAACAGTGGCTCATGCCTGTAGTCCCAGCTATTCAAGAGGCTGAGGCAGGAGGATTGCTTGAGCCCAAGAGTCTGAGGTTACAGTGAGCTATGATTGTACCACTGCACTCCAGCCTGGGCAACAGAGCAAAACCCCATCTCTAAAAATGTTAAAATAAAATAGAATCTTTCCAATTCTTAAAAGTTAGGGCTGGGGCAGCGGCTCATGCCTGTAATCCCAGCACTTTGGGAGGGCAAGGCAGGAGGATCACTTGAGTCCCAGAGTTAGAGACTACCCTAGGCAACATGGCAAAACCCTGACTCTATAAAAAAAATACAAAAAATTAGCGAGGTGTGGTGGTGCACGCATATAATCCCAGCTACTTGGGAGACTGAGGTGGGAGGATCACCTGAGCCCAGGAGGAGGTTGAGGTGCAGTGAGCCGAGATCGCACCACTGGATTCCCGCCTGAGCACAGAGTGAAACCCTGTCTCAAAAAAAAAAAAAAAAAAAAAAAAAAAAAAATTAAGACTTGCTGAAGGCTCAGGTTATCATTAGCATTTAAAATGTTAATATAGGGTATATATACTCTATAACTAAGAGAGGATGGGGAAACACCCTATTACTAAACAAATTCTTTTCATTATTTTCTTCTGCCAATGTTAAAGTGTTGATCATGTCCCCGCTCATGGTCCCAAGATGGCGATGGGTACAGCAGATACAAGAATATTGTTTTCATTCAGTGATAATCAACAGCCAGGAGAAAGGTGCTGGGGTTTCATGTTGTGTTTCTCTTCCCTATTGTGGAGAAAAATTCATTCCTAGAAGCCCCAGGGAGACTTCCCTCAGATACTATTGCCTAGAACTGGGTCCCAGACATATCCAATACAAATTCCAGACAAAAATGCATTCCCTAAACTTGGGAGAGATATGTCTTCCCTGCACACACTGTTGTTATAGCTGAACAAAATCCAGAGTTCTTATGCAAGGAATGAGGACAAAACAGTACTGGATAAAGCAACAAATGGAGACTAACACCAGAGTGTATCAAAAAACCAAGGCGAGGTTCTAATTCTTAGGAAGGAAATAGCATAAATTACCGAAATAGAATCTGATTAAAGTATTAGCCATCTGGGACCAAAATCTGTGTGCTGCCTCTTCTAAGAAGCCCTCATGGGCACCAAAGCAGACTTGTTACTCAGGTACACAGACTCATTTTTATTGGTTTATCCAGTGGTGATTTGTATCTTATCTTGGGATTTTACATGGAAGTCATGATACTTTACTCTCAGCAATCTAAGGGAAAGGAATGAAGCTGGAGGAGGTGGGAGTAAGAAAATAGAAAATGCGACCAGGTGAGGTGGCTCATGCCTGTAATCCCAGCACTTTGGGAGAGCGAGGCGGGTGGACCACCTGAGGTCAGGAGTTCGAGACCAGCATGGCTAACATGGTGAAACCCCGTTTCTACCAAAAATACAACAATTAGCCAGGCATGGTGGTGGGCGCCTATAGTCCCAGCTACTTGGGAGGCTGAGGCAGGAGAATCACTTGAACCCGGGAGGTGGAGGTTGCAGTGAGCCGAGATCACAACATTGCACTCCAGCTTGGGCAACAAGAGCGAAACTCCGTCTCAAAAAAGAAAGAAAAAGAAAATAGAAAATGAGGCAATAGGCTGGACGCAGTGGCTCATACCTGTAATCCCAGCACTTTGGGAGGTAGAGACAGGCAGATCACTTGAGGCCAGGAGTCTGAGACCAGCCTGGCCAACATGATGAAACACCATCTCTACTAAAAATACAAAAATTAGCTGGGCTTGGTGGCACATGCGCGTAGTCCCAGCTACTTGGTAGGTTGAGGCAGGAGAATTGCTTGAACCCAGAAGGCAGAGGCTGCAGTAAGCCAAGATCACACCACTGCACTCCAGCCTGGGCAACAGAGTGAGACTCTTTCTCAAAAAAAAAAAAAAAAAAAAAACAATGAGGCAATAAAGAGATAAGTTATAGACTAGACCAGGGGTCAGCAAATTATAGACTTTGGGCCAAATCCAGCCTATTGCCTATTTTTATAAATAAAGATTTATTGGAACACAGTGATGCTTTTTGGTTTATGCATTGTCTATGGTTGCTTGTGTGCTAACAGCAGAATTGATTAATTGCAACAGAGACCATATGGCTTGCAAAACCTAAATGTTTGCAGTTGAGCCCAACCTGGAAAAACTTGCTGATCCCTATACTGGTCCCAACCACCAAAGCAAGTGATAAAAAAAACAAATGTACCCTAAAATCTATGCACAAGGTCATAGGCATCTGCAAAGTTATAGGGCCATGGCCACTAGGAAAAAGGAAATCACAAGGGCAGGGCTGTAATTCAGAGTTCACAGCAGGATTAGAGGATTAAACAGGTGACTTGGATGAGATATCACAATGAAAGCCAAGGTAGATGCATGGTTCTTCCAAATAAGCATCTAAACAAGGCGATGGGCAAGGGTGAGTGTGTGAGTGTGAGTGTGTCTGAGTGTGTGTGTGTGTATGTGTCTTCATCTGTGTGTAATTCAAACACTGAAGGCAGGAACCCCATAATTAGGGTGAGAGCACCAAAGATGAGCACACTACAAATCAAGGAAACTTAGTGTTCAACACAGATTTGTAGCACAGAGCCATACTTTGTATATTGCATTGGAGTAAACCTGCAAGAGAGTTAAATAACAATGTTTCACTGGTTTGAGAGGAGCCTAAAGTGGCTGAAATGATCCTGCCTCAAGTCAATTATTTTGGCAAGTGAGGGGAACTAAGCCATGTGCGGTGAGATCAGCAGCACATCTGAAAATCACTGGGATCAGTAGAGGAAGAAAATGAACACTAGGGTGCTGCATGAACCTAACTATTTCAATATGGGGGTAATTGAGACTCTTGATCTAGAATCATCACTCCCTACCTTTGATAGCACTAAAGAAAAACCACACTGGGCATGGTGGCTCACACCTATAATCCCAGCACTTTGGGAGACCAAGGTGTGTGGATCACCTGAGGTCAGGAGTTCGAGACCAGCCTGGCCAACACGATGAAACCCGTTTCCACTAAAAACACAAAAATTAGCCGGGCATGGTGACATGCACCTTTAATCCCAGCTACTCAGGAGGCTGAGGCAGGAGAATCACTTGAACCCAGGAGGCGGAGGTTGTACTGAGCGGAGATCACGCCATTGTACTCTAGCCTGGGCAACAAGAGGGAAACTCCATCTCATAAAAAAATAAAAAATCGTATTCTGACTGTCGTTTTTCAAGATTTTCTTCTATTTGTGTAAGTAAAAAATATCATCTACATCTCCCCTCCTCACTCTTTAGTGTTGTTGTAACATGATGCAAGATTATATTTTAGGTTAGTGTTTCCTGGTGGCAGCTGGAAAGGCACCTTAATATCCGTATTAAAAATACTTGGAAATTGCATTGTGAGAAGGCCTTCCTGTGGACAGTGAATCCACCTCACAGTGGAGGATTCTCACAGCTCCATCAAAGAGGGTGTTCCCTTCCGGGGGCAGTGTCCTTGCCTCTTCCTGTTCTTCTGCAGTCCAGATTTCATATGAAAGTCTCCCTGACCCTTGGAGATTTAGGTAAACTTGGCCTGAACTTCTAGAGTAGCAGCTTGTGTGAGTCCAATGCCCCAAACACGCTTCCAAGAATTCCTGACCTTTTAACTTCATGGTTTCCTCTACCTTTGCTCCTACATACGCTTCTGTAAACTGGGTTTCATCCTGTTATGGATTTAATTGTGTGCCTGAAGAAAGATGTGTTGAAGTTCTAACCCCCATCACCTGAGAATGTGACCTTATTTGGAGGCAGTCAAGTTAAGATGAGGTCATTAAGGTGAGCTCTAATCCAGTATGACTGCTGTCCTTATGAAAAGACAAAATTTGGACACAGAGACAGGTACACATAGAGGGAAGGTGAAGTGAAGAGACAAAGGGAAAAGATAGCCACCTATAAACCTAATGCCTAAGGCTACCAGAAACTAAGAGAGATCCTTCCCTAGAGTCTTCAGAGGAAGAATGGCCCTGCCAATGCCTTGATTTCGGACTTCTAGCCTTCAGAACTGTGAGAAAAGGCATTTTGGTTGTCCTAGGCCATGTGGCTTCTGTACTTTGTTACAGCAGCCCTGGGAAATGAATGCAAGTATACTCTACTGGCCTGGGCTCAAAGCTCCACCCCTTGCACATGGGGCACCAACAAATCTGCTCATGCCACACCTTTCCTGAGTTCACTCAGTAATTACCAAGAGCAGTGACTGCACAGCCTCCACCCTGGAGCCTTCTGTCTTCCCACAGCCTCTCCCTCACACTCCACCTCAGGGACATCTCTCACAAGAGGAAGCTTCCTGGGAGGTGAGGGCTGGATCCCTGGCCAGGCCTGTCTGCCTTTTTGAAAGCTCTCAGAGTTCTGTGAAAATCATCTTCTCCATTTCACTTTTCTATCATGATGTTTAATCCTGGGGTTTCTGTTGCTACTTAGATTTGCACCTACTACTTTGTCCACTGACAATACAAAAGAATAGCAAAAAGATCTAGGTGTTATAGTTCAGAGGTGGAAAGAGAAGAAAGTATGGGGCCTTTTCTGTAACTCAGGACTTCTGAGACACAGTGCATTGACTTGACAGCAACAGATCCAGGAGCTAGACCTCAGTTATCTGTACAGTCAACACTCCTCATGATCAGAGAAGCATAATCTTGAAATCAAATGGCTAATCTGTTGACAGAAAGAGTCAAATTTTGTAAAAATTTGAAGAGATTTATTCGGAGCCAAATATGAATGACTATGGACTGAAGCACAGTCTCAAGAGGACCTAAGGACATATGCCCAAGGTGGTTGTGCTGCAGCTTGGTTTTATACGTTGTAGGGAGACATAAGACATCAACCAATACATGTAAGGTGTACATTGTTTTGGTCCAGAAAGGCAGGACAACTCAAAGGTGGGCAGGACTTCCAGGTCACTAGTGGATTCAAAGATTTTCTGACTGGTAATTGGTTGAAAGAGTTAAGTTATTAGCTAAAGACCTGGAATCAACAGAAGAAAGTGTCTGGGTAAAGATAAAGGGTTATGGAGACCAAGGTTGGTATGTAGATAAAGCCAGGCTTCAAAGAGAACAGATTGTAAATTTCTTATCAGACTTAAAAAGGTGCCAGACTCTTAGTTAATTCCCTCCTGGACCAGGGAAAAGACCTAGAATGGGAAGGGGATGCTCTACAGAATATAGATTTTCCCCACAAGAGACAGCTTTGCAGGGCTATTTCAAAATGTGTCAAATAAATTTATTTTGGGCTAAAATACTTCCATTTATTTCAGGACCTGCTATTGGTCATGTTGGTATCTTATTGCTACAAAGAGTCTGTTTTGTCAATCTTAATGTCCGTGTTTTAGTGTTTTGTGTTTGTTTTTGTTTTTGTTTGAGAGAGTCTCACTCTGTCGCCCAGGCTGGAGTGTAGTGGCGCAATCTCGGCTCACTGCAACCTCTGCCTCCTGGGTTCAAGCGATTCTCCTGTCTCAGCCTCCCAAGTAGCTGGGATTACAGGCACGCGCCACCATGCCCAGCTTATTTTTGTATCTTTAGTAGTGATGGGGGTTTCGCTATTTGGCTAGGCTGGTCTTGAACTCCTGTCCTCAGGTTATCCTCCTGCCTCAGCCTCCCAAAGTGCTAGGATCACAGGTGTTAGCCACCTTGCTCGGACTGTTTTAGCGTTAACGTGGGTCAGTTGTGCCTGAATTCTACAGGGAGGAAGGTATAATGAGTCATGCCTGACTCCCCATTCCCGTCATGGCCTGAACTAGTTCTTTGGGTTAACTTTATAATGCCCTTGGCCTAGAGGGGGGTTCATTCAGTTGGTTCAGAGGCTTAGAATTTTATTTTTAGTTTACAAACCCAAGAGCCCTACTTAATTTGCAATATAAAATATGATTGCCAAGCATATTGAAATACTCAGATTATCTGGTCTGAGTGCAGTGGTGTTTGCAACTAATTGATCACACCAGGTACAGATTTCTTTGTTCCTTCTCCATGCCCCCTGCTTCACTTGACTAGCCTAAAAAAAAAAAAAGAAAGAAAGAAAGAAAAGAAAAGAAATAAAAAATAAAAATACCCAGATCATCACTTGATAAAGTTTTATTTTTTTATTTTTTTCCTCTAAATAAAGTACACAGACAAGGAGAAAGATGTTATGATCTGGATGATCTATAAATATCAAATCAGGATAATTGCAGGCAGGTAGCATACCCTGGTTATGGAGATTAAAAGCATGAGTTCTATAGTCCAGTAGAAGTTGAGTTTTAACCACAGCTTTACTACTTAATGCCTATATAACCTCAGGAAAGTTCCATAATCTCTGTTTTTTAATCCTGTAAAATGAAGATAATAATGCTTAACTCATTATTATTATAAGTTACAACAATTACATGAGCTAATAATGCATGTCAAGTGCTTAGCACAGTTTCTGCCTAATCCTTCTATAGGTTTTATCTGTTATTCCTTTGAAAAGACCATCTCTCTAGGTGGGAACATGGGTGTGGCTGCTAGCTGGCATCAGGAATTGTGTTTGGTTGCTGATAATAGAGACTTGAAATGACAGTGGTTTAAACAAAACAGATGACATATTCTCTCCCTCTCTCTCTCTGTAAAGAAGAGTAAGCTGGCCATGGTGGCATACATCTGCAATTTCAACTACTCAGGAAGCAGAAGATTGCTTAAACCCAGGAGTTCGAGGCCAACCTGGGCAACATAGCCAGGCTGGCTTTAAAAATAAGAGTAGCAGTGGGCAGCCCAGGGTAGGTATGGCGTCTCACAATCATCAGGATCCCAGAGCCTTGCCACTGTTTGCTCAGGCTTCCTTTCATGTGGCTTCCTTCCTTAAGGTTACTTCATAGTGGAAGATGGAGCTCCAGCCATTATGTCTGAATCACAGATCACAGACAGGCTCTATTTCCTTCAATGAACCTTCCCAGAGTCTCAGCTAAAATTTCTGTTTACGTGTCATTAGCCAGAACACAGTTAAATGACCACAACCACACCTAGCTGCAAAGTAGGCTGGAAATACAGTCTTTTAAGAGTTCTCTTGGCAGGGTGCAATGGCTCACACCTGTAATCCCAAAGCTTTGGCAGGCCGAGGTGAGCAGATCCCATGAGCCTAGTAGTTCAAGATGAGCCTGGGAAACATAGTGAGACCCTGTCTCTACCAAAAAAATACAAAAATTAGCCAGGCATGGTGGCATGTGCCTGTAGTCCCAGGTACTCGGGGGTGCTGAGGTGGGAGGGTCAATCGAGCCCAGGAAGTCAAAGCTGCAGTGAGCCGTGATCACACCACTGCACTCCAGCCCGGGCAACAGAGGGAGACCCTGAGACCCTGTCTGAAGAAAAAAAAAAAAGTTCTCTTACTGAGGAAGACAGGAAGAATAGGTTTTGATAGGCAGCTCTGGCCCCTGGAACAAGAGCCGTTTTCCTTCCCCAACATAATGTTTGCAAAGGCTTGGAGCTCTAAAGGACCTGAATCCTGAGGTCCTGAGAGAAGGAAGGGTCACCCAGAAAGCCCAGAAGAGAGCTGAATCTAGGAGACCTGTCAGATCTCCTTGGTATGAAAACACAATATGATTTTTAGAGACAGAGGAGAAAGGGTATTGGCAGGAAACAGAGGCCTTGATTTGACAGAGTTCTCCAAATTTTAGAGAGTAGAATTTGAACATGTCTCAGTATCACTGTCCACTATGAGCTGATGCTTTTTTAATGCCTGTAAGGCAGTTACTGTCAAATAAACCCTGGACGCAGAATTCTGGGTCTGAACTGGCTCTACCACTCTCTCAAAGGGCTTTGAACAGCCCCTTTCTTCCTGAAGGGAGGAGGAAAAGAAAATAACACAGAGTGTCTATTTTAAAGGAATAAGGTGTTTGCAGCTTTATATTCTTTATATCATGCTATCCTCACAACAGTGAGGTGGATATTCTTAACCCTCAAGGTATAGATTAATAAACCGAGGATCAGAGAAGTTAGATAACTTGCTCAGGGACACTCAGCTAGGAAGAGGCAGAGCTGAGATTGAAGGTGAAGTCGAGCTCCTTCTGTGGCCTCAGCTCTTCACTGTAACCATGGACCAGCTTCCATGCCCTTCCCTTGGGTTCTGGGCAAAGCAAAAATGAGCCTGACCCATTGGGAGGTGGATAAACTGAGATCCAATAAAGCCACCTGACTTGGCCAAGACACAGAAATTCTTTCTCCAGCAGTTTTGCTCAGCATCCTTGCTTCTATTTTCTTATAGAACTATTGCCTCAGGCATGATTTTAGTATCTGTTGATAATGACAATCATGACATGATGGTGGTGCTTTGTGTCACACTGTTCATTCTCTAGAGAAAACAAAAAAAGGTTTAATGGTCAATTGCCTTTAGAAAATACAGCATGTTATACTCCCTTCCTTGATACTCTCAGTGCACAAAAATCCTTCAGCAAATAATTTGGTTTAATTTAGTTTAATCTAGCATGTTTAAAAAATATTCCCTGTTTCAGTAAATGGTATTATCTTATCTTCCATCCAATTACCCGTATCAGAAACTTTCAGACACACCGCCCAGCCTCTCCCCACCCCACCACACACATACTGTATTTCGGCCCATCTCTACATACTCACTGCCTGTCACCTGGCTTCTGTCACTATAGTCCTTCTGTAGCAGCAAACAAATTGGATTCACCTGCTTCCAGTCTTTCCCCTCCTCTAATCTATCCCCCATATTATATCAAGGATGATCTTAAATATGTAAATCACCTCACTATGCAAACCTTTAAGACAAGGTCCAGAGTCCCTAAATTGGCCCAGAGCCTTTCTCTGGCCTAAAACCCTTGATATGCCACGTGCATCACATAGGAATCTTTTCACATTTTCCAATGTTCTGCTCCATCTCTCCTGCCCATCTTCCTGTATACCAATCACCCCACTTGGCCCACTCTTCCTACACTCCTTTATCTGGCCAACTCCAACTTATTCTTCAGGTCTCAGTTGAAAATCTTCCCTCAACCATGACCTGGAGGTCAGATTACATCTCCTGGCTATAGATTCCCACAGATGCCCTTGCACATCTCCTGTCATCACATTCATCCCTGGAAATGAAATGTGTTGGGGTTTTTCTGTTTTTGTTTTTGAGATGGAGTCTCGCTCTGTCACCCAGGCTGGAGTGCAGTGGCGTGATCTTGGCTCACTGCACCCTCCACCTCACAGGTGCAAGTGATTCTCCTGCCTCAGCCTCCTGAGTACCTGGGATTACAGGCAAGTGCCACCACACCCAGCTAATTTCTGTATTTTTAGTAGAGATGGGGTTTTGCCATGTTGGCCTGACCTCAGGTAATCCACCTGCCTTGGCTTCCCAAAGTGCTGGCATTTCAGGCGTGAGCCACCATGTCCAGCTGTGAAATAGAGAGAGAGAGAGTCTTGCTCTGTTGCCCAGGATGGAGTGCAGTGGCACGATCTTGGCTCCCTGCAACCTCTGCCTCCCAGGTTTAAGCAATCCTCCTGCCTCAGCCCCACTATTAGCTGGGATTACAGGCACACACCTCCACGCCCGGCTAATTTTTGTATTTTTAGTAGAGACGGGGTTTCGCCATGTTGGCAAGGCTGGTCTCAAACTCCTGACCTCAGGTGATCCACCCACCTCAGCCTCCCAAAGTGTTGGGATTACAGGTGTGAGCCACCGGGCCCTGCCGAAACAATATTTTTAAATACAGGTTAGGGTAATATAAATAAATAAATAATTACTTATATGGTCAAATTAATTCAAATAATTCACAAATTCTTACAAATATTTCTTAAGGGCCTAGGGTATGCAGGGTTCTTTTTAGTTGTAAGTGGGACTTCAAAGTAAATAAGAGATCTATGCCCATAATCCCAGCTACTCAGGAGGCTGAGGCAGGAGAATCACTTGAACCTGGTAGGTAGGGGTTGCAGTGAGCCGAGATCATGCTACTGCACTCCAGCCTGGGTGACAGAGCGAGACTCTGTCTCAAAACAAAACAAAACAAAAAAGTATATATACATATACAGTTTCATATATTAAGCCCAATCTCCTTATCTGGCTTCAAGGCTCTTCAGAATCTTCCCAGCCTTCCTAATCAATGATCCCTAGTCTCATCTTTTTGCATCTGGGCCTTAGGGATTTTATTTTCTCTGTCTGGAATGTAAGACACTGGCCTCTTATCTGCCCAAAACAGAACCACCCATCAAAGCCTAGCTCAGATTCAACCTCCTCCAAGGAACCTGCCCTACCCCTACAATAAACACTAATTTCTCCCTTCTCTGAATACTTTGTAAACCACTAGAAGTCTATACCAGTGATATCACACCTAGCGTTCATGGTGGTCTTGTTTCACAGTTGTGGAGAACATTATTGTATAATAATTAGCTACTGTTTTCTCCTTAGATTTTCTTGCTTCTTTCCTTTCCCTGCAACATGGTCAGGGCCAAGCTCTGGCCACGGAGAAGGAAGCAAGAAAAAAAAAAATCTGTGTTTTGTGTCCCAAAAGCCAGAATTGCCAGAGCAATTTTTAAAATTAGATCAAAGGGAGGAAGAGACTAACAGAAGTTTCCCCCAGACTGGGTGGAGAAGAGAGGAGTAAGGAAGGAAAGATATGGAGCCAAGAGAAACCAATGCATTCCACTGACAGTTTCTCAACCTGTTTTGGGGCAGATCTCTAGGGAGGGGCCAGGACCTCTGAGAGGTGTGGGGATGGAAAGCAACAGGTGTCTGTATGATGCTAACTGGATAGAGCTCCAGGGAGACAGTCAGGTCCCAGAGAACTTGTCTGCAATATGTGTCTGAGCAGATAAGGATATGAACATTACAAATACTCTTAACCTCAGTTTGGCAAGAAGGAAGCAGAATAATTCCTGGGCCTTCCAGATATAGCACAGGAGTGTTCCAGAGGTTTGTAGGGCCTGAAGGGGCCATGCAGAGCCTTCAGGAATGAAGGACATCTTAGTGGCAATCTATATGCAAAAACAATTGGAGCAGTGGATGCCTCATGGACAAATCAGTCAAGGAACAGATGGGCCCTTTTCCAATATCTTGGCACTATTTACATTCCCTAGAATTTGGATAACATGGAGGTTAACCCTACTAGACTATAAGCTTCTTGATGGACAAGATTTTGTAAAATTTCCTTGTGGTGTCTTCTCACATAGTGCCTAGGGTGGTGTCTTTTACAAGAAAGTAAATGAGGCCGGGCTCGGTGGCTCACACCTGTAATCCCAGCACTTTGGAAGGCCGAGGCGGGCGGGTAATGAGGTCAGGAGATCGAGACCATCCTGGCTAACACTGTGAAACCGTGTCTCTACTAAAAATACAAAAAAATTAGCCAGGCGTGGTGGCGGGCGCCTGTAGTCCCAGCTACTTGGGAGGCTGAGACAGGAGAATTGCTTGAACCCGGGAGGCGGAGCTTGCAGTGAGCTGAGATTGCGCCACTGCACTCCAGCCTGGGCGACAGAGCGAGACTCCATCTCAAAAAAAAAAAAAAAAAAAAAAAAAGAAAGTAAATGAATAACTGAATAAATCGTGTTCTCCAGTTGTCCAGAAGGAAATTCCTGATCTTGATCTGGAGTCTCCAAAAGGAGTTCCTACTTTTCTCCCAGGCACCAAAAGGAGATGGACCAAGTCTCTTCACTGAATCTCCTTTGTCTTTGTATACTGTTAGTATTGTAGGTGTTTCCATCAACTTACTAGATATTTTATTTATTTATTTACTTGAGACAGGGTCTTGCTCTGTTGCCCAGGCTGGAGTGCAGTGGTACAATCTTGGCTCACTGCAACCTCCACCTCCTGGGTTCAAGTCATCCTCCCACCTCACCCTTCCAAGTAGCTAGGACTATAGGCATGCACCACCATGCCTAGCTAATTTTTGTATTTTTAGTAGAGACGGGGTTTCACTATGTCACCCATGCTGGTCTTGAACTCCTGGGCTCAAGGGATCTGCCTGCCTCAGCTTCCCAAAATGCTGGGATTACAGGCATGAGCAACCATGCCTGGACATTTTTATTTAGGTATCTAAGTGCAGGAATAAAAGAAAAGCAAAAAAAGAATGCTATTTGGTGGAATATGTTATTGCTTAAGTTTAAATGACCTTAGCAAATTTTTAAAAAGAAATCCTGAGAAAATATAAATAAATTAAAATAGTTTTTTTGTTTTGTTATCTTTTTAGACAGGGTCTCACTCTTTGCCCAGGCTGGAGTGCAGTGGCACAATCTCAGTTCATTGAAACCTCCACCTCCCAGGTTCAAGCGATTCTCATGCCTCAGCCTCCAAAATAGCTGGAATTACAGGCTTCTGCCCCAACACCCGGCTAATTTTTTTGTATTTTTAGTAGAGACAGGGTTTTGCCATGTTGCCCAGGCTGGTCTCAAACTCCTGAGCTCAGGTGATCCACCTGTCTCGGCCTCTCAAAGTGCTGGGATTATAGACGTGAGCCACCTCACCTGGCCATTAGCTATAATTTGTGCAAAATAACTTTTGCAGTGAAGACAGTTAGACACTGGGTTTAGGAAATTATCCTTTTTAAAGCAGGAGGATTTTGGAAACCTGGTATGAAAGAGCTGCCACTCGCAAATGTCCACATTGCAACAAAATATTGCTGGGTCGTCTGCAGGCACTTCTGGATTATCATTCTGCACCTTGGATTCTCATTCCTATTTAGAATTGTCATCTCATTTTCTCTCATGCTTCCTGACCTCAGCTCTTTGTAGATTTATAGGTCCACCAATATCCAGATCTTCGGTGTCTTTGTCTTTGACACTATTCTGATTGGCATTTGTATTAAACAACCTGGAGGAAGGCTAAGAAGGGTCCACACCATGCTCCAAAAGAGGGCTATGCCATCATGGCCTGGTCAGTGGGGTCAGAGGCAGTGGAGGTCACCTGCTCAAGTAGACAAGAGCAGTTCTGGGTTAAGCCCTCTATCTGTATAACTGGGTTCCCCATTCTTACCTCCTGGGTCACTGAAATTTATATCATCAATTACCCCAATCTCAATTATTCCACTTGGTTTTCAATTTAGCTTTGCTCCTGGCTACAGATTTCTGATACCTCCTAAAACCTATTTCAGTTTAAATGACCTTAGTACATTTTTTAAAAGGAACCCCAAGAAAACATAAACAGATTTATAAACAGCCTTTCATAAGAATACCTGTTGCCAGTTCAGCTGCCTCACCACAATACAGCCTTCCAGATATTGGGCAAGATCTGATATCCAACTAGGACCCTGGTCACTGAGTGAGTATAACCCCAGACTGGGTTTCAAATAAGCCTAAACACGTGAGGGTGCAATAGAGCAAAATTTTCAAATATGTGGATGAAACAAACTAAAAGAGATGGCTAATATGATGGAGACTTTTAAAGGCTTTTGAGAGCTTAAAAGGCTGGCTCAAGAGCAACAGAATGAAATTTAACAGCCCTGAGTCTGGGTTCCAAATACCATCTCATAAATATAGATGATGGAAAAAATGGCTTCACTATTTTATGTGAAGAGCCCTGGGTGTTTTTGTTGATCATGAGTTCAGTATAAAGTGACTTAGTTGCTCTAAAAGCTAATCCTCCTGTAGGCTGCATTAATAGGATTGTGTCCAAATCACGTAAGGCAATAATCTCAATATACTCACCTTCAACTGGTCAGGCAGCAGCTGACTATTCCATTGTGACCTCCATTCTACAAAAGGGTCATTAACAACCACAGACAACACAGGGGAAGGAGAGGTCTGGGCTTTCCATTGTACAGGGAATTGTTGGGATAACTGTTTAGCCAGAGCAATGACTCTATATCAAAATTAAAACTCTTTTGGTTCAATAAATAGTTCAGTTGGTTTAGGCAAAGTGGGATGTGGATCCTAATGATATAGAAAGAGCTGCCATTCAGATGAGATGCACAGGTATTGCTGTGCTAGTTGTTTATCTCTGGCATCTGCTCCGGTTCTTTGGTTCCCATAGAGTGCTGCCTTTAAATATTTTGACTATCACCCCTGGAAACAGGAATGTCTTGTACAATCCAAGGTTAGGAATATTGCTGAGCTTTAGTAAAGGCGACAGCCAGGAAATGGAATGTCACTGGAAAGGCTGGCAATATTGGCTCTTGGTTTCTCCCTTCTGTTTCATTCTTCTTTGTTTGTATGAGACAGCTTTCTCCAGACCCTACTCCGCTTGTCAGAACTGGCTTTCACTCAATCCTGGTTCCAAATTCCCAATAGAAGGGATTTTTCTGGGAGAGTATGGGTCAAGTGCCTTCCCCTATCAACAGTGGCCAAGTGGGTGGAGTACCTTAGGTAAATATGACTGCTGGAAACCCACTCCTGTGGATTGAGATGGGGATGATTAATACAATCATTCCATGGCAGGTAAATACCCCAAAACTTTTTATATAAGTTTCTTAATTTTCTTTGATGTCACAGGCCCCTTTAAGAAGTTGGAGAAACTTGGCTGGGCGTGGTGGCTCACGACTGTAATCCCAGGACTTTGGGAGGCTGAGGTGGGGGGCGTCACCTAAGCTCAGGAGTTCAAGACCAGCCTGGCCAACATGTCAAAACCCTATCTCTACTAAAAATACAAAAATTAGCTGGGCGTGGTGGCGGGTGCCTGTAATCCCAGCTGCTGGGGAGGCTGAAGAAGGAGAATCACTTGAACCTGGGAGGCAGAGGTTGCAGTGAGCTGAGGTTGCACCACTGCACTCCAGCCTGGGCAACAGAGCAAGACTCCATGTCAAAAAAAAAAAAAAAAAAAAAAAAGGCCAGGTGCAGTGGCTCACACCTGTAATTCCAGCACTTTGGGAGGCTGAGGCAGGTGGATCACAAGGTCAGGAGTTTGAGGCCAGCCTGGCCAATATAGTGATGCCCCGTCTCTACTAAAAATACAAAAATTAGCCAGGCATGGTGTGGGCACATGGAGTCCCAGCTACTCGGGAAGCTGAGACAGGAGAATTGCTTGAACCAGGGAGGTGGAGGTTGCAGTGAGCCCAGATCGTGCCACTGCCCTCCAGCCTGGGCTACAGAGCAAGACTCTGTCTCAAAAAAAAAAAAAAAAAGAAGTTGGAGAAACTTATCTTTTCCTCTACACAAAACACACACACACACACACAATTTTGTCCATGCTTTTATAACAGGTCCCTAGAACCTTGAAATGTATTCATTGATCCCAGAATAAGAAACCCTGACCTATAGAATGAAATACTTAAGGGAGAAAATATGATTATCTGCAATCAAATAGCTAAAGAATTATTGGGAAAGGGGATGACAATTTGGAAATGCATGCATAGTAAAAAAAAAATTGAAATGCTATGTAAAAATGAAAATATGGTTCTCTCTGGAAGTGGTATAATGAATGGCTCTTTTTTTTTTTTTTGCATGGTTTCCAATTATATTACTGAGAACATATCTGGCTACTTTTATAATGAGATAACCTTTTTTTAATGAAAGAAACTAAGTTTTTAACTGTTCTACATGGAGTTTAGAACAGTGGATGTAATTAACAAGAACACAGATTGTGAATCAATGGTACTGGTTGTCTCAGGAATAATCACATTGTCCCTGTATCTATCCTTGCCCTACTAAAATCTGTTCTCAAAAGTCAGTTGTGTTAAAATATAAGTCAGAGTAAGTCTCTCTACTCAGAACCCTGCCAAGGCTCTCCAGCTTACTCAAGTTAAGAGCCAAATTACATTTGCCTACAAGGCTTCATATGAACTTGATTCTGTTATGCCTCCTATCTCATCTCCCATAACTTTCCCTCCAGCTCATTTTGATTCCTCTCTGTTCCTTAAATTCCATCACTTCCTTATGTCTTTGCAAATGGCATGTTCTCAGTGAGGTTCACCCTATTTTAAATTGCAGTCCCCCTCCCCAATCACCACTGTTACTCTCCACGCCCCTTACTCTACTCACTTTCTTTTTCCCACCGGACTTATCACCTTCTAACATACTAATGTAAATTACTTTCTGATGTCTTGCTTATTACCTGTTTTTTCTCACCTGAATAGTAAGCTCCATTGAATTTGTTGTCTGATTTGCTGAATGCTAATCACCTGGAATAGATTCTGACTAATAGTAAACACTGAATGGATGTTTGTTGGAGGGAGGGAGAAAGAAAAGGGGAGTAAGCCAGAAGAATAGAGCAAAGGAAAGAGGAAGGGAAAAAAGACTGCAAGTGGCCAAGCAGAGGGAATTCCTAAAATGGAGAGAAGTATGGCTTGGATAACTTAGAAGTTTTACTGCAAATCTAAGATTCTATGATAGGACTCTTCCCTTCTCCATCATAACCCAGATTTTTGCTTAGATTTATTGCTTGCCACATGTCTTAGACAGGAAGCATTTGCATGAAAGGAAGATAACTCACTCAGGTCACATTAAATAAAAAGAGAAGTTTTAATTTAACATGTGAAATCTCATGGACTCAGGGTAGAAACTCCAATGTGTCCCCTGGCAGGGCTGAAACCAGGATGGCTTCTCAATCCTTCTGGTGCTTCATGAGCATTCATTTCTTCCTCTCAGCAGACATCTCATTTCTCCTTACTGGCCAGCCACAGGACCTCCCAGCTCCCGGGCCCATCACTAACAAACTAGACTCTCTGTTTCAATTCCAAATTCTTCAAGGTTCAGAGTTTCTTATTCTGGGATCAATGGTTACATTCAAGGTTCACTGATTGACTTGGCACAGCTCTTATCAATTGTTTTCTCATAGTTCAAGTGATGCTGTCACCAGAGACAACAGCCTCAGAGAGTGAAACCATGACCAAAGAGTCCACCCTGCTGGGCTCCTGAAGGGAGGTAGTTCTGAGGGAGGATGCACACGGGCTGAACAGGCAAATTGGCTAGCACACCAAGGCACCATCCCACTGGAATCTATCTGCATTAACATTCTGAACAATCTAATTGCACTTCCAAAGCAATTTCCTGTCTGGAAGAGGTTGCTGATTTCTTTGAAGCTAAAATAGGCACATCCTTCACTTATAAAAATAATAAACAGCTTTCTGAGAAACTTCTGAGGAAATTTTTCTACCACCTGGAAAAGCACAGTGAGAGGATTCATCTCCCAGAATAGGAGTGGCAGAGAATTTATCCTGAAATAGAGCTGACAACATTTGCAAAATTCTCCACCATGAACACAGATGTAAGTATAATTGACTTTTTATTATAAACAGCTTTTTATTGAGGTATAACATACAGAAATGTGCACAAATCGTAAGTGTTCAACTGGCTGATTTTTCCAAAAGTGAACACACCCACGTAACCAGTACCCAGATCAAGATATCAACATTACCATCCTATTAGAAGCAACCCCCTCGCCCATACACACACCCAAAGTAACCATTCTCTGGACTTCCAGAGAATAGCATTGCCTAAAATTCCGGTTTAAATTTTTTGCCTTTTTTCTCCTAGTTGAGTTGACTATCTTTTTATTTTTTAAAGCAATTTTATCGAGGAATAATTGACATTCAATAAAGTGCAAGTATTTAAAGCATATAATTTGATAAGTTTTGGCACAGATACCTACCGTGAAACCATCACCACAATCAATATAGTGAATATATCCATCCCCAGGCAACCACTGATCTATCTTCTGTCATTACAGATTAGTCTGTATTTTCTAAAATTTTATGTAACTGGAATCCTACAATATGTCCTTATTTTTGTCTGGCTTCTTTCATTCAGCATCATGATTTTGAAATTCATTCATGTTGTTACATGTAACACAAGTTCATTCCTTTTTATTATTGAGTAGTATCCCATTATACACCACACTTTATTTTTATCCACTAACTTGCTGATGGGCATTTGGGTTGTTTCCAATTTGGGGCTATTTAAAATAAAGCTGTTATGAACATTGTGCACAAGTCTTTGTATTGACATATGCTTTAATTTACCGTGGGTAAATATTTGGGAGTGGAATGTCTAGGTCATATGGTAGGTGTGTGTTTAACTTTATAAGAAACTGTCGGCTGGGCGTGGTGGCTCACGCCTGTAATCCCAGCACTTTGGGAGGCTGAGGCAGGCAGATACCCGAGGTCAGGAGTTCGAGACCAGCCTGACCAACATGATGAAACCCTGTTTCTACTAAAGATACAAAAATTAGCCTGGCATGGTGGCAGTTGCCTATAATCCCAGCTACTCAGGAGGCTGAGGCAGCAGAATCACTTGAACCTGGGAGGTGGAGGTTGCGGTGAGCCGAGATCATGCCATTGCACTCCAGCCTGGGCAACAAGAGCGAAACTCCATCTCAAAAAAACAAAAGAAACTGTCAAAATGTCTTCTATTTCACATTCCCAAAAACAGTGAGTTTTACTTGCTGAGTCTTCTCACTAACCCTTGATATGATCAGTCTTTTAAAATTTTCCTCATTCTAATATGTGTACGCATGTTAAATTATATCTCATTGTGATTTTAATTTGCATATTCTTATTGACTAGTGATTTTGAGCACATCTTTTGATATGCTTGCCACCATTTTTTTTTTTTTTTGAGACAGGGTCTTGCTCTGTCTCCCAGGCTGCAGTGCAGTGGCATGATCATAGTCCACTACAGCTTCTAACTCCTGGGCCTAAGCAATCTTCCCACCTGAGCCTCCTGAGTAGCTGGGACTACAGTCACATGCCACCACACCTGTTTAATTTTTAAAAAATTTTTTGTAGAGGCAAGGTCTTACTATGTTTCCCAGGCTGGGCTCACACTCCTGGACTCAAGCAATCCTCCCACCCCATCCTCTCAAAGTGCTGGGATTATAGGCGTGAGCCAACACACCCAGCTTGTATTTGTTGTTGTCTGTACAAATCTTCTACTCATTTTTAAGTTGGATTGTTTGTTGCTATGTTGTTGAGTTTTATAGTTTTGTTTTTTTTTTTTGACGGAGTTTCGCTCTTGTTGCCCAGGCTGGAGTGCAATGGCGTGATCTCAGCTCACCACAATCTCCGCCTCACAGGTTCAAGTGATTCTCCTGCCTCAGCCTCCCAAGTAGCTGGGATTACAGGCATGCGCCAACCTGCTCGGCTAATTTTGTATTTTTAGTAGAGATGGGGTTTCTCCATGTTGGTCAGGCTGGCCTCAAACTCCCGACTTCAAGTGATCCAACCTCCTCGGCCTCCCGAAGTGTTGGGATTACAGGCGTGAGTCACTGCGCCCGGCCTGAGTTTGTATAGTTCTTTATGTATTTTGGATACAAGTCCTTTATCAGATGTGATTTGCAAATACCTTCTCACTGTTTGTGGCTTGTCTTTTCGTTGCCTCAACAGTGTCCTCCAAAGAGCAGAGATTCTTAATTTTGAGAAAGTTCAATTCGTCATTTTTTCCCTTTTTTTCTTTTTTAATTTTTTTTTTCAGTCAGGATCTCTTGTGCCCACTCTGGAGTGCAGTGGAGTGATCATGGTTCACTGCAGCCTCAACCTCCCAGACTCAAGCAATCCACCTCAGCCTCCCACGTAGCTGGACCACAGGGGTATGCCACCACAACTGGCTAATTTTTTAAATTTTTTGTAGAGACAG
The DNA here is from genome assembly GCF_000001405.40 of Homo sapiens. NCBI lineage: Eukaryota > Metazoa > Chordata > Mammalia > Primates > Hominidae > Homo > Homo sapiens. The sequence continues at coordinate 143,323,015 of NC_000004.12, forward strand.
GGTCTACCTATTTTGTCCAGGCTGGTCTCTAACTCCTGTGCTCAAGCAATCCTTCCACCTTGGCCTCCTAAAATGCTGGGATTATAGGCATGGGCTATCACACCCAGGTTGTATTTTTTTTTTTTTTTTTTTTTGAGACAGGGTCTCACTTTGTCACCCTCACTGCAGCCTCGACTTCCAGGTTCAAGCAATCCTCCTGCCTCAGCCCCCCAAGTAGCTGGGACTACAGGCGCATGCCACCATGCCCAGCTAATTTTTGTATTTTTAGTAGAGACAGAGTGTCACTATGTTGCCCAGGCTGGGGTCTCGAACTCCTGGTCTCAAGCAGTCTATCCACCTTGTCCTCCCAAAGTGCTAGTATTACAGGTGTGAGCCACCGCACCTGGCACCAGCTTGCATTTGTTGTTGTTGTTGTCATTGTTGTGTCTGTACAAATCTTCTCTGCATTTTTTTTTTTTTTTTGAGATGGGGTTTCACTCTGTTACCCCGACTGGAGTGCAGTGGCGCGATCTTGGCTCACTACAGCCTCAACCTCCCATGCTCAAGTGGTCCTCTCACCTCAGCCTCCCAAGTAGCTGGGATTACAGGTGTGCTCCACCATGCCTGGCTAATTTTTTGTATTTTTTGTAGAGATGGGGTTTTGCCACGTTGCCCTGGTCTTGAACTCCTGGGGCTCAAGCGATTTGCTTGCCTCAGCCTCCCAAAGTGCTGGGATTAAAGGCGTGATCCACCACGCCCGGCCCTGTGCATTTTTAAATTGTGTTGTTTGTTGTTTCATTATTGAGTTTTTATATATTTTGGATGCGAGTCTTTTATCAGATGTGATTTGCCACATCTGGCCTTTATTTTATCTTTTTTGAGTCTTGCTTTAGATGTCATATCTAAGAGATCTTTGCCAAACAATGTGTCTTAACCCATTTTCTGTTGCTATAACAGAATACACAGACTAGGTAATTTATAATTAATGGAAATTTATTTGGCCCGTGGTTCTGGAAGCTAGGAAGTTCAAGACTATGGTGCTAGAATCAGGTGGGGGGCACCTTCATGGTGGAAGACAGAAAGGCAGGGAGAACAAGAGCAAAAGAAAGAGGGCTGAATGCATTCTTTTACAGGAACCCTCTCCTGCAAAAACTAACTCATTCAAACCATAATGCTATTAATCCATTCACTAGGGCAGAGCCCTAATAAAATTCTTGCCTCTCAACACTGTTGCAATGGGGATTCAATTTCCAGCATATGAACTCTGGGTGACACATTTAAGCCATAACAGAATGTCACACAGATTTTCTCCTATATTTTCTTCCAGAAGTTTTATTCTAATCAGATTTAGCATTAGGTCTGTAATCTACTGTGAGTACATTTGTGCATGTGCTACAAGGAATAGATTAAAGTTTCGGTTTGTTTGTTGCATTTGGATATCCCATTATTTCAGCATCAATTATTGAAAAAAATGATCCTTTCTCCTTTGAATTGTCTATGCACCTTTGCCAAAAAAGAAAATTGGCCATATATGTGTGGGTCTATTTCTTGACTCTCTATTTTGTTCCATCAATCCATTTGTCTATCTTGATGTCAACACTACATTGTCTTCTTTATTGTGGCTTTGTTTTTTTTTAAATTATGGTTATTATTTTACTTTTTTGAGACAGAGTTTCACTCTTGTTGCCCAGGCTGGAGTGCAGTGCCTCGATCTCGGCTCACTGCAACCTCTGCCTCCTGGGTTCAAGCAATTCTCCTGCCTCAGCCTCCCAAGAAGCTGGGATTATAGGCACGTACCACCATGTCCGGCTAATTTTTGTATTTTTAGTAGAGATGGAGTTTCGCCATGTTGGCCAGGCTGGTCTTGAACTCCTGACCTCAGGTGATTCACCCCGCTCGGCCTCCCAAAGTGCTGGGATTACAGGCGTGGGCCACCACACCCAGCCTTATTTTATTATTATTATTTTTTGAGATGGAGTTTCATTCTTGTCGCCCAGGCTGGTGCCATCTTGGCTCACTGCAACCTCAAGTGATTCTCCTGCCTCAGCCTCCCGAGTAGTTGGGATTACAGGCATGCACCACTACACCCAGCAAATTTTTGTATTTTTAGTAGAGACGGCGTTTCACCAGGCTGGTCTCAAACTCCTGACTTCAGGTGATCTACCCACCTTGGCTTCCCAAAGTGCTGGGATTACAGGAATGAGCCACTGTATTGTGGCTTTATAATAGGTCTTGAAGTATGGTAGTGTAAATGCTGTCACTTTATTCTTTTTCAAAGTTGTTTTAGCTATTCTAGGTCCTTTGCATTTCCACATGAATTTTAGAATCAGCTTGTCATTTTGAAAAAAAAGTTGCTGACTGTGATACTGGGGTGTCGATTGTGATTGTCTTAAATTTATTGATCAATCTGGAGAAAAACTGACAACTTAATAATTTTGTCTTTTGGCTGGCCACAGTGGCTCACACCTATAATCTCTGCACTTTGGGAGGCCAAGATGGGAGGATTGCTTCAGGCTAGGAGTTTAAGACAAGCATGGGAAACATGGTGAGACCCCATCTCTACAAAAAATTAGTTGAGCATGGTGATGCATGCCTATAGTTCCAACTACTTGAGACGCTAAGGTGGCAGCATCCCTTGAGCCCAGGAATTCAAGGTTGAAGTGAGCCATGATCATGCCACTGCACCCCAGCCTGGGCAATACAGAGAGAGACTCCAACTCAAGAAAATTTTTTTGGTCTTTTAAAAAATATTTTGTTTTATTTTATTTTATTTTATATTTGAGACAGAGTCTCGCTCTGTCACCCAGCCTGGAGTGCAGTGGCACCGTCTTGGCTCACTGCAACCTCCGCCTCCCAGATTCAAGCAATTCTCCTGCCTCAGCCTCCCGAGTATCTGGAATTACAGGTATGCACTACCACACCTGGCTAATTTTTGTATTTTTAGTAGAGATGGGGTTTCACCATGTTGGCCAGGCTGGTCTCGAACTCCCAACCTCAGGTGATCCACCTGCCTCAGCCTCCCAAAGTGCTAGGATTACAGGCGTGAGCCACCGTGCCCAGTCATTTTTGGTCTTTTGATTCGTCAACTCTGTATATCTTACTACAGTCTTTTTAAATTTCTTCCAGCAATGCTGTCTCTTGCATCTATGGATTTACAATGATCAAATTTTTTGGCCATTATCTCTTCAAGAATTTTCAACATTCACACTTTGGGGACTCTAATTACATATATATTAGGCTACTAAAAGTGGTTTTATTTTCCTTATTACTCAGTTCATTTATTTCAATCTTTTTTTCTCTCTTTGTTTTATATTGCTATGTATTCATTTTCACTAATTCTGTGATATCTAATCTACTATTAATTGAATGCAGCATATTTTTCATGTCATTCATTGTATTTTTCATCTCTAGAAATTTAATTTGAGTCAGGCTGGGCGCAATGGCTCACGCCTGTAATCCCAGCACTTTGGGAGGCTGAGGCTGGTGGATCACCTGAGGTCAGGAGTTTGAGACCAGCCTGGCCAACATGGTGAAACCCCATCTCTATTAAAACTACAAAAAAATTAGTGGGATATGGTGAACCCAGGAGGTTCAAGTGATTCTGCTGCCTCAGCCTCCATAGTAGTTGGGATTACAGGTGCCTGCCACCATGCCTGGCTAATTTTTTTGTAGTTTTAGTACAAAAAAATCCTCGCTGAGGATCACACAGTGTTGAAATAGTTCCTCTTCTCCCCAGCCAGAGCAGAAAACACCATAATGCACAGAGCATTCATGAGTTCCTTGAAGGATTTTGTCTCAGTAGTGGTGGAAAGTTAGCCCTAGATTAAATGACGCTGTGGTCCTGCCTAAGAAAACGTAATAGCAACACCCCATAAAATCAAACTGTTTTCAAGTAACTATGTTCCAGAACAAAGCTCAATATATTTATAGAAAAACAAAAATATCCAACACTCAACAAGATAAAATTTACAATGTGTGATATCCAATCAGAGATTAGCAAGAGTTAGGTAAATATGGCCCAAAATGAGGGGGAAAAAAATCAATCCATTGAAGCCAATTTAGAAATTACAGACGATGACATTAGTGGACAAAAACGTTAGAACAGTTATTATAGCTATATCCCATATGTTCAGAAAGCTAGAGGAATGACTTAGCATGGTAAGTAGAGACATGGAAGATATTATGAAGACTCAAATTAAATTTCTTTTCTTTTTTTTTTTTTGAGATGGAGTCTCGTTCTTGTCGCCCAGGCTGGAGTGCAGTGACATGGTCTTGGCTCACTGCAACCTCCACCTCCCGAGTTCAAGTGATTCTCATGCTTCAGCCTCCCAAGTATCTGGGATTATAGGCATGTGCCATCATGCCCGGCTAATTTTTGTATTTTTAGTAGCGACAGGGTTTCACCACGTTGGCCAGGGTGATCTCAAACTCCTGACCTCAAGTGATCTGTCTGCCTTGGCCTCCCAAAGTGCTGGGATTGAAGGCATGAGCTACCATGTCTGGCTCATCATTTTGAGTTTAAAAGAAAATTGAGTTAAGTAAATCTAAGTTTTAATTTAATGGAATATTTTTGCTCATGCAAAAGAGAAAAAGAATAGTTTAAATTCAAGAAGTGTGAAAAGGTAATAACTATATAAAATAGCTCTAATACTATTTTATATATAGTGTTTTCATGTCACAATTACAAAGGGATTCGTTTATGTTTTTAAATAAAAACTCTCTTTTAGCCCACTTTGTAACCTAAATTTCGAAAATTAAGTTTAGAGATAAAATTATGCAGCTCAGGCAGTGATTCCATAATGTGTTTACATTTATCATAATCTACCCTGTAATGATTGTAATTAAAATGTCGATGAAAAGAGTCAAATTCTGTAAAATGTTTGAAGAGATTTATTCTGAGCCAAATATGAGTGACCATGGCCCGTGACACAGCCCTCAGGAGTCCTGAGAATATGTGCCCAAGGTGGTCAGGGTACAGCTTGGTTTTACATATTTTAGGGAGGCATGAGACATCAATCAAATATGTTTAAGAAATACATTGGTTTTGTTCAGAAAGGCAGGACAACTCAAAGCTGGGGGCAGGGCAGGAAGGGATGCTTCCAGGCTATAAGTAAATTTCAGCATGTTCTGGTTGACAATTGGTTGAGTTTACCTGAAGACCTGGGATTAATGGAAAGGAATGCTCAGGTTAAGATAAAGGACTGTGGGGGCCAAGTTTTATTGTGCAGAGGAATCTCTCAGATAGCAGACTTCAGAGAGAGAGATCGGTTGTAAAGTGTTTCTTTTTTTGTTTTTGAGACAGAGTCTCACACTGTTACCTGGGCTGGAGTGCAGTGGTGCAATCTCGGCTCACTGCAACCTCCGCCTCCCAGGTTCAACCAATTCTCCTGCCTTAGCCTCCCAATTAGGTGGGATTACAGGAGCCTGCCACCAAGCCCAGCTAATTATTTTTATTTTTATTTTTAGTAGAGATGGGTTTTCACTATGTTGACCAGGCTGGTCTTGAATGCCTGACCTTGTGATCCACCTGCCTCGGCCTCCCAAAGTGCTGGGATTACAGGCATGAGCCACCGTGCACAGCCGTAAAATGTTTCTTATGGGACCTAAAAGGGTGCCTGGCTCCTATCTCCTAGATCCGGAAAGAAAGGAAGGAAAACAAAGGGGAAAGGGATTCTCTATAGAATGTGGATTTTTCCCGCAAGAGACTTTGCAAGGCAATTTTGAGGTATGGCAAGGAAATATATTTTTGGGGTTAAATATTTTTTTCCTTGTCTCATAATGTTATCCCAGAGTCAGATTGAAAAGTAAGTCAAAATATATAGGATCAAATAAAACCCATCTGATGAGAATATATGGTTTGTAGGGCATGACTCCCTAGACTCCTTAGGTAGGAATTTGGGCAAGATAAAAAATCAGAGCTTAGTCCTCAAAAATATTCTAAAAATAAGCAATATTTTATTCCTTTGTCGAAGGACCATTTTCACATTATAACAATATAAATCTTATTGCAAGGATATTTCATTTTGAGATTTAAACATTACTTCCTTAGAAATGATTAAATGTGTAAACATTTCAAATTCTAAAATGTAGGTGGGACCTTTGAGAGGTAATTATTTGGTGAGGGCAAAAGTAATTGCAGTTTTTGCACTGTTGGAATTTGCCATTTGATATTGAAATACATTCTTAAATAAATATGGTTATGTTATACATCATTTTAATGGGCATTTCTCGCTTTATTTATTTTTTGCTACTTATTACTTGCTGTTTATTTTATGTTTATTTTAGACTATGGAAATGATGTTAGACAAAAAGCAAATTTAAGCGATTTTCTTATTTGAGTTCAAAATGGGTCATAAAGCAGTGGAGACAACTTGCAGCATCAACGAAGCGTTTGGCCCAGGAGCTGCTGACGAAGGTACGGTGCAGCGGGGGGTTCAAGAAGTTTTGCAAAGGAGATGAGAGCCTTGAAGGTGGAGAGTGTAGTGGCTGGCCATCGGAAGTTGACAGTGACCAACTGAGAGCACTCATTGAAGCTGATCCTCTTACAACTCCATAAGAAGTTGCAGAATAACTCAACATTGAGCCTTCTGTGGTCATTTAGCATTTGAAACAAATTGAAACGGTGAAAAAGCTCAATAAGTGGGTGTCTCATAAGCTGACCGAAAATGAAAAAATGTCATCACTTCGAAGTGTCATCCTCTTATTCTATGCAACAACGAAGCATTTCTCAATTGGATTGTGACATGCGATGAAAAGTGGATTGTATATGACAACCATTGACAACGAGCTCTGTGATTGGACTGAGAAGAAGCTCCAAAGCACTTCCCAAAGCCAAATTTGCACCCAAAAAATGCCATGGTCACTGTTTGGTGGTCTGCTGCCAGTCCACTACAGCTTTCTGAATCCTGGCAAAACCGTTACATCTGAGAAGTATGCTCAGCAAATCGATGAGATGCACCGAAAACTGCAATGACTGCAGCCGGCATTGGTCAACAGAAAGGACCCAATTCTTCTCCATAACAATGGCTGACCCTACGTCAAACAACCAATGCTTCAAAAGTTGAACAAATTGGGCTACAAAGTTTTGCCTCATCTATCGTATTTACCTGACCTCTCACCAACTGACTACTGGCAAGCTTCTTCAAGTATCTTGACAACTACTTGCAGGTAAAATGCATCCACACCAGCAGGAGGCAGAAAATGCTTTCCAAGAGTTCGTCAAATCCTGGAGCACGAATTTTTACGCTACAGGAATAAACAAACTTATTTCTTGTTGGCAAAAATGTGTTGATTGTTATGGTTCCTCTTTTGATTAATAAAGATGTGTTGGAGACTAGTTATGATGATTTAAAATTCGCAGTCCAAAACCCTAATTACTTTTGCACCAACCTAATAGGTTACAAGAGCTCTGCCCTTATAAATGGAACTGGTGCCCTTATACAAAAGGCCTAGGGCAGCCTGTTTGTGTCTCTTGCCATGTGAGGACACAGCAAGAAGGCACGATCTATGAGGAACAGGCCCTCACCAAACACTGGATCTGCTGGTACCTTGATGGAGGACTTACCAGCATCCAGAATTATAAGCAATAAATGGCTATTGTTTATCTATTACCCAGTCTAAGGTATTTTGTTACAGCAGCTTGAATGGTCTAGGTCACTGGGTGGCAGAGACATCCATAAAGCTAATGAAGCTTCAGCTCAGGGCCTGTCATTGCACAGGCCTCTTGTGAGAGTGGGGAGCTTCTAGGAGAAGTGGAGTGTCCTAGTGGAGAGGGGGTGTCAAGCTGTACTCAGGAAGAATATGTAAGGATTCTGGTAAATTACCTATAAATCTTAGAAGAAAGACATCTGCATCTCCAGGGCTTCGGGAATTTGTTGGTGATTTATTTCCTCATTCTAAATACATATTCATCCAAATTTCGTATTTGTAATTGCATTATTTTCGTTAAAAAGACTCCCCAAACTATATAAACTTCTGGTCCCAGGACATGAAGATTTGCCCCTGCAGAATAATTTTGTATCTATCTGAGGTCACTGAACATGAATTTACAGTGATGTCACTCATCCTGTTCTGCGACTTGCTCCAACAGCACTTGGCTGGTTGTGTGCAGAAGAAAGTACAGTCAAGCTGGGCATGGTGGCTTAGGCCCGTAATCCCAGCACTTTGGGAGGCCAAGGCAAGTGAATCACTCGAGGCCAGGAGTTTGAGACCAGCCTGGCCAACATGGCAAAACCCTGTCTCTGTCAAAAAAATACAAAAATTAGCTGGGCATGGTGGTGTGTAGCTGTAGTCCCAGCTACTGGGTGGGCTGAGGTGGGAGAATCACTTGAACCCAGGAGGCAGAGGTTGCAGCGAGCTGAGATAGCACCACCACACTCCAGCCTAGGTGACAGAGTGATATCCCATCTCAAAAAAGGAAAAAAAAAAAAAAAAGAAAGAAAGGACAGTCAGGTTTGTCCAGAGTTGGGGTTTTGTGAGATAGGAATGTTTACTGAAAATGTGGACCACAGAATTTAAGCTGGATAAGGAGAAGGGAGTGAAGAAAGGAAATGTCTGATAGATCACGGGAAAGCACAAGTCTTAATAGACTAGAAAAGCTGTTGAGAAGAAGGAATAATTACATAGGGAGATATTGAAAAATCAAGTTGAAAGATGTATAGCTAAAGTGGGATGCTGGAAGGGAATAACAAAATGCACAAAGATGATTGCTTGAGGTGATTTGGATAGATTTTTCTTTTTTCTTTTCTTTTTTTTATTTTTTTTTTGAGACAGTTTCGTCTTGTTGCCCAGGTTGGAGTGCAATGGCGTGCGATATCGCCTCACCGCAACCTCTGCCTTCCGAGTTCGAGTGATTCTCCAGCCTCAGCCTCTGGAGTAGCTGGGATTACAGACATGCGCTACCATGCCCGGCTAATTTTGTATTTTTAGTAGAGACCGGGTTTCTGCATGTTGGTCCGGCTGGTCTCGAACTCCTGACCTCAGGTGATCTGCCAGCCTCGGCCTCCCAAAGTGCTGGGATTACAGGTGTGAGCCACCTCGCCCGGCCTGATTTGGATAGATTTGAATGTCATAGGAGATGAAATGGTCATTTGCTTCAAGAAAATGTCTAAATCTGAAGATCTCCAAGGACCTGCACAATCTGTCCCTTGCCTGCCTCTGTACCTCAGCCAGTGCCAATGTCTCCATCATTCACCCCACTGCTGCCTTCATTCAGTTCATTAAATGCTCCTTCCAGCCTGAAAACCTGTACACCTGCACCTTCTCTTTTGTCTGGAATACTCTCCCTTACTATGTCCACCAGGCCAACTTCTTCTTATCCTGAGGATCTCAATTTAAAGCCTGAATTTCCTGGCGGGCGCTGTGGCTCTCACCTGTAATCCCAGCACTTTGGGAGGCCAAGGCAGGTGGATCACCTGAGGTCAGAAGTTCAAGACCAGCCTGACCAATACAGTGAAACCCCGCCTCTACTAAAAATACAAAAATTAGCCGGGCGTGGTGGTGCACGCCTGTAATCCTAGCTACTTGGGAGGCTGAGACAGGAGAATAGCTTGAACCCAGGAGGCGGAAGTTGCAGTGAGCCAAGATTGTGCCACTGCACTCCAGGCTGAGAGATAGAGTGAGACTGCGTCTCAAAAAAAAAAAAAAGTCTTTTCCTCAGGGAAGTCCTTCCCAACCTACCGCCCTACTCCTGGGGGGTACATCCTCTGTTATATGCCCAAACAACACTATATTTTCTTCCATAGCATTTATCAACTGTATTGCCAAAATGATGGGGTTAATTATCTGCAAAAGCTTTTCTCTAGGAAAGAGGAGTGTGGGAACAGGTCTGGCTTTCCCCTACTGTATCCTGGGTCCTCAGGGACTGGCATATAATAGGCATCCCATAAATATTCGTTGTATGAATAAAATTTAAGATACTAACATATAATAACTTTTTCCAGCGTGCCTTTTAAGGCATAAAGATATAAAATATGATTTAACAAATAATCTAAACATGACATATAAAAATAAGGCAAATTTCCTTTCTAAAATATATACATGGAGACATATCTATCTTCAATTTCTCTTCAACCCTGATTTAATTTCTAGAAATACAAGCCTAAAACAACTCAGTAGAAGATAGGAAAAACACTTAAAGATTTTTTACATAGGAATGAGATAACTGAATGCCTTATTTGAAATAAAGAAAAAAATTTGTGGAAATTCCCAAAGCTAAATAATACAAGATATATTACAATTTTCCATTTACAAAGAACTTTATAACAAGAGTGTAGGAAATGGTAAATTTGCTAAAGCCAATAGTTAACTACTCAACAATACTAGTCTTACTAATGCTAATTATACTTTTGGCTCAATGTAGCTACATGCTGCCTATGGGAGAAGAGGAAAACAAATTTGATGGTTTATTTTCATTTGGAAGATTTGTGGCATGATTTATATTCACATACTTAAAAAGAAGTGCTTTGGTTTATTAGCTGCCATAAAAATTACGCTTGTTTATGTTTCAGAAAGAACATTAAGAAATACAGCAACAAACAGCAAAAATCCTACAATATCTAATATGTGCCTGATATTTAAAACTACCATTTCTTTTTTCCTTTTTTTCGAGACAGACTCTCACTCAGTCACCCAGGCTGGAGTGCAGTGGCCCTATGTCAGCTCTCTGAAACCTCCCTGTCCCGGGTCCAAGTGATTCTTGTGCCTCAGCCTCCTGAGTAGCTGGGACTACAGGCACGCGCCACCACACCCAGCTAATTTTTGTGTTTTTAGAAGAGACTGGGTTTTCACCACGTTGGCCAGGATGGTCGCGACCTCCTGGCCTCAGGTGACCTGCTCATCTAGACCTCCCAAAGTGCTGGGATTACAAGTGCAAGCCATCACGCCCAACCAACACTACCATTTTCCTTTTTATTTATTTATTTATTTTTCAGAGACAGTCTCGCTCTGTCTCCCAAGTTGAAGTGCAGTGGCACGATCTCGGCTCACTGCAACCTCCACCTCCTGGGTTCAAGCGATTCTCCTGCCTCAGCCTCCCGAGTAGCTGGGACTACAGGCGCGTGCCACCACACCCGGCTAATTTTTGTGTTTTTAGTAGAGACTGGGTTTCACCACGTTGGCCAGGGTGGTCTCAAACTCCTGGCCTCAAGTGACCTGCTCACCTAGACCTCCCACAGTGCTGGGAATACAAGCGCGAGCCATCGCGCCCGACTAACCGACCAACACTACCATTTCTTTTCTTTTCTTTTCTTTTCTTTTCTTTTCTTTTCTTTTCTTTTCTTTTTTTTTTTTTAGAGACACAATCTCGCTTTGTCGCCCAAGCTGAAGTGCAGTAGCGCGATCTCGGCTCGCTGCAACCTCCGCCTCCCGGGTCAAGCGATTCTCCTGCCTCAGCCTCCCGAGTAGCTGGGACTACAGGCGCACGCCGCCACGGCTAATTTTTTGTATTTTAGTAGAGACGGGTTTTCACTGAGTTGCCCAGTCTGGTCTCAAACTCCTGAGCTCAGGCAATCCACCCACCTAGGCCTCCCAAAGTGCTAGGATTACAGGCGTGAGCCACCGCACCTGGCCAACACTACCATTTCTATTTCTCATTAAACTTCTGCAAAATCGGTGTTGCAATTCCCATTTCACATATCGGGAAACTGAGACTCAGAGACATTGTGTAATTTACCCAAGGTCACGACTACTCAGTTGATGACCTGAAAAGTGCATCCAGATCTGCAAGAAGTTCCGCCCTTGTGATACTGTTAAGTGCCTGCCAAAAGATGACGGTCTCTAAACCCCAGTGGGAACCAGGCTTTTTCAGATTTTTCTTTTTTGAGACTGAGTCTCAATCTGTAGTTTTGTTGACTCTTTATTTGCTTACTACCCTATGCCACTACCTCCATATATGCAGGGATCTTTGTCTTGTCACCACTCCAGCACCTAATTTCTTATTACAATCATCTAACATTTTCAAACTCAGAGGAGCTTCAGAATATGAATGTTGTGTTAATAAGAAAATGACTGAAGTTATGTCTTTCCAGAAATGCTCATTTATGTCGTCATATTTTTAGCACTTTTATCTGATTATATTATCTGCTGAAATTGGCTTTGGGGCTTTTTCACAAATAAATTGGAGAAGATGTTTATTACAGAATCATGTTAAACTCAGGACCAGTATAATAATTGTGAAACACACAAGGAAGTAGGCAAATAGAACTAGGGTACCCAGTAAATTTCCTTCCTTCCTTCTTTCTCTCTCTCTCTCTTTTTTTTTTTTTTTTTTTTTGACGGAGTTTTGCTCTTGTTGCCCAGGCTGGAGCGCAGTGTCGCGATCTCGGCTCACCGCAATCTCCGCCTCCCGGGTTCAAGCTATTTTCCTGTCTCAGCCTCCCGAGTAGCTGGGATTATAGGCGCGCGCCACTACGCCCGGCTAATTTTTGTATTTTTAGTAGAGATTGGGTTTCTCCATGTTGGTCAGGCTGGTCTTGAACTCCCGACCTCAGTTGATCCGCCCGCCTCGGCCTCCCAAAGTGCTGGGATTACAGGCGTGAGCCACCGCGCCCGGCCAAGTGTCCCTCTTCTAGTCCAGCATCCGAACAGTAGATTTCAAACAAATACAAAGTTAAGTGGAATAGGCAACAAATGGAAGGGGTGTGAGACTTCAAAATGTCTCAGAGATAGGACCCAACCAAATCCTTGGCCTCGCCAAGCGCCCCCATCACTCTGGCAGAACAGCTCCAGAGACCAGCCCTGGCCAGCCCTGGGTCCCCATCTGTCCTCCCCTCCAAGCTGGTAGCTCCCGCGCCCTCTTGGTCTGTCCTTTAATCTCGCGCGGCGGGGACCGGCAGGATGGTGGTCTCCCCGCGGTTTTGCCTTTCAGGCTCTCAAGTAAAGAAAACCCTCGAAACTCCTGATCTCGAGCACAGCACAAGCTCCGAGCTGGCACCGGGCTGAGTCAAGATGGCAAGCCCCGGACTGAACATTCGAATGTCCCTCAGTCTTCCCCGCGCCCAAGCCCCGGTGCCTCTGCCCTAGCCGAGGCCTCTGCGGTCTTCCCGGGCGAGGAGCCGATTGGGGGCCGCCGGACGGCGGAGGACCCTGCTCCTGCTTCCCGAACTACAGATCCCAGGGTGCCTCTCGGACTCGCGCTCCCTCCCTCCCTTGCTCCCTCCCTTCGTCCGTCTCCTCCCCCGGCCCTTGTTGTTTTGGCTGGAAGCACTCCGGCGGAGTTTCAGAGAAAGTCTGGGCAGAAACCGGAGCCGGGCCTGAACGTGGGAAGGGGAGGAGGAGAGGGAGGAAGAAGGAGCCCGGCGGCCGGGAGAGGGAGGGAGGGATCGGGATCTGGGGCCGAGCCGCTCAGGACCTGCCGCGAGCCCCGGGGTGGGGGAGGCGGCGGGGGAGGAGCGCGAGGGGACGGGACAGCGGGATCCCTCCCAGGAGCCAAGCCGCCAAGCGCCTCGTTCCTCTGCTGCTCCCCGCCCTCTTCGGCGGCCGCGAGAGCGGACCCACCCTCCGGCTTGACCTGCGACCTCCCTGCGCCCGCCGCTCAGAAACGCCCCGCGCTTCGCTGCCAACCCTGCGGCTCCCTCTGTGACCCGGGACCAGCCCCGCGCCCGCTGCCCGTAGGCGGCTCGCGGCTTCCCCTTTCCTCGGCGTTCACCGAGCGCCGCGAAGTGACCCACCCTCCCCCGAGGAGAGGGAAGGAGGATCGCTCCGGGCGCATCGAAACCGAGGGCGGGTGGGCGGGCGAGCGGGCACCGCGCGGGGCATTGTGTGTGTGTGTGTGTGTGTGTGTGTGTGTGAGCAGCGCTGTGTCTGTTTCGGAAAGCGCTCTGGGGAGGTCTTGTCCCTAGGGGGCGGAGCGCAAAGGACAGAAGCTCCGGCACCGAGTCGGGGCAGAGTCCCGCTGAGTCCGAGCGCTGCTGAGGCAGCTGGCGAGACGGCACGTCTGGAGGCGAGGCGGGCGCACTGAAAGGAGGCCGGCGCGCCCGCGGCCCCGGCTCGCGTTCTGTTCAGGTTCGTGGGCCTGCAGAGGAGAGACTCGAACTCGTGGAACCCGCGCACCGTGGAGTCTGTCCGCCCAGTCCGTCCGGGGTGCGCGACCAGGAGAGCTAGGTTCTCGCCACTGCGCGCTCGGCAGGCGTCGGCTGTGTCGGGAGCGCGCCCGCCGCCCCTCAGCTGCCCGGCCCGGAGCCCGAGACGCGCGCACCATGAGCGGTGGTGAAGTGGTCTGCTCCGGATGGCTCCGCAAGTCCCCCCCGGAGAAAAAGTTGAAGCGTTATGTAAGTAGAGCTGCGGGCACCACTCCGCGGGCCTCGGCGTCCACACCCCTCCCCAGTCGGCTCGCCGGCGGCTGCAGCTGGCCGCGCGCGGGGCTGGTTCTTAAACGAATGCCGGTCTCTTTCCCCTTGGCCCCTACCCCTGGCGGGCTCGGGACAGGGTGCCTTGCACTCCCTCACGCCCAGGCATCCACTTGGCCGGACAACTTTCTTCCTCCAGGTTCCAGACAGCCTGCTTTGCGGGCCTGTTCGCCCCATAAAAGGACCTAGACGTCCAGCTAAACTCCTGCTGCATGCTTTTTTTCTTCCTTAGGAAGGATGGGGTGCGATGGAGAGAGGAGCCTTCTTCCTGCTTTATTCCTGCATCTGATTATTGGGCTGATGTGTGCTAAAGCTCCCGCACCGGGAAAACTGCCGAGGTTTTAGGGCTCACTAGCCCTTTCTTTGGTGGGCGCTCCCTCTCCTCCGCCCCTCGAGATGGGTTGCGGGAAGCGGGCTGTGGAGCTGAGGAGTTGGTAGTAGAGACAAGCATATCGAACGCGCGCAAAAGGGAAAGAAAGAAAAGTTATTACGCGCCCTGCCGTTTGCTTAGCAGGGTTCACATTTTCGCGGTTTTGAATTGAGGGACTTTGGAGTTTGGCCCGGGAGCCTTGGCGGTTTGCTGCGAGAGGAGGGCGCTGGGGGGGAGCCTAGTGGCTGGTGTTTGGGCGCCTTGGATGTGCTGTCAAACTCGGCAGGAGGGGACAGCTGAAGCCAGAAGGGATTTCAGTTGCGGTCCTTTCCCAGGGAACCAGAGTGGCTTTAATGGTGTTTGTGTAATTGATACAAGATGCTATGTGTTAAACCGTTTTAGCTGTTAGGAAAAATATTCCTTGAAAGTATCAACCTTGCTTTAGTGGAAACCTGTGTCCTCTTCAGAGGTCTGGGATCTTATTCTTCCTCCCCATTGGTTGTTTTGTTGCTGCTCCCTTGCAAAGGAAAGAAATGACACTTTTGTGCTGACATCTGGATCAAATATTTTTCTAGTAAAATGTGTTTGCAAAAGCAAAATTTATGCCCCCTTAAATATAATATAAATTTAATGCCTGTACGAAGGGAACCCGTTTGTCGTTGAGGAATATCTACACCCAGTATTAGAGCTCAGGTTAATCCTGTTAGTCACTGTTTGCTTGTATAGAACAGAGTGAAGTACACAGAGTGAAGTATTTAACTTCACTGACAACTCACCAGTGAATTTCTGATTTACTTTCTGCCAGAATTTATTATAGACAAGTAATTTTATTGAAAGACTCGATGCCACAAATCATAAGAAAGCTCTCCAGAGATGTGTAATGCCTCCAAATCCTGTCCATCTATCAGTTTTCCTGAATATCCTAGTAAAAATGCTAACTTTATTCCAAAAATATGAACGAGGCAGTGTTTTTTTTTCCAGCTGTTCTAAAGAGAAAGGTAGGGGTGTGTGTGTGTGTGTGTATGTGACAGAGAAGGAAGGGAGAAAGGGGTAGGGAGATAAATATATTTGTTTTGAGAAGGCCCAATTTAGGAAAAACAGATTCTTGGAGGAATTAAAGAATAACATATTTGCTGAACGTGAAAGTGATAATATAGGTTTAATTCATTCTTTCACATGGTTAGTTCATGGCTCACTCAAAAGACGCCAGGCACTGTATTAGACACCAACCATAAGGTCACAAAATACAGTAGGAAAAAGGAAAAAAGCCCTGCCTCTTGGGCTTAGAATTCAATTGAACTATTAACCAGGAAAGAAATCAGCCAAAAAGATTATGTCTTAACAAGAAAAACAAAAAGGAAAGTATAATTTGATCATTACAACTGTTTTCTGAGGTAGGTGTCATCTCTATTTTACAGAAAACAGTCCTGCATTTGAACCCAGATCTGCCTGATTGATTGGACTGTAAAAGGTTAACGACTCTCACCTAGTTCATTTCAAATGTGGAGCTTAGACTAGGTTATCTCTAAAGGTCCTTCAGGCTCACACCTGTAATCCCAGCACTTTGGGAGGCCGAGGCCAGTGGATCACCTGAGGTCAGGAGACCAGCCTGGCCAACATGGCGAAACTCTGTCTCTACTAAAAATACAAAAAATAGCCGGGCGTGGTGGTGTACGCCTGTAATCCCAGCTGCTGGGGAGGCTGAGGCAGGAGAAATGCTTGAACCTGGGAGGTGGAGGTTGCAGTGAGCAGAGTTTGTGCCATTGCACTGCAGCCTGGATGACAGGGTGAGACTCCGTCTCAAAAATAGCAACAACAAAATAAAGGTCCTTTCAGATTATAACTTTTCCTGACTCTGAATATTAGTTGAGAATACAAGAATGAGGTGGACTATGGATCAGGTGCACAGTGCTAAAGAAATGTAAGACCTAGTCTTTGCCTTTAAGTAGCTCTTTGAGTCTTTGGGACCACGAGACAAGTATATGTGAAAAAGCCAACAGTGCAAAGTGGTATATGACTGTGTGTCTAAGTTGAGTGGTATGGGTATTTTTTGGCTGTTCTGAGGAACAAGTTCAATGTAGACTGAAACTATGGGAACATTTGAGAGAGACAGTGGGCTGCCTACATTGTGTTTTCCACAGGAGGATGAATGTGCCTAATAGCTTGGGAGAAACTAGGATTTTCTTTGCCTGGTGTAGCACTGGTGTTTTCTTTACCCACGAATAAAGTAGATGGAGATAGTCCTGGAAGACAGTAGACAGGGCGGCTGTCAGAATAGAGGAAACCAGCATGGAGTGTAATGAGTTAAATAAGGCTTATTTAACTGTCAGGTTAAATAAGGCTTGTATTTTACCTGTCAGGTTGGTGGCCCAGAAGATTTTGACATTCCCAGATTATTGATCTTTTGGCTTTGCTGTCCAGTTTAGATGGTTTTTGCTAAAGTAGCTTTGACCATCAAAGATATAGACATGTATACGTGCATTTCCTATGCTTGTTTTTTTTATGTAGAATGTTTATTTTTCTGGATAAAGGAAACATTGTTGGCCACCCAGTAGGCAAAATGTTTGTGGATAATGATTTGTAATGAATGGATTTGCTATGAAAAGATATCTTGGATGCTTGATACTATAATTATTAAATGAGACTTCAGGGAGTTTGAGCATCATGATTCTGTTTGGAAATATTTGGCCCATGGGACTTTGACAGTTGTCTCACTGTTTACAGCATTTATAGGGTAGTCCGAACACTGATTAAGATGATCCATAAGGGCTTTTAAGTGACAAAAAAATTGTTTTAGTTTTTTTTAATTAATTTTTTTTTGAGATGGAGTCTTGCTCTGTCACCCAGACTGGAGTGCAGTGGCACTATCTCGGCTCACTGCAACCTCTGCCTCCCAGATACAAGCAGTTCTTCTGCCTCAGCCTCCCCAGTAGCTGGGATTATAGGCATCCCCCTCCACACCCAGCTAATTTTTGTATTTTCAGTAGAGATGGGATTTCGCCAGGCTGGTCTCAAACTCCTGACCTCAGGTGATCCACCCACCTCAGCCTCCCAAAGTCCTGGGATTACAGGCATGAGCCACCACGCCTGGCCTTAAATTGTTTTAGTTTTAGCTTTAAAGCCATCTCATATATGGCCCCCAATGTATTCCATTTACAGCTCCGTTTTATGTTTACTGTTTCATAGTCAACTCAAGCAGGATTGTTTTTTGTACACGCTAGTGTGTTAGTCTGATGTGTAAGCTTTTCTTGAATTTTCTAAAGAATGACACACAAAAAAATGAAAGTCAAGAGTAGTCAGCAGATTCCCCAGCTTTTCCTTCTCTTTTTAATTTTTTCTATATTCGCAAAAGGTTCTTTCTTGTATGTGTTTCATTCTCCTGGAAGTTTTTAAAATCTACTTAAAATGTAGGTGAAAATTTTAATGCTTCTTTTCAGGGTTGCTACTGTGGTGTTGCTGTTTTCATGCTGTGTTATATATTAAACAGCTGCTTTTTTACTTTGTTAAGGACCTGATGGAATCATAAACAGATTACTGTCACTAGGATTACAGAAAACAAGTAAAGTCTTGGTAGTATGCACTCAACAATGGTGCTCAGATTTTTAAAGAATTATTTAAAGAAATGATGGTGAAATTTTCATCAGAACCTGAAATTTTAGCTGAAATAAGATGCAAGTCTGTAAATAAAGTATTGTTTCAAGACAGCTGGCTACCACCATCGCTCTGGAGGAGGAGCTTCCTTGCCTGAAGCCCAAACACTAAGTTTGGGCTCCTCCATAGCCCAGCTGTCAGCATTGGGCAGGTGCACAATCTCAGCAGGAGAACCTGCTTCTGAGGCCAGAGCAAGGTGGCCTGTTAGCTGACAGCCAGCCTGGTAGCAAGGCCCCAGCCAGTTCTTAGGTAGGTAATCTGTACCCAGCGTGGGCTCTCTGTCTGCTCTGCAGCTGTCAATTAACAGGACAACTCTTGTCTGGACTTCAAAAACACACCCCTGGTTCTGGAAATGGGCCTAGAAACAGAAATAGCCTCTCCTACTGGGTGGGCACCTGACATCTGACATGGAGGAGAGGGGCGTGGGCAGGCCAAGTGTCAGCATCTCCTTGGTTCAAGGACAACCCAGGACCTGTGCTAAGCATGAAACCCCTGCTCAATAGTGTCACTACAACAAAGAGGACTGTCATGTCTAGAAGCTCTTCCTATCCTTTTTTGACAATTACCACTAGCAATCAATGGATTCTGATGTTTCTGCTTACAGTGACTGAATAAGCATAATTATTCTATTGAAGGAAATTTTTTCTTGCCATCCTCATGTTAGTAAACATAATTCAGACTCCCAATGTTTTTACCTTTTCAAGTGTAGCAAGAATGTTTTTTCTGTTAACAGAGATCATCAACTTGCAATTACATTAAGCCTTTATGATGGTTAATGATAGTTCATTTGTTGTGCCTGGGCTGAATGATAAGTGTAGAACTCTCCACGTGCAACTTGCTGAATCTCCAAATCTGATTGCTACCTTTTGAGATTCAGAATTACTGTTAGGAAGGTGCATTAGTTTGGAGGGGGTAGTTTGAGAATTCTGCTGGCTCTTTAAAATTATTTTTTTAAGAGATCATCTTGGAACAAAAAGTGGCAAGAGTTATAGTTGGATAATCTGTTTGACAAGTGACTGGTTATTTCAGTGTATTTTGCCATAACCTGCTTAAAAATGTAAGGAGTAAAACACACAGCGTTTTTTGAGAGTAAGTAAAATCCCATATTTTAGACTTAACATAAAAATATGTAGATAAGCTATTGACAATTTGCAGACTGAGAAAGTTTCAGAGGTGATAGATTCTTTTTTTTTTTTTTTTTTTTTTTTTTTGAGATGGAGTTTCGCTCTTGTCCAGGCTGGAGTACAATGGCATGATCTTGGCTCATGGCTCACTGCAACCTCCATCTCCCGGATTTAACTGATTCTCCTGCCTCAACCTCCCAAGTAGCTGGGATTACAGGCTCCTGCCACCACGCCCGGCAAATTTTTTTTTTGTATTTTTAGTAGAGATGGGGTTTTGCCATGTTGGCCAGGCTGGTCTCGAACTCCTGACCTCAGGTGATCCGCCCGCCTCAGCCTCCCAAAGTGCTGGGATTACAGGTGTGAGCCACCGTGCCCAGCCAGAGGTGATAGATTCAAAACATGTGTTAGGTACTCAGCAGTCCTAATTTTCTTACAGAGACTGACAGCCAGAAGGAGCATTGTAGTAGATGGGCTACTACTTTACTTTTGAAGAATTTTGTATTAAAATGTAATTTGATGCACCCACTGATGCTTTTAGTGGGGATGTTTTGCTATAGTGGAAGGAAACTCAGACTGAGTGTCAGGACCCGGATTCTACTTGGTTTTGCCATTACCCACCCACAGGAGCATTTGACCATTCTGATCCTCAGTTTCCTTACCTGTAAAATGGGGGAGGGAGGAGCTGTAGATCTTCAGCAGAAGCCCTGTTGCAGTTTAGCGTTCCTCTTCTCAGACATTTTCTTGGGTGGAAGGGACAAATGGGGAGCTCTTCAATAAGCTGCAACATAAATTTTTGGGGGACATAAATCTTCCTTGTGGGGAAATCTTTACTATTTATCTTAAATAGTTTAGTGACTGCTTAAGCAGTATTCTTTGGGGACTCTTGGTTTTTAACTGAAGGCAGACCTGCATGCAGGGCCTTTGGCTGCTGTGCTCCTGGGCTGGGTGCTGTGTCTTGAGCCCCTGTGCAATGCCTGGCTCAGAGTAGGAGCTCAACAGATGCCTGTTGACTGAATAATAAACAGGTATCGCAGGAGCTTTTGTTATGTGCCATGTGTGGAATGCAAGGAAGGAAAGGCCCACTCTCTGCCCTTAAGGAGTTTCTAATCTGTTTGTGAAGACAAGCTGTCAGTCATTTTATAGGAGCTATGATATATGATTAGTTGCCAAATGAAAGTTTAGAGTGAGAACAGGGGATGCAGGGGTACGAGATGCCAGGGAAGACTCCGCAAATGAATTTTACACTTTGCTTTTAGAAGAGCTGGTGTACTGCTGGCAGCAACAGCAAAATCTTAAGGGAGGGCTGGTTTTAAAGGAAGAACAAAGATTTGTGTTGAGTTTAGATGTCCTCATGAAAAAAACTGCTTCCCAGCACCCCAGTTTCATGTGAGGAGTTTGGCTGTCAGCTGTATCTTCTAGTTTGAGAAGTTTTTGTTTCTGCTAAGATCTAATGTTCCTCATGGGTTCCTGAGCACAAGTGAATTTTCTGCATCAAACTAGAAATGAACAAAACAACTTGTTTGGTCACCTGAACTTATTAAAATTCCAAGGGACATGAGTTGTTTAAGATTTCTTTATGTCTGTTTTAAGCTAAGTAATTCATTCTGGCAAGCAGTTAGTTTACAACAGAGAGGGAGCATGTTCTGGTGGGAGGGAGAATAAAAGAGCCTTTGATTCATTTGCTTCTGAGTTCCAGCAGCAGGACCAGGGCTGCCTTGGGCTAGCGTCTTATTTCGGACTTTGGAAGCCATCTTAGCCCAGCTGTGTGAGTGCCAGCTCGTGTTGGGGGGGAGAGAATAACACCAACGGATCACATGAAACCCCCTCTCCCTGTGGATGGAGGGGTTTCTCTCATTTCACATTCCTCGCATCAACATGGCGCCTAATTTCCACCAAGTTAGAGCTCCATCTGAATTTGCCATTTGAACTTGGATTGAAGTCACGATCTTTCTGTGACTCCTTTTATCTCAGTCTGCCAACTAATACAGAAAACTTATCAAGTCACAGTTCTCTTTATTCTCCCCTCTTGGGGTATAACACACATAAAATTAGCATTCTTTCTTTTTTATATTACCCCTGGCAAAAAGTGGCCCATTGTACTGTGGATTTCCATATTTATTAAATAACTAGGCTCTTCCGTTGCCAGTGGGATGGCTATAGGAGCCTCAATAAATTGTAGATGACAATTTAGGCCTGTAGAATTGCTGAGAAAAGTCATTTTTAGGAACTGGAATTTTTTGCTCATTCTAGGCTTCTATGTTTGAGCATCTTAAATAATAGAAGAATGCCCTAACTGGAAAAAAGAATCATTTCTCTTTTAAGCAATTCACTTATTCATAGGAGCGAAGTTCTCCCTAGTTTAAAAGGTCGCATTACTGAATAAAGTACACTATAACCTAAGAGCTTTTGACCTTCTCCCAGCCCGTTTTTAAAAAGAATTAAGACTATGCACTGTAATGCATGTTTGGTTGTTATCTCTGTTACATTAGCTCTTGAAGCATTCTGATTACAACTTGTAGCTGCCAAGCCCTGTCCTGCAGTATTATCTGGAACAAAAATTTTCCATGTGGTTGTTTTTAGCAGAGCTACTATATGCAAACTGCACGTGAAGGATATAAGTTATAAAGGAATAGAGCTTCTAGAAGGAGAAATGTGAGTTAACTTTTTTCTACCATTTAATCATTCTTTCCTCACCTCTTAGTGTGTGTTTCAATAATGTTTATCATCTTTCTAAACTGAGTTTTCTTTTATTTTTATATATTAGAAAGAATGCCAAATTTACCAAGTGCTTTTCTGATGGTGGTTTTCTTTTCTCCCAGCTTTTTACTTTGAATTCATACTTGGCCTAGGTAGTTCTCTTAAGTTATGTGTTCAAAAAACAATGTCCTAAGAGGAAAAAACAAATGGCCACATTGTCTCATGAATTAAAAACAACATACCAAGAGTCCAAACATTTCAATGTAAAAATATTAAGCCTTTCTTTTTTTAGGAAGACAAATATTAAACTTTGCTTTAACTATCCTGTTGTTTTTCCTTTCCCTTTTTTATTTATTTTCTTTTGGTTTGACTCATGTAGTTTAAATTTATTTTGAAAACAGCTTTATACATACTTCTTTAAGAATACTGCACGTAGGGGAAAGCATCAAACTTCCATTTTACATTTCAAGAGAAAAGTGAGAGGAGGCCATCCTCCTGTCAGAAGAGGGGCAAAATGTCAAATAATACCAAGGTCTTCTAACTTACTTTTACATTGCTTGGTTATTTATCATTATTGCCTAGAGATATTTAGCTATTTAAACATGAAATAAGCAGGTAAATGTAATTTAAGTTAAGCAAGTTTCACATTTGCTTTTGTGAAACGAAATCCTGGACATAAGCATTGGAAGAACTCAACTCATTTTGTTGTAGTTTTTGTTTTAAATAGAAAATAGAGACAGGGTCTCTACATTCCCCAGGCTGGTCTTGAACTCCTGGCCCCAAGTGATCTCTTGCCTCGTTGTAGTTTTTATTGTTGTATTTAACTCATTAGCCAGCCAGTTGTTGTAACATTTTATTTGCTAACTTTTTAAATGAGAGGAAGGTAAAAGCACTCTGTGCCATAGTTCCCTACTCTCTCTTTTCCTATTCATTTCTGCTTCTCTGTGATATAAGCCTAGACATCAAAAATCACAAAATATTTGTGTCCCAATCTTTACACACACATTCTTTCACGAAACTTTTCTCTAAAAAGAGAGTGTTAATTTGTGTCACTCTTACTTAGTAATCAAGAATAGAAATAATAATGTTCCAACTAGCATGTAGATGTTTTTCTCTCCTGAAATGCAGCTTTTAGTTACTGCTGTATTGGGAAATGTGGTTAGGCCACTTTCTGACTGGCAGAACTCCTCCCTGAGATGACTACCTGATGAAAGAATTACCTGCCTGTGTGCCTTCCCAGTTCCAGTCCTTAGCACATTCCCATCACTGCTGTGGCCAGAGTTGGAGTTGCCAAGACTAAGGTGCTGGTGGAGGGATGACTCCTTGATTATCGAGAGAGAAGTGCTTTAATCTTTGACTTTTGTAAGAGAGATACTAGGTAAAAGCTACCTTCAGCGTTTTGAATTCCAGTGCTGTTGTGTAGAGCTTGATGAGGAACGATTACCTCATTCAGCTAGGGAGGTATTTTTTGAACCCTCTACCCTCTGGCAAAGTTATAATTGACCCCAAAGTTATGTAGGATTATTTACTTTACATGTTCTTGACAGTTTCAGGTTTAAATGTTTGAAGTGTTGAGAAAAGGTAAAAGGAAATATTGAACTCCTAATAATGTAAAATATTTGGGAAGGTACTTTGTTCCTAGTGATGCTGTTACATAAAACCAAAGCCTTCTGAGTAATCTTTGCTGGGTATGTAGGTCATTTACCTCCAAAGAAAAAGGCACACAATTAAACTGGTGCTGTTGAACGGTATTATTTTTCTTTCTATTCCTTTAAGCAGTCAAATAGTTGAGAGTCAAATTTATAAATGTTGACTGTTTCAAATGGGAAAAGCAAGCGTAATATATTTTTCTAGTTGATTTTCATAGTGACCCACAGTATACAGAGAAAAAGGTATATACACAGGAATCTGTGAAAATTATGGCTTCATTTATCATTCTTCGGTGTTTGTAATAGGATATTAATTTCCAGAGGACAGAGATGGCATTTGTTCTCTTGTCTCAAATATACAGTATGGTGCCTTGCATATACTCTTGAACAGCACAATCAAATAATTGTAGAATTTTGAGCCTAAAATTGTAAATTCTCTTGTCCAATGTTTCTTAACCTTTTCTAACCCACTCCTCTCTCATGTATTGTTTGAGTGTCCTTTGGCTTTTAATCCAGTTTTACTTTCTATGATTTGCATTACAAAAACAATAGCTATATTGAAACTTTTTTCTAATTACACATATCTCCTTCTCCACCAGTCAAGAATCCAACCCACTCCTTTTACAGGGAATGAAAATAAGCCTAAGGGAGGTGAATTGATTAGTCCAAAGTCATATTACTTAACCAGTTGTTCTGTTGGGGTCCATCTCTCCCCTCCCAGATAAAATCCTTTCCGTCAGAGTGAATGCCCACATGAACAGGGCACTGTGAAGAATGCAAAAGAAGAGGACCAAGTGAACACTGTTTTCACCTTTGAGAGCTGTGTGCTGCTAGGGGACATAGGTTGCACTTAGTTCTACAAATTACATCATGATCAGTGATGTGTGAGACATTCTGGTAGAAGAATCCAGCAGAGAGGTTAATTCAGGTACTCTGTGAAGGCTTAATGAAGGTGGCAAGAGGCATTTCACCAGCACCTTAAAAGATGGATTCAGTTTTCAAAGATGAGGCTGGAGTAAGATCTGATTTCTGTTTCTCCTTTTCCCAGCCAGACTCTTGCATTGTTGTTTACATTTGGCTCTTCCTCTTTTTCACCTGCTGTTCATTTCATAATGGAATACAGCTGGGTCCTTTTTCCATCACCCTTATTTAAACACCAGTCTCTGATGTTCCTAAGTGTTGGAGTTCTTGAGGGTTCCAGTGCTAGCCCTGGTTGGTCTCCTCCTCTTTTCATCTTTGTTAGTTGGTTCTTCATCTGTTGTGAAATCGTGAACTCCTTTGAAAATTTGAGGCTCCCAGTTCCCATAAGAACTCTTACTAACTTATACACAAACATTATTATAATCTTGGATGTTTTCTGACCTTTAAAGCTCATCTATGGCTCTTAACACCTAGTTAAATGCCCTGAATTATATGTTGATAATTTGAGTACTCTTTCTCAGCCCATTTCTCATTCCAGATCTATGGCTCTAATGGTTTAAATCCAAAACTGCTTATATAGCCCACAGCAACTCAGAGTCAGAATGCCCACAGCAGATCTTATCATCCTTTCCCTTAAACCTGGTCCTCTTGGCTGTTCCTTGTACAGTGGCTCAGCCAGAAGGTTTTCTTTGACTTTTCTCTCTCTCTCATTCTCCACACCCAGTGACCAAACCCTGTCGGTTTTACCTTCCAAGTATCTTGATTTATTGGCCACTCTTGCCTAGGCGATATTTGCCTTTCTTCTGGATTGCTGCAATAGCCAGTTGCAGTTGCTGCTCTCTGCCTCCTCTTGGGCCCCTCTTAGCTGTCTTATCAAGGCAGCCAGAGTGACTTTTCTGAAATACCAATCTGATAATGCCATTCCATAGCTCGAAGCTGTTCTGCCGCGCTCTTTTGCTCTTCGGAGTGCCTCTGCCTCTTCCCTTGGCTTGCATGGCCCTTTATGTGGCAGCAGCACATCCATCCAGTAGTGTTTGTTGCTTCCTTCTCCACTCAGTCTCTCCCCTTCAGCTATACTGAACTTTCATGGTCCAGATCAGCTCTGAGATCTCTCTCTCCGGGCCTTTGCACATGCTCTCCTCTCCTCCAGGAGTCCTTGACACTCTCTTTTCTGTCTCACAACCAGGCTAACTTTGGGAACCTTCTCTGAACTCCACCACCACTGCCACATGTACACACAGACATACTGTGCT
This sequence comes from Homo sapiens, assembly GCF_000001405.40. Classification (NCBI taxonomy): domain Eukaryota; kingdom Metazoa; phylum Chordata; class Mammalia; order Primates; family Hominidae; genus Homo; species Homo sapiens. The sequence continues at coordinate 143,349,004 of NC_000004.12, forward strand.
GGGAGCATCTGTTTTGTCCTCCTGTCATGCTCTGTTATTCTCATAGCATAGCACTTGCCACACTTGATATTTGCTTGTTTACTTGCTTATTTCCCCTCCCATGGTGGGGCCATGTTGTGACTTTTGTGAGCCCCAGGTACATTTGCCTTCATAGGTCCCCCCCTTCCTAGATTAAAATATTCTAACCTGGAGTAGTTATATATTATTTTTCATTTTTTATTTTGATTTTTTTTTCACGCTTAATTCACTTTATTTTTCTTGTATAAAAACCCTACGTTGTAGCCACAGCTGGAGCCTGAGTCCGCTGCATGGAGACTCTGGTGTGGGTCTTGACTAGGTGGTCAGTGAAGTCCTGATAGGGAGACTTGGTAAATACAGTCTCTTTCCAGAGGTCAGGGGTCAGATAGCTGTAGGTCTTAGAAATGGCATCAAAGGTGGCCTTGGCGAAGTTGCCCAGGGTGGCAGTGCAGCCCTGGGCTGGGGTGTAGCAGTCATCGATACCAGCCATCATGAGCAGCTTCTTAGGCACAGGTGCGGAGACGATGCCAGTGCCCCTGGGTGCAGGGATGAGGTGCACCAGCACAGAGCCGCAGCGGCCTGTCACCTTGCAAGGGACGGTGTGGGGCTTGCCGATCTTGTTCCCCCAGTAGCCTCTGTGCACGGGGACAATGGAGAGCTTGGCCAGGATGATGGCCCCACAGATGGCGGTGGCCACCTCCTTGGAGCACTTAACACCCAGACCGACGTGGCCATTGTAGTCCCCGATAGCAACGAATGCCTTGAACCTCGTGCGCTGGCCGGCACGGGTCTGCTTCTGCACTGGCATAATCTTCAAAACCTCATCCTTGAGAGAGGCCCCCAGGAAAAAGTCAATGATCTCTGATTCCTTAATGGGCAGAGAGAAGAGATAGATCTCCTCCAGGGACTTGATCTTCATGTCCTTGACCAAGCGGCCCAACTTGGTGACGGGCATCCACTCCTTATCCTCGGCCTTGCCTCCGCGACCCCGGCCCCGGATGCCACTGCCGAAACCTCCGCGGAAGCCACCGCGGTTCCCCATCCCAGGGCCACCAGGGCCTCCGGGCCCTCCCGCTGCACCGGCGTCATCCGCCATTTGGTGTTTTCTCGGAAAAGAAGCTGATTTTTAAAAGAAAATATTAAGACACTTTTTGTGTGCTCCTAAATGTATCATGGGCCCCAAGCACTGTGCCTTCTGTCTGATGGATACGTTGGCCCTGTTAAATGAACAGAAATACTTTTAAGATAAAGTTGACAGCATATGTCAACTGCCTGATTGGGACTAAGAACGGTGAGGAGTTACTCAGTTATTTTGTCATGTGGCACTGTTATCATGGCTTAGCTCACTAAAACACTCTTAAGGCTTTGTGTTTTAGGCTGGGCGCAGTGGCTCACCCCTGTAATCCCAGCACTTTGGGAGGCGGGGCGGGCACATCACCTGAGTTCGGGAGACAGAGACCAGCCTGGCCAACATGGTAAAACCCCGTCTATACTAATAATACAAAAATTAGTTGGGCGTGGTGGTGCATGCCTGTAATTCTAGCTACTCAGGAGGCTGAGGCAGGAGAATCGCTTGAACCCGGGAGGCGGAGGTTGCGGTGAGCCGAGATCTCGTCATTGCACTCCAGCCTGGGCAACAAGCGTGAAACTCCGTCTCAAAAAAAAAAAAAAAAAAAAGAAAGACTTTGTATTTTAGGCCCTGGTAATGGGAAAAAAATTATGTATAGATTTATATAAAATATATTTAAAAATATGTATTTAGGAGCAAAAATTGATTATGTAAAAAAATGTGTTCTATGAGCTGTTTGACTACTACGCACATTTCTTCATGATGTTTCTGTGTACAGCAGTTTTTAGTAGAGGTGGGTAGGTGATTTGTCCCCTCCACGGGACATTTTGAAACAGGAAAGGTTCCCTTGTCCCCCTCGCAGGGCATGCAATGGGGATGTGCTCACTTCTTCAGGGCCCCACTGCTCAAACCTCTAGGGGAGCATACAGACCGGCAGGCCGAGGGGCTCTGACCCCACCGCAGTGTCTAGGGGTGAAAGTTTACAGCTGAGGCCCCAGCGGGCGTGTGTTACGGGGTGCTCTTTTAGTTTGCCGTCTATAGGCAGCTTGTGTTAACCAGTTCAGTTAGACCCCCTCCCTTATCACAAGGACAGAGTGATTTCTGTATCCCAGTGTTTCTTGCCTTGGTGTACCAGAAGAATTGGATCACACGTGGGGCTGGAGAATGAGTGCAAGGTTTTATTGAGTAGAAGTAGCTCTCAGCAGATGGGGGAGCCAGAAGGCAGATGGTTTTCCCCTGGAGTCCGGCCACTCAGCCGCCTGACTCTTCTCCAGCTTCTCCGGCCATACCCCGAGTTGTTCGGCCAGTCGATGGTCAGCTTGCCTGCGGGTGCTCTTCCGCGGTGTCTTCTCCCGCCAACGAGTTCGTCAGGATGTCCAGCCGCTTGTGTCTGCCACCTAGGGTCTGGGGGGTTTTTATAGGCACAGGATGGGGGCGTGGCCGGCCAGGGTGGTCTTGGAAAGGTGACCTTTCGGCGGCAAGGCTGGAGTGCCTATCCTCACCTAGGTTCGTGGGGATGGATCCCTAGTCAGGGACCACGCCTTCCTCTACCAGGCACTTCCCTTCCCCACTTCCATATCATTTAAAGGGACCAGGCTCTTCCCGTCCCAGCACTTCCATAACAATTTGACAATTTCTGGAGACATTTTGGTTGCTACAGCTGGAGGGAGGAATGCTTCTGGTATCTAGTGGGTAGAAGCAGGGATGCTACTAAACACTCTATTGCACAGATTTATCTGGCTCAGAATATCAGTGTGCTGAAGTTGAGAAATCCTCATATAGAGGGGTTCATAAAGCTTGGTTCTTACATTTATTTTATTCATTTAGTATATTTCCCTATGTTGCCAGTTGGATTGTGTCATAGCACCGGAAGCAAACATTTATTTTTCTGACTGAAGTAATGTTTGAGAAAAACAGTCATTGAGATGGCTGAGCCTTTGATCACTAGAGGGTTTAGGTGATAGGCAAATTCTCTCTCCAAGGATCTGTTGTCATTTAAATCATTACCAAAATACTCATTTTTACTTTGCTCTCCTAGCTTAGAGTACAGCCAATTGTTGTCTGGTAGGGGGATGCTGAGTCATTTATTCATGCATTTTATTACCTCTTGGCTGCAATATCACCATTCATTGTTCACAAGCCACCCAGCTTGTTTACTTTTTATAAATTACATGTAATCAAGTCCTCTTGCAGGTCTGGCTACTGTAATTGGCAGCAGCCACAGAGCAGGGCTGACAAGTCTGCATTTATGCTGATGTCTCATATTCAGCCCACTCTCCAAGCTTTCTTTCCTCTTCCATGTGTATTTTAGAAGGAAGGCAAATAGAAGGAATGCAAAGAGAGAACTGTTAAGGAGTTTTCTCTTTTCAGATGATCTTAAGATACTTATAGCTTGGCAGAGTCCTTGTGTCATTTGGTTGGGAAAAAACAAGGGTCTAGAGCAGTCAGTGGTCCTTAAACTTCAGTGTGCATAACAATCACTGGGTAACTTCTAAAGTGAAGATTCTTGGGCCCTACCCTCCTTCTAATGTTTTTATTAAGTCTGGGTAGAGGTCCAGAAAACTGCAGTTTCTAACTTGAACCCCTGCTGATTCTGAAGTAGATGGTCCTTAGGTTATTCTTGGAGAAATCCTGAGTTGGGCATAGAGGGAAAAAGAGACAAGAAATAAAATTCAATAGAAGTAAATACTTATAAAGAAAGCAAGAACCAAAACTGAGAGAGTAACTTTAACCTCTCTTCTGTGAGATGAAGGGAGTGAGTATGCTGTGCTGCTTAAAAAGATAAGCGTTTAGTTTTTTCTGGCAGTGAATGAGATCAAACTGTCCTCCAAAGACGACATATTGAGAGGATTACAGAAGTGAAAAGGAATTTTTAGAAAGGTTAGAATATGAGAAAGTACCTAACTGTCGCCAAGAAACTCAAAAGACATGATTAAATCAAAGAAAGTGTTTTGTAGGTATCTGTTTAAAAAAGAATGTGCATTCCTGAATCAAGAGTTTATGAATAGCTTAAAGATGAAGAGGAGAGATGAAGGAGGATTAGCTGTTCACCAGAAGTTCTGGTTATTCTGGTTATTGGATCTGAAAGCATATTATTAAAGTATTGTCTAGATTTCCTGGAATAGTTCTCATTTCTAATATTCTTTCCCATTGTTTTTATAATACATGTCTGATTTGCCCTAATTTTTGGTTAGTTGAGGTGTGGTTGATTTGTAAAAGAACACCAAAAGTGGGTCTACTTGACTGAAGAAGCTCTCTTGCTTTCCAACTTTGTGTTTGTGTATGTGTGTGTTAAATGTATGTTTTCTAATCTATCTCTTTTAACCTAAACTTTGATTTTAAAGTCCACATTAGAGAAAGAGCAATAGAGACAGACTGACTCCACTTTAGAAAATTGGTCAAGAAGTGGACCAGGTGGGAATGGTTACTTAATCCTAGCAGAGGAATAAAGTACTTGATTTCCAGCTACCTACTGAATGCACTCTGCTACTAGACAGCTATTCTTATTTTTTTTTTTTGACATATTATTTCCATAGGGGAACTTTATAGTTCAATTCAGTAACCTTGGAGAGAGATCCTGACCAAAAAAAAAAAAGAGAGAGAGAATTTTGGAAGTTACTTATAAAATGATGAGTATCACCAGCATTTGTTAAATCATTCTTTCTTTATTCTAATTATCTCTGTATTAAAGTATTGACTTTTCCACATACATGCTCTAGAAACCCAGGTTGTACTTTAGAACTTTTCACCACTATAGTATATTAACTAGCTTGCTAATCCTTTTTACTGTCTTTCATGTTCTCTCCCTGCCATCTGCTCACAAGATTTTATAGAATCTTCATATCTGCTTTGTAAGTGTTGAGGATCATTATTGTTATTGTACGAAGTGTCTACCACACCCTCTCATTGCACTGAGAGTCCGAGTAAGTTTAGTTAGTAGATCACTTTGCTCTGAAGTGAATAGAAGGGTTGTTGCTGTATGCTGGTGGAGACCCAAAACCAGCTTCTTCCATTTACTCAATCAAGGAAGGCTAGACTCCTGTGACTTGTACCCTGCACTTTGAAGACTGGGCTCAGGACTTGCTCTCTTCATTTCAGGTGACCTTATTTTCTTGCTTTCTTTTGTTTTTAAAATCGTACACTTGGTATATATCTTGGTGTATCTCCTTTTTATGAGCCTCTGAGTATTCCTAACTTTTTTTCAGATTTTTTTTTCTTCCTTGTTATTTATTCTAACTCATATACTGTTTAACATAGTGATGGGTGTTTCCAATGAATATTTATATTTTCTGAAAACAAGTGTAAATGCTCTTAGAGAGAAGCATAACATTAAATAGCTATCCAAATGCAACATTGAGAAATCACTTATAAATTTTCAGTGGGGGTATTTTAACTTACAGTTTTCCATTTTGAGTTTAAAGTATAGAGAAAAAAAGGGTTACAAAATATTAGGTAAGCAGATTTATTGCCCTTTGCCTAAGTTACTAAAGGGAAGTGTTTCTTTTAAAAAAAACTTAGTGTAGAAGATTTATCATTAAACTATAATATACATATTTGACCTTGTAATATTTTTGTTTACTTATATTTGAATAGAAAATGTGCATAGATTCACTTAAAATGTGTAGTACATTGTTATTCATTATTTCTTTGTTTTAAGTTATAATTTTTAATACTCAGAGATTTCCAAATCTTTAATATCTACCTGCTTATGCCAGTGATTCTTAAATAACTAAAAAATACTCTTTTATAGTAGCTTTTATGCACAATACATTTTTTAGCAAATGTGCTTTGCCCCAAGTTGGAGAATTAGTTATATGTTGAGAAGCCCATGCTTTTACTAAGTGAAATTGAAACATAGATACTGAAATATTTTTCATCCTTCAACTAAGTTCTAGCATTGAAAACATCTGTTTGTTTTCAAACAGGATCTGTTGTTTTTCTAAACCATGTACTTCCAAAGCAGAACAGATTTTCTTCGAGATTTTTATTGAAATACCTCAAGGAGAAGAAAATGACTCAAAGAGGATAAAGGCTAATTTTTCTTAATGAAAGAAGAAAAACATTTTTTACTCTTTCTATTCTTAATTTAGGCCTAGGAAATACCCTGAGTCCAAGGCCAGCTGGTTTCAGCATGCAGAGATAAGACTAGAACACAGCTTCCTGATGCCCAGACCAGAGCTGTTCTCATTACCATTTCTATATCCACCTCCATCTTTAGTGGGTTGCTGTGATTTCCAGCATTCAAACCCTTGCACATTTCCAGAGCCTTTTAGCTGTCTCGTGGAGCAGTTCATCCCAATTGCTGCCTTTTTAATTTTTATTTTCAATTGTGTTTAAAACAAAACAACAACAACAACAACACATAACATAAACTTGACCATCTTAATCATTTTTAAGTGCACGGCACAGTAGGTTAAGTATTCAGATTGTTGTGCCAGCCCAATCTCTCCTGCTTCACCGTTCAATCTCAGTAGCATTGGAAACAACAGAAGGGTCTTTATGCAAATACCTTTCAGGAAGGCGTGCGCCTCACCTGTGTTTGCTCCTTCACAGTAGTAGGAAGTTAATTATGTGGGATTTGCTCACCTGATCCACACAGCTGATCCTACTGTAGTGCACATTTGGAAATCCCACACCCCTTTCTTCCCCTGAGGAAAAAATTCTTTCCTCATCCTAGATTCAGTGCTCTGTTTAATCTTGAGCATATGAGAATGAGTCACCATGGGTAAGAGTGTAATCTCATTTATACCTTTCTTCCAACCCTCCTTTAATTTTTTAAGTTTATGATACTGGATCCTGCTTTCCTACATAAGGGCTGGTGATTTGGAGACTAATTTTGGGAGTGCGAGGTGTTGAGATTTTTTTTGGGAACCAGTGCTTTCTGTTCTGCTGAACATGAAGCTGCATGGCCTAAGTTCTGAAATTCAGGCTATGTATGGAATGTCTGTGTGGATGAAGAAACAAGCCAATGCCTTTTTTTGGGTCGGGGCCGGGGGGAGACTGGGAGAAAGATGAATGAAAATGTTAAGATAGTCTGATTTTGTGGGGGAAATATTCAAATTTTGAGAATTTGTGCAAATCAAAGACAAGCAGTTAGTTGCTTTGTGATTTTATTTTACCCACAAAAGAAATACTTGATATTGTGCTGAAGATGTTGTTGAATAGGTATATTAACTCAGATAAAATAACTGAGTTCTACTTTTGATTCCAGTTATCCCTATCTATGCAATGTGTAAATGCTATTTCCATTTCTTCATTTGTGGAATGAAAAACATTTCACTGGAAAATTGTTTTTAAAAAAGTACTTGTAAAGTACATTGGAATCTTTAGGATACTTTGAACATGGTGCTTAAAGAATGTAAATGGTTAATGCTTGCTTTCATACCCATAGAGGAATATGGGAGTGGGAGTCACTTGAATATCAAAATGAAACTCTGTATCCATTTTTAAATACAGTATGCATTTGAGCAAAGCCCTTCTCCCTAACTGCTTATTTTAAATTGGCAGTTGCTCAGCCAACAGTCAGTAATCTCAGTTAGCAAGTGTTTGGCACGCCTGTTTTAACCTGCACAGGTTCAGTTCACACAAAGAAAGGGAGGGTTGGGTTATGTGATGCAAACACCACGTTAGCCTCATTAACATATTTTGAATAACTGTATTTGAATATTTGCCAGCTAAGCTAGGCCATCTGAAGGCCTGCCAAACAAAATGGGGGTTTCTGCGAGGAGTGCAGAGATTTGAGCTTGTAAACTTTTTACTTTTTCTTCTTGAGGGGAAAGATTTTAGATGATGCTATTTAGAATACTTTCCATACCCTCTCAAAAGAACAACCTTTTTTGTGTGTGTTTTAATTCTGCAGAAATTTTGGACTTTCTCTTTCTACCACCTTTTTATATATCTTTAAAAGAGGTACCTTAGGACATGTCTCTGAAATACCTTTAGGTAATCTATCCTGGGTGGGTTTGAGTTTCTACTCAGCCTGTTTTTTTGTCTTTGCAGAATTTAGTCCTGAAGCTCTTTCTGTGAGTCTAGCTGGAGAACCTCTTCTGCAAACTTAATGTGTGAATACCAGTGGTTGGAACAGAACAGATAGGATAAACTAGGGTATCTGTAAACTCCTACCTAGTGGATGCCCAGATCATAAAGATGCCAGCCTGGTTCAACTCTATATAGTATAGACATTGTTTTTACAAGCCTTCAGTTTTGTGGCCTGACATCTGTATCTGTTCAGAAATACTTTTTTGACTTTGACACCTGTCTGGCTGAAACCACAACTTTGGACTCTAAAACTGGGCAAGGGAGGAGTCCATTGGAACCAGGGGTTATCAGATATTTTAATATACAGGGTTTTAAGGGTGAGAACATGAGGCAGCATACACTTAGCTCTCTAGTTTTCATTCTGGGGGACAGGTGAGGGGAGTATCAAAATCACCAGGGAACTCTTTGAAAATCATTCACCTTGATTATTTTTTTCCTGTTTACCTGTTGTGAAGGGTGGGTAGGGATGACAGTGTGATGAGGTGGCATTTGAATCTAGAATCTGCGGAAGCTGTGGGTGCTGACCACAGTGTGGTAGTTTCCATAGTTTGGGCCAATTTGCAACCTGTCTTGTACTTACCCTTTGGAATAGAAAGATACAGTCTCATGATGCCAACTCTCACCCCTCCTTAAGTGTGTATTTAGTAGTATTTCCAGGAAATGATTCCTTCTACCCTAAGGGCTTTTTCCTTTCCTTTATCTCTTCAAAGATGGTTCTTAAGACTTAGTTTTAAATCATATATATATATATATGAATTATCAGAAAGAGGGAAGAATAAATTTGAGCATTCCTATTTTTTTATACATGTTTTGTAAATCTCTCCTTTAGTGGAAGGGAAAGAGGATGCAACTATGCTGAGAAATGTGTCTGTTATATAAATTGCTATTTTAAAAAACCACTTTTAAAAACTAAGAACCTAGGAAAGAACTCCGGTACGTTAAACCAAGCCCTAAATTTTCAACAGACATTTTAATGATTATATATTTTATACGTTGTGTGTACGTGTGTGTATGCCTTAAAGTTTTTAGATTGAAGTTATTAAATTTCACCTGTCTTTTGTTGCTCTTAAATGATTTACATGTAATTTTGTCAGTGATTCTTACATGATCACCATCTACTCATAATTAATTGTATAGACACAATTTTAAGTTTCATAGCTTTTTTTCCAGTTGAATTGTAACAGCCTGTTTAAAAGACAAATTTATAGGCGATTGTAATCTTCATGAAGCAATGTGAGTTGATGAATACCTTTGAATGTTGTTTCGGTATTTTTCTTTTTTATTATAAAATGTTAAATATTTCATTTGTAGAGCTTCTCTCATGTCAATTTGTTGTATTTGACACAATAGGAATACTCATGCAGTGTTACCAGTTTCGTGATATGCGTTCAACATCTCTGAAGGTGGTGAATATAAAATCTGTTTTTCAAACAAGTACACACATGAAACTAAAACAATTTATTCAAGTCCTAAAACAACGTTAGTGAAACTTCAGTTCTGCCACTGTGCCCACATTTAAGCTGACAGCATGTGTGTGTGAGAAGAAGATACACATTACTGATAATCTCTTTAGAATGCATTAATATTTTCAGGCCCAAATATGAGTATTCAGTAGGTTCATCAGATTAAAAAAGCTAAATGAAATTTAAATATTGACTTGTATGTTTCCTTTAATTAATTTTGGTGACTTACTAATTGGTATTTGTGGGGATACGTAGAATTTTTTGAATTGGTGTTTGTATTCTCCATGTTTTAGTTATAAAGCACTATGAAGAGAAAGTGAATGAAGAGGCTGCCTTCAGGTGTAGTAAGGTTTAACTTCTATCCCGGTTCCAACTTGTCCTGCTGTCAGCTTGCTCCTTAGCTCCCTGGCTTATTTACATATTGTATAATCCAGACTGGCTTGTCCCGTTTGGTAGGTTGGTTATAAACTGCAGAGCTAAGTAAATGTGTGATAACATTTTAAATGGTATGAGAAGTTAAACAGTACTTAAGGAGTGATGTCGTAAAGAACCCCAGCTGTCAGGTGCCCCAGGGTTGGCCTCCTTTGGGGCCATTTCCGTTTTCTCTGAGTAACAGGAAATAAATGTGAAACTATAGTAAATTCTGGTCAGATGATGACCCCCTCATCCAGATGAGATGTAGCATGCTGGATCTGATACTGAAAATGTTTGATACTGAAAGTAGATTATTAACTATTTCCATTAATGAGTTTTGTACACAGGCAGAACAAATCAACAAAAAACCCACGGAAGCATTTTTATCTGTCTTTACCCAATATGAAAACAGTAAAGGCTAGACAAGTCCTGTTCTCCTCCTCCCTCGGTGTATAATGAGAGAACATTTCCATGTGCTTTGTGATGACCATTTCTAGTGGCTGCATGATACTGTGTCCAGTTGTAGGATTATTGGGTTTCCCAAAACATCACTGCTCTTCAGTGTTTAACATTATGAAAAGTTGTGCCTTATCCCCTGTGTGAGTGCTCTAAGCTCTCTGTAAGGCTGTGTGCCCTGGTCATTGTTGAGTATGTCCTTTTCATATTCATTTATAATCAGGCCAGCCAAAGATTGGAATCTAATGGTGGATGTCAAAGTCTTTCCTAGAGTACCTCTTCCTTCCCTACTGGGTCTCTCTGAGATTTTCAGGGGTTGCCAGTGGCAAAGGGTGTTTGTTAACCCCTAAAGTGATGGTGATGGTTTCTCCCTATTGTGTTATACTGTGCATTTGCTCCAATTTCAGGGTTCCTTGGTTCAAAGGAACGCTGGGGAACCCTAACTTTGAAGATCTCAATTTGACAGCAACCTGCCTTTTTCCATGAGTCACTGTTAGTTCAAAATACCCAAAAAGAGATTCTCATTTCTGTAGGTTGGGCAAGTTGCAGCCTGCTTGATTTTTTAGTGTCTTTGGTTTATAATGATTTTAGAGAGTAGAAGAGGAAATGGCTGTTTATTGTATGTTGCATAAAACTATATGGCCTTGTGCAAATGATCTAACTTTATATGAATCCTGGATTGAAGACAGATGTTTCTTTTGTATAAGTAGATTCACCACTCTGTGTCCTACTCTGAAATAATGAGGGGGAGAATAATCCCATATATATCACATCAATTTTAAAAAACCGGAATTCAAGAACTGGGAAATTTTTCAGTTTACATTCTCCTGATTCTGATTTTGTTTCTTACGTTATTTTTCTATTTTAAATTTGCTTTTATTATTTGAGATAAAAAATACTTTGTTTCCATTCTAAGTTTTGTTTTTTGAACTAAAGGTTAAAAAACCTGCATTCATGGAATTGTTGCCTTTTCAGTGGTTAACTGTTAGATTTTATAATCAGAAGATTGAGATCTTTAAAGGACAAAATGGAAAATAAAATTAGGTTTGGGGTAAGGAATCCTACTTGGACACTACAAAAATAGAAGGAAAAAAAGGTGAATGAATAATTGGCAAAACAAACTCTTTTTCCTGTAAGTTCCCTTTTCCCAAATTCTTGCCATCATGCTAAAAAAAGTTGTCTCGTGGGTTGATTTTTCTCAGAATCCTGATGCTTGTTGTTAATAAGAATTTTTTTCATGTGCCAAAGTTTTGTTTTTCGTGTGACTTCTGCGGCAATTTTGGTCTTACTGAAAATATTTTTTTAAGTACCATGGTAAAAGTTACTGGTAATAAGCCAAAAGGAGAATTTAAGGTGAACTTCTATACAATTTACTTTTATTGACTAGGGGAAATCAAATGCATTGCCCAAGGTAATTGAAGTCAGATTATTGTAGGAGAAATATCAATTCTAATTAAAAACAAAGTGTGAGTGCTTATTTCCAGTTTCAAAACTTACATTTTTTAATTTCTACCTCATCCTTTCCCCAACAAGACATATTTTTGCTATCAGGCTAACATAAAGTGCTGCTACTGACTGAGCCAGCCTAATGGAATGGCATCACTGTTTCTGTTGGCATAGTTAAGCAGGGGGTTAAAAATTCAAGTTTTTGGGAAGGAGTTTTTTTTTTTGGAGGGATTTCTTTTGCAATACGCAACCTTCAGACATTCCAGAAAGTAACTGTGGATGCATTTTAGGGTATAGCCAGTGTCCTTTGCATCTTTCAGTCTGATAGGCAAAATCATATTTTAGATTACTATTAAAACAGCATGCTGATTTATTCATCTTGTCCTTCCTTTTAAGAAATATATTTCAGAAATGCTAGTAACATCTTGCTCAGCAGCTCACTCTGACACCCTGACTTACTCTTACTGGGGAGATCTCACTGTTTTGTTTGCTCTGCAGATCTTATAGTGGCCTTTGACCAAAGGCAATGAAATGTTACCTGACTTGCAGTATCAGTCAGGATTCTCAGTTACAAGCAATAGACATCTCTGACTAATTTAATCATAAAAGGAGTTTATTAAGAATATTAGGTAGCCACAGTTTCTCTGGAAAAGCTGAGAACTCACCTTGGCAGCTTATCAGCCAGGATCAATGATGCTGAACTGATCTGGGGAATATATTGCCACTGCCTCCTGGCACATGATCATAGGCCCTGCATCTTGCACCACCAGCACAGTCACACGAGACCCCAAATGCCACCACCGCTGCCTTTGGGAACTGCATCACTGCCCCTACCTCTGGCCCAGGTTTCTGTACGGTTCTTACTATTTGTAACTGCTTGAGATTCTAAATCTGGGATGGATTATTTGGTGGAGCCAGTGTACCTAGTAATGTGACTGCAGTCTGATTGCAGGGGTGGTTGAAAAAGCAGTTACTTGGAGTTTTCAGCTTTTGAAGTGTTGTGTGTGGTTTTTTTTTGTTTTTTGTTTTTTTTAAGAAACATGATCTTGTTATGTTGCTCAGGCTGGTCTTGAACTCCTGGGCTCAAGCAATCCCCCCACCTTGGCCTCCCAAGGTGCTGGGATTACAGGTGTGAGCCACCACCCCTGGCCTGTAGTGTTAATTGTTAATGATTTTCCAAACATAGGAAGGAAAGTTCAGATGCTGGGTAACCTAAAAGAATCACATAAGTCCACCCTACATGGCATACTGGAGGTGGAGGTGGAAGGATAGAAAAATAAGGACAACAGCTACCTTCCTACATTACTTAAGATGCTAATAATAGTTATGAGAAAAATGTTATAACAGAACCCATAGTTTCTCAGTATTTTCGTAATAGCAGCATCCATATGTTACCAGAAAGGGGTCCTGAGCCAGACCCCAAGAGACGGGCTCTTAGATCTCCTGCAAGAAAGAATTCGAGACAAATCTGTGGAGTAAAGTGAAAGCAAGTTTATTAAGAAAGTAAAGGAATAAAGAATGGCTACTCCATAGAGCAGCCCGAGGGCTGCTGGTTGGCTATTTTTATGCTTATTACATGCTAAACAAGGGGCGGATTATTCATGAGTTTTCCAGGAAAGGGATGGGCAATTCCCAGAACTGACAGTTTCTCCCCCTTTTAAAAAGACCCTAAGGGGTAACTCCTGATGTTGCCATGGCATTTGTAAACTGTCATGGCGCTGATGGGAGTGTCTCTTAGCATGCTAATGCATTATAATTGGTGTATAATGAGCAGTGAGGATGACCAGAGCTCACTTTCATAACCGTCTTGGTTTTGGTGGGTTTTGGCCAGCCTTTTCTGTGCATCCTGTTTTGTCAACAAGGTCTTTGTGACAGTGTATCTTGTGCCCACCTCCTATCTCATCCTGTGACTAAGAATGCCTAACTTCCTGGCAGGGCAGCCCAGTAGGTCTCAGCCTTATTTTACCCAGCCCCATTCAAGATGGAGTCACTCTGGTTCAAATGCCTCTGACACATAGGCATAATACTCTGTTGAACAGTTGCTGTGTGCTTGATAGTTCTTTGTTTTATAATTTTATCTCTGATTCATACAGCAGCCTTGAAAAGTAGACATTATTGTCCCCATTTTGTAAAGGAACTGATGCTCAGAGTAACTTCCCAAAATCACACAGTGCATATGGCAGTGCTGAAATTCAAACCCGCATGTATCTGCTTCAACACCTCTCTTCCTGCTATCATACCAGCATTCCTCCTCATAGAAATTTTGTGAAAAAGCACAGATAACCTCCTTGATTTAAACTAGAAATTTTTGAGAGTCCTGCATTGTTTCTCTTAATAATCCACTACTTATCATTTATCATGAGTTGTGAGATCCTGCTAGGTTCAGGAGAGTGACTGGGACCAGAGCTACAGACTCAGGAGTCATAAGACCTTAAGAGCTCCTGGGTGCTGTGGGCATTGGTGAGGTGGTCCTGGGAAGAACTTGCAGAGTAAGAGAAGTAGTACTATAGGACCTAATGAAACATGAGCTGGAGGTGGGTTAGAAAGAGACAGAGTGGTTTTTATTTGGTAGAAGGAAAACCTGAATAGGAACCTGTTAGGGGAGCCCAAGAGCATAGTTGAAGAAGGAAAGTGTGGTTGGGAGCCAGGAACCAAAATAGGATAAGGTGGAAAATAAGCCATTGGAGTGGATGGCCAAGCGGGAAGTTATGCTCGCCTCTGTAGTTTGAAATCAAATTTGCAGAATCTTTACCTTCTCTGTGAGTATGCCATGAGGTGCGGTGATAGAACCCCTGCACTGTTTTAGGTTCATATACTCAGTGGACACATGCAATTTTGTGTTTGAATTTTTAGTTTCTTGTTTTTTAATGCTGCCTTTGCTCTGGTGGTCCTTGGGGCCACACCCAGGCAGTGAGCAGCCTAGGTGGACTAGGATGTTCCCCACATCCCACCCTAGAGTTACATCTGTTGCTTTAGAGGCCATCATCCCTCGAGAATGACTTAAATTCGTGCTGGCCGTGGTGGCTCAGGCCTGTAATCCTAGCACTTTGGGAGGCTGAGTTGGGCGGACAGGAGTTAAAGACCAGTGTGGCCAACAGGGTGAAACCCCATCTCTACTAAAAATACAAAAATTAGCCGGGCATGGTGGCAGGCACCTGTAATCCCAGCTGCTTGGGAGGCTGAGGCAGGAGAATCGCTTGAACCCGGGAATCAGAGGTTGCGGTGAGCTGAGACCACACCATTGCACTCCAGCCTGGGCTACAAGAGGGAAACTTCGTCTCCAAAAAAAAAAAAAAAAAGAATGACTTAGATTCATTCTCTCTGTCTGTTATTTTGTATCTGCCCACATTGATGTTAATCTGTCACTTTCCTTCCTACGTGCATGGGCTTGTGAAATCTCCTGACCATTTATGCTATTTGTTTGTCTTTTTGCAAATCAAAAGAGCCTAATGTCACCTTAAAGCATCATGGTAATTAAACTTAAGAAAGGATGAGTGATTACAGTTTATTTAATTCCTCCCTCTTTAGAGAACTTCTAGAGTACACAGGCATAGACATACAAATTTAGTTTCAAGTAAGAATGAGAGTATACCTGAGTAGTTTACATAAAATTATGGGGAAAACTGGATATGTGTTGGAGCAGACAATGTTTGTGGGGCTAGGTGTCCAGAGTCAAGTCTGTCTCGGATGGGCCTTCAGCAGAACGGCTTTTTCCTGACATAGGTGCAGCCTCATCCTATGCGTGCTCATCACAAGAGCATGTTTCTCCTTTGTTCTGGGGGATGGGAATTTCCTTCCTTTGATTCCTTTCTCTTCACTCCTACAGCCCCAGTGTTTGCTTGTTCACTCCCCGCGTCCCACATCAATGCCAGTCAACTCTGGCCTGCACTAGTTGGCATCGAGATCTGTGAAAAGGAGTAGAAGCAGGGGAGACAAAAATTAAAGCTCTCCCTGCATCTACTTTTTTTTTTTTTTTTTTTTTTTTTTGGAGACGGAGTCTCACTCTGTCACCCAGGCTGGAGTGCAGTGGCGCTATCTCGGGTCACTGCAAGCTCCGCCTCCCGGGTTCATGCCATTCTCCTGCCTCAGCCTCCCGAGTAGCTGGGACTACAGGCGCCCGCCACCACGCCTGGCTAATTTTTTGTATTTTTAGTAGAGACGGGGTTTCACCGTGTTAGCCAAGATGGTCTCGATCTCCTGACCTTGTGATCCGCCCGCCTCTGCCTCCCAAAGTGCTGAGATTACAGGCGTGAGCCATCGCGCCCGGCCCTGCATCTACTTTTTAGTTATTGGTTCCTCATCCTCTCTACCCCATTTGTGAAGCAGATGCAGGTAGAGGAAGAAGGAGGGGGAAATGATACCTAACATTACTAATATTCTTTTCTCTTCATCATACCCCTACTCTCCATTCACCCTCATCCCCATTCTCTTTTCTAATCCTTCAGTATCTTTCTTCCCTATTAGACTGTAAGATCCAGAAGGATAAAAGCCATGTCAATGTTGGTCTCTAATGTGCCCCATCAATGTCTAGTACAAGACTTGACATATAGAAGACACCAAGATGTGCTTGCTTGGTGAATGAGTGAGGCATGAAAGGGGGATTGGGGGAGTACACTGTTTTTCTCTATACCCCTCTTGACAACTTTACCCTGTTCTGATTTTTCACCTGTGTATCCCCCAATCTCTGATCTTGAAGGGGCCTGCCTCCTGGCCAGCAGCAAGAACATGGTTCCCACAATGGATGCTGAACACATTTTCCCATAGAGCATTTTTCTACATGGTGGTTAGTGTCTGTTGGAACTATACTGTATACTTAAGGGAGCTTTCGTGGCTGGCCATAGTACCCATAATGTACAACATTGTTTTTATGGGAAAATGCATTGAGTTCAAATGAATCTACTTACATGCAGACTTTTGGATTAAAACTTTTCCGTTAGTTGGGGACTACCATTACATGTTCTCCTGTCAGGCTTTTATTCATTACTAATACATAAATGAACAATAAGCCATTTTTTTGGAGAAAGACCAGAGGCAGAAGTCTTTCTTTCTGAGATTATAAATCATTACATTAAAATGAATTTCATTCATCCAACAAACATTGCTAGTTTATTTCAAATGTATTTATAGGGTGCCTGGCACATGTAGGGCTTTGTACAAAGGAATCATACGTGAATAAAATAGGGACCCTATCCTGGTGAGGTCATAGTCAGATTTCTGTTTAAATCGAAATTAGCCTCATAGTCCACAAGGTCACTTCCAGCTCTGAAATTCAGTAATTCTGTGATTTTTATGCTGTATTCATTTGCGTATTTCCTTGTTGTATGTGGTTCTGTTATCAAATTTATCTTTAGATAATAGAGAAAGCATATTTACATTCATTAATAACAATTAAGAGCAGTAACCCCACCATTATAGCTTTTAAATAATTCTAAATTTGTTGTTATTTATAAAAATGAAAAACCCAGGAACAAACCATTTAATTCTAGCTTTTTATTATAAAAAGAGTAGAGCCACATACATTATGAAATTGACATAAAAATAGAATGACAGAGACTTGACTTTAAAAGTTTATTCCATAAGGATAATATATATGGGTGTTGGGATTGCAAATATTTTTGTGTTTTTTCTAAATGTATTTCTGTAGTTTTCAAAGTTTCTATATTAGGTATTCCCTCACTATCAGTAAACACTGTTATTGTTATTCCCTCACTATCACCTCATATACATACATACATACGCAGGCACACTCCTTCCTTGTTATTGCTGAATAGTATCTCATTGTGTGGATATATCACACTTTATCCAAAATGGACTACACTAAATATTATTATTTTGAGACATGGTCTGGCTCTATCGTCCAGGCTAGAAATTTTCAATTTGAAAATTTTCAATTTGAAAAAATTGATTTTCAATTCAATTTTTGAATTGAAAATCACATGGTCCTCAAGACCCTCCATAATTTCCCAGGCTCATTTCTCTTACCTGTCTCTGTCCACGTCTCATGTCTTTCGTGGTTGGGTGCCATTCCTTCTTTAAGGACTATCTCAAATGGTACTTTTTTCCCAAATTTTTTCCCCTTGATTGAATAACAGTGTTTACTGTATTCTCACTGTATTTTGTCCAGGCCACAGTTTTAGCTTGTGCTTTTTGTTACTTGTATAATTGTCTCTCATTTCAGATTCTAACCATGAGACAGGGACATTTCTGTTGGTATCAGAAATAGCCTTGCAAAGGCTGGAATGTAGGGTAAATTGGTAGTTATTATTTCTAATTGGGAAGCTACAAAACTTTGTCTCAGGAATTAAGGAGGATAACTACATTTTGGGAGAAAACCTATCTTCCCATCCTTGATACAGTGATCTAATGTTGTGCATGTAGTTGGAACTCAATAAATGCTTGTTGAAATGGACCCAATATCTGGTAGTGGGACTGGTGGCATTTTCAATGTCCCTGGAAAGGAAATTCGATATTTATTTATACAATATACTTAGAAGTCCTAAGTTTAAAAGGGAGAGAGTGAGAACATATGTTGGTGAAACGAAGAAAATGTATATAAAGTACCTCTTTGCAGGAAAGCCCCAGAGCCATTGCTTTTCACTTTTATATTGGACATGCCATATTTGGATATGGTCAGTAAATGTTTGCTTTTTTTTTTTTTTTCTTTACAGAGGTATAAGTTCCAATACCTTAATGAAACAATCTGTAATAAATTCTCCTGTAAGTGCAAAGGCTGAGGGTATGTCTTCCATGTTTTTTGATGCCCTATTTGGATCAACCTTAAGTCAGAGATAGAAGTGCAAATCAGATGAGGGTTTTTTTTTTTTTTTTTTTTTTGGAGACAGAGTCTTGCTGTGTTGCCCCAGCTGAAGTGCAGTGGCACAGTCTTGGCTCACTGTAACCTCTGCCTCCCGGGTTCAAATAATTCTCATGCCTCAGCCCCCCAAGTAGCTGGGACTACAGGTGCCCACCACCATGCCTGGCTAATTTTTTGTATTTTAGTAGAGATGGAGTTTCACCGTGTTGCCCAGGCTGGTCTCAAACTCCTGACCTCAGTCAGTCCATCCGCCTCAGCCTCCCAAAGTGCTAGGATTCCAGGCGTGAGCCACTGCTGCTCGGCCAGGGTCCTTAAGTTCAAATCATGGAGCAGTCCACAGAGCACTCTTCTCAGGTGCAGAGTGGAAAGGACTTTGATCGTGGACTAGTATTTTTAGTCACATCCACAGGCCTTTGAAAGGGAAAAAATATATTATTGATAGGTCCTGTTTTTTGAGGAAAAAAAAAAAACAAGCATTCCTAACTACCTGGCAAATAATTTCTTCTATTCTAATGATAATTAATTTATGTGGTCAAAGATCAGAGAAAGGGAGCCATAGGCAGGACAGCAGCCCAGTATTGGTACCACACTCTTAGGGATCTCTTAATTTTTGTTTTCTTCATAACAATTGTCAGTTTTCTTACACTGTGCTGTATTTGGAGTGGATGATGCTGGTGGTGATTGTCTAAAACTTAGATATTTAAACAGTTTGAAAACTTGTTGGAGTAGGAATTATAAAAGCTTTATAGTTTTCATTATCTTCTCCATTCCCACTCTTCCAAGTTACTACAAATATGCCTAATTTTTATAAATATATGCAATTTAAAATGTTTTAATTGTAATATACAAGTAGTTCTTGGCAGTAGATTCCTTCGGAGATTTTTCTTCATATTTTATAGAGTTCTTCAGATTTTTTCCTCTTTGCTTATAATACTTATAAAGTTATATTTATTTTCTTTTGTCTAAACTCATTCAATGTGCATTTTTCTCACCTGCTCTTTTGTTTGCTTGCTGCGATACAAGGCTGTATAAAGAAATACTTGGTGCTTTCTGTGACAGCAGGCCATATAAAGAAATACGAACTCTTTTTTTTCTTTTTGAGATAGAGGCTGGAGCACTATGGCGCCATCTTGACTTACTGCAACCTCTGTCTCCCAGGTTCAAGCGATTCTCCTGCCTTAGCCTCCCGAGTAGCTGAGATTACAGGTGCCCATCACCACACCCGGCCAATTTTTTGAGATGGAGTCTTGCTCTGTTGCCCAGGCTGGAGTGCAGTGGCATGATCTCAGCTCATTGCAACCTCTACCTTCTGGGTTCAAGCAATTCTCCAGCCTCAGCCCCCCGAGTAGCTAGGATTACAGGTGTGCACCACCACGCTCAGGTAATTGTTTTATTTTTTAGTAGAGACGGGGTTTTGCCGTGTTGGCCAGGCTGGTCTCAAACTCCTGGCCTCAGGTGATCCACCCACCTTGGCCTCCCGGAGTGCTGGGATTACAGTTATGAGCCACCGCACCCGGCCATTTTTTTGTATTTTTAGTAGAGATGAGGTTTCACCATGTTGGCCAGGTTGGTCTCAAACTCCTGACCTCAAGTGATCTGCCTGCCTCAGCCTCCCAAAGTGCTGGGATTACAGGTGTGAACAACCGCAGCTGGCCAAGAAATACCAGCTCTTACCAAGCACTTTAATTCATTTAGTTTTTCACTCTGGCTACAGTGAGAAAAGACAATGTTTTTACACTTGATATACTTTTTATAAGAAAAAATCAATGCAGGATGAAAATATCCTGTTGCTCTAGTAATTCCCACAGAAGGTCAGCCTCAATAATAGAAGATGAAAAAAGTTTTGTGGTGTTTGCTGTTTTATAAACTCATATTTGGAGAAGGAACACAATATATATATGATTTCCTCATAACTGCTGTTGGTGCCCCAGATTTGATATTGTTGCATGATAACCTGACATTGCTTCCTGCTTCTGAAGGAATGATTGGATTTGAAGCCAACATGCTTGCTAAACCGGGAAGCTGCTATTACAGAAGGCACAGGAAGTCAAGCTGCCTATGCAGTTGTGCTGAGACATGAGACTCATACGTTGTGACCCGTGCCTATTGTATGTCTCCCCATCTTTATAACTGCTTTTGAAAACTGGCTTCAAATAAGCAAAAGGCCTAGTGTTATTTCCATAGCAGCACTAAAATTAATGAATAAGAGTTACAGAGTTGGCTGAATATAAAGGAGATATGTCTAACAATTACAGTTCTCCAAAACCTAGTGTGCTCCCTCTTTGTCCTTGTAAGTGGTCAAACAAAAATGGCATAAGCACTCACTTAGGTGTTGCATTGGTCAGGGACCTGGTGGGAGGCGGATGGCACACACAAGTTGGATAATTTGGGGAACATTTCATAAAAAGACAGTAAAAATGTAGGGTATAGTAAGAATATACAAGGGCAAGTAAAAGGGTATGGGGCAAGGGCTAATATCTGTACGTGAGGAAGAAAGAGGAGGAAATGTTATCAAACCACTGGCTGTGTACAAATGGCTGCCTTATAGGAGCTGAGGTCTGCAGTCAAGGGAGACTGTCCACTGAGAACATACAGGGACACAGCCAGCAGTTCTGTTCCCTGACCCTGGGCTCTTCTGTCTCCAGCCATTGTCCCTTTTGACTAAACACAACCAGTGTAGAACAAGGATTGTTGCAGTCCTTGACAGATCAGACTCTTCAGGCTCAAAGAGTACAAATAGGTGGGGAGTAGATTGGAGTTAAGTGGAAACAGTCCTGTGCAGATGTTATAGTGAGTGGGATATCCCTGCTGTCCTCATTGATAGTACAGAACTCTTTTTTTTTTAAATTAAAGTTCTAGGGTACATGTGCACAACGTGCAAGTTTGTTACATATGTATACGTGTGCCATGTTGGTGTGCTGCACCCATTAACTCGTCATTTACATTAGGTATATCTCCTAATGCTATCTCTCCCCGCTCCCCTGACCCCACAACAGGCCCCGGGGTGTGATGTTCCCTGCCCTGTGTCCACATGTTCTCATTGTTCAGTTCCCACCTATGAGTGAGAACATGCAGTGTTTGGTTTTCTGTCCTTGCGATAGTTTGCTCAGAATGATGGTTTCCAGCTTCATCCATGTCACTACAAAGGACATGAACTCATCCTTTTTTATGGCTGCATAGTATTCCATGGTGTATATGTGCCACATTTTCTTAATCTAGTCTATCATTGATGGACATTTGGGTTGGTTCCAAGTCTTTACTATTGTGAATAGTGACGCAATAAACATATGTCCGCATGTGTCTTTATAGCAGCATGATTTATATTCCTTTGGGTATATACCCAGTAATGGGATGGCTGGGTCAAATGGTATTTCTAGTTCTAGATCCCTGAGGAATCGCCACACTGACTTCCACAATGGTTGAACTAGTTTACAGTCCCACCAACAGTGGAAAAGTGTTCCTATTTCTCCACATCCTCTCCAGCACCTGTTGTTTCCTGACTTTTTAATGATCGCCATTCTAACTGGTGTGAGATGGTATCTCATTGTGGTTTTGATTTGCATTTCTCTGATGGCCAGTGATGATGAGCATTTTTTCATGTGTCTGTTGGCTGCATAAATGTCTCCTTTTGAGAAGTGTCTGTTCATATCCTTCACCCACTTTTTGATGGGGTTGTTTGATTTTTTCTTGTAAATTTGTTTAAGTTCTTTGTAGATTCTGGATATTTGCCCTTTGTCCGATGGGTAGATTGTAAAAATTTTCTCCCATTCTGTAGGTTGCCTGTTCACTCTGATGGTAGTTTCTTTTGCTGTGCAGAAGCTCTTTAGTTTAATTAGATCCCATTTGTCAATTTTGGCTTTTGTTGCCATTGCTTTTGGTGTTTTAGTCTTGAAGTCCTTGCCCATGCCTATGTTCTGAATGGTATTGCGTAGGTTTTCTTCTAGGGTTTTTATGGTTTTAGGTCTAACATTTAAGTCTTTAATCCATCTTGAATTAATTTTTGTATAAGGTGTGAGGAAGGGATCCAGTTTCAGCTTTCTACATGTGGCTAGCCAGTTTTCCTAACACCATTTATTAAATAGGGTATCCTTTCCCGATTTCTTGTTTTTGTCAGGTTTGTCAAAGATCACATGGTTGTAGATTTGTGGTATTATTTCTGAGGGCTCTGTACAGAACTCGTTTTTATGAAGAATCATTGACTTTCAAAAATACTTGAGGTTACCCAGTTCAAGCATCCAAAAATACAGACTTCCTGTTCATTCAGCATCTAGTTTAATGTATTCAATTATGGAGAGCAAAATTTTACATTATGAAACATCTTGGCTGGGCACGGTGGCTAGTGCCTGTAATCCTGGCACTTTTGGAGCCCCAGGTGGGTGGATCACTTGAGGTCAGGAGTTCAAGACCAGCCTGGCCAACATGGTGAAACCCCATCTCAGTTTAAAAAAAAAAGATGTATCTTGTTCCATTGTTGAACAACTGTAGAAGGTTATTCTTGCATTGAAATGTTCCTTCCTGTACCTTCTGTTGCTTGCTAGTTCTTCCGTTTGCTATTCTCTTGCCTTCTGTCTTTTGGTCCCTTTATGACATTTTTGGTGTTTGTTTAACAGGCATTCACTTATTCAACATCTATTTATTGAATGCTTGCTGTAGGCCAGGACTTGTTCTTGGTGCTGGGTATTCAGCTGTGAACAAGACAAAGCTTCTGCCTTACATGAAACTTACATTGTAGTAGGTAGAGACAGACATTAAGCAAATACATAATATGGTCTCTGTAGGTGATAACTACTGAGATTAACAGCAGTTAACCATGGTCACAAGAGAAAACTGTGGCTTAAATTGGGTCTGAAGTCATTCTGAGTCAACTGTGTAATGCAGTGGCCAAAAAGCCTAAATTCATCTTAGACTATTTGAATCAAATGGCCATGTTAGAGAGGTCATGTTTGCTTTCTTATTGTCAAGCTGAGCCTGGTGTATAGCATTTACTTTTTGAAGAGATATTGGCAAGTGGAAACTTGTTCAGGGGTATCCCCATGATAGCCTTGTAAACAGCTGAAGAAAGCCATCATATTTGCATGGAGTGTTCCCTAGGCCAAACCTTTCTGGTTTTGCCAACAGTTTCTCAAATGGTATGATGTCTATACTCTTTAACTGTCCTGGTCTTCCTCCAGATAATTAATTTCCTCTTAAAATGATGCTCCCAGAATTCAACTCATCTTTCCAGATGTGGTTTCAACTTAGGTAATGCTTATTAGACTATTTCTTCCCTTGATCTGGTTATTTAATTTTAGTAACGCATCTGAGGATTGAATTTCCTTTAAAAACACACACACACACACACACACACACACACACACATCTGTGTTACTTGACTCTCAGTGTTGAGCTAGGCTGTAAAGCCAGGTCTCCAGCACTTCTGTTCGTACAATTTATGTACATAAATATGTTACCCAGCATCTCTATTAAAATGTCATCTCATCGCTGTCTGTGCAGTATTCTACATTAAGATCCTTTGGAATATTGTCTTTCATCTAACTTGGTGTTGTCTACATAATTAACAAGCATATTCTCAAACTTCATCTAGGTGTTTAATATAATTGTTTAATTAAAAAAGAATAATAGCACCAGACCTTTCCTTCAGATTATAGCAGCTCAATAATTAATCCTGTTTTAGTATGACATTTCAAATAACTGTGAACAGCCTTAATATGTCATCCATTTTACATTTCTGCATTTTATCCAAACATTTTGAAAAATGAAGATACAGTCTTCATTTCATGATGGCATTTCTATCTGGTACTAGGCTTAACAAAAAACATACTAGAAGCCAGGCTTGGTGGCTCACGCCTATAACCCTAGCACTTTGGGAGGCCAAGGTAGGCAGATCACTTGAGCTCAGGAGTTTGAGACCAGCCTGGGCAACATGGCAAAAATGCAAATCCACAAAAAATCCAAAAATTAGCCGGCCATGGTGGCATGCGCCTGTAGTCCCAGCTGCTTGGGAGACTGAGGCACAAGAATTGCTTGTGCCAGGAAGGCAGAGGTTGCAGTGAGCCGAGATTGCACCATTGCACTCCAGCCTGGGTGATGGGAGTGAAACCCTCTCTCTCTCTCTCTCTCTCTCTCTCTCTCTCTGTAAATAAATAAATATATATATATATATATTTTTACCTTTCTAACATTGCAGGGAGTGACCTTTCTTTTTCATTCAGTCTCAGTTATGTGTCCAAAGCATTGGTATATGTTTTGGTTTAGTTTTTAATTTGCAAGCTCCATGTAAGACTACAGTGGGTTTTTTGTCAGATGCCTCCTTATTTATGAGTTGGAGTGAAGACAGGGAGAGTATTGACCTCATTCTTCCTGGAGATCTTTTTTGTTTTCCAAGGAGTTTGGTGTCGTATTTTATAGGATTTTCTAGATTATATGTATAACATCTTGACTCCACTCAAATGCCCAAGAACCCATACATTTTGGTGGCAGCATGACTTTCAAGAGGAGTTGCTTCTCTTGCTTAGTACAAAGTGTCCATGGATCAGAATGTGATTAAACAAGTCAAGTCAGGTGACTTGTCACTGAGGGTTTGTATTGGTTGCAAGTACCAGAAATGTGCCTGTGCCGATTGGGGAATCAGGATATTAGTCAAAGGAAAGGAAAACCTGTTCAACAATTTTTCTTGCTTTTCATGTGCTGCAGAGAAAAGGCTAAATCCCATCTGGTGCACACTATTGTGGGAATCTTATACTTTAGATTCATAAACACAGTATGTTCAGATTTTCTAGATTTGACATTTGCTTGAATGTGTTCGGTGTGTATTTTATACTGAGTGTCAAATTTCTTGCCTTTTGACGATAGCTGACTTTTAGTTGACTAAAAAAGTAGTAGTCATAGTTAGGTTTACTATCTGTGGCTATCACAGGGTTCACATGGGCATCATTGTCCAACCAAAGTTGCTTCTGAAGTGCTGCCATACAGTCTTGGCTCTCATGAACACTTGTCCTAGTTTTTACCGTTGTCCTGGAAGAATTACTTTCACGAGTGTCTGGGTTTGGAGGAAAAATTGTATGGCTCCTATGGATACGTCTCAAAGTATTCTAGGAAGCAAGTTGTTCCCATTGTGCAGTTATTGCTTTGACATCTGGCCTTCCTTACTTACCTCTGCTACAGAAAGAATCCAGAATGACTTGTAAGGCTGGTAAACCCAGTGATTCTTGGAATACTTTTTCAAGAATGCTCCTCCAGGAATGCTCTTGGAGTCTCACTCTGTAGCCCAAGCTTGAGTGCAGTCGTGTGATCCTGGCTCACTGCAACCTCCGCCCCCTGGGCTCAAGGGATTCTCATGCTTCAGCCTCCTGAATAGCTGGAATTATAGGTGCCCGCCACAACGCCTGGCTAAGTTTTTGTATTTTACTAGAGACGGGGTTTCACCATGTTGCCCAAGGTGGTCTTGAACTCCTGAGCTCAGGCGATGTGCCCGCCTTGGCCTCCCAAAGTGCTGGGATTACAGGCATCAGCCACTGCACCCGGCCTGAAAACACATTTTCTTAATGGGACTAAACTTTTCTAGCTGAATTGATCTATTTTAAAACTTGCCAATGAAAGCTCCTTAGTAGTATCTGCTAATTAAATGCAGTTTTTATACCTAACGGACCTTTTAAAGAATGTGTGCACTTTGCAAACCCCATTGCTTCTTGCCGTATCTGAGCACTTGCCACCTGGTGGTAAGGAGACCATTCCATCTCCTTCACTAGATGGTAGCACCTGGAAGTCAGGGATCATTGCTGACTTATCTTGCCTCCCAACATTGATCATGCAGTAGGTGTGGATGAGAAAGAGGGAGATAAGGGAAGAAAGGGGGCTGTGAATAAACGCTGTTGCTTTCTGCTTCCTTTTTAGGAGTTAAAAGTCTCTTCAGCTACCTGTTTAGGAGTATGAAAGCAAATCTAGGAAATGGCCTCTGCAGTTTTCCGAATATGACAAATCATTTAGTTTCCTAAGCTTGTTACTCTACAGTGGGACTTCTCAACCTCTGCACTGTTGATATTGTGGCCTGGATGATTGTTTGTTGTGTGGCCTGCCCTGTGCATTATAGGGTGTTTAGTTAGCAGCAGCATCCTTGGTCTCTGCCCACTAGATGCCAGTAGTGCACCCCATCCCCAGCTGTGACAACAAAAATGTCTGCAGGCATTGCCAAGTGTGCCCTGGAGGCAAAATAGCCGCCCCCTAATTGAGATTGAGAACCGCTGCTGCATAGGAGCTCCTGTCTGGGACAAATGCCCACCAGAGAAACCAGCAAGTAATAGAAATGTGGCTTTGGAAGGGAACTTAGAAATCATCTGGAATGTTGTATCCTGGAGAACTCCTCGCCCCACACCAGCGCCAGCACCCCTCCCCAACCCCCTACACCACCTCCACCTTTATACTTATGCTTTATACCTGCAGAACTATAACCTAAGGGAAGGAATGAATATAAAAAAGAAAAAAATACAACTATATGAGGTAATACTGTTTAGGGCTTGTAGGGTTATTTGTTTTAAGTTTGCTTACAGATCATGAACATGTGTCTACTTTCAGGTTACTCAAAATAAGAAAGCATAAGCTTATAGAAATAGGTCAGGGAGAAAAACACAGAAAAACTAATGTGCAGCACTACTAAAAAAGAATTCAAGGTGTATGTTGAACATTTTTCAGATTAAAAAGAACTCACTGGAATGTGGCTGGATTGCTAGTATCGCCCTGTGGAGCTATCTGGGCTTCATATGAGGCTATTCTAAGTACATGCATCAAAAAAGAGATATAGAAGAGTATTTAAAGTAATGATAATTGGCCTTTTTCAAAAAATGACTTGCTTTCTAAACCTGAAAAATAGCCATCATGATACTAGAGAAATAGCTGAGATATTAATATTTCCTCTGTAGATTGTTTTGTTTTATAAGGGCATTTTGTGTCTTACTAAGAAATCTCACATAAAAGTAAGAACACCAAATTAAATATTAGCTCTTGTGGTTATTTTAAGACTCATCTCAATAACCAAGAGAATTTGGTTCTCACACTTTGTACCTTTTGATTGTAAACAGCTTTAAACAGGTTTATGTTGTACTTCATCAAAAATTATAGAGGATCTGCAGACTGAGACGCATTGGGACTGAAATTAGGCAATTCAGAGTTTCTCATGCATGTAAGCTGCTTTTATTTTGATCCCTATCATTCTTAGTCTGTCTTTTCAAATATTCTACTGGAAGGACTGTTGTGAGTTGAGGGCAAAGGAGAAAATGGCAGGGTCTCGAGCCACCAGGCCTCATAATACCTGCTCTTTGAGGTAGAGTAAAAGCTAACTGATGAATGTTTTCCAGAATAATATTTAGATTTAGTCTGGTGGTTTTTTTTTTTTTCTTGTTTTGTTTGCTTTGGTTTAAGCTCAATACAGTCACATCTGAATTTACACAACAAAAATGTTTCCGAAAAGTTGTGGATGAATCCATTTTTAATAAGCCAAGTACTATAAAAAGCATCAGAAGAACTTGTTAACTGAACTTATCCTAATGTTCTGATCACCTGTTTCTTTTAATAGACATAGTGGTTGCAACAATGCTTTGATTAGTTCCTTTTTGGAAGCTGGCTTTTGTTGGGGGGAGGGTTTTTGTTTCTTGTATCTTAAACTTGACACCTTGATTCTCATTGAAAAAACTTTCAACCATGTATGGTTGGTGATTTGTTGAAATTTATAACTGAAAATCTGCCACTCTGCTTTTAGTATTTGAAATGCCTTGGCAGGGAGACGTTTTTCTCAGAACAGATCTTTTGGAGGACCTCAGGAAGTTAATTATTCTGGCAAGAAGTTCTTTTTGAACTTTTTTGGATCATTATGATATTATGCTAATTTATCTAAAAAATGGATTCTAAGTTGAATAACTGTATAGTCCTGGCAGATAAGAGCATGTCAGATGTCTTGGCACAGTTTGGGGACAGAGGGGACTTTCCCACTTCTTTATGTAATCCACCATCATAATGTGGGAGTTTTATGAAATTTCTTCTGTTATACAGAAATACTTAGCTTTTTAGGCCGTATGTGCTGCTCAGTGAAAACAAGCTCTGTGTATGTCTGTATATGTTTAAATGAAATGAAAAAGAGAAGTGAAATCCAAGAAATTTCTGGTTTGCAGTGGTGATTATTTTTAGCCACGTTCATGTGTTTTAAACAATCCCTTTTAGGTCTGTTGAATGTAGCTTGGAACAGAACGTCCCATAGAAATGATAGTATAGTACACGTGGTGGCAAAGTTTCCATATTAGCCCTCAAAGATTATTTAACTCATCATATACTCACACGCTTTGCCGTACAAGGGGCAATGATGTATAGCGTATAAAAACACTGTTTAATAATACTCAACCTACAGCAACTTTCAATACTAAGAATGAAATAAAATTGAAAAATTGTAAAAATGCATAAGGATAAATTTTGTTTCTCTGAAAAGGTTGCTTTTGAGGAAAAGTAGTTTTAAAGAGACTTGGTGGTGTGGTAGAAGAACTCCCAGCAGACCTGAAGATGTAGCAGATGTATAGCAGTTTGGGCATCTTGGACAAGTAAATCATACTCGCAAGCCTCAGTTTCTTTTAATGTCATGGGGATAGTTGTGTGGATCAGAGCAGAATTTGTGTGAAGGTGATTTGCAAACTGTAAAGTCCTATGCAAATATACAATATATGTTCTGGTTCTTTTCTTAATTATGAAAATCTTGTATCCTGGCCTTTTTCTTGACACTCATATATTAGTAACAAAAATCTTTATGCTTAGCAACAATTAGTAAGGTCCTATTTCGCTCACAAATACAATAAATGCATGTTATTTTGACCTACATGGATGATAGAAACATTTGCTTTTTTGTGACAGCCTATTGGAACTTCCAAAGTGTCTCTCTCTCTCTCTCTCTCTCTCTCTCTCTCTCTCTCTCTCTCGTTTTTCTAGTCTCTAAACCTCTCTTGTTTTTTCTTTGTCTGAGTATCTTTCTGAACCACCGTCTCAAGTTTCAGGTTATACGACAGAGCTCATACTCCAAGCCCTGGCCTCTCTCTGACCTTGTGCCTCTGGCCTGGGACAAGCTTCACACTGCCAGACTCTGCAGCTGACCCTTTGTATCTCCCAGTAGTCTGAGCAGCATTCATTTGCTCAAGGTCTCACCAGAGACCAAACAGGGGCAGCCTCTCTGGAGAGACCATGGCCTCCCAACAGTATTTTTGATGTCAGTGGCCTAGCCTTAGGCCCCGAAGCCAGGAACTAGATGTGATAGGGGCCAAATCCCCCAAACCCGAGGAGCTTTTCTGGTAGAAAATGTGTTATGAAAAAAAGGGGGACTCAGTGGCCATTGCAGACCAAAGCCTCATTCATTGAGGTGGGGTAGGGGTTGCTGGGGACTACAATTCAGAGTTATATATGTAACAGAGTTATGCATATAATTCAGCAAACAAAGAGGCAAGTTGAAAAGGGTTTATTAAAGTATTAATGTTTGTGTCAAATGTATAAAATTCAGGAAACAGGCAGAGCAATAACATTTAATGTTGGAAGAGGACTTAGAGATACAAAAAATAGAGTTTATTCATTCTGGAGCAGAGAAATCTTAAGCCGGATAGGTTAACTGATTTGCAAGTGTCTCCTGCCTTCCAATCCTGCATCCTTAAGGATATCCTTAAGATGATACATCTGGGTTTTGCGATGCTCTGTTCTCCAGGTACGGTTAGCAGTGATTTTGCATAACTATGTGCTGAGACCCTAGGATCTAACAAACTATAAAGGTTAGAAATGAAATATGAGGTAGCCTACTATATCAGCCACCTCTGATTCCCTTCTCCCACCACAGGGAGAATTAGATTGACCGGCTGATCGATTGCTTGATTGAGACAGGATCTTGCTCTGTCACCCAAGCTAGCCTGCAGTGATCTCCACTCACTGCAGCCTCGACCTCCTGGGCTCAAGTGATCTTCCCACCTCAGTCTCCTGAGTAGCTGGCACTACATGTGCACACCACAGTGCCCGGCTAATTTTTTGTATGTTTTGTAGAGACAGGATTTTGCCATGTTGCCCAGGCTGGCCTTGAACTCCTGGGCTCAAGCTATCCTGCCTTGGCCTCTCAAAGTGCTGGGATGACAGATGTGAGCCACTGTGCCTGGCCAGTAATATGTATTAAGTAAGGTAATTTGTAGGAGCTTAGAGAGAACCAGCAATATGACACAGTTTCTGCTCTTTTGGGGCTTACAATACAGTATTATATCATCAGAGGGGGTCCATTCTGAACCATACCTTGAATTAGGCATTAGCATACTAGATTCTAATTTTGTTTCTTCCATTGAATTTCTAACGTGGACCCTGGTTAAGTCTAAGAGATCATTTAAATCGTGGGCCTCAGTTTTTTTATTCATAAAATGAGAATATTGACATGGGCCTCAGTTTTTTTATTCATAAAATGAGAATATTGAATCTTGAAACCCTGTTATTTTTACATTCTGTGTACAAAAGTCTCATGGTACTATCTTTAATTTTACTTATCAGATTTTGAATCTCTAGTGCTCTTTTTATTTCAAGATATTCTTAGCCAAGCTATAAAATCAAACTAATTTATATGCTGTTATGAGGCAACTTAGCAATTCATATAACCACAGGCTAGAGAAAGTTTGGACATATATAATGGTTCATTTCTTCAATTTTAAGGCAGAACTACATCCCAAGCTTATGTAAAATAATTTGAATTATTATATATTCCCATAGTTCTGCCTCAAATAAAATATAACTGTTTTTGAAAATTCAAAGACTTAGAAAGTAAATTAGAGGATTGTTTATTATAAAAGAACTTTGGACCCTACAAAGGAATTTAACCACAGTTTTCTTTTCTTTGTTAATAGAGTCTCACTGTGTTGCCCAGATTGGTCTTGAACTCCTGGCCTCAAGTGATCCTCTTTCCTTGCCCTCCCAAAGTGCTGGGATTACAGGCTTGAGCCACCACTCCCAGCCAACAGAATTCTTTTCAACAGTGAGTTCCTCTAGTGCACTGAAAATGTAATATGATTTGCAGATGTTTAGTTTATGTACACCAGAAAGAAATAGTTACGTATATTTACAGTTCATGGTTCTCTGCAGCAGCGCTGAGTGTATGCCAGATATGCTTTCCGTTAACTAATTGTAGGGATTTTCTGTGGGTTGAGAGTTTTTTTGCTGTTGTGTTGGAATTTTACTGACCTATCTTTCCTCCCTCTCCATGTTCTTCCCAGTAGTTCAAATAGCATTCATATGTAAAATGACTGGTTAAAATATGGGAGATCATCTCTGGCTGTTGGAGAAGTCACCCATTTAGGGGATCAACCTGTGACTGAGGAGGCAGGACACTTTCTGTAGTGGGAGGAACATGGGCCACATACAAACAGATTTAGTTCAAATGCCAGTGCTACCTCTCCCTTGCATTAAGCAAGTTACTGAAACCTTCAGAATCTAGTTTTCATCTGTAATATAGGAATAATGATGATAATGCTTATATCACCAGGGAATTTGTCTTTCTGAAAGGGCTAGCACACAGTAGGTATTCAATGCAAGTTAGCTTTTGCCCTTGCCTTCAAATCCAGGGAACACATGGCAGCAACAAGACTGTAGCCCTGGGAGTTGCTATGTCTGCAGCCTCTTTAAGGTGTTAGGCAGACAGGATGTAAGCACTAGAAAGATTCAGTATGGTATCACCGGCTGTAGTGGTTCAGCCCTTGGCCTCTGTAGCCCAAGAGCCAGTGTTCGGGTCTACTAACTCTGTGCTCTTGAAATGTCTCCTACTTTTAAGTCAGTTTCCTTATCTGTAAACTGAGACTAATGGCATTTACCTAATTGGGTCGTTGGAGATCAAGTACCTTAATTGATATAAAGTGCTTAGAACAGTCCCTGGGAGGTGGTATTTTGCTCCAGTCTGTTATAGGGAGGATCATTTTGTTGTTAGAGTTCAGTGAAGACCGTTTTTTAAAATCGTGTGGAATGACTATAGGCATTATAAAGACAACTGAAGAAGCTCTTGTTTCTGAACAGTACTTGGCCAGTTTCTTTAACAGGAGATGGCTTTGCTTTTAGAAGCCTGCCCCAGAGTCTTCCATCTCTTCCACTCTCCCTGCACGTCCGCTCTGTATGGCTTTTGTTATTAATGTGGAGCAGTTGAAGTCACTGACTTGGGTGCAGGCCAGGCCAGCATTACTGAGGTCATATATTACTTTCCTAGACTCTAGTCATGAACAGGATGTTGGAAGTCAGAGGTACAGAGAAGCTGCCTTTTTAGGCCGCTCACATGAAAGGTGTGTTTGCTTTCCTCAATCATTTTTATACTAATAGATTGGAATCTTATTCAGTATCTTGGTAGCATTTTTTTCTTTTACTCTACAACCTTTATGCCGCCAGGCTGTCATTTGGCTTATTCTTTGGTTAGACAGACTAATGCTGTTTTGTTATGCACTTTCTTCATTGTTATTTCATTGTTGAAACATCTCTTCCTCGGTTAACTAAATATTTATTTAAGGCAGGTAGAATTTCTCAGTGAAGCTGTATATTTGTTTAGGTATTATAGATATATTCTAAAACATTTAGGGATTATTCAGTCTATATATTTTTTTCTCTTGGAAATGAAATAATACTGTGGAGAAAGTATTCATTGAAATAACAAGTGAAAGTGTGTTTCCCTCAGGAATAGTGTAAAAAGAACTTGCTTTTATTTTCTGCTTTGCTTTTGTATTTGGGACTTGGGGAAACTATGCTTTTGTTATTTTGGAAAAGCAATGGAATTTTATCAGACATTTTCCTGAAACTCCCTACTTTCTCTTTTTCCTGAAATACTACCTTCAAAGTCCTGTTTTGCTCTGTTAGGAGGTTCCATCATTCAAAAAGTGAAAGAGCTTGGTTAGTTGAGGTTATTTTGTTGATCTGTTGGCTTTAAAGAAAGAAGAGACTGTCAGAGAAAGTCTGAGAAACAACACTTGGAGGATCATATGACCAATAGTGTGAAACTGAGGACGCTGATTTGTTAGCTTGAGCAGTTAAGACTTTTTTTTTTTCAATGTCTGCAAGTAAATACGTGGCCTCAGACCCTGTTATGCTTTATGATGGGTGAGAGTGCAGAGAAAGTAACGTTCTCCAGGTTTAAACTTTATTCTGACTCTGTTCCCTAATCGTGAGGATTTTTATGTTTTTTGTAACTGTTGTTGTGAAGTAGAAACTGATTTCTAGTTGACTTTGGCTATTACTAAATTGTGACATGCATGCACTTCTTTTTAATTTAACAGTTGTTTTCTGCTGTTTTCTCAGTTTGAAAGTAGTAATTATGAATAAGAATTCCTAGAAATATTCTTCTTCCATAATGATATGTCACAGATGTTTGAGTGCTACACACACACTCCTCTCCATTTTTAAGTCAATTTAGTGGAGATAAAATGTAGATAATAGCTGTGTGTTGTAATGACTCTGGCCCACTCCCCAGAGGCTCTGTATTTCCATAAGTTATGGGACCCCTCTGATCTTTCTGAAATGGCCACCATCAGATCATTGAGACTTGACATGCAGTTTAAAATGTGTGTTTCTGAGATTTCTATATATGATTTGGACACAGAATAACTTGTGCTGTTTCCAAAACCACATTCTTTGTCCTCTTATAGAACCCAATGAAAGGAGGAAGCTGTGCCTTAAATGTCATGTTCTTTATGCTTAGTTCCTTTAAAAATGTATACTTTTATCATTTGTTATAGTAGAAGATTTTGAAAATTCTGAGAAGTGTAAGAAAAGAAAAATTACTTGTAACTCTACTACTCAGAGAAAAACTGCTGTTAAAATATTGAGGTATTTACTTCCAGACTGATTTTTCTATACATATTTATATAGCTATATATAGTTATTCTTTTGTAAGAGTGACTATAAACTGTTTTGAAACTGGCTTTTTTAACATAACAATATATGTGAGCACATTTTCCACATCCCCAAATATTTTTGAAAAATATTTCTTTTAAATATCTGCATAGTTTTGTACCCATTATAATTTGGCTCTGGAAGAAGTTCAAGATATGCCAAATAGTCTTGGCACAATGGCTCACACCTGTAATTCTGACACTTTTGGGGGCCGAGGTAGGAGGATCACTTGAGGCCAGGAGTTCGAGACCAGCTTGGTCAACCTAGCAAGAGCTATTTCCACAAAAAAGTGAAAAAACTACCCGGGCGTGGTAACACTCCCATAGTCCTAGCTACTTAGGAGGCTGAGGTCAAAGGATTGCTTGAGCCCAGGAGTTTGAGGCTGCAGTGAGCTATGGTCGCACCACTGCACTCCAGCCTGGGTGAC
Source organism: Homo sapiens (assembly GCF_000001405.40). Taxonomy (NCBI): domain Eukaryota; kingdom Metazoa; phylum Chordata; class Mammalia; order Primates; family Hominidae; genus Homo; species Homo sapiens. The sequence goes on from NC_000004.12 coordinate 143,384,055, forward strand.
AGAGCAAGACCTTGTCTCTAAAAAGAAAAAAAAAAGATATGTGAAATTAAAAAGTCCACTTTGGTGATAAGGTCTTCCTTCTAAATTATAGAAATAATTGGCTTAAAAGGGAAATTGAGAACATGCTAACTTTGTGCTTTATTCAAGATAGACTTGTTTATTCTTTGCTGCATTTCTATAACAAAACATTTCAGCTGTATAATCCTTGGTATAGCAATGACTAGTTATAATAATTAATTTTTAATTAGCTGTTCATGAAGTTTTCAAAACATCAACTTTTATCGCATTAAAAAAGTGAAATAATTTTGAAACATTTCTTTCCTTTAAATTTGAAGTAAGGTTAAAGTTTTTTGCAACCAAATTTGGGGTTCATCTACCATGGTAAGTTGGTGCTATTGGCTGTGCTATAATTTCAGGGTGAACTTGACTTTCCTTGAGTTTCCAGGCTGTACAGGACAGGAAAGGCTGTGGCCGTCAGGGAAATGGAGCCAGATGGTCCTCATGATCGATGCCAAGCTCCCAACAGAGACAAATGCTACACCCGACAGACTAGGGGCAACAGCACATGTTAGGGTGATTGCTCACCCTTTCCTGGAGAGGGGAGAGCTCTTCCCTTCTGCTGGTGTATTTTGCAGCTAGTTTTTGCAGGCTCTGTTCAGTCTGGTGTAGCAAGTGTCCAGGCAGTTAACTTCTAATGGGCAGTGAAGGAGGAGGTGATGGCAGTAGCTGGGGCCGAGTTGGCAGCTAGTAGGGCTGTCTGATGAAATCCACATTTTGGCATCCTTGAAGTCTTTCAAAGGAATCTGACTAAGTCACTTAACCTTGTGTCATTTTGGTTTACTTGGCTTTTAAAGGGTAGTGGTAATTAAACCAATGGGAGCCATTAGTTAGTAGATCTTAGTGGCAGTTTTCAGTTTAAAAATGGAAACCTACAGTCACAGAGCCATTGACTCGTAATAACACAGTGGCTTGTCCTTGACCCAAGGGAGTTGATTTGGGGAAATGAACATATCTGAGAGTCCTGTGTCCTGAGTTTATATATCAGCATAGCTACTTAGGAGCAGTATCACTTTGGGCATATTTCTTAACCTCTCTGAATCTCCTCTGTAAAAATAATCATAATTCTTCAAAACATAAGTGAGAGCTTATATTTTATATAAGTATGTGGCACAGTTATTAGTTCCTCACTAGATATTAATTAGTTCCTATGAAAATGATAGATTAGTGCCAAGTCATCTGACCTCCCTGTGTAGGCTTATTATTGATCACTGGGGGTCTGTAGCCCTGGAACAGTGTTTTCTTTTCTGAATTAATTACAGCCTCATGTACTGAGCTAAACTCGAATATGCAAATCTTTATGAAAAGATGCCCAAAATACAGTGACTTAAACAAGTTAAGAGGTTGTTGGTGCTTTCCTCCTCTCAGAAGAGCTCAAGGGATCCATACTGATTCAGGACTAGCATGGTACTTCAATAGAAAAATTCCTTCCTCTCGTTTCTCTGCCATCTTGAGAGAGTTGCCCTCATCTTCACAGTCAAAGATGGCTCACCATGATCTCATTTCAGCCCAAGGGAAAGGAGATGATCTACAAGTTGTACAGATCATTTTCATTTACATCCTATTGGCCAGAACATGACCACAGCAAGCTTCAAGGGAGGCTGGGAAATAAAATGTTAGCCAGCAGACACCCTGCTAGAGCTTCTGTTACTATAGAACAAGATCAGCAAACAGTGGTCTGAGTGCCAAGTCAGCCAGCCAGAAATTATTTACAAATTAAGTATAGTTTGTAAATAAAAGTGTATTGGCCGGTTATGGTAGCTCATGCCTGTAACCCCAGCTCTTGGGGAGGTCAAGGCAGGAGGATAGCTTGAGCCCAGGAGTTCAAGACAAGCCGGAGCAACATGGTGAAACCCTGTTTATACAAAAATTTAAAAAAAACTAACCAGGCGTGGCTGTGCGCACCTGTCGTCCCAGCTATTTGGGAGACTGAGATGGGAGGATCAGTTTAGCCCAGGAGGTCAAGACTGCAGTGAGCCATGATCACGCCACTGCACTCCAGCCTGGGCAACAGAGTGATAAATAAATAAAAATTAAAGTGTATTGGAACACAGATGTGCCCATTTGTTTATAAATTACCTGCTTTCACATGGCAGTGGAAGAGTTGAGTATCCAAAATGCATGGGACCAGAAGTATTTCCGATTTCAGATTTTTTTGGGATTTTGGAATATTTGTGAATACGTAATGAGATACCTTGGAGAAGAGAGTAAAGTCTAATATGAAATTTATGTTTCATGTACACCATATGCATAGCCTGAAGGCAATTTTATATAAATAATATTTTTTATTTTTAAGACAGAGTCCTATTCTGTCACCCAGGCTGGAGTGGCAGTGGTGTGATCATGGTTCACTGTAGCTTTGACCTCTTGGGCACAAGTGATTCTCCCACTTCAGCCTCCCCAGTAGCTGGGACTAAAGGCATGCACTACCATGCCCAACTAATTTTTTGATTTTTTATAGGGATGAAGTCTTGCTACATTGCCCAGGCTAGTTTCAAACTTCTGGGCTCAAGCAATCCATCTACCTCACCTTCCCAAAATGCTAGGTTTACAGGCATGAGCCACTGCGCCTGGCCCAATTTTATACAATATTTTAAATAATTTTGTATATGAAACAAATTTTGATTGTGTTTTGACTGCAACCTGTCAAATGAGGTCAGGTATGTGAATTCTCATTTGTAGTGTTGTGTCAGTGCCCAGAAAGTGTCAGATTTTAGAAGATTTTGGATTTTCAGATTAGTAATACACAACATGTAGTTGCTGCAGAGATCATATGGCCTGCAAAACCTAAAGTATTTATTATCTTGCCCTTTACAGAAGATTTTTTTGTTGATGTCTACTGTAGACAATGGGGAAATGAACATGGGAGGAGCAACTGGTAGTCTCTGCCACAGTAAAGAGAATGATAAGAAGGGTGAATCACTGCCTTTGAAATGTAGAGTTAGAACTTTGTACTTAGGCATACTAGTGGCCCATGGGGCAGTGAGTTGGTATGCAGGTGATTGGTTTTTTGTTGTTGTTGTTTGTTTGTTTGTTTGAGACAGAGTTTCGCTCTTTTTGCCCAGACTGGAATGCAATGATGCTATCTTGGCTCATCACAACCTCTGCCTCCTGGGTTCAAGCAATTCTCCTGCCTCAGCCTCCCAAGTAGCTGGGATTACAGGCATGCGCCACCACGCCCGGCTAATTTTGTATTTTTAATAGAGACAGGATTTCTCCATGTTGGTCAGGCTGGTCTCAAACTCCCAACCTCAGGTGATCCACCTGCCTTGGACTCCCAAAGCACTGGGATAACAGGCGTGAGCCACCATGCCTGGCAAGTGATTGTTGAAGAAGCAATGTTCAGGGACAGATTTGAGGAGCCAGGCATGAAGTAGCCTGGTGGAGGTAAAGGGATGAAGGCACAGAAGGCTGCTTACTGACGTGAGCTTCCATCTTTAAAGTGGAGCATCCTAACTCCTGGACTTTTCCCTCTTCCTGCAGCTCACTGCTCTGTCTTGCATTCGATTCTTGCTTATCAGCAGTGCCACCCCTGTAGGTCAGACTCTTTCCTCCCATTGACTTCTTACGGGTCTCCCTGCCTGGACATTCACCCTCCTCCACAGTCACCTCCTCTAAGTGTGGCTCTTATATTAGTCCCATCTCAAGAACTTCCAAGGAGTCCCTGTTACCTACTCAGTAAAGCCAAGCCTCTAAGGTCCTCCCGCTCCTTGATCCTGATCTTGATCCTATCCTGTCTTCCTTCACAGTCTTACACACACCCTAGATTCCAGCCCAACAGAAACACCTTGTGCCTGCGCTGTACTTTGCCACCACCACGTATTTGCTGTTGTCTCCTTGCTTCTGTCCAAAGGGTTTGGGGATTTGGGACTATGGCTTAGCACATGGTAGAACATTCATGGCTGGGCAGAGGGGGTTTCTGACTTTGTTTTGGCATCTCTCTACATCTGTATTTCCCTCTCCAGCCCCTACCCCCTTCCCTTACAACCTAAGGATAAGCGCTCCCTTTTTGAATGCTCCCTTTTTTAATTATACCAAGTACTATATATAACTCCCAAGGCACTTACTGCTTTCTGTGTGGGATTATAGTTATTCCATGTATGTTTCTAATCTTCTTGCAGAGAAAGAATCTGAGGCCAAGTCCAGATCTGACTGATCAGTTTCATCTAGTAGGTGCCTAGTGGCTATTTTGTTGATCAGTGTTGCAATGATGGTGTCTACAAACAGTGCTACCTACAATTTAGTGTGTTTCACTAAAAATGTAACTTAACACCTGGAGGAATTTAAGTGCAAATGCAAATAGAGGTTTTTTTGTGTGTGCGAGACAGAGTCTCGCTCTGTCGCCCAGGCTGGAGAGCAGTAGAGCGATCTCGGCTCACTGCAACCTCCACCTCCCAGGTTCAAGGAATTCTCCTGCCTCAGCTTCCCGAGTAGCTGGCATTACAGACGTGCGTCAACACGCCCAGCTAATTTTTGTATTTTTGGTAGAGATGGGGCTTCACCATGTTGGCCAGGCTGGTCTCGAACTCCCGACCTCAGGTGATCCGCCCACCTCCACCTCCCAAAGTTCTGGGATTATAGGCATGAGTCACTGCGCCCGGCCTAGAGTTCTAATAATTGTGTTGAAAATAAATGCCACTTAAGATCTTAAAAACACCAATTTTTAGGTAGTTTTTAGCAGAAAAGAAAAAAAAATCTATTTAACTGTTTTCTTCAGACCTGAAGCAGTATTTAAATACATTCATATTTAGAAGTTTTAAACAGTTCCTTGAAAAGCCAAGGCTGAGCCAGAAATCAGGCAGAGCTTTTGCAAGGCATAAGGAGGAGCATGTGGGCAGAAACCCCTGTGAGTGCAAGAGGTGGGCCACCTGCAGGAAAACTGCCCAGTCCACTCTGCAGAGAAGGATTGGAGCATTTTCTACACCAGCCTGCCAGGGACACACCTGACTGCACAAAGATCCATCTAAAATCACTCACATTATACTCACAGAAGGTGGTATTTTCACAGCTTCATCTTTCCGCAGTTGGTAATCAAATGTAAGAAGAGCTTTTATTTTTATAGGAATGATTTAGCTTATGGAGTACCAATCTCATCCTTTTCCTTCCTCTGTCTTTTTAACCAAGCATAGAATGAGGAGACCAATGTATATAATCAAATACTTGCGTATGCTGGAAAAGAATTTATGTCATTCACTCATCTCCTTTTAATTAAAACCTAGTGAGATTGGTGGCAATGTTGGGAAGCAGATGGATGAGCATGAATTTCAAATGTGTATTTAGAAAAATTGAAAGGATTGGTAGGAAAGATATTAAGTAGGCAGTGTGGTCGGGAGTTGAACCTGTGAGTTCAACAGCAGGCGCTTGTAGCATAAAATATAGTAGTGCTTCCAGACCCCTCTGACCTAGGGATGTCTAAGAGATAAGGAGGGAAAGTGCAGGGGTCTCTTTTCTTGTGGTTTATGCATTTTGAAGTTATTAAAGCATAAGACAATTTGTTCTGGAATTTTTACTCAAGATAAAAACTATGACCATTGTGTGAACATTACTGCTTCACCTCCCTCTCCTAACTCTACTTTTGTTTACTATTCCATATCCAGTGTCTAGCAGTGTACTCATCAAACAGTAAGTGCTCAGTACATATTTGTTGAATGACTAAATAAGTGGATTCTGGCACTTAATTATAAGAGCTTTTTGGAAGATGAAAAGATTCTTAAGCAAAATGATTTTTTAAAGATGTAAAGACAAAAGAAGCTTATCTTCCAGTCCCCTTCCTCACTTGACTCTGCCAGCCCCCTTCAATACATGCCTCACTGGCACCTCTCCTGGATTTAGCTTTAAAAGTTTGGGAGGAGTGAAGGTGTGTGTCCTCATATTACTAAAAGAAGAACCCTAGTGTTGTGTAACAGTGTTTCACAGGCTCTTTCATAATAAACATAATATTAGACACAGCCAAAGTAAGTTCATTTTGAATTAATAATCCAGTATTTCATAGTGCTGGTTCGAGGTACAGATCTAGGCCTTGTGTGCAACAGAATAGAATTTTAGAAGTAGAGTAAAAAGTTTCATCCACTAAGCTGTTTCTCATTGGCCTGCAGTCTGATTTCTTTCAAAGTTTTGGAGTTTAACACAAATTTAGGTGTTCAGCTAATAATAAGATTAAGGGTGTTTGTGGGCAAACCAAATATAATTTATATCCCTTAATTTTGAGCTCATAATGTTTCTGCTCTGGGTTTATAAGAGATACCACCGAAGAAAAATCTCAATTAGAGTGAGATAATTTGTAAAGTAATAAGTAGGGTTTTTTTTGTTTTTTTTTTTTAGGAAGCACACTAGTGTAGTGGTTAGGTTTTTGACTTTGCATCATAGAGACCTGCAGTTGATTATTTTACCAACCTCACTACTCTTTTGTCTCAACCCTCCAAATCTTTGTTTTTTCACCTGGAAACTGGGAATAGTAACAGTACTTTCCTCAGAGACTCATTAATAAGATAATTCATGTAAAACACCCAGAACAGTGCTACATAATAGTGTTCATACCAGTTATGATTAAGCCTATGCTGCTGGGCCAAAGAGCCCCCAAAATACAGTGAATTAAAGGGCATACAACTTTTTTTATATTGCTCATATAAAAGGGTAAGCATTCCAGGCTTGCAAAGAATCATGTTCTTTGCAGAAATTCAGGCACCCAGATTTCTTCCATCTTGTTGCTCCATGCTTCCTACATCTCAGGGTTCATCTACATAGTCAAAGATAGGTCGCAGGTATGTCTGTGTCCCAGCTTGAGGGGACAGGAAGAAGTGTGGAGGCAGCATGCGCAATGTCTTCATGCTCAGTCCTAGAGAAGGCACACATCATTGCCATGTACTTTGCACTGGGGAGAATTAAGTCACATGGCCGCCCACATCTGGCTGCCAGAGAGGCTGAGTGGTATAATTTCTACCTGGATGACCATGTGCTCAGTTACAATTCATTCATTGTGGAAGAACAGAAGAACAGATTTGGGTGAGCAGGTAATGGTCTGCCCCACAGTGCTTAATAAATGCAACCATTATGTATTTATTTAAAAATAACATTTCAAGTAACAGTCTAAATGTCTTTGTTCTGGGGAAGAGGAATCAAAGAGCTTCTGTAACACAGAATTTGTGCTACATAGCACATATCTCCCATAAGTGTTATTTTTATTTTTTGGAAGGGAGTCTTTTAAGTATTGAACTTCAAATCAAGGTAAACCTTGAGGGAGAAAAGAAAGAGTGGACAAAAAGCAGTAGAAGGGATGGGAATGTATTAAAAGGAATGAATGCTAATTAGCTATATGCTCTTCCTTCCTCTCAGCCAGCCATCTGGGCAACAAGAAAGGCTTACTACAGTTAGATAAATTTAACCCCTTCTCTGACCTGGCAAGGACAAAGTACACTGGCTTCTGAAGAAACTTTTTCTTGGGAGCAAGGTAGTTATTTCAAAGCACAGAAAAAGGCGGCGGGGGGCACAGAGAAGCACAGAGAAGCGGGGGCAGTTGCACAGGTAAAACATTCATCTTGGCTTTTCTTTTTAAAAGATAAACTTTGTCCCACGTAAAGAGGAAAACTGCATAGATATTCATTGAGATTATCTGATTTGTCACTGTTGCCAAAGAAAAAACAAAGGTAAAATACACGAGTTTCTGCATTCAGAAGAAAGTATTTCAGGTAAAAATTAACTATTAAGCAACTTTTCTCAGCAGAAGAAATGCCCAAATTCTTAAGGACAGCCAAGTTGTGAGTTAGAGAGCTAGTGTTATAACAGATATTTTTAAATACATATATGAATTACCTCCTTACGTTACTTTATTCTTGTGTTTTTAGCAACTGTTGAAAACAATTATAAGAAATGAAATAATGTCCTGAGCTGCCACATGGTATGTTTTAAAATCTGCGATTTTATTCTTGACAAGTAACATACACTACATGCTTTTGTGTGCAAGTAATGCTCAGATGTTTGATAACGGAGTGATCTTAAAGAGGAGGCATCTGTTTTTGTTTTTATAAGTAGTTCATTGCCTAACTACCAAAAATAGCTGCAGTTATTTTAAACAGATGGTCCCAAGTTAATAGGGAAGAAAGTAGAAGTGAGTCTATTTCCCCAGTTTTTATTTTTACCCCACAAAAATGGTAAAAATAATTAACAGTATATAATTTGAACAAATTCTATCAGAATGCTTTCTTCTAAGTTATTCTTTCTGAGAGAGGGGATTTGTCAATTGAAGTATATGATGTGGTGGAGTTGAAAGCCAATATAAATTGCTTAAATTTCTACTTTCTGATAGCGTTCATCAAAATGATTGCTGCATTGTTGAAATAGAGCTTTTGATTTTTAAAAGACAATTAAATTGTGGTAAGATACATGAAACCTACCAAAACTTACTTCAAAAGTTTTGAAGTCTTAAGAGGGTGGTAAGTGGTGGTGGTGACATGTTAAGAGTAGGACCTTGCCAGATGACCAGAAAGAATATGGGTTGATGACATTAATATTTTTATGATTTCTGAATTCCTCAGGAGTCCTAAGTTAATAGTTAATAACCTACTCTTTAGTTTCTGACATTGAAGATAATGAATATTTTGATAATGCAACAACGAATTTGTATTTATAAGGGACTTTGAAGAAGAATGCATTTGTGTGGTATACAGATGCTGTTACTATACATCAGTTTCAGTAGATTACAATAGTACTTGGGCCCAACTACTATCGTATATAGCTATCCATCTGTAAAGAAGATGGATATCTGAGGTTTTTTACTTCTGAAATACTAGGCTGTTAAAGCTTACTGAGATTTTTACTTTCTATTAGTGATAGCAGTACCTTTTTCATGTCTATGGGCTATATTTCCATGTATATGTCCACAAAGTACCTGCAGTTCTTTGATTTTGATTTTTGCATTTTCTTTACTGTTTCATGTGGACTATGGGCTGTAAGCTGCTTACATTGAATCTTTCAGTTTTGCTTCTGTCTGAATTTGTCTAGATGAAAAATACTAGACTGGCTCATATGAAATGATAAAATTGTAGACCAGGGTAGCAAACTATGGCCTGTGGGCCTGATACTGTTTAAGAAGGTTTTTCACATTTACAAAGGTTTTTTTTTTTAAAAAAAAAAAAAGAAAAAAAAAGAATATGAGACAGAAACCATGTGTGTAGCCTACAAAACCTAAAATATTTATGATCTGGCCCTTTACAAAAAGGTTTGCTGTCCTCTGTCATAGACAAATAGTACAGTGTTAAGTGGTTAAGGGCACAGGCTCTGGGTGAGGCCAGACTACTAGGTTCAGATCCTGGCTTTACTATTTCCAGTATGACCTAGTCAAGTTACTTAATGTCTTTGTGACTCGTTTTCTCATCTATAAATGGGAATAAATTACAGCCTACCTCATAGGGCTGTGATGAGGATTAAATTAATGTATAAAGTGCATAGAACAATGTCTGGTACTTAATGAGTATTCAATAAATGTTAATAATTGTTATTGCATTGGAAAAAATCTTGAAAGATCATGTAAACTAATTTTGGCTTTCCAGTGGTGAGTGTCCGCATTATTAAAGACCATTTTTCTGATTTCTGCATCAAGAGTGGAGGGTCATTTTCTTTTTAATGGTGCCTGCTTTACCCAAAAAAGAAAAGAGAGGCCCATAGTCAAATGTAAAAAAATGCTTGAAAACATAAAAAACTGTAACCACAGCTGCTTTTTAAGAAAAGGACAATCAAAGCTCTTTGAATTAAATGACACTTAAAAAACAGCACAAAGATCCTTTTACATACTTAGGACAAGCATAAGAAGAAATAAAGTGGAAATAAAAGATGTGGAAGATAATGTTAGAAGGAAGGGGAAACAGGAATGAGAAAGGTAGTCAGCAGCTGGGCGCTGTGGCTCACACCTGTAATCCCAGCACTTTGGGAGGCCAAGGCAGACAGATCAGGAGGTCAGGAGATCGAGACCATCCTGGCTAACACGGTGAAACCCTGTCTCTATTAAAAATACAAAAAAATTAGCTGGGCATGGTGGCACGTGCCTGTAGTCCCAGCTACTCAGGAGGCTGAGTCAGGAGAAACACTTGAACCCGGGAGGTGGATGTTGCAGTGAGCCGAGATCGTGCTACTGCACTCCATCCAGCCTGGGGGACAGAGTGAGACTCTGTCTCAAAACAAAACAAAAAAAAGGTAGTCAGCAGAAGAGGAGAAAGATTCGGATCAAAAGGGAAGCTGGAGGTTTTTCAAGGAAGTCCAGTGTTGACATCCCTCCTTCCCTTGGGAACCCACCTCAGTTAATCTGTGTGTCCAATTTAAATGCTTCCATTTGAAGAAAAGCCTGACTTGTTTATTTTCTATTGCAGAAATAAATTTTTATCATCAAGTAATATTAACTGAATATACATTATATGTAACTTGTGTTCCCTCAGAAAACTGATCACATGTATACAAAAGCATCATATTTTGTATCTTTATTTTTAGGTCAAGCAATTCTGTACCCCTTAGCCACTTAGTTTCATCATCATCATCAAACATTTTTTGGGTTCCTAAATATGTTTCTTCATGTTTAATACTTCTTTATTCTGCTTGTTCTTTCAAGTAGGGAAAGGACAAACTTAATTATTTACAAAATGTAGACGATGGTTAAAAAACAGGAAAAAAATTTAATGAAGTGTAATTCATTCTCTCTTTTTCCTTCTTTTGTACTCAGGTTGTTTATTCTGTTGATGGATATTGGACTGGAGTGATGAGTGTTCTAGGATGGGTATTTGATGATGCCAGGGGACTCAAGTAATGGCTTTGCATGAAGATTACACAGTAAAGCTGCACATTGATTACCTCATCTTATTAGCTGATGGAGATGTTTGAGAGGACAAGATTGCAGGGCTTTCAAGCCTGTACAGCTACCAGGATTTGATCCTAAGAGCTTGATCATTGTCATTGCCCATAGGGACTGTGTTAAGAATAGTGGTGGTTTACTACTTAAACGCATGAGAGTGTTATAACAGTTCCCTATGTCTTTTGAATTGTTTAGATAAGGTTAGGACTTTCAGATCAACTTGAGTTTTAATTTTTAGCATTTATAGAATTCTAAAATTAATCCTGTTTGTTTTTGTCTTCCTCCACTAAAATTTAAGTTTGCTGAGGTAGACAGTTTTGTTTCTGGAACCACTATCCCTCCAGCGGCTAGAACAGTGGAACATGTTCAATAAATATTCAATAAATATTTTTGAATAAGTGAATGAATGAACAGGTTAAATGTAATCTTTATTTTTTAATGAACTATCCTTTCCAGAGACATACAAATTGCCAGTTGATGGCATTTTTTATTTCTTTTTGTAAAAAGAGTATTTTAAAATTTGAATGAGTTCTATCTAACAGATAACACAGTTGAGTACATTAAAAGGGACCTTGAACACAAAATCCATGTTTTCGTGGATTAGTATTTTTGCAGCTTAAATGGTGAACGATAGGATTGTTAGATGCAAATAACTCTGGAAATTAAAGACCTTTAGTTGTAACTCTCCCTAAAATGTTTGTGAGAGCTTGTAAAATGTTGTTCACTTTATTCTATTATAAAAGGGCATTATAATAAATATGAAGTTTTGAAACCATGTTCTTTTAAATGAGGTGAATTATAGAACTCTGTTATTAGCCATTATGCTGTGCCCCTTCTTTTAAAGCATATCCCTCCACATACCCTTTCTAAGGACTTGGGGGTAACAAAATGAGGAGTAAGTGAAGAAAGAAGAAGGCACAGCTTGTCGAGATTGATGGACCGCCCCCCGCCCCCGGGAGAGCAGCGTAGGAAATTGCAGGATGAAATTTGTGTGCCAGTCTTGTCAGCACCCATTCCTGTTGAAGGAGAGGGCATATGGATGAGGTGGGGAGGATTCCAGCAGAGGGGACCCAGGAAAGGGGAGGGGGTGGGGACAACAGGAAGTGTAATGGGAGGCTTGGGGAAAGTTGAAGATCTGATAAAGGTAGTTGGTGAGGTGAAGAAAGGAGAATCCACTAAAACTTGACCCTAGGAGCATTCTCCGCCGAATGGCATGGGGTAGTGACCCTGACTCTGGACAAGGAGAGAAGCAAATGTACTCCTAGCCCTACTTGGGACCTTAAGGAAAGACTCATCCATGGCCATGATAGTGTAAATGCTGTTTATTGGTTTTAAGCTCTTTAACTCACCCTTTGGAGTGAAAAACAATAGAAAGTTAAGCTGGTTACAGAACAGACTGTAAATGTTATAAACCTTGAAAATGTAAACTATAGATACAGCAGATGGAAATTAGGCAGTGGAAGGGCATGAGGAGAGATGGGGGGAAAGGATGAAAACTGATTGTTCCAAGGAGCTAGAAGATGCACTCTAAGACTGATTAAAAATAGCAGCTCGATCGGGTGGCTTAATGTCATTCTGGTTGAGGGACTGGAATATGTGGTGCCACTATATTGGGATAAAGCAGGAAAGTGAGATGTCAAGACAGGACTTCAGTAGATCTAAAAGAGGTAAGTCATATATAAGCATATTATTTGGAAATATGGGGTTTCTCTTTCAGTGTCCTGATAAGAGACTGGATTCAGCCCAGATGGTTCAAATGCATACTTTAATGAATGGACTACTTATGGTATTATGGGCTGGTTTACATTCTTGGGGTTGAGGGACAGAGGAAGAAATAATAAATACTAATTTTAAAAACTGTACACAGGCTTATTGAGCACTGAGGCAGTGGAAGAGTGGCCACTCAAGGGTGCAGTGGTCAGGGATGTAAGGAGCCCCTGCTGGAAGCACAGGGAATAAATGCTCCCACTTCTGCCCAAACACAGAGAAAGGCAGAGAGTGAGTGGGGGTTAGGTAAAGCAGGGAGGGGTAAGAGAAGAATAACCAGCAGGGAAGGTAGGTAGAACTTGGGTTGGGGTGATCGTGTTGCCTGATAAACTGTTCTGTACAGTTTGATAATCTCTTGCAGGGAGATGGAATATTTTAATGTAAATATTTGCATTTAGCACCTACTATTTCATCTAATGTGACAGGAGCTTGGTGGACCAGTAGTGACTTGAGCAAGATCTCTGCCGTCAAGTAGCTTATAGTCTGATTGGAAAGACAAGATGCTACCAAAACTAGCAAAAAACAAACAAAAAAATGATTACACATTGTGATTAATGCTATAAGTTTAATTTCAGAGCACACAAAAAGGTTAATCCTGCTTGTATAAACTTAATTCTTTAATAATGATACTGCAGGCATTTTTACAATATAGTTAATTATTTGGGAGTGGGAACAATTCTTTTGAGTAGCCCATTTTGCTCTATTTAACTATAAATACACTACATGCTACAAATCAGATGTACAGATGAAACAGCTGCTGCTTCGTTGTTTTGTTCCTGTTACTCATTTTAATGAATAATTTGAACAGACTCCAAAACATTAAATTATATGTATAAACATACTTTAAGGATTATATCATAATGTTAGTGTATTTAAAACTTAGTGGTGATGTCATTACCTAAATATAGTAAATTTTAAGAAAACAAATTATTTGAGCTATTTTACCCTCTATAAATACTTTGGCAGTAAAACAGACAAGGGCTAAAAATCAACCCAAGCATCCATATCCAAGTATAGAGAGCTGTGAAATTCCCCCACTTTCTTCCTCCTGACATATGAACCTTGATAATTAAAATATATCTTTCCAAGGTCCCTGCATGAAATTTGACTTTTCTTGCCTTTCTAATGGAGATATGAGCAATGGCAGAGACAGGGAAAAGGACTTAGAAGCAGAAGAGTTTTATTCTGTCTTCCTTGATACTTCCTGTGGCTGAAGGGTTTTGTCCAAAGGGAAAAGATAAATGAACAGAGGAAGATAGATGTAGGCTCATTCCTCATGCCTCCCATCTTCCGTAGCATTCACAGCAGTCTGAGAACAGACAAATTCAAGTCCTGGGTTCCTATATCCTGAGCATTTGCTTATTAAAATAAACCTTTGAATACTTCATCTACTCTGATTCAGACTACTCTCTTTCCTCCATGAAAAAGCTGGTGAGGGTGTTATAAGCTGATACTATATACATGTAAGATGTAGTCATGAATCATTGGAAGCTCACTGCTTTTAGAACCTGCCAAAATTACCATACTAATGCACTTCTATGAAGGGTGTTAAAATGGTAATTAAGCAAATAAACTCTGCTTATTTTAGTACCTTTATTCATTTCAGAATATTTTTTGTATGGATCTCTCATTTGATTTTTACACAGTTTTTAGAAGCAGAATTTCTGCTGTTGCAGGGGGAAGTTTTATATGTTCAAGTACTTAAATATGAGAGAAAATCTAGAATTGCCTCTACAAATCATTTTGTTTGTAATAATCATGAGTTACACATTCTGTTTGCTCTAGAAATCAAGAAACAGAATAGTGGATCATTTAAGGCCAGAAACTATATCCACTACTTGTATCTCCCTTTTGGGATGGTTTTCTGATGTTTTTTTCAGTGTGTGTCATTTGTATAACCCTGGCCGGCTGTCTTGAAAATATATGTCACTAATCATGGTAGGGGGTAGGTGGGTGAGGGGGTCATCTGATTGGTTGTTTACATAAATTAGTTGTAGTGTCTGTTATCTTCATATTTAAATAACTGTATATGTTAGTATAAAACTCCAGTATAAAATGGGCAGCTGGCCAGGTGCTATGGCTCACATCTGTAATCCCAGCACTTTGGGAAGCTGAGGCAGGAGGATCGTTTGAGCTCAGGAGTTCGAGACCAACCTAGGCAACATGAGGAAACCTCATCTTTACAAGAAAAAAAAAGTAAGTAAGTAAAATGGGCAGTTGGTTTAGAAGAGAGACAGACAAAACCCATACCCTTTCTAGATAGAAAGATCCCCATCTAGATGAGTGTGCTTTCTGATAGGAGTCACACAGCCATACCTGCCATCACTGAACCATTGTGTCTTTTACTTTACCTGTTCTTTGATTTTGAAATACTGTGGAAATGATTTCTCAGATTTTCAGAGTTGTCTTTATGGAAATGATTTTGTTTTAGTTATTCACGTCTAGGACATCTGAAAACCAAAAGTAAAGTGGCCAGACCATGTCAGTCTAGAAACTAGCAGCCAGTAAATTGTCTTCTTAAATATTAAGAAAGCAATATACTACCTAGATGCAATCAAAGATGTCAGCTTTTCCTTAAAAGGCAATGATCAAAAGTCCAAAGGTGCACAAGGAAATAGTTAAACCTACCTAAGTTGAAACAAAAGTTTTGGCTTTAGGACAAAAGGGTTTAATAGGAATTCACAAGTAACCTTTCTATTTTTGAGTGACTGATTTGCAGTTCAAACTACAGGTAACCTCTTTGTGCTTTGTGTTTTATATTGTTGTTGTGTTTTTGTTTGTTTTCCCACGTGTTGGCAGTGCTTGCCTTTTTTGAAATTTTCCCTGCTCATAAACACTCCACTAGGGGGCAGACAAAAGAATAGAGAAGAAAAGAAACCCATATCAATACACTGCATCCAGTATACATTTACATGACATGTTTGCTGCTCCTTCTCTATACTGTGGCGGAAGTCTTTCTGTTCATTCATCCTTCTTATAAGGGCACTCAAAGTGATTTTTAGCAGTCTTATTTTTACATTTAAAATATAAACATATTTCCACAAGTTAAATGGTAATTTTAAAATTCATTGTCATAGTAATTTTTTATGGTTTTTCTGGTATGTCTACCAGTGAACCACTTAATAACGAACACTTAGTTGTGTATTGATGACTGTAATGATGATCCCTATAGGGTTTATCTTACGTGGAGCATTTGTTTACCCATCCACACTAAATTGAGTCTTGCTCTTTTTTTTTTTTTTTTCGAGATAGGGTCTCACCTGTCACCCAGGCTGGAGTGCAGTGGCGCAATCTTGGCTCACTGCAACCTCCGTCTCCTGGGTGTTCAAGTGATTCTCATGCCTCAGTCTCCCCAGTAACTTGGATTACGGGTGTGCACCACCATGCCTGGCTCATTGTTTTGTATTTTTAGTAGAGACAGGGTTTCACCATGTTGGCCAGACTGGTCTTGATCTCCTGATCTCAAATGATCCATCCTTCATGGCCTCCCAAAGTGCTGGGACTACAGGCGTGAGCCACTGTGCCTGGCCTGAGTCTCTACTTTTTGTCAGGCACATGTCCAAGTTTTGAGAACAGAGCAGCAAAGAGAAAGAGCCTGGATGGTAGAGTGTGAAAAGGGGGGTGGTTATGGCTGCCTCCTAAGCCATTTGGTGAAAAGACTAGGCTGTGAAAGGAAACGGAAGAAATTCTTGATGGCTAATGCTGGGTGGTTTTTATTTCTAATTATTCCTTATAACAGCTCATAATGATTAGAATGCCATATGGAGCTGGAGTTGGGGCTTCACTTGTGAGAGAATAAGCTCCCCTTCTTAATCTATGCCATGTCTAGGGAGGCTAGCTGAAGACTTTTTATTTTTTATTTTTAATTCTTCCTTTATCTTTGCTCCAGCAAGAATCAAATCCAGTTACCAAAAATGTATTTACTTCAGCCAACCTGGGGTTACAGAATCTTTAAATGAAAATGTTATTGCTTGGCTGGGCGCGATGGCTCACGTCTGTAATCCCAGCACTTTGGGAGGCTGAGGCAGGCAGATCACCTGAGGTCGGGAGTTCAAGAGCAGCCTGGCCAACATAACGAAACCCCATCTCTACTAAAAATACAGAAAATTAGCTGGGTGTGGTGGCATGCACCTGTAATCCCAGCTACTTAGAAGGTTGAGACAGGAGAATCACTTGAACCTGGGAGGCAGAGGTTGCAGTGAGCTGAGATCACACCACTGTACTCCAGCCTGGACAACAGAGCAAGACTCCATCACAAAAAAAAAAAAAAAAGTCATTGCTTTGCCTCTTTGTGGTCAGTTATTCAACAAAATACAGAACGGTGTTTTTGTTTTTATTTCTTTTTTATATCATAAAATTTATTTTAACTACGGATGTTTTGTTTTCTCAACTTTCTCTCTAGTTTGGAACAGTTATCTTTGTAGATAACTATAAGTAGATTGTCTAGTAAAGTTTTAAAGTATAAACACTTGAATTGCCTAGGAGTTAAGCTAATTTTTTTTCTGAGACTGTCTTCAGGTTACAATGCTTAACATAAATTGAAATATCAAGAGATCTTTTTTTGGAATAAATTATTCATCTGTTAGATCTAATAAATCATTCTGCACACTGTGAGATTGCAATTGTTGGTAAACAAGGTGATAACATTTCTGTTGAGAGGATTATACAGATTTGTTTTAG
The DNA here is from genome assembly GCF_000001405.40 of Homo sapiens. Lineage (NCBI taxonomy): Eukaryota > Metazoa > Chordata > Mammalia > Primates > Hominidae > Homo > Homo sapiens. The sequence goes on from NC_000004.12 coordinate 143,401,393, forward strand.
TCATTATTTGCTTAGAGCATCAACTGCATTCTGTACCAGATTGGGCAAGGCCTAACAGAACATTCATTGAGTGATAATTAAATATCTTAAATGCTACAATGTTTTGGGGATGCTGTGTTAAGTTAGAAAGTAAATAAATATCTAGTGTTTTTATAATCATGAAATGCATTTTCTTTATGGGTTTCAGGAAGCATTTCAGTTAGGACTTCACCTTTCCCTCCGTAATTCTAGCATGGTAAGCAAGACTTGGAAAAAGTCACAATAGGTGGAAAATTAAGGAATTAAAAATTTAAACCTGCCTCAGAAGGTTGTATGGCTCCTGAAACCAAAGATACATTCATCCTTATTTTAAAAACTAGCTACTTAAAAGTATGTATGATATGAATAAAGATTAGATGAGAATATGGAGAAATAGATTTTTTGATGCTGGCGAGATTATGTATAATTTTCGCCTTCACTTTTCAGTTGACGTTGTTGCTAGTTATTTATTTAAAATAAATTTGTTAAAGTAAATGCCCATATAGCTTACATGATTTTTTTCTGGAGAACACTTTCCTTGGATATTGGGCAACCTTCAGAAATAATAGACTCCACCACAGTACTTTAAGAGGCACAGACATTTAAAATTTATGATATACAAGTATAAGCTAAGTTTATGTTTGCAGGGTTTTTTTTTTCTCTTTAACAGCTGCTAGAATTTTAAGATTTCTTAGAATTAAAGACGAGATAAAATTTAAACCAATGCTATCCAAAAATTAATATCTAAGAATAACTTCGCATAAATTATAGAGACCAAATAGGCTTTTGTCTACACTAATAAAATGTTCCTTTGAATCCTTAATAATCTTAGTATAACTGCCCTAGGCGATCCAGGTTGATTGAAGCATTATGGATTTTAGTTGGAAAATTTTCCCTGTGTTTGATTTAGAATTATCTAGCTTTTTCAGGAACAGAACAATAAATAGAATTGTTGTCTTTAACATGCCTACCCTTCTGTACCAGCTGGGATATGAGGACTTTTATCTGTGTTCATAGCATATATATCTGTGTTCCACTTGACTTCTGGTCTCCTTTTCTCTATTTCACCAGCATGTACAGTCTTAGGAATGAGGAATGGGGAAGAGATCACTGGATTAGAGAGGGGATGTGTTGAGTGGAAAAATACAGGCCAAATAACTTCCTTCAGAATTTCGTGAAGGTCAGGTCCCATCACAAAGGGTTGGAGATTTGTGGTATTTTGAAGCCCTCTAATTAAATAGGGGAATAGGTACCATCTTTTCCTTTCCTGTTCACCTTTCCCTGTTCTACCCTTCTTCGTTCTAGTTAAATACCAGCAATTGGATATGTAAAGTAAAATACTGAAATGTGAAATTCTGTGGTGAAATGTGGGATGTCCAGATGACATCTCTGAAAACCCAAAGCCAATCCCTGTGCTCCAAACTGAAGGTTTATATTTAGAAGACAGTGCAGATCCTGTATTTTTAAATTGCTGTAAACATGTTTATGTGGTTATTTTTAGCTTTTACAGACTTTAGTGAACTTCCAAGTTGGCAAGTCAGACACAGTCGGTTGTTGTCTGTTACCTCAGATGCCAGCACTTTCTGAATGACTCTGGTTGTCTCACTGGGTTTCTAACATGTTGAAAGCAGATGAGTGTGTAAGTTATCTTGTGTCAACTGCACATGGTCTATCTAATCTATCTATATGGGTGATTGTATTACTATACATAGTGTACTTGTTTTCTTTTTTCTTTTTTTTTTGTTTTTAAGCTTTTATGAACTGGTAACAATTTTGCTTGGAGCTCAAGATGAGTTGGGTCCTGCCAGATGGCACTGTTATTTCTCTGGCAGAAGTAGCTAGTTATTTTCTCTTTTCCTTCAACACTTCTCTCCTTGTCCTCAAGCATTAAATCATGCATATACAATACAAATCCTTACAGCCGCTGTTATTTTCAGTCCATTGTATCTATTTCCTGTTGACCGAAGGTTATGAGGCTTGGGTAGTGTAGAGGGAGATGAAAAGTTGACAGAAAAAAGAAAGCTGGGCTCATTTTAGGGGCAAAACACCATAAAATGGGCAAGATGGCACTTGGATTTATTGAAAACAAAAAGAAATAAATAGGCAATCGTCTTTCTTGTATGGTGAGATCATTATCTGCATGGTGCATGCATGAAGAATCGTTTTCCTCCAAGAATCGTGTTTTATGAAAGGGTGACACCCGTAGCCCTCATGGGGAAAGAGGAAGATGTCATTATTGGCACTTGGGCTGAGCCTTCCACGTTTGCATCAGAGATCTTGATTTCATTATCTGTGCCATAATTTTTATCTTGCATTCAACCTTGTACTTAGTCCTTCTCTTTAGATGAAGTTATTCATTCTTGCTTATTGGACTTAATGTAGTTTATAGTCAGTAGCTCCAGAAGGCATAATTTATCTCTTTGGAAGGATGTCTTTCTAAAGAAACTTTTCATTGCCATATATCTTGTTCTGGAAGCTTTAGACTGAGATTTATGTTAAGAAGAAAATGATATTTAAGCGTTATTTTGGCTTTTTACATATAAATCTAATTATGGAAATTTGAAATTTGATTTGTAACACTTCAGTGCTTTCCCTTTAGTTCTTAATGTGAAAGTGTTGTTTTTAAACAGTGATCCAAATCTTAATATAGCAGTGTTTTATTTTGTTGTAAATTGTGAATGTTTCATAAGAAACTAAGAAAAGAAAATGGGAATGTTTTGTTTTGCTGGAAATTCAAAACAGTAGTTCTAACCCAGAAATAATTATTTTGGATTGGATAGCTGAACAAGAAATGGAATTTAGAATCAGTACATTTTTTGAAGATAAATTTTCATTGAAAAATTCTAGATTGTCATTGGCGTATTTTATTAATGATCAGTTTTATTTAAGCAACCATTTCCTTTCCTAATCATGACAATAACAACATATGGGACACATTTTTAGGGTAGAGTAAGTTTGTGGAACACAGTGAAACTAGGAAATAGACCCACATGCTTGTTAGGATCTCAGGCACAACTGCTTACAGTAGCATTACACAATTTAAATATTTGTTGTGGATTTTATTATTAAAGCTGTACCTGCTTCAGCAATTGATCTTGCTTGTCTCTTAAGTTGAAGAAATATCCTTTAAAACTGCACTGTCCAGCCTGGGCAACCCACTGAGACCTCATCTCTTCCAAAAAATTGAAAAGTTAGCCAGGCGTGGTGGCATGCACGTGTGGTCCCAGCTACTGGACAGGCTGAGGTGGGAGGATTGCTTGAGCCCAGGAGGTTGATGCTGCCATGAGCCATGACTGCTCCATTGCACACAGCCTGAGCAACAGAGCGAGACACTGTTGCAAAACTGAAAACAAAACAACTGCATTGTCCATATGATAGCTTCTAGCCACATGTGGCTAAATTTAAATTAAATAAGTTAGAAAATCAGTTCCTCAGTTGCATCAGCCACTTTTCAAGTTTTGTAGTCACATGTTGGCTAATGGATCCTGTGATGGTCAGCACAGCCATTTCCATTATCACAGAAAGTTCTGTTGGACAGCACTGCTCCAAAACTGCAATTAGAATTTGCCTCTGTGCAGGAAAATTTTATGTCTTTAATTTGAGAGATAACATGAATTTTCTACTGCATAAACAATATTTATTTTTTCATGGTCTTGTTCTTTATTTAAACAAGACGTTATTAAACATCAAATGGACATTGACATTATACTTCATAGCATATGCCATTTTGTTCTTATTCTCTGTGATGACGTTACATTCTACCCTCTGAGAGACTGGGAAGTCATTACACACACACATACACACAAATGTATGGATATATAGAGAGAGAGAGAGACTATGTAACTGTGTATATATACATAAAAATGCTAACATAATATTCAATGACTGAAATGTGTGGGCCTTCTCATAGTAGGCACTGTGAAGTTGTAGGTTCCTAATATTAACATATTGGCACGGTTTCAGTCCCAGGGTTCATAATTGACTTATTCCCTGATTAAGTTAGTTTCACTTTTTGTTCACTGAGCCTTGTGGGCTGGAGATTTGAGAGTTTATGGCTGAATTCTTACAACAATAAGAAAACCCACTATTGGTTTGTTGTATCATCCATTATACCTGAAGGCCAAGTTAGTGAAGAACAGAGACAGCATCATTACCAAATGAATTAAGACATTCATTCATTTGTTCATTTATTCAGGCAACAGTTATCACCCATGCCTTTTAACCACCAAGTCCTTGCATGCTGTACACTATGCTGAACACTTAAAGAGAAATAAGACAGAATCTTGGGGGAGGAAAGCAGTTGTACAAAGGGTTGATTGAAATGCCAAGGTAGAGTGCTATGATGGAGGTTTGCACAAGGTACTGTGGACATCTTGGAGTAGTCAGCTTGACCTGGCCGAGGTGACAGGGGAGCCAGAATTTGCAGAAAGAAAGGTGTTGCCAATATTCCTTCACACCAAATTCCATCTACTCCAAATGGAAAAGATGAGTTTCTTGCCATGATCTCTCAGTATTTTGGGAATTTTGCAAACCATGGGGAGAAAAAAAACTCTTTAAAAAAAAAAGCCATTCCTAAGCATCACTTTGATGGCTGTGTAAGACTCCTGTATGGTGGTATATCATCGTTTATTTACTCAGTTTCCTACTGTGACTAATCATCTGGGTTTGCCCAGGACTGAGCCATTTTCTAGGATGTGGGACTTGCAGAGCTAAAACGAGGATAGTCTTGTGAAAACTGGGATAGTTGATCATCCTACCTTCTACTGAATATTTAGATCATTTCAAATATTTACTTACAGAAACAATACTGTGCTGAAAATTTTGGTGCCTAGGTATTTAGCCACATTTTTTTTTTCATTATTTCCTTAGGTGAGAGTCGTAGAAATGGAATTAATGGCTCAATGACTGTGGACATGTTTTGGAGCTCATGGCAGTGCTCATGGTTCTTTATTGCATTTTTTGCTGTATTCAGCTAGACTGGCAGGAGTCTGCCTGGACATTTGCACCACCTCTGCCTCCGCAAGTTCTTAGGGAGATGAGCCAAAGACTTGTTCTTCACTAGCTGCAACTTGTGTTCCAAATCTTTAGCTGGCCAGATTGCATGTAAACTCCAACTAACAGAGCCTTGGCCAGAAGTAGGCCAAAAGCCAGTCTCAAAAGATGGAGTGAACTCTGTGTCCCGATTTTCCTCTGCCCACATCCTGACCTGAGCTCACTGACTCTGACTGCACATGGTGGTAAGAAAAGGGTGAGATCCAGTGGACCCAAGGCCAGTGGCCTTTCTTCCCAGTACACACAGCTGTGGGTCACCCCAGGGCACCATCCGACTCACATGGAACATTGCATGTTTAACTTTGTTTGGCTCCCAGCCAGTTTCTCACTTTTTCCGTCTCCTCTTGGTTAGGGTAAGAAAGTTTGCAAAACCACCAGAGTTAGAGTGTGGGCACAGCCCCAACAATTGGGAATATGAGGACAGAAGTGAAATGGTACTTTCAAGTAAAAATATACTTAGCTTGCCCCACAGTGCTGTATTTAGAATTAATACAGCCATGAGGTGACATACTTTCCTGTGGAACCTAATAAATAAATTTACCTAATTGGGGTCCAAGGCAGACCAGCCTCATACCAAATTGTCTCTGTAGTAAGATGTATTAAAGTCAAGTCCTATTTTCAGGGTTCTTAACGTGTTAACAGGGGTCCTGTGAAACCTTGAAACTATACAATATTACCTATATACCTTTTTTCTAAGAAAAGTTTTCATTGCTTTAATCAGATGCTCAAAGCCGTCTATGACCCAGAAAAGGTTTAAGAACCACCTATGTATATTAAATACTAAGGGGTTTTTGTCATTGCTTTTTTTTTTTGGCTTTTTGTTTATTTTATGTAGTGCTTATGCCTAGGCTTTGAGGTAGGCATTAATTTAGCAGTAATTTCAACAAGTAAATTATATGCACTATTACTGAGAATTCAAAATTCCTGAACTCTTTCCCTAGCTAGTATAGTATTTCTGAGTCAAATTTGATTTTTTTCCTCTTATGAAATTGTTTTATTTCCAACTAATTTGTTGTATCCAGGCAATGTACGTAAACTCTAATATCTTAAGTTTATGGAACAGTTGAAAGCTTAGATCTAGGCATTGTTCTGCATTATTTTCAGTGTATTCTTTTGTTTATATTACTAAGCTAAAGTTAGCTCGGATAGCACAAGGCTAGAAAATGGTGACAACAGTTTGAAAACAGGAAATTTTAGGCTTCTGTGTGTTTGGAACAGATGATCATAATGATAGAGCCAGTGGAGTGGAAACTTCCACCGAGCCTGTTTTTTCCTTATTTTGCTCTATGAGAAAAGATGGTGCTTCCTGGAAAACAACTCAAGTATTTTAAAGCAAATGGTTTTCCTTTGTCCCTGCTTCATGGTTAATTTGTTTTTCTTTATTTTATTTACCCTAGTAATAGTATTATGGAAATATTTTTAATAGGCAAAGTAATTCCTAAAGTGCTTATTTTAGATTTTTAAATATTTCAATGTATTACCATTTACTGCATGGTTTTTAGAGAAAATTAAAGCAATATATTATAATGACTTTAAGGAAAGAAAAATAAATTTATTCCTCTATTTTAAGTGTTCCCAACTTTTCTTGTTTGTTTGTTTAACCCCCTAAGTGCCAGTCTTTAAAATAAAGTCGTGACTCTTTATCTGTCTAGGCTGTTTCCTGGCTGAGACTCCTTCCACATGTATCCCGGAATTCTATATTTAAAAGAAAGGTTAAATATCCATTCACTAATTGCAGAGTAATAATAAAATAGCATTTCCATATACACATAAACTTTTTGTTTTGTGCACATCATTCCTAGGTTATTTTAAACATACAATTTTTTAAAATTATAAAAGCAATAAATGGAAACATTTTGAAAAAACAAAGTATGTAAAATATGAGACTCATCTGGCCCTTTCATCTGACCTATTCTTAGTTATCAGAGTTAACAACTTAGTATGTGTCCTTCCAGACCTGTTCTCTAAACATAGTGTGTGTTTGTATAAACACACAGTTTGTGCTGTGTTTGTACAAACACACAGTTATTTCACACAAATGGAAGTATATACCATGTGTACAATTCCGCACCTTGTTTTTTTTACTTAACAGTTATCTTGTGGGCATTGCTCATGTATATATATCCATGTCACTTTTTGAATGAATTGCCTAGCTTTATTGTGTAGATGTCCCATAATTTATTTGACCATTATCCTGCTGATAAAATTTAGATTACAACCTATCTTATCAAAAATAGCATTTTCATTTTGTGAAACGCACATCTTCAACCCCGACATTTTACAGATTTCTGAGAGTATATTGAAATTTTGAATTCTACTAAAGAAGTCACAATAATGGTCTTTCCTTAAATATCAGTTGTGAAATACCTTTTAAGAGATTTCAAAATAAAAAATTCCGCTCTACTTTTTTCCCCACACTTTCTCAGGAAAAGAGCGGGTTAGTAAAATTACAGTGGTGGAGCTTCCTGGTAGAAGGGAAGTTGGCTCAGGAATGTAGAAAGTATTGCTCTTCAGCTATCTGGACAAGGTATACTTTGTTAGGGCTTAACAACTACCAAGAGACCCCAAGATGCAGTCAGCAGAGTTCTTTTTCAAGTGCTTAAGGGAATGGGCTTGTTAATGGACTACTTGCGTGATGTTGCTGAGAGCTCAAAGGAACAGGAGCTGATGCCTTATCTCAGGGGAAGTTGAGGAAAGCTTTAAAGAACAGGTCTTGAGCTAGGTCTTGAAGGATGAGTAGGAGCTCATGGTGAGGGAAATAAGGTATTTCAGACTGAAAAAGAAACAAGGACCATGTGGGTGCTGTCTGAGGCCATCTGTGGAGGTGAGAGATTGGAGAGATGAGACAGGTAAGTATGGTTTTGAAGAACCTTGTATGCTATCTTACTGAAGGAGTTTGGACTTCAATAACAACTTTGAACTTTCCCCCCCCCCGCTCTGAAATCTTTTCATTTAGTCTCAGTGGCTGTCTGTGATGATTATTCTGATGGACAACATCTCACCAAGGCTTTGAGCACTTACAATGCATGAAGTGCTGTTGCAGATAGAAAAAAAAAAAGGAATTAGCTTTCAAGGAGCTTAATGTCCAGTTGGGAAAATAATTCATAAGTATTTGGAGAGTTTGGAAATGTAAAATAATAGACTGTTCCAATCTATTCTACAGCAATGCAAGAGATATTACAGAGCAGTAATTGATTGTCAGTGGTAGGAAGGTAGGGTGTGGGGAGGAAAGGGGAAGGTTGGGAAAAAAGAACCTTGAAGAATGAATTGGGTTTGAAAGATATTTGCTAGTGGTAAATATTGTGAACAAAAATAGGAAGATAGAGACAGCATTGGCATGAGCAGAAGATATTAATATAAGAAGATGAAGAATGAGACGTAAGCTTGAAAGGACCTGTGTTTGTTTTGTTTTGTTTTGTTTTTGAAATTTTACTTTAAAGAGCAATATAATCCTATTGATTGGATCTATGGTTCTTAATCATGGTGGCACATTAGAATCATCTGTTGAGTGTTTAAACCTGCCTATTCCAATCTTCACCCCACCCCCATACACTACAATTTAGTTGGCTTAAGGTGAAACCCCAAGCTTTTTTTTTTTTTAAGCAAAGCTCTCCGGATATTTCTAATGTGCATTCAGGGCAGAGAACCCATGGACTACCCCCGACCTCTTCTCTGATCTTCTCTCTTGCCTGCCCATATATTGGCCACTTCCTCAATAATTAGCTCTTCCAGTAAAGGTACAGGGAAAAGATGAGGGAATTTTGGCAAGCATCACACCAGGCATGTGAGCTGTCATTTATACCACAGAGAACTCACAAAACAGGGTGTACAGCAGTTACAATGTTTTTCTTTAAAGCTGAAGCCATTTGCTAGTTAGGTTAATTAGGCAAAATTTGTGAATTTGTTAGTAACGTTACAGCCATATAGGCAAAATTTGTGAATTTGTTAGTAATATTACAGCCATTAATGGCTTGGGGTTAATCCAGGTTAAAAAATGTTTCCTTCCCACCAAATAGTGGGACTCCCATCTGTACTTTCTTGCCAGTATGTACATACCCATACTCTAGGGTGTGTGATAAGCCTGCCTTAAGACCTAGCTTCAGTGTGACAGTTCTACAGGTGAGCATATCCAATTTGCTAAATACAGGAAATGTTTAAAAGAATAGTTCTTTTAAAATGATGTTTAAAAACATCTCTCTTATGTCTGTAGAGTTTTAAAAACAAATTAATTTGTTTACACACCTCTATGCTTGCCTGACCAATTCTTGAATGGGCTGGGCAGATCGCAGTTATATCACTATCCCTGCAATGCATAAATAGTATGAGAACTTCTGTATTTTTAATCCTTGCCTCAAACATTTTGTATTGCGTATTTAGCAGACATTGACTGAGCACCTCCTTGGCGCTAGGCAATGGGAAAGGAAAGAAGAAAGGTTAAAATGGCTCCAGCCCTCAGTACATTCAAATGCACAGATGTCAAATGATTTAGGAAAAAGGTGGAAATGGAGAGCTCAGAGCCAACTCGGATGGTGCCCCGAAGAGGGCTGAGCTAAATCTAGGGGGTAGATTTTGTGCCAAGGGGTGAGAGGCAGGACAGAGCAGAGTGTTTGGGAAACTACAAGTATTTCCAATGTGGTTGGAAGGCAGAGGGGCAAGAAGTGACGCTGGAGAGATTTAGGGGTGGAGATGGGGCGGGAGTTGATTGGAGGGTCCTGTGTACCCTGCCAGAGTTTGGGTTTTATCCTGTAGGCACAGGGGGCAGTCACTGAGCATAGGGAATTGGCTTCAGAATTTGGTACTTTTAAGTTACCCCAAAATCCAGACTTAACTGTTGACTTCTTGTTAACAAATTATTTGTTCAACTCAAAATTGGAGTGACTATTGCATATAAGAAATGGCTACAAAATAAGTTTTTACATAGTCCTTCTCAACTATGCAGACATCTTGCAAATTTCAGCTTCTTCATTACCTGCTCGTAATGGAAGTCTAGTCGTTAAAATGATTTTTTGTGTGAATTTCTTTTAAAATTACTTTGAGTATTTGGTTTTGAAGGTTTCTAGAAAGCCTGTCCTTTTTGTCTGCTCCTGCTCTGCAGGATTGGCAAGGCAGTGTACGGCTTTCTCTGGAGCTACCAAGGCAGCAAGGATAAAAATAGGACAAACTTTAAGAATCTCAGATATTTTCAGATAACAAAGACTGATTTATGTGGGCCCGTTTTGTGCTCTGACAAAACATAGAGACGCTTTTGTGCTGTGATTAGCAAGGGTGCTGATGTCAGTTCTCTTGTCGAGCATCAAGCTTTATTCTGTGGCTAAATTGTGCTTTGTACCATAATCCAGAGAACCTTTGTATCTGCCTTATTAAAGTGTGTAGTTTATGTAATTGCTTTTGTTTTCCAGCTTAATCTGTGCCAGATTCAATGAGGGTGACTCATTTTGTGACTGAGACAAACATTCACATTTGGACCATGTTAAAAATAAATAAATAAATGGCAGGTGCTGCTTGGCTAAATTCTGTGTTTTAATGCTGTAATTTCCTGCCGTAAGGGTTCACGTCTTGTATAATGTCTACTCAGCCTCTGTAATCACTAGCCCAATATATCTAATGCACCTCAATTCATTGCTACTCATTTCTTGATTATTTATTTTAGTTCCTAAGGGCTTTTTGAATTGTAACAATGTGATTTCAACAGGGAAGCCAAGGAATGGATGGGGGGGAGCCACAGTTAGCCGGAAAACAAAGAGTGACACATAAGCTGTAGCAAAAGGACATGTTCTGTGCTTTTCTGTTTTTGCCATTTTCCCAAGATGTTTTGTGCATGTGTTTTGGTAAAGTTGTCTTAGTTATGTTTATTTTATTATGTATATGTTCAGTATTGGAGCTCTTTTTCTCAAGTGGAAGATGCTTTGAAAGCACTCTCTTCATTGTGGCCCATGTATCAAATCTAATCTCAAAAATTTTACAAGTCTACTCTCTCAGGAGAATTCTGTTTATTTATTGTACAGATATGCTATGTACTAGGCACTGTGCTATGGCAAATAAAGCAGGCGTGGTCACTATCTTCTTGAACTTTTCAGTCTGTTTGGGGAGTTACGTACTACACAAATAAATACAAAGAAAAATTGAATTGCAAAATTACACAAATCACTACGTAGGTAAGTAATAGGATCTCTAAAACTATGCTATTAGTTTACACTGGAGTTGGTTGCATTGAGGGTGGTCAGGGAAGAGAAGCCCTGAAGGTTGGAGTTGGCCAGGCAAAAAGTGAGGGAAAGAATATAATGTATTTAGGGGAAAACATGTGCAAAGTCCCTGAGGCAGGTAAGAGTTTAGCCTCCTATAAACCCTATTATTGGAGGGGGAAAAGTGACAGTTGATGGAAATTGAGAGAAAAAAGACAGGAAACTGTATTTAAAAGATGAACTATACAAGCATAGCAATATGGTACTATTTATTAATAGTATAGGGGCAAATGACACTCTATACAGTGCAACAGCCTCTGAGAGTCTCCTGAAGTGCAGTATAGAAATGGATGCTTACAATACTTAGTCTGAATCATTGGGGAATGGATTATGTTTGGTGAAGTATGTAGTAAAGCATTTTAGAAAGATTTGCGTGCAAGACAATAAAGTTTTAAAAAGTCATTTCTGTATTTAAAGATGAAGCTTCACTATCTGGAGAAATCACTTACTGAATGATATGATTTCTTGAGGGCCCTGCATAAATAACATCATATTTTATATTCTTTTGCTTTACTTCTGCATTACTTTTTAAAGCTTACTGCTTGAGAGGGAAGTATCCATAGAGGGATAATTTTACTAAGAGATGATATTTATTTATTTTGCAGTAAGTAGATGCATATTCAATGAATGGATTTTTATAGTCCAGAAAACAGTGCTAAAATCATGTGAATCCAACACTTTATGACTTTTCAATATTATCTAAAACATCTATAGGACTCTACCCTGCCTTCCCTGGACACAAATTATATACTTATTCCTTTGAGCTGCGTGAAGAATGAGAAGTTAATTTAAAATGTTGATGATTAAAGACCTATATAATGTTTTTAGGCCTTTGTGATCTCTGGTCATCCTCTTGTTAAAGGATTGCCTAAATTTTTCTGTAGAGGAATGCTTGTTCATGTAGCAATACCTCTGCAGACATTTTGCCTGGGTTGCTGTAGTCTCAAGTATTTTCATGTATGTTAAATATTTTTTTCCACAATTAGTCAATTCTTTGAAGGTAGGAATAATGAATTATATACTTGTTTTTCTTCCCACAAGTAGCAAAGGGAATGTTTTATTCCACTGGGGGTTTTCGAGTCCTTCCACTTCCCAGAGCATCCCCACCACCCCGCTGCCCTTTTTTTTTTTTTTTTTTTTTTTTGAGGAGGAGTCTTCTTCTGTCCAGGCTGGAGCGCAGTGATCTCAGCTCACTGCAACTGCCAACTCCGGGTTCAAGCGATTCTCCTGCCTCAGCCTCCTAAGTAGCTGGGATTACAGGAACCTGCCACCACACCCAGCTAATTTTTGTATTTTTTAGTAGAGACGGGGTTTCACCATGTTGGCCAGGCTGGTCTCGAACTCCTGACCTCAGGTGATCTGCCCACCTCGGCCTCCCAATGTGCTGGGATTACAGGCATGAGCCACTGCACCCAGGCCCAGAGTGTCCTCTTGAGGTAGTCTTACCTAGAATGTTGAATCTGGAGCAGAGAATGTTTCTTAGTAAATGACTGAGACTTGCTAAAATAGGCCTCTTTTCTGTCTAGCTGCCTCCCTGAGGAAGAATTTCAAAGAGGAGTAAGGTGTAAGTTTGTTTCCAGGCACACATGTTGGGGTTAAAGGCTGATAAGGAAGGCTGTTTGTCATTTGGTTCTGCTTTTATTATTTGGTGACCATAGATTTAGGGAGGGTGATAGTAAAATAATTTTTTAGGCTTCTCTAGGTATAGTATTAAACTCAAAATTTACCAGAACTTGTGGAGGGGGTATGTGGTGAGTGTATTACAGATTGCCCATGTATGTTTGTTGGGAAGAGGAGGGGAAATATTAGAAAGAGTTAAATCCCATACTCAAGAATACAGGTCTTACTCGTATAGTCTTTGAACAACAGGCTGTGTGGCTAAAAGAGAGACACAATCAATTGCTTCCCAGTCAAGAAGCCAGAAAAGCTTCAAAACCTTTCCCCCTCCCTACTCCTTGCCACCGCACCTAAAAAAAAGAGAAATCTTTTAAGTGTTTAAAATCTGTAGGAGTCTTATGAAGAAGCAGCTTTATGTGTATTCTTTATGGCATAATATTAATGCATGAAAATCTGTTGCTTTTTTAAAAATTGTGGCAAAATATACATAACATAAAATTTATCATTTTAGCTATTTTTAATATACAATTCACTAGCATTAAGTATTAATACATTCACAGCACCATTGCAACCATGGCCACCATCATCTCCAGAACTTGATCTTCTTCAACTCAAACTCTAGGCCCATTAAATACTGTAATAACTCTCCATTTCCCACCCCTCCCCCTCCGCAGGGCCTGACAAATACCATTCTGCTTTCTGTCTGTATGAATTTGACTACTTGAACTACCTCATATAAGTGGAATCATACAATATTTGTCTTTTTATGACTGGCTTATTTCACTTAGCATAATGTCCAGCTTCATTCTTTTGCGTATGGATTTCTAGTTTTCCTAACACCATTTGTTGAAACCATGACTTTTTCATATTTAGTAAAAACTGAATCCTCCTTGATGTATTGCCTCAATATTATATAGTAGGAGATTTAATCGAACATACTGAATATATATATACATTATTAAGTTAATTGAGTTATGAGTAAACGTTGCTTTTCAGAGTGGCAGATTATCCTGTGGTAAAAACACACACACAAACACACACATATTGTGACTTTCTCTAAACAATGCATTTGTAAAATCAGTTTGATAAATGTGCATCTTCTTGAAAACATTATCTCAAGTTAATACTGAATGGATATTTTTGTTTTGTTTCTAGGCATGGAAGAGGAGATGGTTCGTGTTACGCAGTGGCCGTTTAACTGGAGATCCAGATGTTTTGGAATATTACAAAAATGATCATGCCAAGAAGCCTATTCGTATTATTGATTTAAATTTATGTCAACAAGTAGATGCTGGATTGACATTTAACAAAAAAGAGTTTGAAAACAGCTACATTTTTGATATCAACACTATTGACCGGATTTTCTACTTGGTAGCAGACAGCGAGGAGGAGATGAATAAGTGGGTTCGTTGTATTTGTGACATCTGTGGGTTTAATCCAACAGAAGAAGGTAAGTTCAAGATATTACTATTCAACTTGAATTCTTCTTTTCTGCTACATTTCCAGAAATGTCATACAATTCTTTGTTATTTTAGTTACACAATATAATGTTTTATTTTTATAATAGGAACTTGACATTTGGAAAAAGCACTGAATCCTTTAATTAGTTTGGGGAGAAGCTGTTTACCAGTTTTAGAGCGACAGACTTAGACATATTGGGGCAGTTTTTAAATATCCTGAAGTAAAAGGTGACAAGAAGACATTTTAAGAACATTTATTGAATTCCAATATAAATATTCAGTTTAACCATATAACACTGTTGATATTTTACTATTTTTCACCTATTAAAAAATAGCACATTTGGCCGGGCGCGGTGGCTCATGCCTGCAATCCCAGCACTCTGGGAGGCCGAGGCGGGTGGATCACGAGGTCAGGAGATCAAGACCATCCTGGCTAACACAGTGAAACCCTGTCTCTACTAAAAATACAAAAAAAAATTAGCCGGGCTTGGTGGCAGGCACCTGTGGTCCCAGCTACTCCAGAGGCTGAGGCAGGAGAATGGTGTGAACCCGAGAGGTGGAGCTTACAGTGAGCCGAGATCGCGCCACTGCACTCCAGCCTTGGCGACAGAGCGAGACTCCGTCTCAAAAAAAAAGCACTTTTATGTAGCTCAACCCAATTCTTTAGGTGCTATTTAAAAATATATTTTAAAACTATATTAGATTATGGCCGGGCACAGTGGCTCACACCTATAATCCCTGCACTTTGGGAGACTGAGGCAGATGGGTCACTTGAGGTAAGGAGTTCTTCAAGACCAGCCTGGCCAACATGGTGAAATTCCATCTCTACTAAAAATACAAAAATTATCCAGGCATGGTGGCACACGCCTGTAGTTCCAGCTACCCAGGAGGCTGAGGCAGGAGAATCGCTTGAACCCAGGAGGCGGAGGCTACAGTGAGCCACAATTGCACCATTCCACTCCAGCCTGGGCGACAGAGCAAGATGCCGTCTCAAAAAACTATATTAGATTATCCCATTTATGCCTAGTGTTCCATTATTGGAACGCTAAGCATGTGGGAGTTATTTATATCCCACTGCTCAAGGTCATCGCCAAGGTCTGATTGCAAACATTCAAAAAATTGCAACCTCAAGCATAAATAGGTTATGAAGTTAGGAAATAGCCAAGGTAATTATCATTACCTATGAAATGCAAGTGAGAATCAGTCACAAAACACAATGAACAAGTACCAAACAAATGAATTACTTAGCACAGGTCCTACAAGGAACATGGAAGAAGAAAGAGGGGCTCAAGGTTTGGGTAAGAGGTAGTGAAGGAAAGCTTCTGAAAGGAAAATAAATTGCAAAATGTAGGCTTTTGAAAGAAACAGTATTTCTGTGTAAATGAAAGGAGGGACGCAGAACCCTCCAGGCTTAGGGACTTAGGAAAGAACAGACCCAGAGAAGGAATCGAATTTTACTTGACTGGGGCAGTAAGGCTCTGAGTGAAAAAGGCCCAGGGACAGTTGCTTACAAATCTTGAATGAGGGACTGAGATTTGGGGTGCCTATCCTGGAAAGAGCTGAGTGACTAGAGGGCTCAAGAATTTTACAAGTGGAATTCTACCTCGGGTACTTTTTTATTATTATTATTATTTTCTTTTTTTTGAGATAGGATCTCACTTTGTCGTCTAGGCTGGAGTACAGTGGCATGATCTCTGCTCACTGCAACCTCTGCCTCCCAGGTTCAAGCGATTCTCGTGCCTCAGCCTTCTGAGTAGCTGGAATTACAGGTGTGCACCACCACACTGGGCTAATTTTTAATATTTTTAATAGAGATGGGGTTTCACCACGTTGGCCAGGCTGGTCTCAACTCCTGGCGTCAAGTGATCCGCCTGCCTCAGTCTCCCAAAGTGCTGGGATTACAGGCATGAGCCACCACACCTGACCTCGGGCACTTTTTAATAGCTGGCTGACCACTTCTTCTCTCTGCTCTTCCTTTTTAAACAAACGCTCAACATGTAGGTAGGGGACTCCAGTACAAAGTAGTTTTGTAGAGCCAAGAATCAGAAATAAAGGTGAACTGTGGTCTTTGACCTTCTTGTCTTTGTGGTTATACTCACATTTAGAAGCGTGCATTTCCGAACATCTACATTTAGGAGTGCTGTAGATACCATAAGGAGTGGAAAATTGTGTTAATAATCAACACCAAGATTCGGATTGAAGTGGAGCTAATCATCTCTAATGAGCTCAGGCCAGCGTGCCGCTTCCTCTCTGGCCAGTCAGCAGCCCTGGGGAAAGGAGCCTGCCAGGGCTGGGGTTTGCCCAGTGGGGTCGGGGAAACCCCTTAATGAGGGCGTTCAGAATCTCACGGGAACAGCAGTCTAAGAGGGAAGGAAGGGTCCAGCTTAGCTGGGAGGGGGCTGATGAAATAGAGATCTTCAGCAGAGCTCTAGTGATTAAAAACCTCAAGAAATTGTTTCACAGGAGGAATTAAGGGTTCAGTTGTTTTCGTGAAGTTACTAAACGTGGTCACAGTGTAAGTGGGCATGGGGGTGCTACTTCTAACTTCAGTTAAAACCCTTTCCTGTTTGCATTTATAGTTTATATTTGAGTGCAGCAGAGGGTTTCAGAGTTAAAATTACAAATGAGGTAGCTCTTTTTAATGGTTAACATCTAGTCAGTTGATGTCAATGACATCAATGATAATTATTGGATTTAGACAGCACATTAGTTTTATTATGTGATGGATTTTCAGTTAAAATAATTTGTCATTTTATTATCTTCTTCTTGTTCCTTTGCCTATTGCCTTTTCAATGTAGAATTTGTTTGGGGGGACATAAGGGCAGACTTTTGTCTCTGTTGGTTGTCTGTATAGATTGAGCTGATCCAAAAAGCTAAATCATAGATGTTCTTCCACCTCTCTTACTTTTTTTTACAATGCTCCTAAATATATTTACAAAGGAAATGAGATGTTCTCATAGAGGATGTGCATTCTTCAGTCAAGGAATATGAGTCTAATTTTTTGAAGCCTATTCAAGGGTGGGTAGGGTTGAGAACCCAAAATAAGAATTTTTAATTCTCAAGTGTCTGAGATTAACTTTGCAAGTTTTAAGGCACAGCGTCTTGTCTATTTGGCCACCTTAGGATGATTCTTATCATTTGGGAGCCTGACAAACACCCACTCTGCTCTGGGAAGGAAAGCTTGGTATGCTTTTAGAAAATTGATTGATTAGTTCACCAAATTATTTGAGTTTGCTGACACTCTACTAGGCTGTGGGAATTCATTCAGCAAATATATATTAGGTGATTAGTTAAGGAGACAAAAGGTAAACATCACAGACTGAGCATCTAATGGGAGAGGAGTCATTAAGAGAAATATCCAAAATAATTCATTGTAATAATTGATGAGTGCAAGTTTATATATACATATGTATATATAAATTATGCATTAAAATATATATACAGTGCATATATATATGTGTAAAAGTATAATTCTATGGAAGTTTATGAATATAGTTCTTGTGCTCATAGAGCTTACAGTCAGTCTAGTAGGAGGGACAAATAATCCAGGAATTATACTACTGATTCATAAGCGCTCTGCTAAAGAAGAACTAGATAAGCATAGTTAGCAGCAGCAGTGATCTTTTCAGTGCAGAACTCCCAATTCCTTACAAAATAGATGAGAGGTATATTTAGGTTGAGTGTAACTCTTGACTTGTGAACTTTTCATCTTTACAATATCCATGGTTGGGAAAGGGTTGTAAGAAAATTCACAGTATGATTAATCAGATTTCTTATATATAGTCTGTGAGTTGGCTACCAAGTACAGCTGTGTTAATCACAAGTCATTTTTATGTGTTCATTAATAGATAAAACAAGTATCTAAGGACTTTAATCTGCCAATACGTTCTACATTGAGGTCATGAGCTATATCTAAATGCAACTGCATTTATTTTTTAAATTCTATGATTGAGATTTTTCACAACTTCATCCTGGTTATTTCCCCAAATAGCCACATTTAGAAGTGTCTTAATATACTGTGTTGAAGTATTTGTTGAGTTTCTTGGAATAAATCTGTAAAGCATGAACAGTTCTTCATTATGTAGTATTAAGCAGCCAAAATCATACTTTATTCTGTAATTTTGGTTTTTGATCCATAATGGCGAAACTGCAAAAAGACTCTCAAAGTTTTTCAGCCATTTAAGTTCTAAATAGCAGAATACTGCTATTATCCTTTGTAATCATATTCATACAGTTTAATATGACAAGGTAAACATCAAAATGCCTTTGTTCTTCCACTGACTTGACTACCTGTTTTATATTCTCTTGTGTCCAAATAGATGTCACCACCAATCACTAAATAATAGTTGTTTTTGTTTTTATCTAGATCTGTCCCAAGCCTTCTGCTCTTCCTGTTTGAGAGAGCTGACTGTCCTACTGTTGGCTTGAAAATTAGCTAACAGCACAAGATAATTTTTTTACTATGCTAATTTCAGACTAGATGTGAGAAGAAATAGACCATTTCTATAGACTGGTTATCACAGTCTAAGAAAATAACTGTCCCCAGTCCCTGTGAGAATAACTAATTTTCCCCTGAAAACAAAAGGAAAAGGGAAAAATCTGACCTGTGTTTTGATTCCAGGAACCTCTCAAAATATCGTTACCATGTTATTTCCGCTGCCCCAGGTGACCACTGCTATTATTGAATACTGAAAGTGCTGGCAGGCTATATCTGTTTTTAAGTCCTAGCTCATTAAACTGTGTGTGGTTCCTATGAATGCTTTTCTTTAGTAGATTTGAGGGTAGAAACTAATTTTGTTTTTCTTGGAAATGTACAGATTTATTTTTGTTTCTGCAACACAAGGTGGAAGCTGTTAGATCTGCTAAACAAGTATTGGGAAGCAGCTCACTAACTTCATATAAAGGTCTCTAATCTAATTAGATGCAGGATTAGAAAGTTGCCTCTGAGTTGCTTTTCTCAAAATGCCCAGATCATAGTGGCTTAATAAAAAAAAGTACAATTCTCTGTTTGATATTCTCCCCTTGAGTCAAGTAGATATAAACTAACATGTAAGAATATACATACACTTCCTTTCCTGTAAAGCAATCTTTCTCAATTAGGGACTTTTTAAAATTTCTTTTTATTTACTTTTTTATTGAGGTATAACTTACTACTGTGAAGGGCACAGATCTTAAGTATACAGTTCAATGTAGTTTTATGTATTGATCTATATCTACATGTAGATACAGATGTCTGTGTAACTGCCCCTCAGATTAAGAATGGTACTCTTCCCCTCCCCTAGAAAGTTTTCTCATGCCTCTTTCCAATAAAGCCTCCACCCAAATTAACTTTTTTAAAAATTGCTTTTATTACTGTGGATTAGTTTGGCCTATTCTTGAACTTAGGAACCATTGAAACCATTATTTTTTCCAGTATTAAGCCTGTGAGATTCATCCATGTTGTAGCATGTAACAAGAGTTCTTCATTCCTTGTAGCATTTCATTGTGTGAATATATCACAAATTGTGGATCTATTCTAGTGTTGATTGATGTTTGGGTTGTTTTCAATTTTTAGTTAACACAAAGCTGTAGTGAACATTTCTTTATATGTCTTTTGATGAACATAAACACTTAGTTCTTTTGTGTATACACCCATGAGTATAATAACTGTGTTACAGTACAGACGTATATTTAGCTTTAATAGGTTTAACAGCTTTAGTTTTCCAAAGTTAGTGTACCAGTTGCCTACCTACCAGCAGCGTGTGAGAGTTTACTTTACATTCTCATCAATGTTTGATGTTGTCAGTCTTTAATTTTAGCTATTCTATTGGGTGTTAGTGGTATCTTGTGGTGTTAATTTGCATTTTCCTGAGAACCAATTCAACCAGAGAGTTTTTAGGTTTTTTTTCTTTTTCTTTTTTTCTTTTCTTTTCTTTTCTTTTTTTTTTTTTTTGCATATTTCCAAGCCACTGCTCCTGAGATCTTGATTTATTGAGTCTCCTGCGGTGGGGCCCTGTCACCTAGATTTCTAAAATTCCCCACAAGTGATTCTTAGGCCTTCAAACCTCTGGATAAGAATTATGGCATTTGTCAGCATTGCCTAAAGGTTTAATTTAAAGTCTCCAAGAATATTTCACAATCTACTAAAGAGGGAGTCATGACAAATAAAAAGTTTTTCTACTTGAAACAGATTAAACAGATCATGCTATGTTTAAGGGTCTTCAGTAGTTGAGTGAATAAATTGAAGAAACTGCAATGCAGGCTGCTTCACAGAAAATTGCAACTACTGCTATGTCTTATTTGTATCCACTTGTTAGATTTGCCTTTTTGAAATGTTCTTCCATAAAAAACGGTGTATTTAGAGTAAGAAAATGGTATGTTAGTATTAATGATAATGCATACTCTTTGTAGACCCTTATTTGCTAAGTTAGACAGTTCTATTCAAAATGCTTCTCTTTACAGAAAGAAAAATTATTAAGCACACCAGATAAATCATTAATCAATAGAAGCAGAGTAACCCTGACCTGTTTACATTTAATTGTGAACATAAAGGTAAACTTTTACACTAGAAACCAAAAAAATTATTCTATCAGTAGATATAGCCCATCTTCAGAGAAAATAAATGTATTTGGTCTCCTGAAAAGAACATGGGGATCACCACAGTTTTATTATTATATGCTCAGATACAGTAATTTAGTGGTTACAAACTCAAAGAGCCTATCACATCAAGTTTGAAACGTTCTACCTTACCAATAAGAAAGAGTAGAATTGTTTCCTAGGGCTTCAACTCTTCTACCATTTGGGGTTTCTTTAAGTAATTATTTTGAATGTTTAGAGGCATTGTCTTGGCACCCCAACTTTTGTGAGGGATACTAACACAAGGGTATTATGGTTTCAAATAGGATAAACTGTGCATTAGGCTAGGGGTCATGTGGGCCAGTTTATTATTTGTGGATTTCATCACATGATAATCTACTCTTCACTGGAAGCTTGTTCACTGAAAGGCTTTCCCTAGCAGTACTTAATAGCTTCCTAAGTAAATTTCAATTAGGAGTTTGCTCCAGCAGCTTATTAGCCTTTAATGGATGTTAATTATACTCTTCATGCCTTCTGATTTAAGAAATGGGAAATAATTTTACACACATAAGCAAACCCTAAACTAATGTTTAGTTCTTAGAAGCTTGATACCAGCATTACTTAGAAAGAGCAGTAAGTCAGAAACTCAAGGCAGAAAGCAAAATGGTCTATTCTATTACTGGTACAGTAGTATAGAATAGAGGCAAATCACAAGTCTTTATAAAGTAGAACAGAAGTTTATTTTTTCAGACCAGTTGCTTAGCTTTGGTCAGAAATGCAATGTTCGAGAATATTTACACACAGTGCAATGCTTGTATTAAAATATGCAGAGCTGAGTACATAGTCAAATTAACATGAGTAAAATAATCCCAAAGACTACAACTTTGAAGATAGTGCATTGTCTGAGCCAAAGTAGTGAAGTAGTTCCCTCTTCCCTTTTAAAGTCCTTTGTATGTTAATGTGGTTTGGAGTGGTTGGGGTTTCTTTAATGGCTGTTTAAAGGTCTTTTCATGATCTTGCTAGCAAACATAATGAAAGTTTTTCTGTAGTTATTGCCTCTTAGAAGTGTGTAAGTCTTCAGCTGGGCACGGTGGCTCACGCCAGTAATCCCAGCACTTTGGGAGGCTGAGGCATGTGGATGATGAGGTCAGGAGATCGAGACCATCCTGGCTAACACAGTGAAACCCCATCTCTACTAAAAATACAAAAAAATTAGCCAGGCGTTGGTGGTAGGTGCCTGTCATCCTGGCTAACACAGTGAAACCCCATCTCTACTAAAAATACAAAAAAATTAGCCAGGCGTGGTGGCAGGTGCCTGTAGTCCCAGCTACTCGGGAGGCTGAGGCAGGAGAATGGCGTGAACCCGGGAGGCGGAGCTTGCAATGAGCCAGATCGCGCCACTGCACTCCAGCCTGGGCAACAAAGCGAGACTCCATCTCAAAAAAAAAAAAAAGTGTATATATATATATATATATATATATATATATATATATATATATATGTCTTCACGTGCTATGAAAAGGATATTTTTTTTTTAAAAAAAAGGAAACTTTGAATCTCTGTCCTCTTTTCAGAAAATTGAGAGGATCTTGCAGGTATAAAGAGGGTAAGACACTTCTGTCATTTACAGGTGGGAGAAGTGGAAGGTTAAAAATGAGATGGTCCTATTGTGTTAATAAAACAAAGTCAGACAAACGTAATTGCCTGGCTAGGTGATTTTCTTTTCTACTCAGTGCATTTAGTGTATAGCCATGAAGTTTAAAAAAAGTGTTAAAAGTGTATCTGTAAAAACAACCACCTGAAAAAGTTATTTTAGTAGTTGCAGTGAAAAGCTAGAATTCATACTGTTTCATATAGGGAAGTATTTCCAGTGAGTAGTGTTTTTTGGTCAGAACTAAAAATTGAGCTGGTTTATTCCATTTTACCATGCCTGTACTGTAGAGGAAAGGGGAAGTATATGGAATACACTTGTGAATACAGTGTGTAGGATACATTAACAGTTTTCTGAGTGGGCTGCTCTTTTTTCCTCAATACTGTATATATTTTTCTTAAGCTCTTCTTTAAAAGATAAATATTTTTCATACTTCTCTTAAATCCTCAAGGATTAACTCTGAGTCACCATTTGTGGTATTTTAAATCCTTTTAAATAAATCTCTGTATTTGCAACTGAATCAAAACAGTAAAACATTTCACAGGGTAGGATCTGATGACCATTTTATAATCAACATTTTTAGATACCACAAGAGGTACTTATGAGCATCCACTGAAATTATGGCATTATGTCATATAAATATCCAAAAATTCATTTTTTTATTCTTATGTTTATATATAAGAAAGAAAAGGCTGGGCACGGTGGCTCCCTGTAATCCCAGCACTTTGAGAGGCCGAGGCAGATGGATCACTAAGTCAGGAGATTGAGATCATCCTGGCCAACATGGTGAAACCCTGTCTCTACTAAAAATACAAAAGTTAGCTGGGCGTGGTGGCGTGTGCCTGTAGTCCCAGCTACTCGGGAGGCTGAGGCAGGAGAATCACTTGAACCAGGGAGTTGGAGGTTGCAGTGAGCCAAGATTGTTTCACTGCACTCCAGCCTGGTGGCAGAGCGAGACTCCGACTTTAAAAAAAGAAAAAAAAAGGCCTTTCTGTGCTACCCACAGAGGGGTCCATACGGCGTTGTTCTGGATTCCCGTTGTAACTTAAAGGGAAACTTTCACAATGTCCAGAGCCCTTGATGTCCTGCAAATGAAGGAGGATGTCCTTAAGTTCCTTGCAGCAGGAACCCACTTAGGTGGCACCAGTCTTGACTTCCAGATGGAATAGTACATCTCTAAAAGGAAAAGTGATGGCATCTACATTATAAATCTGAAGAGGACCTGGGAGAAGCTTCTGCTGGCAGCTCATGCCATTGTTGCCGTTGAAAACCCTGCAGATGTCAGTGTTATATCCTCCAGGAATACTGGCCAGAGAGCCATGCTGAAGTTTGCTGCTGCCACTGGAGCCAATCCAATTGCTGGTCACTTCACTCCTGGAACCTTCAGATGCAGACAGCCTTCTGGGAGCCATGGCTTCTTGTGGTTACTGACCCCAGGGCTGAAGACCAGCCTCTCATAGAGAGAGGCATCTTATGTTAACCTACCTACCATTGCTCTGTGTAACACAGATTCTCCTCTGTGCCATGTGGACATTGCCATCCCATGCAACAACAAGGGAGCTCACTCCGTGGGTTTGATGTGGATGCTGGCTCGGGAAGTTCTGCGCGTGCGTGGCACCATTTCCCGTGAACATCCATGGGAGGTCATGCCTGAACTCTACTTCTACAGAGATCCTGAAGTGATTAAAAAAGAAGAGCAGGCTGCTACTGAAAAGGCAGTGACCAAGGAGGAATTTCAGTGTGAATGGACTGCTCCAGCTCCTGAGTTCACTGCTACTCAGCCTGAGGTTGCACACTGATCTGAAGGCATGCAGGTGCCTTCTGTGCCTCTTCAGCAGTTCCCTTCTGAAGACTGGAGCACTCAGCCTGCCATAGAAGACTGGTCTGCAGCTCCCACTGCTCAGGCCACTGAATGGGTAGGAGCAACCACTGGAAGGTCTTAAGCTGTTCTTGCACGGGTTCTTAAGCAACATGGAAAATAAACATCAGTATCTAAATAAAAAAAATTTTAAAAATTACAAAAAAAGAAAAAATTAACTCCAGGTATAAGGTGTTAGAGTTTGTTAGATGAGCTATGAAGACTTGACATTACATGGAGTATAGTAAAGATAAAAAGTTAGAGGTTGGTTCACCTTCTATTTACTCAGGCCAGATTCTCTAACAGAATATTTTTGAACTTGATTCATCTAGGAGTGCTCAGAGTTTTTGAGGAGCAAATCCCAAAACTGCACATGCAGGTGAATGGGTCTTAACAGATTTGGAAGTGCCCCTTGCCTTAATTTCTTCTGACTTGACACAAAGTCTGTAATTCCAGCACTTTGGGAGACTGAGGCTGGAGGATCTCTTGAACCCAGGAGTTTGAGACCAGCCTGGGCAACATGGTGAGACACTGTCTCAACAAAAAGTTTAAAAAATTAACCAGATGTGGTAGTGTGTGCCTGTAGCCCCAGCTACGTAGGAGGGGAGGATTGCTTGAGCCCAGGAGTTCCAGGCTGCAGTAAGCTAAGATGGTGCCACTGCACTCCAGCCTGGGCACAGAGGGAGACCTTGTCTCAAAAAATAAAAATAAATAAATAATAAAACAAACAGAGCGCTCAGTGAGTGTCTGCCCTGTGAATGAAACATTTTTTCAGCATCTGCAATGTGTAATGCACAATGCATAGGAGTTCTGATCCTTTCTTGTTTGTTATTGGGAACCACAATTAGAGATAAACTGTCATATTTAGCCATATTAATACATTATTATTCAGGCTTCATTATTAGGATATGACTTCTTAGGCCCAGAAGGTTGTAAAATGAGCTAAATAAACATGCTTGTGGTACATTTATGAATATTATAGTTAAATACATAAAGGCATTATCAAAAGCATGTGGATTTATTCTTATAATTTATTATCTAGAGAAAATAGAGCAGATATTTCACCTCTCTATGGTAAATTAACAAGCCAAATGAAATGCATTACTGATGCAGAACTTTGCTCTGTAGTTCAGCTAAACTGGGCTCTTGTCACAAGACCAGGAAGGATTAGGAACACAGACACATTGAAGGGTGAGGGGAACAGAATTTATTGGGCCAAAGAGGAAAAGAAGAAAAAAGTACTCTCAGGAAAGTGAGAGGGGGTCCTCCTAATAGGCTCCCCACCTCACAGACTGAATTCCAGGCCATCACCCAGGATCTGAAAAGGCCAGGCTCCTCCCTATATCTATCACTCCCCACTCTAAAGAAGTGCATCTAACTGCCTTTATAATAAGGATAAGGATGAAGACCAATCTTAACTTTTTCTTGCTGACAAGGGTCCCTGTTTTGGGAAAACAGCAGTCAGATCCCCCTCAGAGGCTTATCTAAGGGTTCCTGGCAAAAGGGGCCATCATTTGAGGCTCCGGTTGCATGACTGTTTGGAGTTTGATGGCCTGAAGGCGAGAATAGACAAACCGGGTTATTAAAAACATGTATGAAAACAGAACGGGGTTGCGGGTAAATACAGCTAAAAAATCCCAAGGTCTTTTATCGGTTTGCACAGGGAGAGGGAGGCCAAAGCCTGACTGGTAAAAAAAAAAAACAACAACAACAACAAAACCTTTTACCCTTTTTCCGGCATGTCAGGCTTCTGTGTTCCCTTCCCCCAAGCACAATCCTAAGTCAACCAGTTTAAGGTTTGGGAAATTAACTTTTCCCAGTTTGGAGGCTACATCAGAGGGGCGTGTCCCATAGTACAGAGACAAAATTACCTATCAGCAAAGGGAGGACAGAGGAGGAAAAAGAAGATTTTTTTTCAAAGGAGTCCTACGGATTCAGAATGCATTTGAAAGGGGTACAGACTAAAGGTGAATGGCTACTCATCTAGAAAGAGGGGAGCAAAGCATCCCAGGTTCCCTTCTCTTCCTAGTGAATACCCAGAGTATGTGAGGGAGAGAAAGTGAAGCATCTCTTTCTTTCTTCCATCATTATATCCCCAATTCCCAGCAACCTCTACAGGGTTCCACCCATGGGTATCAAAGTGGCCTTCACCTATGTTAATAGGGGGGCCTATGGGGGTGGGAATATGTGCTCTTACCCACATATGCCCTATCTCCCCTGCTGTCAGTAGCCTTTGAATTCCCTAGACTGCATTTATGCCATGGATATTGGTATAACCTTTATCCGTGAAAGGAGAAGCCTGGCTTAATCGGTAGGGATAAGTCACACTCACCTGAGCTGTGCCTTTTAACTTCCATTATTGTCTGCCTCTGGACCTGTCAGATCTAGTTTTATTTCCTAGGGCTTTTACCCAAAGCTTAGAATTGAGTTTGAGACAAAAATGTGTCTTGGGGGGTTGTATGGACTCTATATCATAAGCTGAATGCTAAGGTGAAGCTGTGGAATTGAGTCCTCCTCCAACAAGGGAGAGAAAAGGATGTCTTGTGACACACCCAGATAACTGGTGGCTATAGTTATGCTTGCTAAGATTTGGGTGCATGGGACCTGGCTTTGGTTAGCTCCCTTGGTCTTACTTTTCCAAAAAGGAAACCTCTGGGTGATGGGCATCCTGTTTATTCCCATCACTTGACAAGAATTGCAGGATATTTGCTTAGAACTAGAATATTGATCCAGATTTATCCATCCCCTTAGCTTCTTCTGAGCTGCAGCCAGAGATTGCTGGTTGGTTCACAGGAATAAGCAGGGTAAGTTTAAAATGTAGGCAAGAACTTAAAAACAACTAATGGGTCTAGAATATAATGACAAATGTATGAGAAGTTTTGAAACATTTCTCTCTCTCTCCAGTCCTCATTTTTGTTAAAAACAAATCACTCATAAGTAGGAATTGAACAATGAGAACACTTGAACACAGGAAAGGAGACATCACTCACCAGGGCCTGTTGTGGGGTGGGGGGAGGGGGGAGGGATAGCATTAGGAGATATACCTAATGTAAATGATGAGTTAATGGTGCAGCACACCAACATGGCACATGTATACATATGTAGTAAACCTGCACGTTGTGCACATGTACCCTAGAACTTAAAGTATAATAAATAAAAATAAATAAAAAAAATCATGATAGGATGGAGTTGTTTGCAAAATAGACTTTAGTCTTATACTTGGCCCATTATTTGCATAAAGTGCAGCAAGAATTTTTATTTATTTATTTATTTTTGAGATGGAGTCTTACTCTATTGCCCAGGTGAGAGTGCAGTGGCACAATCTCGGCTCACTACAACCTCCGCCTCCTGGATTCAAGTGATTCTCCCACCTCAGCCTCCTGAACAGCTGGTACTACAGGCACGTGCCACCACACCTGGCTAATTTTTGTATTTTTAGTAGAGATGGGGTTTCAACCATGTTGGCCAGGTTGGTCTTGAACTCCTGACCACAAGTGATCTGCCCTCCTCAGCCTCCCAAAGTGCTGGGATTACAGGTGTGAGCCACTGTGCCCAGCCTGAATAATTAATTTAACATAGGCCTTTTAGATCGACTTTGTTCCACAAGGAGTCTCAGATAGGACTTTCTAAAGCCAAGTCCATCCATGAGTTTGTACCCTCAAATACTTGTGAGTTGGGTAAACGCCTCTCTTCCTGAGATCCCAAGAACATGTGGGTCCTGGGCCTGTTGGAAAGTGGCATTCTCTACTCACCACAGGTTAGGAACCCTGTACGGGGACTGTGTAGATGAGCTATGAGGCCAATTTTCCCAAGGGGCTGAATAAAGATTCAGCTCTGCAAGTAGAGCTTGACTCCTTAAAGGGAAGCATACCTTTCTAGTCAAAGCCTTGGTGAAACAACCAGTTTCTCCAATTGCATCCTGTTGCAAAAGAAAATGGATTCTTACTGCATTGATGCAAACAACCATATTGCTATAAGTTAAGAATACTCACAACTAGTTTCCAAATTCTGGAGAAGAGAGGCAGAGAGACAACTATGCTCCAAATTTTGTTCACAGGATTATACCTTACTCAATTATTAAAGGCCATGAATAGCTCAAAATAAGTTTCCTTGGACTCTGATAAACAAAGATCAGCAGTGTTCCAAGCAAAAGTCAAAAAGGTTACTTCAGTTTTCTGTGAGTTCAGTCCATTTAGTTAACTCGTTTTGCTTGATGTTCGTGAACATTTCAGCCCTCCATGAATCCTGTACATTTTTCCTTTATTCCAATGTCACAATCTCCCAAGTTATCAGAAACCTACATTTGAAAGCACCTGTCAAAGTTCTGTAGCTGATTATAAACATCTTTTGAAGAGGATCAAAACAAGACAATTGTCAGTGAGTAATGAAATGTCTACAGTAGTTACAGTCAGAAACACAATTGAAAAAGAAATTTGGTTATCTCTGTGGTTTACAATAACATAACAACCTTAATTGTGATTGATAGCATATACTCAGACATTAGAATTTTAGAAATCCCATACAATTTTGGAACATATATTAATATTATTCCCTAAGATATAACCTGAAGAAGATTAAACATCATTTTGGCAATCCCATGTACCTAAACATGTCAAATAGTCCTGTTTATCTGTCTTCTGGGTGCTCCAGGAGCCCTCTGTAGCATCCAGAAAGCCAGGTGTCAGCAAAGACAATTTTGAAACTGAAGTTTGATTTTGGGAAGCCTGTTAATTATGTTAGAGGGTTAAAGCACTTGATATTATGAAATAGAATTTCAGATTACCATAAGTTATTTATTTTGCCAAAATGATGACTCAAATTCTTGAAAAAGCAGAAACCTTTTATAACCCCTTAAAACTTTTGCCATAGAGATTAGTGCCTTAAGAGTACCTTATTGTGCTTTTATTTCAGTGCTCAATTTACAGAAAAACCATATTATATGCTTTTGAATTTAGTTAATATGTTCACACTTGGAATTTCTTTTGCAAGATTAATTTTTACAATCCTTTCACAACTTGTTTGAACTTCTAGCTTTATCTTATCTAATTCAAAACAATCCTTTAACCCCAGGCAAAAATTTACATTTTGACATCTGCATTTTACCAATAATCTTTAGGCTTTTTCTATGTCTCAAAGATTAAAGTCACGTGAACTAAAAGGTACCACACAGCTTTTATCTACCCTTTCAATATTTGATCCAAGCACCTATCCTTCTTTAATTAATTAGAGCTCTTTTTATAGACATCACCCAGACAACACATATATAGCTACACAGACAGGCAGAAGAAAATCCAGTAACCACAAGATTTTTCATTTGCCAACCTCCGGGTTGAGCCCATAAAGAGACAGGATTAGGAAAACATGAAGCTTCTAAGGCCTAATAAACAGTTATAACTGGGAGGCAAAAACAGATTTTGAGAGGGATCTATTCACTTTTAATTTCTGGGGTTTCATGAGGAAAACAGAGGTCTCTCCCCTCTCATGCAAGAATTAAGGGTGGCAAGGCAAAATGGAGAAAAATAATTCAGTTGACTAGAAAAAGCCCTTTTCCAGCAAAACAAGACCCAGGAAGAGAAAAACATAAAGGCCTTTTAAATATACCTATAATTTGGATATCCACTTTTAATTAAGCTGAGTGCTCTTTAAGAAAATTCTTTTAAATTCTTTGTTATCCGACTTTAGCTGCGCGAAGTGGTCAGTGTTTCTGGCTTTCAAACTTTACTAAAGGCTCAGAGAAAGGAAAACCCAAGGCAGTTGGTGGGGAGGAAGAGAATAAACAAATAGCAAAAGTCACATAGATATCAAACCAGAAAGGACTCTGCCTGAGCTAGGATTGAGCCTGGGCCACCATTGTAAAATGGCGGAGGCTAAACAAAGCATTGCCACATGGTTACAGGTCACACTTCCAAGGACGTAAAACAAGATGGAGGCCTGCAGCAAAGTTTGCTACTGACCATACAGAAAGACATGCAAAGCACACCAGATTGGCTAAAGCTTAAGCCCAACCTCACAAATCCTTTTTCATAACTAAAACTTTACAGAGAAAGAAGAAGCAGTTTTCCTTATCATTCTTGGTCTAGCAAAACTCTGAAAAAAGAAAAAAAAAAGGCCTCGCTTTAAAGCTAACTCCTGACCTGGTGGAGAATAGGAAAAGACAGCTTAAATGCAAGGCTGTGTTAACTGCTGACAGCGTGGAGAAAAGAAAAAGATGCCTGGGGAAGAACCTGTCATATGCAAATAGGTTTCTTCTACCGGGAGAGAGACATGGTGGGGAATGCTGGCCAGCCCACTGCGCAGGGCCTTTTGGCCTTAGCCACTGCTGTCTAACTCGAAAAAAGAAGGAAAAGGCCAACATTCCTGATCCCTGGGAGTGACGGGAGTTGTGGGGAGGCATAATTCCCTCTAACCTCAGAAGAAATCTGAAGACAAAAAGGCTTAGAAATGAAAGGTAAAAAGATTTTTTGGTTTGCATCTTACCCTTTCTCATGCCCCACATTCGGGCACCAAAAATGATGCAGAATTTTGTTCCTTAGTTCAGCTAAAACTGGGTTTTGTCACGTGACCAGGAAGGATTAGGAACACATTGAAGGACACTTTGAGGGAAACAGAATTTATTGGGCAAAAAGGGAAAAGAAGAAAAATAAACTTCCAGCAAAGCGAGATGGGGTCTTTCTAACAGATTGAATACAAGGCCACCACGTGGGAACTGAAGAGACTTCAGTTTCAACCCAGCTTTTTCTGTTCTATAATAACAAATTTTAAGAACAAATTTATTCATGTATGAGCATTTGCCTTTTTCTGCATTATTTATGGCCTTCTATTCCTAAACAGACTAACAGCATTTTTTCTGAGCCTTTAATATACTTGGTTATGTCAGTGACTACAGCGGGATTTTATTCTAGAATTTCACATGGTTTTCAAATTGCTTCATTCTGCACAATTTAGCTCTTTTCATATTTCTCTCAGAACATAGTTAAGGGAATAATAAATTACTTATTTACTTGCTGGACCTCTTTCCATGAAAATACTACAAAAATCCACTAAATGGCAAATAAAGTTATGAGCTGAGGGAAGAGGTGATGCCTTAAAGAAGCTGTTTCCTTGAACATGAATAGACTTTATTTTCACCAGTCCCAGAATTAGAAGTATTTCTCTGTAGTCTGCTAAGAGGTAGAAAGAAAAGAACGATCATCGAAATAAACAGGGTAAAGAGCTGGCCCTGGTACTCACAGGACCACAGGCCTGGTAAATACTATGTAATTAAATGGGTCTCCTTGGAAGGTTGGGTTGGCTTAGGAAGCACTTCATTATCATGGAGTTTTAAAGTATCTTTCTCTTCTGCTAAGGTTGTAGAACAGCTTCCTTCTCATAGCCTCAAAACTGAAGACTGTTCAAGCAAAGGTTAGCCATGGCTTTTTTAGAGGATCTGGAATATATATAGAGTCCTACTCTTTAGATCTCTTTGACAAGAATAAAAAAATACTTCCTGTATAAAGGTCGCCATTTAGATAGTGTTTGTTTTAGCTGACATTGTCATGATTTATTCTGTTTTTGTGTGTTGAAACAATTTGTCTCCAAAGTAGCTTTGTTTTTCCAAAAATTGTTTAACTGTGATAGACGTGATAGTTAAACTTTGGTGTTGCAGATCCTGTGAAGCCACCTGGCAGCTCTTTACAAGCACCAGCTGATTTACCTTTAGCTATAAATACAGCACCACCATCCACCCAGGCAGATTCATCCTCTGCTACTCTACCTCCTCCATATCAGCTAATCAATGTTCCACCACACCTGGAAACTCTTGGCATTCAGGAGGATCCTCAAGACTACCTGTTGCTCATCAACTGTCAAAGCAAGAAGCCCGAACCCACCAGGTAAATTATATATGCCCATGTGAGAGAGAGACAGAGGCGTGTGTATGTGTGTACACACTGAGATTCTTACCTTTAAACTTTTTAAATTTCGATTTGCAGGCTTGAAAGAGACCATCTGTATAGGCATATGTTTCAGGCTTTATATTTCAGGTTTACATTCCCCTATTGATTTCCGATATTCAGGAGATTGTATCGAAGAGACACAATCTCTGCCATCTTTGGCAAAGAGCAGTTTTCCCTACAAGGCTCTTTTGGAAATCTGTCTCCTATTTTGTAGTCTTTGTTACAGACTCACAGTATTACTTGCTTAACAGATTTCACTGATTTATAAATGGTGATCTTGCTCCATTTCTTATGTGATTGTAAACCAGCCAAGGGTCATCTTTTGTTTCTGAAGAAGGAGAGGAATACCTTCTACTAGAAGATTTTGAAAGCAAAACGATTCCATTGCAGTGAGTGTGTTGTGGTGGTTTTGGATCTGTGTGAGAAATTAATCATAAGGTAAAATCCCAATATAGCAAATTCCATGGAATATACAAATTGGATGTTAGTGAAATTTGATCAAATAAATATATTCCTAAAAATTACGAAACTTTTAGTCTTCATATCTAGCAATGAAGCAGAGCTTACCCTAAGCCTTTTTATTTATCTTTTTTTTTTTTTTTTTAGGAGACAAGGGCTTGCTCTGTTGCCCATGGCTCACTCATAGCTCACTGTAACCCCAAACTCCTGGGCTCAAGTATTCCTTCTGCCTCAGCCCCCAGGTAGCTAGGACTTCAGGTGCATGCCATCTGTATGCTGGCTGGCTAATTTTTTCTTTGTAGTGACGAGGTCTCACTATGTTGCCTAGGCTGATCTCAAACTCCTGGCCTCAAACAGTTCTCTCACCTCAGCCTCCTAAAGCACTGGGATTGCAGGTGTGAGCCACTGCGCTTGGCCTCCCTTTACAAATTTTTAAGTAGAAGTATATGGAGTGCAGCACTTGACTGAAGGAATGAATCATCAAGCCTGTCCCAAATTCTTGGTTTCTCTACCATCTCCTTCCCTGCCCCCACACCCCTTTCCTCTTCTAAGCTATAAGGCATTTTAATTGGATCCTCCTTGTTACTTGATGTTGAATAGTTAGAAGAGTTAAGGCAATAAAGAGTCAAGAAGCAGTTGTTTTACTATTTTTAAAAGGAGCAGAAAAATGATGATTGAGAGGCCAATCTCTGCCATTAGTAGCTATGTGACAATTAGTGATACCAGTCAACTGAGTACATTTTATTTATGTATTAATCAGCTAGGGTCTGGATAGAGAGTATATTTCTTTATAGACATGAAAAATGTTTTTTTAAACAAGATTATAATTAAGCATTATTTTATGACAGATTTTTTTTTAATGTGGAAAATGATTATTACTGGGCTAGGATCAGACAAAGCACTTGTTCAAAAATTTTAATGTAGAATATGTTAAGATTCACGAAATAGTTTCTGTGAACCATGCCCTGAGATGATGGAAATAGCTCATATTCATTCCAAAGCTGGATTTCTATGTATTTGTTGTAATGGGATTTTACCTGTAAGAGCAGAAAAAAATTTATAAATCAACATTTGTTAATATCAAATTCTAACTTGATTTTGCTTGTTTGCTGTGAGTATCTAAAATTATACACTGGCAACTTTGTTACCTATGCTACTAACTAATATTTTATTTTACAAAAGTTTACAATTATTTTTCATTAGCAACTTTTTAGAAGCCAACAGCCAAGCGACAGTTCTCAGTATATTTTATTTTTATATAGTGTATTTCATTGATTTCACTGGTATCACAGCTTTCCTCTTGCAGTACAACTTATGCTCAAAATCATCACCCAGATGTATTTTGCTATCTATATTTTGCAAAAGTGACAGTTAAATAGCAAATATTTATGAGGTAACCACTATGTGCCCAATATTATGCTAGGTGCTATGAAGGTACAAACTATATAAGATATAGTCTACTCAGATATAGTCACCTTTGGAGTTTACAAGTAAGAGTTGCTAAGAAGTGAAAACATGCAAGCATTAAATATTTAGAGATGAAGATAATATACCAGAGTTGCCTTGCAAACTCTTGTTTGTTCTGCAAGACTTTAGTTAGAATGTGCTCCTCTAGGAAGCATTCCTCTCAAACTCCCAAGTTAGCTTAAATATCTTTCTGGGTTTTTATAGCATCCTGGTTATGCCTTCATATCTTGTTTTATCGCAGTGTTAGAAACGATGTTTTTACTTACTCTTCACTAACTGTAAGCTAGTCAGAGCAAGGAGCTTTACTTATTACTCATAATTCCTCTAGCTTCTCTTAACTCTGCATTTGAATTAAATGAAGTACAAATTTTAGAATATGCATAGGTGCATTAGAAATTCCACAAAGGGACAGTGCAAGTGTTTTTAAGATGGAGAAAACAAAAGCTTCATAGGAAGAATGGAATGTGAACTACACCTAGTTGGTGAGAGAAGAAAATCATTAGTAATTTGTGCAAAAATAGCTTGAGGGAAAGGAGAGATGTGAGCAAGCATGGTGGGAGGAAGATAATGAGGAGGAGAGCCTCTTGAAGAATAGGATGGAGAAGGTGGAGCCAGGTTATTAGTAACCTCAATGTCAAGTGGATTAGTGTGAGGCCTTATAGTTCCCACACCCTGTAGGGGCCCTTACTAGGTTTTTCTCTTGAATACATGAGTGGTATAACAACTGTGTTTTGAAAATATTGATCTTATAGAAGTCTGGTCCCATGAATAGATTGAAAGAGGCAGACAGTAGAGGAAATTCCACTAAGGAGAGTTCAGTCATGTAGATCTCAGCAGGGATGGGGACCTGAACTTGGGATGGTGGCAATGGGAATAGAACAAGGGAATAAGTACGCGGCTAAGAAGAAGGGCTCGGTGCCTGCGTGACTGGAAATCAAAGAGAAGGAATCAAGCTGATTGAGTTTTAAGCCTGGAGAATCTGGATAAAGTCATTTCTTTCAATGCAAGCCAGGAAAAGCAGTCAACTTAAGAAGTAAATGGATTTCTATTTGAGGCCCACAAGCAAGGTAATACTGGAGTAACCAAGTAGAAATATTAGTTTGAGAATATGGGACTTGGAATTTGGTAAGATGATGGAAGTTGTCAGCATTCAGAGAAGAAAATGAAGTTCTGAAAAAGGAGGATGATCTCTAATAGCGTGTATGGTAAAAGGTTAGAGGACTGAACTCTGTTGGCCATTCCCAGGGAGAGAGACGGGAGGAAGGAGCCAGTAAGTGAAACAAGGAAATAATCAGCAAGGGAGAAGGGTTTTAAGATCTTTTTAAGATGGAGAAAACAAAAGCACAATGTGGCACAATGTGGGTTTTCTGATAGTAAAGGGGGAGACTTTACAGAGCGTAGTGCCACATGTTACTAAGAAGTCAGGGAAGGTAAGCCCTTTAAAAAAAAATCATAGTTATTTAAAGAAATATTGTTTAAATTCCTACAGGACTTTGGACAACATGCAGAAGTAGTTCAGGTATCTTGTTTAGCATTAAGGAAGTGAGAGTGTGCTTGTGTTGTTAGCTTCATCTTGTCGTATACCCAAATTTTGTGATACCTCAAAATGCAGAGACCGAAAATGTTCATAAATGTACTTTAATGAGATTTCTCAAAGTGAGTTATTGTTTGGAGTTGGTTAACTCTGTATCACGTATTTCGATCCTCTTTATAATGTTGGCTAAATGTTTGTTAAAGAAAAGTAGTGGAAAGGAAGATATATGAAAACAATTAGATGTTACCTTCTTGTAAGTCACATTGACCTTATTCAATACCAAGTAATCATTAGACTTTTAATTTTACGGAACAACAAATTTGCCGTGGGGAGGTTTAAGACCAATGGATCAACTATATAAACTGTACTAGCACTAGGTTTTTGCATGCTCTTCAGAGGAAATGCTTTTCCTTGTGTCTATGCATTAATCATTTACCTTTCCCAGAGTTTTGTAATGTTTAATTCCAGTGCTTCAGGGATTGTGTTTTTATGTGCAGATTTAATAGGTGGAGTTGGGGGTGTGGGCAGATATAGGACAGAATTAGAGAGAATGCTTTTCTTGGTTTTGTGGTGGCGGTTTTGTTGTCTGATGTATAATCATAAAGGCTAAAGAACATTTGTGCTTTAAATCCTATGGATCACACAAAAAATCTAATGAGAAAAGCCCTATCTTTTGATTGCTTAGCGATAAACATGTTTATAAAAAATGTATTCTTAGTCTCCACCTTGTTTATTCTGTCATTAACAATTTTTATTTAGAACGCATGCTGATTCTGCAAAATCCACCTCTTCTGAAACAGACTGCAATGATAACGTCCCTTCTCATAAAAATCCTGCTTCCTCCCAGAGCAAACATGGAATGAATGGCTTTTTTCAGCAGCAAATGATATACGACTCTCCACCTTCACGTGCCCCATCTGCTTCAGTTGACTCCAGCCTTTATAACCTGCCCAGGAGTTATTCCCATGATGTTTTACCAAAGGTGTCTCCATCAAGTACTGAAGCAGATGGAGAACTCTATGTTTTTAATACCCCATCTGGGACATCGAGTGTAGAGACTCAAATGAGGCATGTATCTATTAGTTATGACATTCCTCCAACACCTGGTAATACTTATCAGATTCCACGAACATTTCCAGAAGGAACCTTGGGACAGACATCAAAGCTAGACACTATTCCAGATATTCCTCCACCTCGGCCACCGAAACCACATCCAGCTCATGACCGATCTCCTGTGGAAACGTGTAGTATCCCACGCACCGCCTCAGACACTGACAGTAGTTACTGTATCCCTACAGCAGGGATGTCGCCTTCACGTAGTAATACCATTTCCACTGTGGATTTAAACAAATTGCGAAAAGGTCAGCTCTAGTTGACTTCTTCTCTATTAGAGGTTAATGATAGAAAATCGATTTTTCTGAATATTTGTTCTTTTAAGCGTAGTTAAATATACTATGCTACAAAATACAGTCCATTTTTTTCCAGCTCTACAGCTACCTGGAAGGGTATATTGCATTCATGCTCTGCTGGAAGGGAAAAAGAGTTGGAGTTTCTCACCCCTGAAGAAGTATGGCCTTAGTAATGCCTTCCTGCCTCAGGAAGTGTGCCCTTCTCTCTCCCACTTTCTATAATCCTGGGTGGATAGGCCCTCTGTTGGGACAGAAGGGCAGGAAATGGACCAGCCACAAAGCCTCTCCGAGTCATACCCTTTCCTGTATTTGTGTGCCATTATGGCCGCTTCTAAGTCACATCTGTTGGGCTCTATTTCCTTCCTTCCTATATAAGCAGTTTTTATGTTGTGTCTAACAGGTGATATTCTGTTCCAGTCAAGCCATTATGCTGTTTGATTTTTACTTGTGTTTAAAGAGCTGAATCTTCTTTCCCCTTATCACTACCCACTTCACTCATTGCTAGTGAGTATACTTTCCTATACTGTCTCCTAGAGTCTGTATCCAAAAGTTACAGACCTTGAGAGGAGAAGAAAAAAATGAGTCTGGGTGATTCTCTGAGATTCTCAAAGTCCTACAAATAGAAAGCTAAAGTTTTTAATGCACATATCCTAAACAGTATGTGCTAAAATTTCTGTATTTTGTGGTAGAGTTTTCCTCAGCTATCTCCAAGATTTTAATGTATCTGTGATTATTACTTAAATCAGTACTTATTTC
This sequence comes from Homo sapiens, assembly GCF_000001405.40. Taxonomy (NCBI): domain Eukaryota; kingdom Metazoa; phylum Chordata; class Mammalia; order Primates; family Hominidae; genus Homo; species Homo sapiens. The sequence continues at coordinate 143,439,405 of NC_000004.12, forward strand.
ACCATTCAATAACAGTATCTAACTCCTTTCTTGAAGTGACTGTATAACCTGGTTATCAGTTAGTGAGATGTAAGTTATGCCCAAGGTGGTGCAAACGATGAGAAAATAGAGGTGTTTCTCTTCATCTTTAGATAACCTATCTTATCCCAGACTTAGACATTCACTCACACTCAAAATTAGATATTGGTATTGGTTAGCATATGAGTGAGTGTCTGCATTTTCTAGTGGTTTAATATGCCAATTCAAGACACAGTTCTATGAGCATCCTTTTTAAAATTCTGTGTGTGTGCATGTGTGTATGCATATGTATAATGAGAGAAAGATAATAGGTCATCCCAATGACCCTGAGAGCTGGCAAAGATGGGAATAAATGTTGATAGTTTGTTCTTTATTTTAGATGCTAGTTCTCAAGACTGCTATGATATTCCACGAGCATTTCCAAGTGATAGATCTAGTTCACTTGAAGGCTTCCATAACCACTTTGTAAGTATAATTGACCTTGGCATCATCAAGTGTATTTCATTGTCTAAATCTTCATAATTAGTGCCATGAGACTAAGTGATATCATGAAATAAAAGTACGCTGAGATCCATATGAATGAGTGTGACTTACAATTGTGTTTTCATGTGTGACAAGAGTTTTTGTTTATTAAAAGAAATATATATGTGTTTTAGAAAGTCAAAAATGTGTTGACAGTGGGAAGTGTTTCAAGTGAAGAACTGGATGAAAATTACGTCCCAATGAATCCCAATTCACCACCACGACAACATTCCAGCAGTTTTACAGAACCAATTCAGGAAGCAAATTATGTGCCAATGACTCCAGGAACATTTGATTTTTCCTCATTTGGAATGCAAGTTCCTCCTCCTGCTCATATGGGCTTCAGGTCCAGCCCAAAAACCCCTCCCAGAAGGCCAGTTCCTGTTGCAGACTGTGAACCACCCCCCGTGGATAGGAACCTCAAGCCAGACAGAAAAGGTAAGGAGAGCATGGCAAAGTAAAAGGCTTGGGGAGTGCCAAGTTAGATCTATCTTTAACTGCCATTAAATCCAAAATAGAATTTGGACTAGAAATTCTGAAATATTTCATAGTTCCATAGCCATCAAGTTATTTAAGCAAAGCAGTACTGCCATTTATAAATTAACAATTATGATATCACATGTTGATGTGAGGTGATATTTATAAGTCTCCTATCTCTAGAGCAGAGGTTACAAGCTGAAATACTCACGGGGTGAGCGGACAACTGGGGAGAATTAGAAGAAACTGGACTGCCGTAGCCCCATCTAATGGGAGTAACTAACCTACACTGCTACAATCCTTTGTTGACTTGTGAAATGATGCACCCATGCAGGCAAATCTTCTGGTATATCAGGAAAAGCCAGAGATTTCAGATTTTATATGTATTATCTCTCAATTTTTAAAGTTCTATCAACTAATTTAATTATTAAGAAAACATTGCAGGCCAACCCAAACACTTCTGCAAGCTAGATAATGGCCTTCAGCTGCTATTTAGTAACCTCTTCTCCAGAGTATATAATATCAAATCAGACTTAAGATTATTAATGTATTTGACATAATTATTTAAGAACAGTGAGACTGTATAATCTTTCCATTCTGTTCATATAACAACTTCTTAAAAATTACTTTGCCTTTGCTGGGGTAATACATGCTTCTAGTCTGTCATTTTTTTTTCCATGCTGGCCTTCATAAGTAACATTAAGTTCTAAGGTAACATAGTTTGTTAAGAAGTCTGTAAAAGAAACTGTTCAGCCAAATTGGGTAATGCCTACCCAGGTTTTTTAAATTGGGGTTTAAGTTGTTAAAACACAGACAATTTGATTTGTTGCACCATGCTGTTAGTGTGGCTTAATCTTGACAACCAAGTAAATTAGCATAAATGTAAATGTGATGAATGATACAATATCTGGCTTACATTAGGGTGTTTCAGCACATTTGAAAAGTCTCATGTGCTATATGTAGCTTTTTAAGACCACATAATGTTGGCATCAATTTCTCCTTAACCTGGGCTTAGATCATTAATATTAGTTCTAATTAAGTCCTAGTTGTGAGGAAAAGAGACTGAGGCTCAGACTATCTTAAGAAAAAAGATTTGGTTTTGTTTGTAAGTAAGGATAACCTCCTCGTTTCAACAGGAGGTTAACCTCCTTCAACAAGGAGGTTATCAGGAACTGAAGCAATTCTAGGGGACTGTTGCTGTGTCCTGCTCTCTCTGTGCATTTCTGTTTTATGGGAAATCTTTGCATCTGGTTTGTTCTCTTTCACATTCTTCCCTTCTTTTCTGTTTTCTTTTCTGATTCTTTTTTGTTTTCTTACTCTGTATCCTCTACTTAAATGGATTCTGCTTTCCAAGAGCTTTGGCCTCCAATGCTCCCCTTCTATGGCCTCAGTTCTGCCTCCTAGCTGCTTTTTATGTGCCCTTGCAGCTTCTGCATCAGCTTCTCATTGCCTTACTTATTATTTACTCACTTTAGATTGCTTAGAGATGATGTGATTGGTCTATGTGTGTCACACCCACGACGACCCAGTCTGCCCTGGCAGCAGGGCTGTGATTGCGGTGTGGATCTCAGAAAGGATGTGAGCATCAGAGGCTTTCTATCGGATAATGCTTCCTTTTGTTTCCTTTTTCTTTGTCTCTAAATCTATTTTAGACAACTACTAGTCATTTTCTTTGCATATAATATGCAAAAATATGTTTGGACATGTATAGCTTTATAATTGGTTCATACAGATCACTGAAGGATTGAGATATAAGTGTCATGAACTCTTTGAAATATTGAAATATCTTTTTTAATGTTAAACTGGTGCTTTCCTTATTTTCCAGTAACGAGTGCATGTTAGTGGCAGATCTCTACTTTTTAACTCCAAACCTAACAGTTTTATATTTTGAGGTCTCGCATAAATGTGGAGGGAGTAAGATTTGGGTGAGGTTACAAAGCTTTTAAGTCCTACCTCCCTTGCTCCTCTGCTGCTCTTTTCTCCCCTTGAGCTCTGTAGAGCACAGTTTGAAAACTCCAGTATATTTCAACAGTTGTGATTCCATGTGGTAAGCATAATATGAAATCAGGAAACACCACTGTTTATAAGTTAGAAAAGACCTAAGATCAATTAATGATTAGCTTTTAGTATCCTCTAGGTCTGATATCACTCATGTATCCCACATTATTATGATATATATTTTATGTATATATCAGAATATATACTATGTATCATGTATACTACATATTTTATAATTATACATCCCTATGTATTTAGTGAAAGTACTATTATTCTAGTACACTAGAGACTAATCACACTAGTTCTTTAACGTAAAAGAACTTAATAGAACAGAATAAAGTAGGTTCTTATTTCTGGAGATTGTGTTCATTCTTTTAAAATTTAACTGAACTGTTCAGAGACAATTGTGAGTTCGTTGGCCACATTATTTATTTGGCATATTTGCTTAGATACAAAATGAACTTAAAAAGAGCACCCAGATTGAAATACCCATATAGTTTTTGCCAGAATCAAGAATAGACTTAGCAAAACAGTAAAGAGGTTCCTGAAGTCATAGTATTCAAAAAAAATTTACTTTTCTTTAGTACTATTTTACTTTTTTTTTTTTTTTTTTTTGAGACAGAGTCTCGCTCTGTTGCCCAGGCTGGAGTGCAGTGGCGCGATCTCGGCTCACTGCAAGCTCCGCCTCTGGGGTTCACGCCATTCTCCTGCCTCAGCTTCCCGAGTAGCTGGGACTACAGGCACCTGCCACCACGCCCAGCTAATTTTTTGTATTTTTAGTAGAGACGGGGTTTCACCGTGTTAGCCAGGATGGTCTCGACCTCCTGACCTCGGGATCTACCTGCCTCGGCCTTCCAAAGTGCTGGGATTACAGGCGTGAGCCACTGTGCCCGGCCTGTACTATTCTACTTTTTAAATAGTTATGATACAGGAGAGGAGGCTTGAGAATGTATTTAACATTACAAGGCAGACTTTGTAAACTCACTTTACAAAGTTATGACTTCATAAACTCACTTTACAAAGTTATAACTTCAAGAAAAACACATTTTAAAATCCAAATTCAGATCTCAAAGCAAAGTTTATCCACAAACACTTAAACAAAAATAATGTCTCGTTTGGTCCTATAATTTTTCTCAGTATTCATAGCATCAGATGAATCTATTTTAATTTCAAATTTCATGACATCAGATAAATGACTTAATCTATTATTCAGTATCTCTTATATAAAACTCATTATAAGCAAATCTAATTCTATAAAATATGGCTTGATTAGTTTCAGAGCTCCATATAACTAGTTCATTGCCCTATATGTCTGGTTTTTGAGATTGTCTTTGGAAGGATCTATAAGAAACCAGTAACATTCTAGTCTTGTTTATAGCCCCAATTATAGATGTCAGCTGCTGTAGTTTGCATACAGATGAGCTTTTCAAATACTTATGAGTAATTGAAACTGCAGAAATACATAGATGTTCTGAACACTTAAACATAATTATCTTAGACCCTTTGCCTGTCACTCAATTCATGATAGTGATATTTTCATCATACTATTTCTGTCACTGTAGTGTTTGTTTTGAGCCAAGTTTTGTGTGTATTAAGAGAAACGTATTTTAAGCATACTGTATTAAATATTGGGAAAGCAGATGAGTCACTGGAAATACAGGACAAATTATATTTTGACCTCTTCAATTGAAAATTTTATATTTCTGATGGAAAGGGAGTTTTGTAAAGTTTGGGAAATTTATCTGTTATAGCTTCTCTTTATGTCATGACATAAATCTAGTATATTAAATCGCTAAACTTATCTAAGGCCCCCATCTCTGTCTAGTCTCTGTCTAGCATGATGCAGCAGCTGTGTGAGCCCCACATGCTGTCTTTATGTTGTTATGTTTGGCCTTGTCCATTCACGCCTTTCTGCAACAGTCTGAACATTAGTTACTATACTGACTTTTTTTTGTTAAGCCAGTGCAAGGTTTTGTATGGTGTTTTTATACACCACTTTGGTTAAAGTACCTTCAAGCTTAGATCCTTAATATTGTGTGGGGAGCATACAGAAGACTAATCCTGAGAGTTTCCCTGGGTGACTCTTTTGGCACAGTGATGGATTTGCTCTAAACATTTTTTCAAGAGATCTTTTAAAGTTTCTGAATGTGATTAAAAATTAACATGCACTTTTTAAAATTTTTATTCTTTTGTATTTCAATTTTTATTTTAGTTTTAGGGGGGTGCATGTGCAGGTTTGTTACCTGTGTATATTGTGCGATGCTGAGATTTAGGGTATGAATGATCCTGTCACTCAGGAACTGAACATAGCACCCAATCGTTAGTTTTTCAACCCTTTCCACCTGCCTCCTTCCCCTCTCTGGTAGTACCCAGTGTCTGTTGTTGCCATCTTTATGTCCATGTTTAGCTCTCACTTGTAAGTGAGAACATGTGATATTTGGTTTTCTGTTCCTGCGTTTATTTCCTTAGGATAATGGCCTCCACCTGCATCTGTGTTGCTGCAAAGGAAATGATTTCATTCTTTTTATGGCTGTGTAGTATATGTACCACATTTTCTTGATCCAGTCCACTGTTGATGGGCACCTAGGTTGATTCCATGTCTTTGCTATTGTAAACACTGCTGCAGTGAACATGCGAGTTCGTGTGTCTTTTTGGTAGAAAGATTTGTTTTCTTTTGGATATATACCCAGTAATGGAATTGCTAGGTTTAATGGTAGTTCTGTTTTAAGTTCTTTGAGAAGTCTCCAAACTGCTTTCCACAGTGGCTGAACTAATTTTACATTCCCACCAGCAGTATATAAGCATTCCCTTTTCTTCACAGCCTCACCAGCATCTGTTGTTTTTTGACTTTTTAGTAATAGCTGTTTTGACTAGTGTGAGATGATATCTCATTGTAGTTTTGATTTGCATTTCTCTGATGATTAGTGATGGAGTATTTTTTCATACATTTGTTGGCCACTTGTATGTCTCATTTCTAGAAGTATCAGTTCATGTCTTTTACCCATTTTTTAATGGGGTTACTTGTTTTTTGCTTGTTGATTTGAGTTTCTTGTGGATTCTGGATATTACCTCTTTCTCAGATGCATAGTTTGTGCATATTTTCTCCCATTCTGTAGGTTGACTGTTTACTCTGTTGATAGTTTCTTTTGCTGTGCAAAACCTGTTTAGTTTAATTAGGTCCCACTTCTCAATTTCCGGTTTGTTGCAATTGCTTTTGAAGACTTGGTCATAATGCCTAGTTTCTTGAGGGTTATTATCAGGAGGAGACATTGGATTTTATCGAAAGCTTTTTCCAGGTCTATTGAGATGATCATATGTTTTTTGTTTTTAATTGTTTACATGGTGAATCACATTTATTGATTTGTTTTTTTGTTTGTTTGTTTTTAATTATACTTTAAGTTTTAGGGTACATGTGCACAATGTGCAGGTTAGTTACATATGTATACATGTGCCATGCTGGTGTGCTGCACCCATTAACTCGTCATTTAACATTAGGTATATCTCCTAATGCTATCCTTCTACCTTCCCCCCACCCCACAACAGTCCCCAGAGTGTGATGTTCCCCTTCCTGTGTCCATCTGTTCTCATTGTTCAATTCCCATCTATGAGTGAGAACATGCAGTGTTTGGTTTTTTGTCCTTGCGATAGTTTACTGAGAATGATGATTTCCAATTTCATCCATGTCCCTACAAAGGACATGAACTCATCATTTTTTATGGCTGCATAGTATTCCATGGTGTATATGTGCCACATTTTCTTAATCCAGTCTATCATTGTTGGACATTTAGGTTGGTTCCAAGTCTTTGCTATTGTGAATAGTGCTGCAATAAACATACGTGTGCATGTGTCTTTATAGCAGCATGATTTATAGTCCTTTGGGTATATACCCAGTAATGGGATGGCTGGGTCAAATGGTATTGCTAGTTCCAGATCCCTGAGGAATCGCCACACTGATTTCCACAATGGTTGAACTAGTTTACAGTCCCACCAACAGTGTAAAAGTGTTCCTATTTCTCCACATCCTCTCCAGCACCTGTTGTTTCCTGACTTTTTAATGATTGCCATTCTAACTGGTGTGAGATGGTATCTCATTGTGGTTTTGATTTGCATTTCTCTGATGGCCAGTGATGATGAGCATTTTTTCATGTGTCTTCTGGCTGCATAAATGTCTTCTTTTGAGAAGTGTCTGTTCATATCCTTTGCCCACTTTTTGATGGGGTTGTTTGCTTCTTTCTTGTAAATTTGTTTGAGTTCATTGTAGATTCTGGATATTAGCCCTTTGCCAGATGAGTAGGTTGCGAAAATTTTCTCCCATTTTGTAAGTTGCCTGTTCACTCTGATGGTAGTTTCTTTTGCTGTGCAGAAGCTCTTTAGTTTAATTAGATCCCATTTGTCAATTTTGGCTTTTGTTGCCATTGCTTTTGGTGTTTTAGACATGAAGTCCTTGCCCATGCCTATGTCCTGAATGGTAATGCCTAGGTTTTCTTCTAGGGTTTTTATGGTTTTAGGTCTAACGTTTAAGTCTTTAATCCATCTTGAATTAATTTTTGTATAAGGTGTAAGGAAGGGATCCAGTTTCAGCTTTCTACATGTGGCTAGCCAGTTTTCCCAGCACCATTTATTAAATGGGGAATCCTTTCCCCATTTCTTGTTTTTCTCAGGTTTGTCAAAGATCAGATAGTTGTAGATATGCGGCGTTATTTCTGAGGGCTCTGTTCTGTTCCATTGATCTATATCTCTGTTTTGGTACCAGTACCATGCTGTTTTGGTTACTGTAGCCTTGTAGTATAGTTAGAAGTCAGGTAGTGTGATGCCTCCAGCTTTGTTCTTTTGGCTTAGGATTGACTTGGCGATGCGGGCTCTTTTTTGGTTCTATATGAACTTTAAAGTAGTTTTTTCCAATTCTGTGAAGAAAGTCATTGGTAGATTGATGGGGATGGCATTGAATCTATAAATTACCTTGGGCAGTATGGCTGTTTTCACGATATTGATTCTTCCTACCGATGAGCATGGAATGTTCTTCCATTTGTTTGTATCCTCTTTTATTTCTTTGAGCAGTGGTTTGTAGTTCTCCTTGAAGAGGTCCTTCACATCCCTTGTAAGTTGGATTCCTAAGTATTTTATTGTCTTTGAAGCAATTGTGAATGGGAGTTCACTCATGATTTGGCTCTCTGTTATTGGTGTATAAGAATGCTTGTGATTTTTGTAGATTGATTTTGTGTCCTGAGACTTTGCTGAAGTTGCTTATCAGCTTAAGGAGATTTTGAGCTGAGACAATGGGGTTTTCTAGATATACAATCATGTCATCTGCAAACAGGGACAATTTGACTTCCTCTTTTCCTAATTGAATACCCTTTATTTCCTTCTCCTGCCTAATTGCCCTGGCCAGAACTTCCAACACTATGTTGAATAGGAGTGGTGAGAGAGGGCATCCCTGTCTTGTGCCAGTTTTCAAAGGGAATGCTTCCAATTTTTGCCCATTCAGTATGATATTGGCTGTGGGTTTGTCATAGATAGCTGTTACTATTTTGAGATACATCCCATCAATACCTAATTTATTGAGAGTTTTTAGCATGAAGCATTATTGAATTTTGTCAAAGGCCTTTTCTGCATCTATTGAGATAATCATGTAGTTTTTGTCTTTGGTTCTGTCTTTATATGCTGGATTACATTTATTGATTTGCATATATTGAACCAGCCTTGCATCCCAGGGATGAAGCCCACTTGATCATGGTGGATAAGCTTTTTGATGTGCTGCTGAATTCTGTTTGCCAGTATTTTATTGAGGATTTTTGCATCAATGTTCATCAAGGATATTGATCTAAAATTCTCTTTTTTTGGTTGTGTCTCTGCCCGGCTTTGGTATCAGGATGATGCTGGCCTTATAAAATGAGTTAGGGAGGATTCCCTCTTTTTCTATTGATTGGAATAGTTTCAGAAGGAATGGTACCAGTTCTTCCTTGTACCTCTGGTAGAATTCAGCTGTGAATCCATCTGGTCCTGGACTCTTTTTGGTTGGTAAGCTATTGATTATTGCCACAATTTCAGATTCTGTTATTGGTCTATTCAGAGATTCAACTTCTTCCTGGTTTAGTCTTGGGAGAGTGTATGTGTCGAGGAATTTATCCATTTCTTCTAGATTTTCTAGTTTATTTGCGTAGAGGTGTTTGTAGTATTCTCTGATGGTAGTTTGTATTTCTGTGGGATCGGTGGTGATATCCCCTTTATCATTTTTATTGCATCTATTTGATTCTTCTCTCTTTTTTTCTTTATTAGTCTTTCTAGCAGTCTATCAATTTTGTTGATCCTTTCAAAAAACCAGCTCCTGGATTCATTAATTTTTGAAGGGTTTTTTGTGTCTCTATTTCCTTCAGTTCTGCTCTGATTTTAGTTATTTCTTGCCTTCTGCTAGCTTTTGAATGTGTTTGCTCTTGCTTTTCTAGTTCTTTTAATTGTGATGTTAGGGTGTCAATTTTGGATCTTTCCTGCTTTCTCTTGTAGGCATTTAGTGCTATAAATTTCCCTCTACACACTGCTTTGAATGTGTCCCAGAGATTCTGGTATGCTGTGTCTTTGTTCTCATTGGTTTCAAACAACATCTTTATTTCTGCCTTCATTTCGTTATGTACCCAGTAGTCATTCAGGAGCAGGTTGTTCAGTTTCCATGTAGTTGAGCAGTTTTGAGTGAGTTTCTTAATCCTGAGTAGTAGTTTGATTGCACTGTGGTCTGAGAGACAGTTTGTTATAATTTCTGTTCTTTTACATTTGCTGAGGAGAGCTTTACTTCCAACTATGTGGTCAATTTTGGAATAGGTGTGGTGTGGTGCTGAAAAAAAAGTATATTCTGTTGATTTGGGGTGGAGAGTTCTGTAGATGTCTATTAGGTCCGCTTGGTGCAGAGCTGAGTTCAATTCCTGGGTATCCTTGTTAACTTTCTGTCTCGTTGATCTGTCTAATGTTGACAGTGGAGTGTTAAAGTCTCCCATTATTATTGTGTGGGAGTCTAAGTCTCTTTGTAGGTCACTCAGGACTTGCTTTATGAATCTGGGTGCTCCTGTATTGGGTGCATATATATTTAGGATAGTTAGCTCTTCTTGTTGAATTGATCTCTTTACCATTATGTAATGGCCTTCTTTGTCTCTTTTGATCTTTGTTGGTTTAAAGTCTGTTTTATCTGAGACTAGGATTGCAACCCCTGCCTTTTTTTGTTTTCCATTTGCTTGGTAGATCTTCCTCCATCCTTTTATTTTGAGCCTGTGTGTGTCTCTGCATGTGAGATGGGTTTCCTGAATACAGCACACTGATGGGTCTTGACTCTTTATCCAATTTGCCAGTCTGTGTCTTTCAATTGGAGCATTTAGTCCATTTACATTTAAAGTTAATATTGTTATGTGTGAAAATGATCCTGTCATTATGATGTTAGCTGGTTATTTTGCTCATTAGTTGATGCAGTTTCTTCCTAGTCTCGGTGGTGTTTACATTTTGGCATGAACCACTTTGCACCTTAGGAGTAAAGCCTACTTGATCATTAACATGCTTTTTAAAAACTACATGTATACACTAATAAGTGTTTGGAGAATGTATGAGTAATACCAGTACATGAAACTAGATTTTGATAAACAGGTATTAAAGTTTAAATCTTAAGTCAAGCTTTGCGTTAGATTTGTTACCGTTTAAAGGAAATAAGTATGGAGTGCATTTTTACAGCAGAGCCTTAATGTGGGGTTTTTTCCTCTCAATATTCTCTTGACTTCAAAGTATAATTATCATTATTACATTTCTCTTTATACCATGAGACCATTAAAACTTATAAAAATTTTTCAGTTTTCTGCCTTCATTACTTTCTGGAATTAACAAATGATAATGTGAATTACTTTTACTCTTTCTTGATTTTGGGGATGCCTACTGGAAGTAGTAGCATAATCTGCAAAACTTTGGGAAGAGTAAAAAATTTAGGCTTAAAAAAAATTTAGGCTTTGTAAAGCCTGTAATAATACAGAAAATAAAATGTCCACTTTGTGTGGAATTTATGTAAGTAGTTACCTATTAGAATAATGCATTAATAGATCACATCTATTTAATTGAAATGTGACCTCACATGACTGCCTTGACTGTATTTGAGATGACCGACTTGAAATACCCTTAGAATTTAGTTCTTCCCTTTTTCCATTTAAATGACAAGCAAAAATGGCTGGGCACAGTGGCTCAGCCTGTAATCCCAGCATCTGGGGAGACCGAGGTGGGCAGATCACCTGAGGTCAGGAGTTTGAGACCAGCCTGACCAACATGGTGAAACCTGTCTCTAGTAAAAATACAAAAAAATTAGCCAGGCGTGGTGGCGCATGCCTGTAATCCCAGCTACTTGGGAGGCTAAGACAGGAGAATTGCTTGAACCTAGGATTTGGAGGTTGCAGTGAGCTGAGATCATGCTACTGCACTCCAGCCTGGGCAACAGAGCAAGACTGCATCTCAAAAAAAAAAAACAAAAAATGTGTGAGATTGATCAGGTTAAACACCACTAGCTTTAAGAGAAAGGCAGTTCATTAACATTCATACAACACAGATTTAAGCACCTATCAGTTACAGGATATAAATTCTCCAAACAAGGAAAAGGTTGCTCCCCTGAAGAAGCTCACCGTCCAGGACCCCTGAAGAAGCTCACCGTCTAGGAGGGGATGTGGAGAAGTAAACACATTATCATAATTACCGTGGAAGGGGCTGTGGTTGAAGTAAACTCTTGGCACTATTAGGGAAGCTCCCCTGAGGAAAGTCTGAGAGTGTGAGTGGCAATTAAATGATGGTAGGGGAGGGCAGCCTGGCAAAGGATCTTCTCGTTAGAATAAACAACATGCCCAGGTCCTTTAAAAAGAGGGGAGATGAGACAGGCCCAGAGTCGTGGGGAGGTAGGTGGGCGGGCAAAAAGGAGGGAGGAAAGTACCAAAGGAGGGACGAATGCCAGATGCCTTGCAGGTTCCTGGTCCTGAAGGAGTTATAATTTATGATAATGAGTTTGGACTTTATTCTGAGTGTACCATTAAAGAATTTTATGCAGGCACATAAACTTTAAGATTTATATATTTAAATCTTAAGTCAAGCTTTGGGTTAGATTTGTTACCATTTAAAGGAAATAAGTATGGAGTGCATAATCAGAATGGCTCTAGAAAGCTCATTCTGATTTAAGAATACAATAGAGAAAATAATTGTATTCTTTAATGTAAAATGTTATAAAAATCACTTTTCTTTCTCAGAGAGTGCTTTGCCCAGTTTTCCAAATCCAGGGTTCTTGAAGTCTTTGTTGAGACAGGATCAAACAGGGAAGGCATAGCAAAAGTCCCCCTGTCTGGCTCCCTCAACTTGGGGAACTTAACAGTGATTTTTGGAAGTTTTGAGGCACTTGGAGTATAAGCGGAACTCATACAGCCATACAGTGCGAGTTCATCACTTTCAGAGAAACAAAACAGGTAAATGAAGTGCTCATTTAAAAAAAAAAAATCAGACAAACAATTTTTTATTTTCTGGTGTGAATGTCTGAAGCACGTCAGGGCCTTCATTTTAAAAGAGCACCCCGCTCTTTGCTGCTCTGTTTCTTAGGGTTGTGTGAAATCGTGGTGCTACATTAAGACTAGCTTTACGTTTTGCCTTGACATCAGTGTTTGCACAGGAAGTTTTTATGCAGTTTGCAAGGCTATTTTCTTTCTTTTTCTTTTAGAGACGGTTTCTCACTATGTTGCCCAGGATGGTCTCAAACTCCTGGGCTCAAGTGATCCTCCTGCCTCGGCCTCCCACAGTGTTGGGATTACAGGCGTAGCCACTGTGCGTGGCCTGCAATGCTGTTTTGTTTGGCATACTTGGGGACGATTCCTTATAATTAAAATTGTCTCATTTTTTTTGAAGGGCTTTAGCTTTTAAGAGTTTAGAAGTGTCCTCCTCTGTAAGAGAGCAAAGCAAAGGGAGGGTATGAATCATATGCTGCACGCTCTTCTAGATGGCATATATTTTCTAGTTAGCGTGTTTTCATTTTTTTCTTTTAAAAACCATTAAAATAAGTTACAGTGATGAGGTTACAGTATACAGCAGTATATTAGAAAAATATTAGACCAAGAATCCAAAAAGCCAGAATTCATTTCTGGTAATACTATTAACAACCACTCCCTCCCATTAAATGACATTGGGCAAATCCGTTGACTTTTCTTCACATAAATTTTCTTATTTTAAAATGTAAAATTAGATCATCTCTAATCGTACTCCAAATTAGGGAGCAGATCACATGATCAAGAGATTGATATTAACAACCCTCCTAAGGATTAAAGCACAGATAGAAATTTCCCCAGTAGTCAGTGCTCTTCACTAAATTATGCTGCACTCTTTGTTCAAACCAAGTCTAGCAAAAGCCAAGTTGTAACTAACTGCCTTGGACTTAAACATTCAGGCTCACATGAGTTCTCTATTTATTCTCAGAATTTAAGAGTCACCAAAATTGGTTTATTTTTGCCTTTGCTTTAGTATTCTTATGTCTTATTATCTATTTTCACACTTTTCTTCAGCAATCAGTAAAACATTGGCCTATTATATACAGGCAGTAAAGGAGGAGAAAAGGCTAAGACAGGCCTCCTTACACCTTGGACTTTTTTTCTCGTTTCTTTCCGCTTAAGTAATATAGGGCTATTCTTTGGGCATGATTTTCATTTCTGTCTGGAACATTAATGTCAAATTGAGTTTGGAAGCATAGAGAAATCCAGCTAACAAAATGCCTAAGTAACATAGTACAATTTAGTGCAACATTTCCACATTTTAGCTTCTGCCCTAAAATTAACCTTAAGCTTTGCACAGAGTAGAAAATACACGTAAATTTTATAAATGTATTTTTAAAAATTTCAATATGATTATATCATATTTTTCTAATACGAAAACCAAGGAATACCCTAGAAAAGGAGTACCCTTTTAGTACCCACCCCAGAAAAAAAGGTAATGAAGATGAAGAAGAACTCGAGTGAAAGGCTTACTGATTTCATGCATCTGCTTTTGGCTCATACGAGTCTCCTTGGAACATGTGACATCTTTAAAAATTACTTAATCCACATTGTCTTCATCATTACAATCACTTACATTTTATATATGTTTTCACTGTAACCAACAAGAAATTACTGGTCACGAAGGTAAACCCTTCAGAGAAATGTAACGATTTTACATCTCTGATGTTGGAAGCACTTAAAATTTAGTTGAGAGAACTTACTGTATACAAAAGCAACGCAATACAAATACTCTTCTAAGAGTAACTATAGTAAAGATTGTAGGTTTGAAATAAGGATATGGGACTAAGAACATGAACCCTCTCTCTAGATTCACAGAATTTAAATTCTAGCTCTACCAGTCATCATCTGTGTGACTCTGGGCAAGTTACTTAAGTTCTATAAGCCCCCAACCAGCTTGGTAATAAAATTATTAAAATTTCTTTTAAATTGTACCTTCCTTACATGGTTGTTGGGAGGTTTTAGAGTGTCTAGTACCTAAGAACTCCTCAATAAATGTTCATGATTAAGTGTAATGGCATTTCTCTGGGCAGTCTTAGAGAATGTATTCTAACTTGAGCTTTGTGTAGAAATTAAAGTCACTGATTGATAAAGCAGTGATGGATATTGATAGTGAAAGAATGTAGAAAAGGGCTGAAATTTTAAAGATGTACATGAGAAATAGAGAACAGAATGGTCTAGCCAGAGCAGAGCACAATTCAAGAGAAGAATGTGTTGTAAACACATCCGTATTCTTATGGCATTTCCATATTCTCCATGACTTCCCCAAATAAGTCATATGTATTCTGTGTTCTTGTCTGTAAAATCATTGCTATCTTGAAATGTAATTCATTGAATAGAAGTAGCTGGATTGAATTGAAGTAGCTGGATACTATGTTGTACTTGTTGAACTCAGAATAAAAATATACAGATGAATCCTTAGCATTTTATTTGGGAAGCAAGAATTGCAATTTGAGATACACAGACCAAGTGGTCTTTGTTATGTCTGAATAACAAAGAGGAGGTTGGGAGTTTTATTAGAAAGAGAAATCTTAAGTATTGTTTTGAAAGAAAGCTCACTGGCACTAGAGAATTTCTTTGGAGCTGGCAAGATCTGATTGGTGAATGATGGTGGTAGGTAAAACCAGTTTTAGAGTCATGGCAAGTCATTTCAGCAGCTGCTAGGTAAAACCGGTCTTAGGGTTGCAGCAGGTTGTTTCAGCACCAGGGTTTGTGGAAATGTTAATTCTTGGATCAGTTGCTCTGTGCGGTGAGTGCTTTTTCCCCCAGCCCTCAACCCTAATTTAGTTGGCTACAACAAGAATGACCCAATTTGTATAATCAACTTTCACACACCTTTCTCACATAATGGGCCTTTAATGGCTGTTGTCTGTCTTCTGTCCTTTTCAGTTTGAAAATCATTCTCCTAGCTAGAGAAGACTAAAGCAAGATAGGAGCTGAGTTTCTCTCTCTTTTTTTTTTAATCTATTATGATTAGTTTTTCTTCCCAAACAGGTTTGTTCTTGCCTTGTTTCTTTTCCTCTAGGAATAGGTTTTAAAAGACCCTCCATGTAATTTTTCATAGGCCGTGATCATTCTGGATTATAGTCATCACACCAGCATTCACACAGGCTCGGGTAACTTTCTCATTGACCTTGACTCCCTGCTCCTTCCGTTTCAGTCCTTCCCATTTTAAAAGCTCTTTTTGTTGTCATATAGGGAAATCATTAGCATTTTGAGACCAAATGCAGATGCTTAAAGGGGATGGACTACATAACTCTGAAAATTTGTACCTAAAGATCCAGGATACGGTGTCATTACTAAGGGCTTTGGAGGTGGAAAATGGCATTGGTTTAGAGGAGAAACAATCAGTTTCAGCTTCAGAAGGATAATTGGAGATAACCTGTCAGGCAGTTGGAAGGTGGAACTAGAGAAAAAGTGAGAAACCATAACTCGGTAAGATTTAGCAGTCATGTGACCTTGATTATTTAACCACAAACTTAGATAAGATACTGGGGTAGCAAAGCTGAGAAATGCAAAGAGTGACCACTGGGAGATAACTATGGTGAAAAAAATCAGGAGGGAGCTGGAGAGCTAATGAAAACGGATCTTTCAGACAAGGAGGAGTGCATCTCACATACTAGGTCAAGAGCAGCAAACCAAAAGAAGTTCTAAGAGCATTTTGTAATTAAACCTGGTATCACTGGTGTGTCAGCTCTCTGTGGCATTCACGTAGATGTCCCCCCAAGCCACATCTGTAAATTCAGAGTAGTATCAACTATAGACATAAGTGTAGGAATGAGCACATTTCTTCCTTTCTCTACTTGGTTTCCTTAGTTTGTGACTGTGTGGCACAGAGTGCTGCAAGATCTCCAGCCGCAATGGAGAGTTCAAAACTGAACTCCAAGCAGCTCCAACATAGTATCCAGCTAAATTTCCTAAGATTCTCTATATCCCTAAAGGTCTGGAAAGGTAAGACAGTGTGGTATAGAACAGGAGTGCCACACCAGCAAGTGGCAGGCTAGAGGAAGTCTCAACTCTGCCTCCGGTTAAAGTGTAACCTGAACAAATCACTTAACCCCTTCTTTCTTTGGATGAATCTCATTCATAAAATGAAGAAACTAGATTTGTAAGGGCCTTTCACTCCAAAATAATCATATTATTTTAATACTAAGACTTACCTTCTGCCTCTTATTTTTTTTGAAGGGTAGCACACTATTTGGGGGAGTTTAAAAAGTTGTCATCGTAGCCGGGCGCGGTGGCTTACGCCTGTAATCCCAGCACTTTGGGAGGCCAAGGCGGGTGGATCACAAGGTCAGGAGATCGAGACCATCCTGGCTAACACGGTGAAACCCCACCTCTACTAAAAATACAAAAAATTAGCCAGGCGTGGTGGCGGGCACCTGTAGTCCCAGCTACTTGGGAGGCTGAGGCAGGAGAATGGCATGAGCCTGGGAGGCAGAGCTTGCGGTGAGCCAAGATTGTGCCATTGCACTCTAGCCTGGGCGACTGAGAGAGACTCCGTCTCAAAAAAAAAAAAAAAGTTGTCATCTTCCTTTGCTTTAGAAAAGGGTCCTGCGGGTATGGGCCCTGGATTAGGGAATTTTAGGGGTAGGGAGTGGATCTTGCCCAAAATTTTAGTATTTACCTTTTAAACTCAGGCTGCCTCATTTCTGAATAAACTCAATGTATTGTGTAACTTAGAAAATTGGTTAGGAAATTTTATTTTTTATAACTTCTACAGAATTATATTTTAAGAAACTTAGATTTCGATAGGTAAGGTGCTAGATATCAGCACTTAACCAGCAAATTCTGATTCTGCCACCTAATAGATGTAAACTCAACTTTGTAAATTCCAAGAAAAAAGAAAATTTAGTGCCACTAATAATGGAGTAGCTTAAATCACTGGTTCAAATGATATTGCAGCTCTGGCATCCAGGCTTCTAATGGGAAGGATGCCCTTTCATAGGCTTTTCAGCAGTGCTTTTATGTGGCAGACATTAAGTGAAAGGAAGATGATGGTAACTGAATTTATGCTTTCAGAAATATACTTAATTAAACTGAAGCTAGGCAATCAGTAGAACCAGAATCTAAACATGTAATTCTTGCAAGATGAAGCCATTGGGCAACCAGTGAGTATCCAGAGGAAAGAAATGCTGGTCTTGTTTTGGTTTTAGATTAGTAAATATAGTAGTGGCAACTTGCTTCTCTAGAAGAGTCTTGTTCAGGAGGTGCAGGAATAGATTAAGGTTTTAAAAACATCTCTACCAAATTAGAAAAGTAATATTACAAGGACGTAGGCCTTCGGGCTTTCATATGAGACACCAGATTTCAAAGAAAAGAAAGATGTAATTGAGATCTGACTAGGGTATTCTACAAATTTTTTATTTGATCCAGTTTTCTAAGACATGTTAGAAGAAAAACTAACATGGCACATATTTTCCCTCTGTTCCCCCAAATGAAGATAACAACTAACCAGGCTGGTTATCGCACTAAAATCCTGCCATCTTTTATACCTCCTTGCTGCTTACATTGTTGCATGTAAATTCCTCTTTTCCATTGTGCTGAGCATGAGCATGAATTTTATGTAACAAGACTGAAATATTCTCCACAACAAACTTTTGTTCATGCTTTTAGATGTAACATTTTTGCACAGGGCTCTGTTGCTTTTTTTTTTTTTTTTTTTTACAGAATCCATTTTCCAATTAATAAATAACATTATATTAAGAGAGTCTTCTTTTTACCAATTAGGTCAAAGTCCTAAAATTTTAAGACTCAAACCCCATGGTTTAGAGCGAACTGATTCACAAACCATAGGTGACTTTGCTACAAGAAGAAAGGGTATGTACTTTAGCACCGCATGCTGTATGGGGCATTGGGAATTTATTTTGTAATGTTTTTTGTTTTTTTTCTAAAAATAAAGAAGAACCTTAAATACTACTGCTGTTGTAAATAAAACTTTCCTGCACATTATTTCTAAAGTGAATGCTTCCCATAATACACAATGAGTCTACTTACTCTGCCATTAACAACAGCATGTTAAATATTTGATAATATGTGATATTCAGACTTGTCCTTTTGCATTATTCTTTTAACTTTGTAGACAACATTTTATCCTTTCAGTTTGTGAACTGTTTGTGATTTTCTGTTGTCTTCTGTCTTTATGTATATGTGTTCTGTTCTGAGACAGAATAAAGAATCATTTCCATGGATTAATTGTGCCATTATTTAAAAACTGACAGCTAAACTGCTATTAGCCTTTGGGTGTCAAAAAGTAAAACATTAACAGTTAAAGAAATACTTTCACTCAGCGGAATATTCTGTATGTTTCTATTTTAAGAATATAGACAAGCAAAATGGTTTCAGCTCAAATTAGTAAGTTAATTTGGTCTTCATTATATGTGAGTTGACAAAATACTTATGAGCCTCAATGCGTATGGTCCTTTAAAATGACCATTCATTTTATAGTGTAATGGTAACTATGCCATAACATACATGGACAAAGACTATAAATAAATCTCAAAGATGAAATTTTTTGTTAAGAGTGGCAGAATGAAACATAACTGAAATATTTACCTAACATGTTTAGGTAGTCTCCTAAAATATCTAGTATTAAATAGTATTGTTTCAGTTCTTTTGCTCACTCTGTAAATTTCTGAAAAAATCTCAGTCTTGACTTTAAGAAAATGGCTAAGAACTCTGTGGTATATATTGGTTTAATTGTCTACTGCAATATGAGGTAAATAAAGATCACTTATAAATGAAAATTATTATTAGCATTTACTTAATTGTATATAATTTAGCAAGAGATTTGTTGCTTAAATTACACTAACAATTTGAAGTAAAATAATTATGGCCTTTTTTCAGAGCGGAGTTTGGATCTAAAGATACAAATATTGTTTCGTTTTGTTTGTTTCCAGACTGTGCATGAATTATTTTAAAAGATTCGAACATTTTTTCAGTTTGGGGTTTTAACAAAGTTGTGTTTTTAATAGTTTCTATGCATCATTTTATATATATAGTTATATACTCCAATATTGAAGAAAAGGAATGATTTTACATAGATGATTAAATTTTCTTATTGAGTATGAAATTGGTGAAATAATTTATGAAATAATGAAACATATAAAGCAACCATAGAGGAACTGGGTCACATTACTCTTTATCTCATTTAGTTTATATTCATAAAATATGCACTTAGGCAACATGTTGTAATAGAGGTTTAGGCTTTGAGGTAACAATCATGAAACATCTGATTTAGCTTTTACCACTAATTACTTAGCTATGTAACCTTGGGCAAATCATGTAACATTCATGGACCTCATTTCACATGTGAAACTAGGTGGTCTTAGGTTTACTCTGGCTATCAAATATAAATAGAGTTACAGAGAGAGAATCTTGTTTGTTTTCCAAAGTTCTGTATACTAAAAATCTCTTTTTCTCTTTTTCTTTTCAGTCAAGCCAGCGCCTTTAGAAATAAAACCTTTGCCAGAATGGGAAGAATTACAAGCCCCAGTTAGATCTCCCATCACTAGGAGTTTTGCTCGAGAGTAAGTCCTTTGTCTAAAATATGTAGTTTGTATGAATAATGTGACTATCTAGAATTGTTCATTATCATGGAAAATATCTGGAATAGTGGTTCTCAATGGATGATCTGAAGAGCCCCCTTTTTGGGGGTTCTGTGAAGTCAAAACCATTTTCATTAATATATTAAGATGTTATTTTCTGTATTTTTTCTCCTTCTGAGTGTACAGTGGAGTTTTCCAGAGGCTACATGATAAGTGATGAGATCATTGTGACACCCAATAGAAATGTGTATTTGTGTATTACTTACGTTTTAAAAATATGTCTATTTTCATCTCTAATATGGCAAAATTAATAGATACAACTCATGTAAACAAAAATTTCTTGGGATTCTCAATAATTTTTAAGAGTGTAAAAGGTTTATGAAACCAAAAAGTACTGAGGACTACTAATCTTGAAAATATGGTAGTCTCTTGTGGAGATTATTTAACCGAGACTTATTTAAATGTATATAGGGAATTGAGAGGAATTTATGAAGTTACAAACCTATGTTGAACATATGTTCATGTTTCGTGTGTGTGTGTGTGTATATAGTTTTTAAAAAAATAGAAATTCTTAAGTCTTCCATTTTATATCTGTAACTTTCTACTTATCACCAAGTCACTGGCAGTGGTTTTTTTGTTTTACACAAAATATTTTGCTGTCCAAAATACACTTTTATAATACAATTATAAATATTAGTTATGTGTTTGTACACAAAAATTACATCATTATAAATGTGTACAATGAATGATTATAAACATAAGGGAATATTTCTGAAAGAATGCAGACTGTCTCTCATTTTTATTTGGGGAATAATTTTAGATATTTTTGTCAAGGCTTATGTTTGTGATGATAATTTCTGTAATTAGCTCTTCCAGGTTTCCCATGTCCCCCCGACCAGATTCAGTGCATAGCACAACTTCAAGCAGTGACTCACACGACAGTGAAGAGAATTATGTTCCCATGAACCCAAACCTGTCCAGTGAAGACCCAGTATGTAAAGTTTTAACTTTTCCCTTTCTGAGCAGCCCTTTTCAGTCATTCAAGCTAGAACTGTTCTGTCTATAAATTTTATCCTCGTATCTTTATATACTTAAGAAAAAGCAGTAAAAGACAACTTTTAAAAAGCTTATTAAAAATAATGTCATAAACTCTAAAACCAATAAAAGGTGAAAGTAAACTGTAAATGAGTTAAAAAAAAAAAGTTGCCTGGCACAGCAGCACAACCCTGTAGTTTCAGCTATTTGGGAGGCTGAGGTGGGAGGATCACTTGAGTCCTTGAGTCCAGCAGTTTGAGGCTAGCCTGCACAACATGTCACCCTGTCTCTAATTAGAAAAAAATTAAGTTTTCAGTTATATGTCATTTAAGAGATACTTGATTTTTTATACTCTTCAAGAAAATATACGGGCAGCATTTTATGATGCAATTCTCTAAGGCCATGTCACAGCACTCTAATGGTGAAATGGTCTTATAAGTAAGTAATATACCTTTAGATAGGTGTAAAGATTAAAGAAGACCTCTTATAAACATAACATGTTTGAGGTTGGCTATACTACCATAAAGCATGAGAATTTTCTAATGGTAGTGAGCATTTTGTTCCTCATAAATCAGGTAGTTGCCAGAAAATACTTCAAATGTTTAAGAATACAAACCAATTTTAATTTTTAAAAATATTTTGCTTTAGCTTTTCCTTAAGTCAGATTTAATGTTTGCTTTGTTATTTGTATTTTAGTTGATAAGTATATCCATTAGGATTAAGTTCCCCTCTGAGTAAAAGAAAATAAATATTTGTGACTCAAGAGAGAAGTTTCTTTCTTTCTCATGGAAAAGTCTAGAGAGAGTCAATCCAAGGCTGTTGTGGCAGCTCTGTTCCATAGAGTCTTCAGGGATTCAGACCTTTTCCAGCTCTCCAGTCTGCTTTCCTTGGGTGTGGCACATATGCTCATTGGACAAGATGATGCTCCAGCCAGCAGAGTGACATTCCAACTCCAGGTGGAGGAAAGAGAGAAAAAGAAGGGTACAGCCCAACTGCCTCATAAGGACAGTACCTCGAAACTGCTTTATAGAAACCATTAACCAGAACTTAGCCTGTGTGGCCACACTTAGACACAAAGGAGCTAGAAAACATAGACTTAGATCCGAGGAACAGTGGGCCCACCTAAAAATCCCATGCATATGGGAGAGGGGAGAGCAGGTATTGAGGGACAATCAGACCATATCTTCCAGGATAAGCAAATACCTGATGTCAAAATTTAGAATGAGTAACACTTTAGTGGCCCTATATTATTTAAAACAGCCCTATTTAGAGGTATAAAATATAAAGCCCAATTCTGTCAATGAATTGGTTTTTCATCCTTAATAGACTTTAGGCAGAACCAGCTTTCTTAAAACTATATATTGTCAGGAAACATAATTCAGTGATATGAAAAACTTGATTTTGTGCTTAAATTAATTAACTTTAAAATATTACCAAATTTAGCCAGGCACAGTGGCATGTGCCTGTAGTCCCAGCTACTCAGGAGGCTGAAGCAGGAGGATCTCTTGAGCCTAGTTCACACCTAGCCTGGGCAACATAGCGAGACCTCATCTATAAAAATTTTTAAATATCAAATTTATAAAGTATTCAAAAATAATATAATCAATATATCAATAATGTTTTCACTGATTTTTCAAGGCAGGGCAATTTTTAGACACTTTTGCTTTTGTATTCACTATTTTTCAATTTGAGTGGAGTTCTATTATTATTATTTAAGTTAATTAGTTTTCCTCAGTATAGTAAGTTGACTCTAGTAAAACTCTAAATCCTAAATTCTCGGTCAGAGTAGATATTGTCACCTATTTTCAACTTTGGGTAGTTGAGTGAACTGTTTTCTTATCGTAAAGTAATTAGAGTATTTTCTGAGGTACTAAAGAGTGTGTCTTTTTGCCCAAAATAGTAAATAGCCATAAAAATTTTGGAAAGTCCCATATAATAGGAAAGTTTAAAAATGTGATTTGTCATGGGTGTTAGATGAAGGGAAAAGATGAAAAAGAAGAGCATTACAATCAGAAATCAAAGGAAATCAAAATACAATTTTTTTTTTTTACACCTAATGACAGTAAGCCAGAAAGGTGCTTTTACTTGCCACCAATAGAGGTGTCTAAATAAACACAATGTGGTGAATTTCTTTTTTTTTTTATTTGGAGACAGATTCTCTTTCTGTCACCTAGGCTGGAATGCAGTAGCGCGATCTCAACTCACTGCAGCCTCCACCTCCTGGGTTTCAAATGATTCTCCTGACTCAGCCTCTCGAGTAGCTGGGATTACAGGTTTGCGCCACCACACACGACTAATTTTTGTGTTTTTGGTAGAGACAGGGTTTCATCATGTTGCGCAGGATGGTCTCAAACTCCCGACCTCAAATGATCTGCCTGCCTTGGCTTCCCAGAGTGCTGGGATTACAGGCGTGAGCCACTGCACCTGGCCTGTGATGAATTTATGAAGTACTTAGGTCCTATGTATTAGAAAAAAGCAAAAATGACCCAGGAGGACATACCTATCTACCAAGTACAATAGAAAAGTCAACAATGCCAATTCCATATCCTCATGCTGCCAAATACAAGGACTCATCATAGTCCATTCAACTCTCCCTTAGAAAAGAATATGAGAATTATAGCAATATTTAACAAACTTCTTTAATTTTGGATCAAAAATCATGCATTATCAAGTGAATTCTGAATGTGACACCTGAAATTCAAATGATGGTAAACCATAACTAAAGGCATACATACTGTTATGTGATAATAACAACAAAAATATGTTAAATGATTTTACATAATTTTTAAAGAATTTTTTAAAAATCTAGGCCGGGCATAGTGGCTCACACCTGTAATCCCAGCACTTTAAGGAGGCCGAGGCAGGCAGATCACCTGAGGTCAGTAGTGCGAGACCAGCCTGGCCAACATGGATAAACCCCGTCTCTATTAAAAATACAAAAATTAGCCGGGCGTGGTGGCAGGCGCCTGTAATCCCAGTTACTCGGGAGGCTGAGGCAGGAGAATTGCTTGAGCCCAGGAGACAGAGATTGCAGTGAGCCGAGATCAAGCCACTGCCCTGCAGCCCAGGCAACAAAGCAAGACTCCATCTCAAAAAAAAAAAAAAAAAAAATCTCACACTACTGGTTTGTTATTTAATTCAAAGAACACTTATAATACCTTATAGAATCTTAGAGTTTCTCTAAACTGTTTTGGGAAAATACTGGGTGAAAGGCTAGAATACAGACAGGCTGTTCCAGTGGAGATTAAATCAAGAGCAAATAGACTTCCTTGTAGACACACAAATGTTAACCATACTTAAAGATGGAAAAACATTCAGTTCTAGTAATAACAGACATAAAATAGGTTAACTAGCCACCCTGAGAAATTCTGTTTAGGAGCAACTTATTGGTATTATGCATGCAGGTCTTACAAATTTATGCATTTCTTTTATAGCCTTGTAATACTGTGAACAATTCTAGATATTTCTAATCAGAGAAATGGAGGGTATGGGTCTTTCATTGATCACATTTGAATATAGAACTTTTCACACACTCATGGCTGATTTTATGTGACAATGATATATAGAGTCATTCAGATAAAAAATTTCATGATGATTCCAGTTTCTCCATGAATTAGAAAGAAGAGAGGGATTGCTATTTATATTGAGGACCAAAACTTGCTTATATTTTTTGTGCTCTACATGTTATTTTTGATTTTTTGATTTTTTAATTTTTTCAGACAGAGTTTCCCTCTGTTGCCCAGGCTGGAGTGCAGTGGTGCGATCTTGGCTCACTGCAACCTCCGCCTCCGGGTTCAAGCGATTATCCTGCCTCAGCCTCCCAAGTAGCTGGGATTACAGGTGCCCACCACCACACCTGGCTAGTTTTTGTAGTTTTTAGTAGAGACGGGGTTTCACCATGTTGGCCAGGCTGGTCTCAAACTCCTGACCTCAGGTGGTCCGCCCGCCTCAGCCTCCCAAAGTGCTGGGATTACAGGCCTGAGCCACCGCGCCTAGCCATTTTATATATTTTTTTAATGTTTTATTTGTAGTAATTGATAAATTTGGTTTAAAAAATCTGTTTCTTCAAGTAGGAATATTACATTTAGTTGTACAGGTTGTTTACTGAATAAACATACTGCATACCTGATTATATGAAATTCAGGCTATGTGCTGCTCACCAAGCTGCAGTCGCCCACAGCACAGAGCTGTCTCACCCCAGTGCAAGAAGCACCTTTTAATAATTTGCAAAAAGGTTCCATACCAGCTATTAGCAGCCCTGCTACGAAATGAGAGAATAGTCTCAATATTTTCCTAGAAGTATCCTTTCCCTAAGGCACAGTTTTTTCTGTTTAACCTAAGCAAAAAGAAATGAAGTAGCAATATAAAAAGAATCAACAGAACCACCAGATGTATGCAGTTTTCAAATTGTTTTATTCATCATAACATGTATAAATTTTTAACTTTGTTAAATCATTATGATTTTCTTTAAAAGTATGAGATAATATATGAACATTAATATCAACAGTGCACAAGGATGAAATTCCCTAATGAGAAATACACAGTCTTGCGTATGAGAAGCCAAGAACATTTCTAGATGGGGTTAAAAGGAGTAAGGCATGGAAACAAGTCACTTGTTTGAGCACATGTATAATAGAACCCTGTTGTAATTAGAGTGGAGGGAATATATAGGGACTTAGGTTCATGCCAGCTTTTCCTTTCTATTTAGCATTGATCTTCAAGTGCCTATTTTTCATTTTTCTGCCTCAAGTTTTTTGTTCCTGCTGTTTATCGCTGTCATCTATCTTCCTACCTTCTTTCCCTTTTTTTAGAGAGTAGTCCTACTGTACAAATCATCTGAAATGGTTATTTACAAATTCCAGAGTTGTCTTCACTCTGCTCTCTTTAAAATCTTAGCACTATTTTTGTCCAAAATTTTAATTCTTTTTAAACCCAGAAGTTAGTAGTATTATTGCTCTTATTATATAAACTATGCTTATTTACGTTTTTCTGCATGTTTAGCAGCTTCTTTATCATTTCTTGTATTTCAGGCCTTCCTTAGGTAGTAATTTTCCTTCTCTCTTAAATACGTTCTTTAGAATGTATGCCTTTCAGGAAGGAAAAGATCAGGCTAAGGAAATTAGGTGGTAAAAAATCCAGATGATTGAAACAAAATACACTTAGCCAATGGAGTCAAACAAATTTTAGTGTGAAAGCCTTTAGATAAAACGTAGAAAGTTTTTTTAAAATTTAACTTGAAAGCAAGGAATATAAAGATCCTGTAAAGCATAATTGAGTACAGACATAATTTTAATAATGTTCAAGTTGGGCTATCATAGCTAAGTATCTCCTGATGTCTCAATCTTAGTGTGAACCAAGTTTAACTTTTGAAACTACGTTTAGCTTGCTCTAAGCTAGGCTTTAATCAGTTTTTTAAATATTACTTATTTTCTTTCTATCCTAAAAGGTTGTTTAACTTTTTAAGCTATGTCCTCTTGAAAGCAAATATTTAGGCTTCCGTAGATGTTCAACAGTACGAGTGGTATGTCTGGTGAATGTCTGACCGTTGATTTTGTTGTCTAATACTTTCAGAATCTCTTTGGCAGTAACAGTCTTGATGGAGGAAGCAGCCCTATGATCAAGCCCAAAGGAGACAAACAGGTGGAATACTTAGATCTCGACTTAGATTCTGGGAAATCCACACCACCACGTAAGGTGAGTGACATGTGACATGTCTCTTCTTTGTATACAGTTAGTTCACACTTCAAACCTGAAGAATTATTTCCTTTGGGATAATTTTATTAAGTTATGTTTAATATAAATTTAGTCTGGTCTGCTACTTGATGCTATCTCATAAAACAAAAATAACATAGTTATGGAGACTGATTATTTTTTCCTTTCTGATGGTTAGAAATTTTATACTTTCTACTTTTTTAGTGGTTACCATTGAAATAGTTATTTAACAAATTCTTTTTTTTTTTTTTTTTTTTTTTTTTTGAGACAGAGTCTTGCTCTGTTGCCCAGGCTGGAGTGCAGTAGTGTGATCTTGGCTCACTGCAACCTCCGCTTCCCAGGTCCAAATGATTCTCCTGCCTCAGCCTCCCAAATAGCTGGGATTACAGATGCGCGCCACCACTCCTGGCTAATTTTTGTATTTTTAGTAGAGACACGGTTTCACCATGTTGGCCAGAATGGTCTTGAACTCCTGACCTCAAGTGATCCACCCACCTCAGCCCTCCAAAAGTGCTGGGATTACAGGCAGGAGCCACTGCATCTGGCTGTTATTTAATGAATTCTAAAGTTAACCAGTCTAGTGTCTTTACTCTCCTTAAAATGCTCAAATTCTGTGCTATCTTTGTCCAAAATTTTAATGTTGTCTTTTTGTTAAGCCCACTAATTAGACAGTATTATTACTGCTCTTATTATATAACAATGTTTATTTACATTTTCCTACATGTTGACCAGCTTCTTTGTCATTCCTTCCTATTTCTCAGACCTTCCTTCTGCAATAATTTTCCCTCCACCTGAAATATACCCTTTAGAAGTGCCTTTAGTGGAGGTCATTGGTAGTAATTTTTTTCAGTTTTTGTATAACTTAAATGTCTTTATTTTGCCTTCACTCTTGGAAACACAGTTTTCTTGAGTTTACAGTTCTTGATCAACAATAATTTTCTCTCAGCCCATGGAAGATACTATCCCACTACTGTCTTGCTTCTATTCCTATGGAAAAATTGCTGTCAGTCTAATTGTAATTCCCTTGTAGATAATGTCTTTTCTGACTGGATGAGTTTAAGGTCATTTCTGTATCTTTGGTATTCTACAGGTTCACTACAATACGTCTAGACATAGATTCCTTTTTATTTATCTTGCTTAGAAGTGCTGCCTTCTTTTTGGATTCATATTTTTTATCAATTCTGGGAAAGTCTCAGTCACTATTCAAATATTGCTTTTCCATTTCTAAAATGAAATTCTGTTTGGGTCTTTATCAAATATGTCTGGCCAATTTACTGGCTCCTTTTTCAATATCTGAAGTCCTTGGAGGTCTGAATCTGTGTATATTGTTTCTCCTATCTCACACTCTCTACAGTTTGTTTCTTTGTGTGTTTTATATATTTTTATTGCAACCTCATTTTGTTGAACATATCTTCTGAGGACCTAAATTTCTTCTATAAACTATTTGTATTTGCTTCTGCTAGGAACCAGGAGGTGCTACCATCCTAGGACCACATCAGTTCCCTTCAGGGGTCCCTAGCTTGATGAGATATTCTCAGTTTCAGCATCACCTCCAATGCAGGGCCTCCTGATTGCATTTTTGAGATTGACATTCATCCTAAAGCCAACACCACGTTTACCATTTAGAAGCTCACCACTCCCTCTACTTCTCTTATACCTTAGACATTTCACTTTCTAGTGAGCGCAGCAGTGCATTGATAATTTTATTTAAATATCTATATCTTGTTGAATTTTAGGAATGAAAAGGCATCAGCTTATGTAGTTTGTCATTCTTGAAGTATAACTTTTCCAAAAACATTTCTTGTTAGCTCTCAAAGTAAACATTGATTCATGTTCTCAGAGGTTGAGAGACAGTCAAGCTTAAGTTGACAGGAGAATCAGGTTGTCTATGTTAAGATGAAACAGGCATCTGCTGTCCCTATTTTTTATGAATTTCATCTGTCATGGAAGCATTAGTTTGAATTCTTTTTTTTTTTTTTTTTTTTTTTTTGGACGGAGTCTTGCTCTGTTGCCCAGGCTGCAGTGCAGTGGCACGATCTTGGCTCACTGCAACCTCTGCCACCCGGGTTCAAGCCATTCTCCTGCCTCAGCCTCCCAAGTAGCTGGGATTACAGGCGCGTGCCACCATGTCAGGCTAATTTTTGTATTTTTAGTAGAGATGGGATTTCAGCATCTTGGCCAGGCTGGTCTTGAACTCCTGACCTCGTGATCCACCCATCTTGGCTTCCCAAAGTGCTGGGATTATAGGCGTGAGCCACTGTGCCCAGCTTTGAATTCTTAAATATAATAATTTTAAATTTAAGGCAAAAATAGTATATAGTTAGGAGAGAGACATTTTTAAGTTGAGGTAGTTGATGTTATTTTTTGTGTATGACCCAGAAAAATTTTAAGAGTATTCATGGCCGGGCATGGTGGCTCACGCCTGTAATCCCAGCACTTTGGGAGGCCAAGGCGGATGGATCTTGAGGTGAGGAGTTTGAGACCAGCCTGACCAATATGCTGAAACCACATCTCTACTAAAAATACAAAATTAGCCAGGCGTGGTGGCACATGCCTGTAATCCCAGCTACTCAGGAGGCTGAGACAGGAGAATTGCTTGAACCCAGGAGGCGGAGGTTGCAGTGAGCTGAGATCGCACCACTGCACTCCATCCTGGGCAACAAGAGCAAAACTCCTTCTCAAAAAAAAAAAGTATTCACAGTGGATGTGTTTTGTGTTTTAAGACTGAGTTGTACTCAGGAACACTCCTTTATATGTTGGACTTTTTGTTTTTTCTTTGTGTTTTAGCAAAAGAGCAGTGGCTCAGGCAGCAGTGTAGCAGATGAGAGAGTGGATTATGTTGTTGTTGACCAACAGAAGACCTTGGCTCTAAAGAGTACCCGGGAAGCCTGGACAGATGGGAGACAGTCCACAGAATCAGAAACGCCAGCGAAGAGTGTGAAATGAAAATATTGCCTTGCCATTTCTGAACAAAAGAAAACTGAATTGTAAAGATAAATCCCTTTTGAAGAATGACTTGACACTTCCACTCTAGGTAGATCCTCAAATGAGTAGAGTTGAAGTCAAAGGACCTTTCTGACATAATCAAGCAATTTAGACTTAAGTGGTGCTTTGTGGTATCTGAACAATTCATAACATGTAAATAATGTGGGAAAATAGTATTGTTTAGCTCCCAGAGAAACATTTGTTCCACAGTTAACACACTCGTAGTATTACTGTATTTATGCACTTTTTCATCTAAAACATTGTTCTGGGTTTTCCCAATGTACCTTACCATAATTCCTTTGGGAGTTCTTGTTTTTTGTCACACTACTTTATATAACAATACTAAGTCAACTAAGCTACTTTTAGATTTGGAAATTGCTGTTTACAGTCTAACAACATTAAAATGAGAGGTAGATTCACAAGTTAGCTTTCTACCTGAAGCTTCAGGTGATAACCATTAGCTTATACTTGGACTCATCATTTGTTGCCTTCCAAAATGCTGAGGATAATGTATGTACTGGTGTCAGGACCTAGTTCTCTGGTTAATGTACATTTAGTTTTTAATGGTGGAACTTTGTTATATTTTGTTAATTACAGTGTTTTTGGTTCATTGAGTGAAGATTCTGCCGGGTGGGATCTTGCACCTTTGAAAGACTGAATAATTACACTACCAAGTAAGCCTGCAAATCATTGATGGCATGCAGTGATGATGTGCTCTTACACTTGTTAACATGTATTAAGTGTTATTTGCAAAAGGTAGATTATGTAACCAATCAGGTACGTACCAGGCAGTGATGTGCTAATACACTGATCAGGTTTAGACAATGAGCTTTGGTTGTGTTCTTGTTAGTCCTAATATTGGTTTTCAGTTTGGAATTAATAAAGCAGTTGACATTCACTGTTAGTTACAGCAACATACTGTGATTTTTAATTAGATAGTAATTCAGATTTATTACTCTATGAAATTCTGTCTTTTGACACCATAGTGCCCTTTCTATGATTTTTTTTACTTAATATTCTTCTTGGCCTTATATTTAATTCCCTATGCAATTAATATTTTATATCTGCATTTTTTTAAAAAAAATAGATGTTATATAAGTGATTCTCGTATGTAGCACCTGTTGCTTTTCCACTGAAAGAATTACGGATTTTGTACTGTGATTTATATTCACTGCCCCAATTCAAGAAATATTGGAGCCTTGCTACAATGTGAAATGTTATAGTCATGGACTCCTTCCAACCAGATTTCTGAAAACACCAGAGGGATGGTATAATTCTGTCTCACCTATAACATGGTCCTGTGACATAGATATTAAGACCACAAGTTGTAGTGAGGCTACAATTATATTCGTCTGTCTTGGCTTTGCAACATAATTTAGAAAGCACGTATAGTTGTTTTTTAACCAAGTTACATACAATCTCATGTACTGATTTGAGACTTATAACAATTTTTGGAGGGGGCATAGAGAAAGGAGTGCCCACAGTTGAGGCATGACCCCCTCCATTCAGACCTCTAACTGTTGCCTGAGTACACAGATGTGCCCTGATTTCTGGCCCATTGGCCATAGTACTGTGCCTAATCAATGTAATAGGTTTATTTTCCCAATCCTCAAACTAAA
The DNA here is from genome assembly GCF_000001405.40 of Homo sapiens. Taxonomy (NCBI): domain Eukaryota; kingdom Metazoa; phylum Chordata; class Mammalia; order Primates; family Hominidae; genus Homo; species Homo sapiens. The sequence goes on from NC_000004.12 coordinate 143,470,848, forward strand.
AATGTTCATAACAAGATGAATTGTAGACTAGTAACATTTGATGCTTTTAAATATTTGCTTCTTTTTAAACAAAAACTAAAACCCAGAAGTGAATTTTTAGGTGGATTTTTAAATAAAAAAGATTGATTGAGTTTGGTGTGCAAGCTGTTTTATAATGAAACAACAAAATGAAATCTAAAATCCTGAAATGTGCCTAAACTATCAAAACACACGATACAGCTAATGTGTAAAGATGCTAAATTCTGTTACTTGGAGGATGAATATATTTAAGATTTAAAACACAATAATAAATACATGATTAATTCAAAAATAAAAATCTTTACAGCTGCCTATCAAGGGTCTAAAGCACTTAATGAATGTTTTTAGTCTAACTTATCATTAACTTTTTACAAGTCACCATATTTGAAGATCTGTAGCACTCTGATTTTCAGAAAATTTTTCATTCTGAATAATTTAAAAATGGTGATGTATTAGAAAGGCAGTTTGCTTTAGAAAACTAAATCACATTGAACATTGTATTAGAGAATTAAATTAAAAGTTTCTTACAGAGCAGTATTTTCCAAACATTTTTAGCACTAGAATCTTTTTAGATGAAATTTTATGTATAACCCCAATACATAAAGCCTGAAAACTCAATTTTATCAATATAAATGTATTTTGGGTTCACATTTATGCTTATTCATTTTGGCTCATTACTAAGCATAATAAGATTCTGAGTTATTTCTGAATAACACAAATGTGGAGTTATACATAGTTGATGAAACCAGCAGCCAATTTATAGCTATGCCCTGTTTTATTTGTATACTATCAAGAAAATTTTGATTCACACAAATGTAAGCAAAAATAATAGGTTTTAAACATACATCTCAGGAAATTCTTTAATTAGAGATAGCTAAAGTTATTCAAGGTCTATACAAAAATAAGTTATCCTGGTAGTGGAAGTTAATACATAAGCAGTCTCCAGTGTGGTAAAGTAGGGTATGTAACACATCAGAATGTGCGTTTTTATTAGGTTTTAAAATATGCACGTATAAAAACTAAATTTGAATCAAACCCTTTTAACTCACCTCCAAGAAGCTAGACTTTGGCCAGGAATGGGCTAAAAACCACTGGTTAACGATGTGACAGTTATGATCTTGGAGATTGGAAATCTTTCTTCCACATTAGAGTTCTTTACCTTAATTCCTTATTCTGAAAAATTGTAAGATTTTATGAAGGTTTGAATACTGAAGCACAGTTCTGCTTTCAAAAATTAAAATTCAAACTTGAAAAAGCTGTTTAACCCATGGAAGATATCATTTAGTAAGATGTAAAAGATTTTTTAAATCTACACTTCAGTTTATACATCTTTATCATTATCAATACTATATAAGTTACTGTGAGCATTTTAGAGAATTCCATAAAGGTACTATGAGTGTGTCTGTATGTGTGTGTATATATAGCATTGTATTTAATCATAGACTAAATTTAATTTGATATAGAAATACTACTTTACTTGTACATTAAGGTCATAATTTCTGCTGGACTCTTTTATATTTAATTAATGGGGATTATAGTCTTCCTTCATAAATGCATTTAAACCTGAAATTGAACACCAGTGTTTTTCTTTTTCTACTTATGGGAAGTTGTCTGCTTCCCCCTTTAGAGAAAACAGTATTTTTATATTTTGTTAAAATATTAACTACTTTATGCCTACACACTATGCTGTAGATACTGATCATAATTCTTGGGTGTTCACAAACACTCCTAGTGCCTCTTTTTTGGCCCGTTGAAAGTGTTGGTATTACTACTTTCACTACAGAGCCTTTGGCCCTCTAATAATGCTGAGGTGGGCTGATCCTTCCCATTTCTGTCTTCGGGTCATTCTGGTAGGTCTTCTCCTCCACTGTCAAGTAAGCAATCAGGTCCGTGACAGGGATTGGACATATGAACAAATTAAGTGGATACACACAGTGAGAAAGATACATGCATTCTATGGTAACAACTACTGTCAATAACATCTGATGTTACATGCACATTTATATATATATAATTTTAAAAACTGAACTATGAGAAGCCATGGTATAAATGAATATTGTGGACATCATGGACTTGATATGATAGAAATCAATTGTCAGCTTGAGAAAGTTGTTTTTAATCTGTCTAAATAGTTCATGCATTACTACAGTTAAAAATAGTTTCATTTGTCTTCTATAGACTTAATTTTATTCCGGTTCAGTATAATCTCTGTTAACAGAGTTTCAGCAAACTGATTGGTCAAGGTATTAACATAGCTTCTACTTCCTTTACTTAAAAAGATGTGGTTTTATGTAAGTTCTTGATTACTGATGATCATCCCAAATTTTGACAACAAAATCATATGTATAAATTTATTTCTCCCCTCTTGTTCATCATCTTTTGTAAAGGTCCCATTGTAGATCTTTTCTGCTACCAAATAAAACTTTTCAAACAATTTGGTTTCAAGACCTTAAATAGACAAGTTGGATACTAAGATTGTGAACTGATAAGGACATATAAATTTATATTTCCAGCCCTTCCTTAGAGTCTTTATCTGCATCAAAAACCCAATTCTGCCATTAACTGTGCTTCCCAGTCCCACCTCTATATGTCACTCATTTTCTGCAACAAAGATCTCACTAAATCATGTTGAAACACAAGTCATGATCCTCTCTAAGTAAATAGAAAAAGCTCCCTGGAAAAACTCTGTTGCCACATGCACGTGCCCTGTTACTCCTCCAGCCAGCCAGTGCTGCCAGCATTTTATTGTGTAAAAGTCCAAATAAATAAGGGCCTGCATGCAACCTTTATCTTCAGAAACTAGGTTTTATATGTAAAATGTGACTTGGGAAATGATTCTGTTTATTAACTGGCTGGGATTTTTCATTTCTATGAAAGTTTCAAACATCTCCAGTACTTTATAAAATCCCAACAATTGCTGTAAGTCAGCACTTTGGTCCACTCAGCCCACCCAGCCCACTTGCAACTCTGACTCTTCACTGAATCATATTTGGGAAGTTTGGGTAGGGTGAGGCTATCTTCTTCAAGATTATTTTCTCATATGTCTGTCTGTCACCTTGTAAACCATGAGACTCCTGGGTATTTGCATGTAACTTCTTTGAGGAAGTTACCACCATCTCTGATATAGACACACTTTTTGAGTTGCAGTTTCTGTTAGAATTTTTTGGAGACTAACTTGCCAATTCTGTGAATGTTATTGAATATTTAAAAAGCTGGGTCTGTAATGGGAGGCATTTTATTAGCTGTTGTGATTGGGTAACATGTCCCCTTAGATTTCCTGATTTAAAATTATACAAAATTACTATTTTTGATAAAATAAAGGAACACCTACAGAAAATTAAGTTTCTAAGATGTTTCTATACTTCATTAGAAAAGATTTTATTACTATTACTTATGGTTATTGGTGATTAACACTTAATGCGTCTCCTCTGATTTTGTGTTCCATGAGGTGCTTGGAACATTTGGAGTGCTCTGTGCGAGGGACATACAGTGATATAGGAAATTTAAAAATTAAAATAATACCCAAAACCCACTTTATCAGATATGGTATTGTGATGGTTAATATTATGTGTCAACTTGGTGAGGCTATGGCGCCCATGTGTTTGGTCAAACACTAGCCTAGATGTTGCTGTGAATATATTTTGTAGATGTGATTAACATTTACAATCAGTTGATTTTAAGTAAAGCAGATTCTCATCCATAATGTTGTTGAACCTCATTCAATCAGCTAAAGGCCTTAAGAGCAAAAGCCAAGGTTTCCAAAAGAAGTAATTCAGCCTCAAGATCATAACAAATTAATCCTAAGTTTCCATCCTGCTGGCCTGCCTTCTTGTAGATTTTGAACTAAAGAGTGCATCATCACCTCTTACCTGATCCAGTTTGCTGGCCTACCCTACCAACTTCAGACTTGCCAGTTCTTACAATCCTGGAGCCTTTCTTAAAACTAATTCTCTCTGTCTCTCTCCATCTCCCCCGTGTGTGTGTGTATATATATATCTTCAAAACACATATAAAACATGTAAGTGTTGGTATATAAGAATATATAGCTATCTTACAGATATGTGTATCTTATTGGTTCTGTTTTTCTGGAGAACCATGACTGATAAACATACTGAGTCATTAATCTGAGTGCCTCTCATACCAAGCAATGATTTTGAAGTTTAATTTGCAATGTGTTAGCAGTCTGCTCCAAAAGTTTCTTCTGAAGCCATTTACTGACAGTGAACCATGTTTCCACTTCTGGCCATAGCTTTTTATCTTCTAGGAACCATTAAATCAACATCTCCAATGATGGAAAATAGTATTCTAAGAAGAACACAGATTATTGGATTCTTGTCACAAAGGGTACAGAATACTATTAAGGACAGAATTTCATTTGTAACACTGGGTTGTAGTCTTCACCTCTTCACCCTTGTCACATGCTATGACCCTACACATTTATTTAGTTTTCCCTGCTTTAAATTTCTAAAACATATTACCCATGTACATCTAAAGCTGTTTTTTAATCAGCCTTATTAAAACAATGTGTTTGAAAGTTGCTTATTCCGGTCCTTAGACAAAACAGTAATTTTGAAAGTCAGACTAAGAAGAAAATACTGTTGTCCCAGATTTTGATTCTAATTGATGGTGGCTTATTAATAATTTAGTCATTTCACTAAGCTACACATGTTGAATTATTCAAGGTGCTATGGGAAACATGAAAGAAATCTACCTCATCTTTATCTTTACAAATATGTGTGAAAAAATAATACAGGACAGTAAGTTATTATTTCTGAGGTACCAACTATGAGCTACCAAAGAAAAAACAAAGTTCTGTATTTAAGAAAAGCTTCACAAAGATGGAGATTGAGCTGGACAATGGAGGATTTGCAAGAAGGTTGGCTTGCTACTGGTTTGTTTCATGAGAAGAGGTAAAGAAAAAGACAAAAGCAGAATATGGAGAACTATGTACTGGGTGGAGGCTTATGAAATATTGTATTAGTTACGGTGTGTAATCAGAATGTAGTGACTTTAAAAAGTCATCTATTCTCACAGTTTCCATGGTCAGAAATTCAGGAGTGTCTTGGCCGAACAGTTCTGGTCCAGAGTCTCTACTGAAATTACAGTCAAATTACCTGAGACTGGAGTTATCTAGGGCTGAAGGATCTGCCTCAGGTGGTTTACTCACATGGCTGGCAAGTTGGTGCTGCCTGTTGCTGGGAGCCTTTGTTCCTCTTCATGTGGCTGCTTCACAGAGCTGCTTGAGTATCTTTGAGGCATGGGGGCTGGCTTCCCCCAAAGCTAGTGATCCCAGAGACCAAACAAATGACCTAGCCTTAGAGGTCACACACTGTCATCTCTGCTGTGCAGTAATGGGTTGTACAGTTCACGCCTTGATTCACTGTGGGAGGAGACTTGCAAGGGTATGAATACCAGGAAGTAAGGATCACTGGGAGCCATCTAAGATGCTAGCAGTCACAAAGGCAAAATTAAGAGTTGAGAGATGAGGCCAAGGATGGAAGACCTTGGAAACTCAAGTGTGTTGGTAATTAAGGACTTGAAAATGTCAGAACAATAACCCAAAGCATGGAAAGAGTAGGCCACAAGAAGTCAGGAGGCAGTTCTAAACCTAGGTCTGTGAGTTTCAATGTATGTTCTTATAAAACTATTGAACAGTTGCTGTTCAATGTAATACATATGTAGTCCTCATACTACAAATTTATCACTGGTCAGTTGGCTAGAAGTCAAGCATCAAGGCTGCGTTGGTTTGATTTCTTCTGAGGTCTCTTCACTGGTAGATAGCCATCTTCTCACTGCGTCCTCAGATGGTCTTTTTTTCTGTGTTGGCACCCCTGGTTCTGCTCTCTCATTATAAAGACATCAGTCATACTAGATTAGGTAAAATGAATAATTTTACCTTAATTACTTCTTTAACAACCCTATCTCCAAAAACCTGACACATTCTGAGCTTGTGGCTATGTTTATGTCTCATCTGCCTGGCTATGTTAACTTTTCCCAGCAGGAAAAGATGGCACACTCAAAGAAGTAATTGAGGAGAGTTGAATGAAGGGACTATTGTATGGGTAGGGTTAAGGGAGCCAACAAGGAATGGTTAAAAACCCTGAGTAATCTGCATGTGGTGGTGCATACCTATAGTCCCAGCTACTCAGGAGGCTGAGGCAGAAGGATTGTGTGAGTCCAGGAGTTGAAAGCTGCAGTGAGCTATGATCACACCACTGCACTTTAGCCTCGGTGACAGAGCAAAATGACCCCATTTCTTAAAAAGTAAAATCCTGAGCAACGGTAAGTGACTAGCAGCAGTGAGAAGCCATTACCACTTCTAGAACTAAGGAGGCAAGTGGAGGAAGCTGTTACACCCAGCAAGAGCTGTAGCTGGTGGAGACAGTCTGCCAACAGACACTTTAATCTTAGGTAAAGGGACACACACACTATCAAATGCTGACCAGCAGTGAAGAAACCAGGGTACCTCTCTCACAGCTTGCCATTGGCTAAAACCAACCAGCCCCCAGAAAGGCTGGGAACCCAGAATATGTAATACATAGAAGTCAGTCTCCCAGGGCACTTGGGAAGGCAGAGAAGGGTGGAGGTACAGCAAACAGAGAAAATCAGGTACAGCAAACAGAGAAAATCCTTAACAATCTTCATTATCTGTCATCATGTCAGACCAGTAAGTCAGTTAATCTTTTATTGATCATCCTCATGGACATGAAGCATCTGTAGAAGATTGGCTTGCTGAACAGCTGATCCAACCTCTCTCTGGAGTACCCTCCTGTATTTAAGAAGCTGTAAAGATAAAAACTACATTTCCCAGACTTCCTTGCAACTAGGGCGCTGCTTGTAATTAACTTTTCACCAGTGATACTTGCTTAATCTCAGAAACAGTTCAGTGGAGAGACAGAAGTCTGTGAGGCATCAATATTAAATCTCGCAGTTTGCATTTAGGATGTGAAGCAATGGATTCCTGCTAAGCAATTCTTGCAGTGGTGTATGCTTGGAGCCAATACTTGCCATGGTAGATTACTGTACTCTGAAGGTATTACGGTTTCAACCATTGGTGCAGTGGTTTCCTGAACCCAGATTCCCGATTGTTCCCATGTCTGGCAGCTCCGTAGCGTTGTTCTGAGAATCCTTCCTAAAGAGCCTTCACACCTACCAGTGAGTGGTGTGATTTTAATCTGCATTAAATTATCTGTCGTTTAAAAATTACTAGCGTGGCTTAATTCTCTTGAGCTGACACAGGGGCCAAGCTTGTTGCTTTCTGAATTTTTTTTCTACTTTCGCATTGTAAAACTGTAATTAAAGACAATTTGGGAGAGTAAGAAGAAAAATGCCCACAAGCCATGTTACTTCCCTACCTTTGCCTAAATGTGCAGCTGGACTCTACTTTTTGCATTAACTATTATCATAAATGTTTTCCTAGGTGTTAAGCATCTGAATTATTTTTAAAGACTGCGTAATTTTCCTTCAAATATTTTGAAATACTCAATGATAATACCCAATATTGATACAGATGTGAGTGATAGGACACTATCATCTATACCACTAGGAGCATAAATTGGTACAACTTTTTAATTTTTTTTTGAGACGGAGCTTCACTCTTGTTTCCCAGGCTGGAGTGCAGTGGTATGATCTTGGCTCACTGCAACCTCCACCTCCCAAGTTCAAGCCATTCTCCTGCCTTAGCCTCCCAAGTAGCTGAGATTACAGGCATGCACCAACACACCTGGCTAATTTTGTATTTTTAGTAGAGATGGGGTTTCACCGTGTTGGCCAGGCTGGTCTCAAACTCCTGACCTCAGGTGATCCACCCATCTCAGCCTCCCAAAGTGCTGGGATTACAGGCGTGAGCCACCACGCCCAGCCTCAACTTTTTCAAAGAGCAGTTTATACATACGATTTTAAAGTCTTGAAACTGTAGTTAGCCTTTAACCTAGCAATTACATTTCAAGCAATTAGCATTAACGAATTCATCACAAAAAATTGTCTCCAACGAATTAGGGGCTTATCCAACAATGGAGAGGAAATTAAGTTGTACATACACATGTATATAGCAATTTATAATATAGAATAATAATTTTTAAAACCATGTCCTTCCAACAGGGGAGACCTCAAAAAGGAAAGGTAGATCAAGTATTTGAGAGATCCAGTCTCACTTCATCCTTGTTTTAATTACGGTACCTTCACATTTTTGTTTGTACATTGGAAGAAAAGTATAAGGTTTTATTTGAAAAATAGGTTTTACTACTTGAAAAAAATGTTAGCTCTTGCAATAAAAGAATATTTGATGTCATGAATGGTTCTTTAAGACCATTGGTGTAAAAATTAAGACTATGTAACCTGGGTATAATCCTGTTTTTGCATATAACTAACAGGATTAAAACAGCAGGATATCACTACAGATACTGCAGACATTAAAATGATAACGAGAAAGATTATGGACAACCTTAGGCCAATATATTTGAAAACTATATAAAATGAACAAATCACTAGAAAAGACAACTTTCTAAAACTGAAAAGAAATTTGAATAGTTCTATATCAGCTAAAATGAGTTTTATAATTAAAAACCTTTTTCCAAAGAAAACTCTGAGCTTAGATAACATCTCGATGGGTTCTATCAAACATTTAAGAAACAAATAGTTTTACCAAACATTTAAGAAATAACAAATAAATCCTGGTAAATCAAGAATGCAAGGTTCTTATCAATAAAATAAAGGGGAATTAATCACATGATCATCTCAATTGATGCAGAAAATTGTTAAACTTCAACATCTATTCATGATTTAAAGAACAACTCTTAGCAACATTAAATAAAAGGGAAGTTTATGAAAAAAAGAATATTTAAACATTTATCAGCAAACCTGACACTTAATGCTGAAATATTGACAACTTTCTCTTTGAGACCTGGAACAAGACAAATATGTCCATTATCACCACTTCTATTCAGTATTGTACTGAAGGACATATGCAGGGAAAATTACAAGAATTTGAGAAAATAAATAAAACAGCTGTTATCCACAGATAATATGATTGTGTATGTAGAAAGCTGAAATAAATCTACAGGTAAAAGGTTGTTAGAAATAAGGTTAACATACAAAAATCAATTTTTGTATGTAACAATTTGAATATGAAATTTTGATAGCATCAAAAGAATTGATCAGAAACACATTTAAAATAGTATGTGCAAAACCTCTGCTATAAAATATTAAGAATAAAGTCAAAATAGAGGAATAAAAAAGAGTATATGATGTGCATGGGTGGGGTAATTCAATGCTGTGAAGATATCAGTTTTCCCCAAAGTTGATCTTTAAGTTCAATGCAATGTCATTCAAAATCCCAGGTTTTTGTTTTGTTTTTGTTTTTGTTTTAAATGAACCTGAGAAGCTGATTCTTAAGTGTCTATGGAAGTGCAAAAGACCAAGAATAGCCAAAATATTCTTGAAAAATAACAATGTGGAAGAAGTACTCTATAAGATTTACAACTTATTATAAAGATGTAGCAAGTAACATTGGTACCAGGATGAAAAAGTATGCCAAAGGAACTCAAAAGAGAACACAGAAACAGAACCACGTATATATGGACACTGATTTATGACACAGTAGCTGCAGAGCAGTGGAAAACAATGTGGACCACATGGATATCCATATAAATAAAAGAAGAAAATTGACCTGTGACTCATATTATAAGCAAGTATCAATTCCTAGTGAACTGTAGATATAATTGTGAAAGGCAAAACAATAACAAAGCTTATACAGGATAATTTTATCATGATTCAAAAAAAAAAGAAGGTTTCTTAAAGAGGACCAGAAAGGAATTAACCAAAAAATAAAAGATTGACAAATTGGATTATATCAAAGTTAAGAACATCTACTCATCAATAGATACTGTTACAATAACCAAAAGCAAAACACACAGTGGGAAAATTAACAAATGATTCATAAACTGATTATATTTAGAACTCCTATAGATCAGTAAGAAAAATGCAGTAACTCAAAAAGGGGCAGGAGACGAGAATGCAAACAAAACCCACGTTATACTACTGCACATCCACTCAAATGATTAAAAAGACTGCCAATACGAAGCATTGCTAAGAATGTGTAAATTAATCTCATGCAGTGCTAGTAGGGGTCAAATTAACACAACCACTTTGAAAGACTGTCATTATTTACAAAATGTACAAAATATTTACAAAATTTAGACATATGAATACCTTATGGCCTAAAAATCATACTACCGAGTTATACCCAACTGAAATGCATGCACATGTGTAGCAAGAGACAGACATGAGAATGTTCATGGTAGTATTATTTACAAAAACAAAATGAGCAAAATAACCCAAATGCCCATCAACAGTAGAAAGGAGAAGTGAATTATGTTTTATTTCAATAATTCAGATATTTAAATGAATAAACTACAGCCACTCATAAGCATATAGATGAATTTCTCAAGTACAAGATTGACTAAAAGAAGCTAGATACAAAAGAACACAACATATGATTTTACCCACATAAAGTGCAAAAACAGTGCAAAAACTAAACCATGGTGTTTAATGCATGCTTAGGTGGCAAAACTATAAAGGAAGTAAGGAGTTAATTTCCTAAAGTCGAGGATAGTAATTACACTGGATGGGAAGGACAGGTAAAAAGTTGGAAGGGGCGCATGTGGTTTTTGGAGTGCTGGCAATGTTCTATTTATTCACTTGGGTGGTGGTTGCCTAGGTATGTTCACTTTGTAATAATTAATCGTGCTGCATATTTTTGTTTTGTGAACTCTGTGTGTTTTATTTCATAATGAAAAGATTAAAAATAAACTATTGCCAAAAATGTTTGACCTGAATCTAACATCCAGAAGACAGAGGGACAATTTAATTGACACCACCAGGAAACAATCAGACAAAATATAGAATATTCCATGTAAGACAACTTGCCCGGTCTCTACAAAAAGATGAAGTCTTTTTTTTTTTTAAGTGAGGGACTGCTCCAGAACAAAAGAGACAAACGCATAACAACCACAATACTTCATGGGGGAAGAAAGTGATTTAAGACATTTTAGGCACAAATAGCACATTTAAAATATGAACTAGATAATAAATGGTATTAAAGAATTACTCATAATTTTTCTGGTGTAATAATATTATGACAATGTAGTTGAATGTCCTTCATTATATAGATGGCTGCTGAATTATTTAGGGTTAAAACATCTGAAAATAATATTGAAAAAAATGCACACACATATACATATATGTACAGAGATAAACAGAGCAAAATAATTGGCATGTGCCTGCAGTCCCATCTACTTGGGAGGCTGAGATGGAAGGATTGCTTGAGCTCAGATGTTTGAGACCAGCCTGGGCAACAAAGTGAGACTCTGTCTCTTAAAAAGATAAGATGTAAGTTAAAATCAAAATATTAATAATTATTCCATCAAGGTGGTAAATGTTTATTGTACTATTCTTTCAAATTTTCTATTGAAGAGTTTTATAGTAGAAAGTTGAAAAGTAGTTGAACAATTCAATTATCTTTCTTATACCTGGAAAAAATGAGAGGAAGAGAAAAAAAAGGAAGGGAGGAAGGCAGGCAAGAAGCCAGGCGTTCAGGAAGGAAGAAAGGAAGGAAAGAATACACATATAATACATGGGAAAATCCTTGGATTCATTAGAAGAATAAGTAGACAAAATAAGCCATTACTATGAATTGGCAATGATTTTAAAAAATTGATTTGAATAATATCTCTATATGTTGCATATGTTCTCCACATCCCTTTTCTCAATTTCACATGTTAATCTAAATAACATCACAGAATAATTTTTATAAGGTATTATTTCTTTCTATACAATGTTTCTTATAAATAATACAATCATAGGGTTCAAAACATAAAAAGCATTAAATAGTTTACAGAAAAAAGTACCCCTCTCTCCTATGCCCATGTTATATGTCCTTCCAGAGATATGCTGTACACTCATAAGCAAACTCATATATACTAGTTCATATGTATTAAGGGACTTTTAAATTTAGGTTCTCCTTGACCTTACTTTGGTTTTTTTCTCCTAAGATTACATATGCACATTGCCAGCAGCGATGAACAAGTTGTTATTTGGTGGACAGCACCCTCTTGTGCATGAACTGAATTTTCAAGGGAAATCTGACAAAAAGTAGAATAAATTACATGAATATTCTCTCATGGAATTACAATTGTAAAAGTTCCTTGAAGCCAAGTGGTCTGCCCCCTTGCCTTCAATAAGTCAGTTAAGACCAGCCCTAAAGTATTAGTCATTTTCTTTTAAATCTTCAGAAGAAGGTGTCCCCACACTTGCCTTACCAATTTCACATATATTTTGTGCTTTTTGGTCTCCAAAACATTCTCACATCCATAATATTTTGTTTGATTACAACCTGAGTTATTGTCCCCTTTTTCCACTGAAATATATTAATAATTCACATACCAAATAACTCGCCCATTTAAACTATACAGCTGATTTTTAGTGTATTTGCAGCCTTTTACCACCATCACCACAATTAATTTAGAACGTTTTCATCAGCCCGAAAACAAATTCCGTACCCATTGGCAATCACTACCAATTACCCCAATCCTGCCTCAGCCCTAGGCTATCATGAACCTATTTTCTGGTTCTGTAGATTTCCCTTTTCTAGACATTTAATAAAAATAGAACCCATACAATATGTGGCATGGCCGTTTATGACTAGCTTCTTTCCTTTAGCATACTGTACACAAGGTTCATGTATGCTGTAGCATGTATCAGTACTGCTTTCCTTTTTATTGCTGAATAATATTCCATTTTACGGCTGTGCTACATTTTAATTATCCATTCATCAGTTGATGGACATTTGGATTGTTTCCACTTTCAAGGTAGTATGAATAAATGCTGCTATAGACATTTGGCCTCCTTTTTATTTTCTTTTATTTTTTAAAGATATTTTAGGCAGAAATAGCACATTTAAAATATGAACTCCATCTCACTCTGTCACCCAGGCTGGAGTGCAATGGCACGATCTTGGCTCACTGCAACCTCCACCTCCCAAGTTCAAGCCATTCTTCTGCCTCAGCCTCCCAAGTAGCTAGGATTACAAGCGTGTGCCACCACGCCTGGCTAATTTTGTATTTTTAGTTAAGAGATGGGGTTTCACCATGTTGGTCAGGCTGGTCATGAACTCCTGACCTCAGATGATCCACCCACCTCGGCCTCCCAAAGTACTGGGATTACAGGCGTGAGCCACCGTGCCCGGCCTCTTTTTTTTTTTTTTTTTTTTTTTTTGAGACAGAGTCTTGCTCTGTCGCCCAGGCTGGGATACAGTGGCACAATCTCGGCTCACTGCAGCCTCCACTTCCAGGTTCAAGTAATTCTCCTGCCCCAGCCTCCCAAGTAGCTGGGACTACAGGCACGAGCCACCACGCCCAGCTAATTTTTGTATTTGTAGCAGAGACAGGGTTTTGCCATGTTGTCTAGGCTAGTCTGGAACTCCTGGCCTCAGGTGATCCGCCCACCCCAGCCTCCCAAAGTGTTGGGATTACAAGCATGAGCCACCGCACCCGGCCGCCCTCCTTTTTCAGTTGCAAAGATGGAAGTCTCCTGAGCCGAGATAATCAGAGGCTCACAAAAAGGGGACTTGGCTTTGCCCATAGCCACCACCATTACCAAAAGCACTCCAACTACAGTGGCATCCCCCACAACTCCAATTCACCTAGGTCCTGTCATCTATCATCTCTAATTCTTCACCCCCAAAATGATCGTCCCATTACTTGCCACAGTCTCCCACCTCTTCCTAACCCTTAAGCCTTTCCTCTGGTTCTCTAAAGGAAGAGCTTTATCTCAATTTTATTCCCAAACTGACTTCACTAAACGTGAGCTCTCCTGAGGATACTACTTCCCATCTCTTTCAAGTGAAAGTATTTTCCTGTCATACCCTAGACCCTAAGAGCAGGACATGAGTCCCCTTCTTCCTCTTCCAACACTACTTCAAACAAGTTCTCAATCCTCATCCCAAAACTGTAACTATAGGAGCTTAAGACACCACCGTCCTCGTCGCTATATTCTAGTGATTTCTGTTCACTCCCTCTCATTCAGAGGTCACTCTCTCTCATCCCCCATGCCTCAATGCCTTCCCTTCTTCTATATTTCTTCCAATTTTCTGGGTAACTTTAATATCCTTCAGGGCAATGCATACAGCACACCAGCCTCTCCATGTTCCTTAAACTCCAATGACCTTTTCCTCCTCCTGCTTTCTACCCTAGAACTTGTGGAATCAGGCCAATTCACTAAATGAACAATTGGCAGAATATACTTTAATATTTGTTACTATTAATAAAGTTTACAACTGTACTCCACATCAAATGGAATAGATTTAACAGCTTTTGATAATTTCCTGTGACATTTTAGTTGAATAGTGTTACTTCATCTTCACAACAGCTTTTAAGGAATGTGCAATTCGTTTCTGATCTGCCTCTGTTCTTGTAGCTGAAAAATGCTGGACCAGAGAAAAGATGCAGAAAAGTTGGAAAGGAGGCCAGGCAGCACACAGCAAGCCTGGCTCCTGATCCCAGAGGGAAGTAAGACCGATGGGCAGGGAGGTGGTGAAGATGGAAATGTATTCAAGAATAGAAATATATTAATGGCACATTCATACTTATCAGTGCATGTTTTCTTATTAATAAATTTTTATGACCCTCAGTCTTTTCTTTCTGCTCAGATAATGAATATTCTCATTCTCTTCTCTCTTTTCTTCTGCCACTGCCTTAGTTTGCTCCTACCTCTTTTCTCACATAGATCACTGCTGGTAACTCCTGGCTGCCATCATCTCTGATTAGTTCCACACCCAGTGTCTCTTGTGCCTTCTGAATCCACCATCTCTATTCGCCATCATGATTGCCAAATGAATCTTTTTCCATCACAAATCTGATCTCATAACTCACTTGCCTAATATCCTTCAGATGCTCCCACAGCCTTCAAAATAAAATCCAATTCATTCATTACCTTTTTCCTCACACCCTACACTTAGAGCTGCTACCACCCGTTGGCACCTCTGGGTAACAATAAATTTTAAGTCAATACGTTATTTAGTTCTCAACAATGATAAAACGTGTCATATGTAAAGTCAATATAGCATCTGAATAAATTACATATATCAGATGTAAACATGAAATTATAGAAAGTTTAAAATTATCAAAATCATTGAGGACTCAAAGTTATCATAAATTAATAAAAACGAATTATAATGAGCAAGAACGCAAAGTCACTGTGAAGGAATCAATTTTAAAAATAAAACTTTGTTAAAATTATAAAACTAAGTTCTTTAGGATCATTTCAGTGCTTACTCTAATATCTTGTTTTCTTCAGAAATAATCACCAGATTTGCCAGTCTTTCTTGTGATACTGTAGACTTTAAGTGGTTCTAAAAAATTTTTAATTTTGAGAGGCTACCTTTTCACTGGCAAAATGATACTAGAAAAGAAAAAATATCTTTGAGAATTTCAAAGTATTTTGGAATGTGTTCAGTAAATTATCTCCATAAATATATTGTAATAATTAAATAGAATTAATACTAGACTTTGGAAAATAAGGCTTCCAGATACTCATACATGAACAAACCATAGGTATCCCATATATGGAATCAGAACCTACTTCCTATTATGACCCCCCGATGAATCATGTGTACATTGAAGTTTGAGAAGCACTGACATAGAAAAGTCATGATACCTCAGTATAATTTTTTCTTATTTTGAAAAAATAAAACAGCTTTATTGAGATATAATTCATGAATATAAAACTGCATGTATTTAAAGCTTATAAATTGATGAGTTTCAATGTATGTACACATCTAGGAAATCACCATCACAATCTTCTTTTTAAAGATAATACTCTTTCAGCTAATGTAGAAACAAAGCAAAGAGCATATTATTTGATGCTGGATCAAAGAGGGCTTGATTTTGACATGTGCAGCCAAACTGAGACTTCTTAGTCTTCTAGATTGTCTTTGCTGTATCAATATCAAGGGACTTTATTTAGAATTTGTAACATATGTTTTTTAAAGTGGTAAGAGACATATAAAATTAACCATCTTAACCATTTTAAAATGTGTAGTTCAATATTAAGTATATTCACATTGTTGTGAAACAGATCTCCAGAACTTTTTCATCTTGCAACTGTATACACATTAAACAACATCTCTGTCATTCCTATTTTAGTATATGTGCTGCCAAAGCAAGCACAATAACATATACTTTTGTAAGTATTATCACTTTATTTATCTTTATAGAATTTCTTAGTTTCTTTGATGCTTTCAAGGCCATTATTTACATTGAATTTAGTCCTGCATCATGTTCATTATACCTGTATTTTGACTTAAAATATGCCAAATTAGTCCTAAGAAAGTAAGTTTAAAGTGGATATTTTCAATTTATGCCTATATCTTGAGTTCTAGACTCTACATCTTTATTAATATTATCAATAATTTCCACAAAAGGATTTTATACTACGTACAATTCAGTTCTTAGTGGCCTGATGGCATCATCTCAATTTTCCTGTAGATATTGACAATAGTTTCCATAAATGACTTCTCTGACACATTTCAACATGTTGAAACCAAAATGTATTGTTTATTACAATAATCGCATAGTTATTGGGTAAAATAAAGAAATCTAGCGTGTCAAAACAGATTCTTCTGCTGCTTCATCCATTACCAAGTTTAAAGAGTGAATGGAACAAAGAATATAGAATCTCTAGAATGTTTTTTGGAGGATCCTGCTTTGAACTCTGTTGTG
The DNA here is from genome assembly GCF_000001405.40 of Homo sapiens. Lineage (NCBI taxonomy): Eukaryota > Metazoa > Chordata > Mammalia > Primates > Hominidae > Homo > Homo sapiens. Next base: position 143,487,641 of record NC_000004.12, read on the forward strand.
TTTGATAGGGAGGCACAGCAAGATGGCAGAATAGAAAGCTCCACAGATTACTCCCCCAACAAGGACTCCAAGCTAACAATCATCTACACAGAAAAAACTCCTTCATAAGAACCAAAAATCAGGTGAGCACTCATAGCACCTGGTTTTAATTTCCTATCACTGAAAGAGGCACCAAACAGACAGAAAAAACAGTCCTAAGTTGCCAACACCACCCTTCCGCCACCCCCAAGCAGCAGCAAATCTGGGTGCTGGAGGAGGGAGAACACAGCAATTGTGAGGCATTGAATTCAGTGCTATCCTGTTAGAACAGAAAGGAAAACCAGACCAAACTCAGCTGACAGGGAGTGAGCATTTAAACCAGGCCCTAGCCAGAGGGAAATCACCAATCCCATCCTAGTGGTCTGAACTTGAGTTCCTGCAAACCACACCGCCACGGGCTACAGCACTCTGTGTCTCCAAGTAAATTTGAAAGGCAGTCTAGACCATAAGGACTGCAACCCTGAGCAACTCCTAGCGCTGAACTAGGCCCAGAAACAGTGGACTGTGAGGGGAGCACACGACATACTGAGACACCAGCTACGGCAGCCAAGGGAGTGCTGGCATCACCCGTCCCCTAAGTCCAGGCTGCACAGCTCATGACTTCAAAAGAGACCCCTTCCTTTCACTTGAGAGCAGTAGGAAAAGTGGGGAGCACTTTGTCTTGCATCTTGGATACCAGCTCAATCAACCACAGCATGAAAGGGCGCCAGGCAAAGTCTTGAGGCCACTGTTCCAGGCCCTAGCTCTCAGACATTTCTAGACACACCCTGGGCCACAAGGGAATCTGCTGCCTTGAAGAAAAGGATCCAGTCCTGGTGGCATTCATCACCCACTAACTGAAGAGACCTTGGGCCCTGAATAATCAGTAGCAATAAACAGATACTACATTGAGGGCCTTGGGTGAGCCTCTGAGACATCCTGGTTTCAGGTGAGATTCAGAACACTCCCAGCCTTGGTGGTTATGGGACAGAACTTCTGCCTCAAAAAGCAGAGGGAAATGTAGGGGACTTTGTCTTGCACTTTAGGTACCAGCTTGGCCGCAGGTGGGTAGAGCACCAAGCAGACTCTTGGGGTCCCCAGTTCTAGGACATAACTCTTGGACAGCATTTCTGAACCTGCCCTGGGCTACAGGGGAGCTCGCTGCCCTGAAGGGTGCATTCAGGCCAGGCAGCATTCACAACAAGCTGACTCAAGAGCCCTTGGGCCTTAAAGGAACATCAGCGGTAGTCTGGCAGTACTCCTCATGGCCAGGGTGGCAGTGGCTATGAGGTGAGCCTCCTCTGTCTTTGGAAAGGGGAAGAAAGAGTGGGAAGGACTTCATCTTGTGGTTTGAGTGCCTGTTCAGTTGTAATACAATAGAACACCTGGTAGGCTTCTGAGGTTTTTTAATCTAGTGCCTGACTCCTGGACAGCAGTTCTGGACCCACCCAGCACCTGGGAGACTTTGCTGCCCTGAAGAAAAAAACATAGGCCTGGTTGGCTTTGCCATCTGCTGATTGTAAAGCCCCAGGGCCTTAAGCAAACAGAGGCCATGGCCAGGAGCAGGTCTTGGGCAAGATCCAGTGCTATGCTGCCTTCAGGTCTGACCCAACACAGTCATAGTGGTTGGTCACAGGGGTGCTTGTGTCACTCCACCCCCAGCTTCATGTGGCTCAGAACAGAGAGAGATTGACTCTGTATGCTTGGGAGAAAGTAACAGAAGAGAACAAGAGTCACTGCCTGGTAATCCAGAAAATTCCGCTGGATCTTGTCCAAAACCATCAAGGCGGTACCATTATGAGTCTGCAAGAACCACAGAGTTACTGGGCTTGGGATGACCCAAAGAGCAGATACAGCTTAGATCACAACAACCAAGTCTTTTCAATATCTGGAAAGACTTCCCAAGAAAGATGGCTACAAATAAGCCCAGACAGTGAAGACTACAATATATACCTAACTCTTTAATGCCAACACACCAAAGAACATCTACTAACATCAATGCCATCCAGGAAAACATTACCTCACCAAATGAACTAAATAAATCACCAGGAACCAATTCTGGAGAAACAGAGCTATGCGACCTTTCAGACAGAGAATTCAAAACAGCTGTGTTGAGGAAACTCAAAGAAATTCAAGATAATGCAGAGAGAGAATTCAGAATTGTATCAGATAAATTTAACAAAGAGATTGAAATAAATAAAAGAGTCAAGCTGAAATTTTGGAGGTGAAAAATGCAATTGGCATGCAGATAAATGTATCAGAGTCCTTTAATAGCAAAACTGGTCGAGGAGAAAAAAGAATAAGTGAGCTTGAAGGCAGGGTATTTGAAAATACAGGTCAGAAGAGACAAAGGAAAAAAGAATAAAAAACAATGAAGCACACCTACAGGATATAGCCTCTAGAAAATAGCCTCTAAAAGGCAAACATAAGAGTTATTGGCTTTAGTCTGGGCATGGTGCCTCACACCTGTAATCCTAGCACTTTGGGAGGATGATGTAGGTGGATCACAAGGTCAGGAGATCAAGACTATCCTGGCCAACATGGTGAAACCCCATCTCTACTAAAGATAAAAAAATTAGCTGGATGTGGTGGTGCGTGCCTGTAGTCCCAGCTTCTCGGGAGGCTGAGGCAGGAGAATTGCTTGAGCCCAGGAGGTGAAGGTTGCAGTAAGCTGGCATCATGCTACCGCACTCCAGCTTGGGCGACAGAGCAAGACTCTGTCTCAAAAAAAAAAAATTGTAAGTACACAGAAAAACAGACTGTTATAACACTGTAACTGTAGTGTGTAAACTACACTTAACCTAAGTAGAAAGACTAAACAAAGAACTGATCAAAAATAATAACTGAAACAACTTGTCAAGACATAGTCAATACCATAAGATATAAATAGAAACAAGAAAAAGTTAAAAAGCAGGGGGACAAAGTTAAGGCATAGAGTTTTTATTAGTTTTCTTTTTGTTTGTTTGTTTATGCAAATAGTGTTAAGTTGTTATCAGGTTAAAATCACGGGTTGTAAGATAATATTTGCAAGACTCATGGTAACCCCAAACTAGAAAACATACAATGGGTACACAAAAAATAAAAAGCAAGAAACTAAATCATATCACCAGACAAAATTACCTTCACTAGAAGAAAACAGAAAGAAAAGAAAGAAGGAAGAGAAGACCACAAAGCAACCGAAAACAAATAACAAAATGGCAGGAATAAGTCCTTAATTATCAATAATAACATTAAATGTAGATGGACTAAACCCTCCAGTGAAAAGACGCAGACTGGCTGAATGAATAAAAAAAACAAGACCCATTGATCTCCGCCTACAAGAAACATGCTTCGCCTATAAAGACACACACAGACTGAATATAAAGAGATGAAAAAAAGATATGCCATGTAAATGGAAACCAAAAAAGAGCAGGAGTCTCTATATTTATATCAGACAAAATAGGTTTCAAGACAAAAACTATAAGAAGAGACAAGGTCACCATATAATGATAAAGGGGTCAATTCAGCAAGAAGATATAACAATTATAAATATATATATGCATCCAACACTGGAGAACCCAGATATATAAAGGAAATATTATTAGAGCTTAAAGAGAGAGATAGGCCCCAATACAAAAATAGCTGGAGACTTCAACATCCTACTTTCAGCATTGGACAGATATTCCAGACAGAAAATCAGCAAAGAAACATCAGACTCAATCTGCACTGTAGACCAAATGGCTGTAATAGATATTTACAGAACATTTCATCCAAGAGCTGTAGAATACACATTCTTTTATTCAGCACATGGATTAGTCTCAACGATACACCACATGTTAGGTCACACTAAAGCATTCAAAAAAATTGAAATTATATCAGGCATCTTCTCTTACCACAATGGAATAAAACTAGAAATTAATAACAAGAGAAATTTTGGAAACTATGCAAATACATGGAAATTAAACAATATGTTCCTAAATAAACCAGTGGGTCAATGAAGAAATTTAAGAAGAAAATGGAAACGTTTCTTGAAACAAATAATAATGAAAACACAATGTACCAAAACCGATGGAATACAGCAAAAGCAGTACTAAGAGCCAATTTTATAGCTATAAGAGCCTACATCAAAAAAGAGGGAAAACTTCAAATAAACAATCTAACAATGCATCTTAAAGACCTAGAAAAGCAAGAGCAAATCAAACCCAAAATCAGAAGAAAATAAATAATAAAAATCACAGCAGAAATAAATGAAATTGAAATAAAAATCAATACAAAAGATCAATGAAAAAAACAAATCGGTTTTTTAAAAAGTTAAACCACAATTGACAAACCTTTAGCCAACTAAGAAAAAAAGAGAGAGGATCCTAATAAATAAAATCAGAGATGAAAAAAGAGACATTACAACTAATACCACAGAAATTCAAAATATCATTAGTGGCTACTACGAACAACTATCTGTTAATAAGCTGGAAAATCTAGAAGAAATGACAAATTCCTAGATACATACAATCTACCAAGATCAAAGTAGGAAAAAGTCCAAAACCTGAACAGACCAATAACAAGTAACAAGATCGAGGCTGTAATAACAAGTCTCCCGGTAAAAAAAAACCCAGGACCTCATGGCTTCACTGCTGACTTCGACCCAATATTTAAAGAAGAACAAATATCAATCCTACTCAAACTATGCTGAAAAATAGAGGAGGAGGGAATACCTCCAAACTCATTCTACAAAGCTAGTATTACCCAATACCAAAACCAGACAAAGGCACATCAAAAAAAGAAAACTACAGGCCAATATACCTGATGAATATTGATGCAAAAATCCTCAACAAAATACTAGCAAAACTAATTCAACAATACATAGAAAAATCACTCATAATGATCAAGTGGGATTTATCCCTGGAACACCAGAATAGTACAACATACACCAATCAATCAATGTGAAACTTCATATCAACAGAATGAGGGATAAAAGCCATAAGATCATTTGAATTGGGCTGAAATAGCATTTGATGAAATTCAACATCCCTTTATGATTAAAACCCTAAAAAACTGGGGACAGAAGGAACATGCTTCAACATAATATAAGCCATATACAACACACCCACAGCTAGAAGGCTTAGAGGAAAGAAAATCTTTCCTCCAAAATCTGGAACATGACAAGGATGCCCACTGTCATCACTTTTATTCAACATAGTATAAGAGAACAAGACAAGGGAATGATGTAAATCAGACAAGAGAAAGATATAAAGGGCAACCATATTGGAAAGAAAGAAGTCAAATTATCCTTGTTTGCAGATGATATGATATTACATTTGGAAAAAGCTAAAGACTCCACAAGAAACAGAACTGATAAATTCAGTAAAGTTGCAGAATACAAAATCAACATATAAAAATTAGTAGCAATTATAGTACTTTCTATATGCCAACAGTAAACAATGTGAAAAAAGTAATACCATTTACAATAGCCACACATAAATACCTAGGAATTAACTTAACTAAAGAAGTGAAAAATCCCTGTAATGAAAACTATAAAACACTGATGAAAGAAATTGAAGAGGACACCAAAAACTGTACAAATATTCCATGTTCATGGATTAGAAGAATAAATATTGTTAAATGTCCATACTACCCAAAGTAGTCTACAGATTCAATGCAATACCTATCTAAATACCAATGACACTCTTCACAGAAATAAAAAAAAATTCTAAAATTTATATGGAACCACAAAAGACCCAAAATAGCCCAAGCTGTCCCAGCAAAAATAACAAAACTGGAGGAATCACATTCTCTTACTTCAAATTATACTACAGAGGTATAGTAACCAAAACAGCATGGTACTGGCATAAAAACAGACACATAGACCAATGGAACAGCATAGAGAATCTGGAAGCAAATCCACAGACCTACAGTGAACTCATTTTTGACAAAGATGCCAAGAACCTGTATTGGGGAAAAGATGATCTCTTCAATAAAGAGTGCTGGGAAAACTGAATATCCACATGCAGAAGAACAAAACTAGATCCCTAACTCTCACCATATACAAAAATCAAATCAAAATGGATTAAAGACTTAACTCTAAGACCTCAAACCATTTAACTACTACAAAAAAACATTGGGTAAAATCTTCAGAACATCGGTCTGGGCAAAAAATTCTTGAGCAATACCCCACAAGCACAGACAACCAAATAAAAAAAGGACAAATGGGATCACATCAAGTTAAATATCTTTTTCATAGCAAAAGAAACAATCAACAAGATGAAAAGACAATGCATAGAATGGGAAAATGAGAAAATACTACTCATCTAAAAAAGGGATTAATAACCAGAATATATAAGGAGCTCAAACAACTTTATAGGAAAAAAATCTAATAATTCTATCAAAAAATGGGTAAAAGATTTGAATAGACATTTCTCAAGAGAAGACATACAAATGGCCAACAGCCATATGAAAAGGTGCTCAATATCACTGATCATCAAAGAAATGCAAATTAAAACTACAATGAGACATCATCTCACCCCAGCTAAAATAACTTATATCCATAAGACAGACAATAACAAATGTCGATGAGGTTGTGGAGAAAAGAGAACCCTTCCTTATACACTGTTGATAGGAACGCAAATTAGTACAACTACTATAGAGAAGAGTTGGAGATTCCTAAAAAACTAAAAATTGAGCTACCATATTGATCCTGCAATCTCACTGCTGGGTATAGGCCCAAAAGAAAGGAAATCAGTATATTGAAGTGATATCTGCACTCTATGTTGGGTGCAGCACTGTTTACAATAGCTAAGATCCGGAAGCAGCATAAGTGTCCATCAACAGACGAATGGATAAAGAAAATGTGGTACTAAGATACAATGGACTACCTTTCAGGCATAAAAAAAGAATGAGGCTGGGTGTGGCTCAGAAGTATGAACAGGCTCAGGCCTGTAATCCCAGCACTTTGGGAGGCTGAGGTGGGCAGACCGTTTAAGCCCAGGAGTTCAGGGGCTGCCTGGGCAACATGGCGAAACCCCATCTCTACAAAAAATGGAAAAATTAGTCATGCAAAGTGGTGCACACCTGTAGTCTGAGCTACTTGGGAGGCTGATGTGGGAGGATCACCTCAGCCCAGGAGGACGAGGCTGCAGAGAGCCATGATCATGCCACTGCACTCCAGTCTGGGTGACAGAGTGAGACCCTGTCTCAAAAAAAAAAAAAAAAAGAATGAAAAGAAAGATCCACTCATTTGCAACAACATTGTTGGAACTGGAGACTATTATGTTAAGTGAAATAAGCCAGGCACAGAAAGACAAACATCACGTGTTCTCACTTATTTGTGGGATCTGAAAATCAAAACAATTGAACTGGTGGACATAGAGAGTAGAAGATTGGTTACCAGAGGCTGGGAAGGGTAGTGGAAGGCTGGGGCGGCGGGGGAGGTTGGGGAAGGTTGGGGATGGTTAATAGGTACAAAAAAATTTAGAAAGAATGGATATCTACTATTTGACAGCACAACAGGGTGACTATAGTCAATTATAATTTAATTGTACATTTTAAAATTTAAAAAAAGAAATCTATGTTCCCACGAATACACATGGCATTGTCATATCCATGATCTCTCAACCTGTTTGGAACAAGAGTTTATCCTTGTTTGGTCCCCTCACCAATAGGAAGAGTTTATCTACAATAAGTTTCTGAAAAAAAATCACAGTCTGAGCTATCCTTTGAAAGTTAAAATTTCTTACACTGTAACTGACTCAAGTCTGTCTACTTGCTGCTCAGAGGCTAAAAACAAGAGATGCAAGTTTTGGTGAAAGAAAAGCAACTTTATTCAAATGCTAGCAGTTGGGGAATGGCCGTGCCTATGTCCTTAAAAGACCATTCCAAACTTCAGGCTGAGGAGAGGGAATTAAAAAGGGGAAGGTGGAATGGGAGGCATGCGTAACTGGTGTGAGATACAAGGTCTGTGTGTCATGTTCCAGGGGCTATCTTGAGTCATGGACCACATGGAGCCTGGGCTGGTGTCATTTCAACCATGGCCAGGGCTGATGCAGTGGCTCATGCCTATAATTCCTGCGTTTTGGGAGGCCGAGGTGGACAGATCTCCTGAGGTTGGGAGTTCGAGACCAGCCTGACTAACATGGAGAAATCCCATCTCTACTAAAAAATACAAAATTAGTCGGGCATGGTGGTGCATGCCTGTAATCCCAGCTACTTGGGAGGCTGAGGCAGGAGAATTGCTTGAACCCGGGAGGCAGAGGTTGCGGTGAGCCAAGATCACGCCATTGCACTCCAGCCTGGGCAAGAACGAAACTCCGTTTCAAAACAAACAAACAAAAAAGAGTGTACCATTGTTTAACATTCAAATTACTGGCCATGACCTAGAAAGATTGCTAATAGAGTCTCTGAGGCCTTTTTTCTCTTTGGGTTTTTCTTTACATTCTTCAATTATGATTGATAAGAAAGTAGAAAATAAATTCTTAACCTGTTCCATCAATGATATACTACTACTTACTTTTTGATTCATTAATGATGATCTGGTTTTTGTTGCCCAAGCTGGCCCTGAACTTCTAAGCTCAAGAGATCCTCCTGCCTCAGCCTCCTGAGTAACATGACAACATGATCTGTTTTATATGAAGTACTTATGGATTTAAACTGGGACCCAGCAATAGGATATTGGTATAGTAAAGAAATGGAAGAAAATCTGAGCTGCAATATAAAATGTCAAATTTAGCCAGTATACCAGTACCAATGGGAGATTTTTTTAAATTTTCAAGACATTTGATAATCATTACATCAGCCAGAAAAATAGCTCTTTGTTTATAAGCATGGGTTATTTTAGCTATTAAATCAATGAGATTTTTCAGTTATCAAATTTGTACCTCTTTTATAAGCAAAATATCAATCAGGTTAGAAAATGGCCCTTCCATCTGTTAGAAAATTCTACTGATTTTGTTAGAATAAGATACATTAGTGCCATCTGTTGGAAAATTATCACTATAATTATACAAATCATCTGAAATAATTAAGATATCTGTCTTAGTCATCTATTATTCCTTAACTACCTGACAACTTAGCAAACTTAAACAATAATATGTTTGGTATCTTACACAGATTATCGGGATCAGCAATTGGAAGCCTCTTAAATGTCAAGTTCTTGGCTACAATCTTAAGATTGTAGCCAAGATGTTAGCCTAGGCTCCAGTTATCTGAAGACTTGACTGGAGCTGGAGAATCTGCTTCCATCACAGCTCCCTCACATGGCTGTTGGCAGGAGGCTTCAGTACCTCACCCAATGGGCCCCCACCTAGGTCAGCTTAAGTGTCCTAACATTGTGGCATCATGCTGAAAAGCAAGTGGAATATTCTTATAGTGTCTTTCCTATTATTCTATTTAACATGTAAACAATTAATTGAGAGATGAAAATCTAGAGGCTTGAATTATAAAATAAAGTTTTCATAACAGGTCATATCGTACTGTTTAGAAAAGGGTGGCTTAGTCCAAACCAAAATACTTAGAAAACCTAGGAAGGTAGGTCCCAAACTTAGAATGTGGCTAGTGAAGTGATAAGAAACATGCCTTGATCCATATGAGATAGACCATGGGCACAAATCCAGAATTTCATTTAGTTTTATGAAGTTATAGTGGCCTCGGTCAGGATTAAAATAAAACAAAATAAATAAATAAATAAATAAAACAAGTTGTCTTCCTATTCCCCTTGAACTGAAAGCAGAGTTAGGGAAAACATGAAAACTCATAGAAATTTAAGATTTAGTTGCAATTATATCTTTGAGTGTATTTTTTGTTTACAGTTTTAACTCTTCTAATAAAAATTGTCTGTAATGTGAAATTAAACCCTATTGATTCAAACCAATAGATTCTTTTCCCAATGAGAGGTGGTTACCAGAACAGTGAGTTGCCTAACTCACAAAAAAATCACCTAGTAAGGTATTGGGGCACTAACTCAAGAGGAAAATAATAAAAGAGAATAAGGCTTCTAACAAGAGAGTGGGCAGTGCAATATTCCAGGCAGTAATTAGCTCTGGAAATATGATGTGTGAAATAACACTTGTTTGGGGCAAATTTTGGACCAAGCCAGGGGCTTTTTCACTATATTTAAGACCCAGGGTCGGCTGGGCATGGTGGCTCATGCCTGTAATCCCCACACTTTGGGAGGCCGAGGCGGGTGGATCACTGAAGGTCAAAAGTTCGAGACCAGCCTGGCCAACATGGTGAAACCCTGTCTCCACTAAAAAAACCAAAAAACCAAAAAAACAAAACCCCAAAATTAGCTGGGTATAGTGGCAGGAGTCTGTAATCTCACCCACTGCAGAGGTTGAGGTGGGAGAATTGCTTGAACCTGAGAGGTAGGAGATTGCAGTGAGCCAAGGTCGTGCCACTGTACTCCAGCCTGGGCGACAGACTCCATCTCAAAAAACAAACAAACAAACAAAAAAACCCAGGGTTGTTTGCAGTCAGAGCAGTACCATTTGGCTGAAGGCATCTGTATTTAGGCAGACGTGATGGCAAGAAAGAGTTACTTGGCATAAAACATAAATGTAATCAAGAGTATTAAAATGCTATCAACGACATCAACTCATCGGTCATTCTCACACATTGCATGTGATTTGGCCTTACTACTATGGATTTCGCTAATGTTTCAGCTGCCTGTTCTTCGTGCTATTATTTTTACAAGGAAATGGAGGTTGAGAGAAGGGAGAAAAAGGCTGCTGCCTTAGTTCCCGAATCGGCCAAGGCTTTTTACATTTTTTACTTTTGATCCAAATTATCCTGGAATCAGATTCACAGCATATTGGTCAAGGTTTTGTTTTCTGTTGGCAAATAAAGACAGCATCCCATACTTTCAAATAGAAAAGATGTGTTTCTCTCCCTACGGAGCACACTGGAGACAGAAAATACTTGTCTTAGTCAATTCAGGTTGGTGCTGCTATTAGGTTGGTGCAAAAGGAATTGTGGTTTTGGCCATTAAAAGTAACAAAATACCTTAGACTGGGTAATTTATAAACAACAGAAATTTATTTCTCACAGTTAGGGAAGTTCAATATGAAGGCGCCAGAAGATTGAGTGTCTGAATCCTCATATTCCTCATAGATGGCACCTTCTGTCTATCCTCAGGTGAAGGAAGGGGCAAACAAGATCTCTCTGGCCTCTTTTATAAGGGCACTAATTCCATTCATGAGAGCTCTCACCTCATGACCTAATCACCTTACAGATGCCCTACCTCCCAACACCACTGCACTGGTGATTAAATTTCAACATACGAATTTTCAGGGGGCACAAACATTCAGACCATAGCAATACTTTAGATATAAATCCATAAAACTAACCTAAAACAGAAATGAAATAGCCAAAAAGGCAACAAGCCTTTGAAATAGCCAAAAAGGCAACAAGCCTTTGAAATTTTGCCTTAAGTTCTTATTTAACTCTTTACGTTTATGGACACTGATGTTCTCATTTATCTTTCATTATTAGTGGCATTGCTGTTGAATTCTAAGTTTTTAAAAATGCCTTTATTGAATTCTAAGTTTTTAAAAAGGCCTTTATTTTAAATCCAGATATTTATTATCTTATTACTCTGCTGCGTCAACTGTTAAATGTCAATTAAGGTAGTTAGCATACATAAACAAAACTAATTGAGATCAAGTATTAATTGATATTAAGAGCTATCAAAGACTTTTCAAAAAAATTAAGTAGAACAAATTTGGTGAGTCTATTTTTGGAACGCTGCTTAGTTTACATAAGGACTAACATAAGATACATTAACCATACATACTCATTATGGGATATTTCAGTTGCAATTTAATATTTACACTACATTTAGTTAGGCCCCAATACCCTTACAATTAATTTTCCTTTTCTTCTCTCCTTCTCCTCTTCCCTTCTCTTTCTCTCTCTCTTTCTTTCTTGAGACAGTGTCTTGCTCCATCACCCAGGCTGGAGTGCACTGGGGATCATAGCTCACTGCAACGTTGAACTCCTGGGCTCAAGCAATCCTCCAGCCTCAACCTCCCAAAAAGCTGGTACTAAAGGTGCACGCCACCATGCCCAGTTAATTTTTAATTTTTGTTGTTGTTGTTGTAGAGATGGGGATCTCCCTATGTTGCGCAGGCTAGTCTAGAACTCCTGGACTCAAGGGATCCACTCTCCTCGGCCTGTCAAAGTCCTGGGATTACAGGCTTGAGCCACCACACCCAACCTCTTCAGGCCATTTTAATAGTCATTTCACAAAGAGCTTCACATTTCCCAGGGTGCAATCAGGTTCCTGGGTCCCCTCTTCACTCTGCATTGGAACAGAGTTGATAAGCCCTTGTGAATGTGCTTGGTTTTCAGCAATTTCTCTTCTGAGCCTGTATTTTTACCCTTCTCATTCTGGTGCTTGAATTTTTCTCTCACCAAAACCTGGAAACACAGCTTTTACTTCATATTCTTTCTAATTATGTGGCATGAAGCTGGGCAAGGAACCCTACAGCATGCTTGGAGCTCCAATCCATAGTACGGAGGCACAAGCTTGCTCCAGAGCCTCATTCCTCTTTCAGGTTTCTGGTAGCAGAGCTCCAATCTGTAATAATACCTTGTTAATGAACTGAAAAATGGTTTTTCCTCTCTTTAATACTGGTCATTTAACACCTTTCCATCGTTTACTGAAGAAGAGGAAGGGACAGTCTCAAAATTCCACCTACCCTCTACTCAATCTTCCCCATCTCTAAGTCCACAGAAGCCACAGACACAGGACAAGCTCACAAGCTAATATAAGCCATTATACTATTTTTTTTCCTCCAAGACTTAAAAAATTGGTGATTTCCAGCCATGTGCTTAGCTTCTCCTACTTAGCTCAGTAAAGTAATCTTTACTTAAAATTATATATGAAATAGAAAATTATTTAATATTTTCATATAGTGTTAATACAATTTGATTTCAGTATATACAAAAACAGCGGGTCACTTTTGGAATTGATGAACCTTTTAATTATGATACATTACATATATTTTAAACAAACATTTGCCATTATGACAGGTGACATAGACACATTTATCTATAAAGCATTAATTTTAAAAAGAAAATTGTTGGATGCTTGAGAAGTAGGAATTTTATGTGTCAATGATGTCCTTTTGTTTTCCATTAAAGGGAACCTGCTGTATGTATAAAAACATTTTTGAGTCTCTGTTTCTAAATAGTGTTTTCTCAGTTAGTTTTGAAAATCACAGTCTCAAAGGCTAGCATTATTCAAAGGATAAAAATTAAACTTGGTATTATTGAATGTAGTTTAGTGATATGCAGTAGGGGCTCAAAATAGCAGTGGCTTACACAGATAGAAGTTCTTTCTTATCTGAGTGAAGCATGAAGAATTGCACTCATCCTTCACTCACATGGTGATATGGTTTGGCTCTGTGTCCCCACCCAAATCTCATATTGACTTGTAATCCCCATAATCCACATGTGTCAAGGGAGGAACCCGGTAGGAGGTGACTGGATCTTGGGGTTAGCTTTCCCATGCTGTTCTCATGATAGTGAGTGAGTTCTCACAAGATCTGATAGTTTTATAAGGGGCTCTTCCCTCTTCACTACTCACACTTCTCTCTCCTGCCACCATGTGAAGAAGGTCCTTGCTTCCTCTTCACCTTCCACTATGATTGTAAGTTTCCTGTGGCCTCCCCAGCCATGTGGAACTGTGAGTCAATTAAACTGCTTTCCTTTATAAATTACCCAGTCTCAGATATTTCTTTATAGCAGTGTGAGAACAGACTAATATACATGGCCACCCCTGGCAGCACGAGGATGAGAAATGAAGACTTTATTCAGGATGGCCAGATGCGCAGTTAACTGAGAGAGTACTGGAGAATGGTTGTTGAAGCTTTCAGTTGGTCATAATCACACATTGTAAAACACTTTCTCAGGTAAAATTTAATATAGGAACTAGCAGAGGCACTAACCTTTTGAGTTTTCATGGAACTAGGCTTCTTCACTGTTGTATTTACATACACTACATATACATACACACATATATAGTATGTATACATATGTGTGTATATACATTGTATATATATTGTACATATATACATATGTACAAATGGTACAGCATATACACATATATGTGTATATATAATTTATATATTTAATTGTTTAATACTTTTTATTAAACATTTTTATTAAATGTTTTATTAAAAATTAAACATTAATATGTTAAATTTTATTGGCATTTAAGATAACCTAAATAGCATTTTATTGATATTACTATTAAATAGACGCAAACTATTGTCAGCAGAATTATTAAGATAAGTTGGGTGATTTTCCCCTTGAGGGACTGAATATACAAACTGACTCTATACGACAACAGAATTGTCACACACAATGTCTGTAGCAACTAGTTGGAGAAACTATCTTAGTCCCTTTGGGCTGCTATAACAAAATACCATCAACTGTGTAGACTGAAAAAAAGAAAACTAGAAATTTATTTATCATAGTGTTGATGACTGGGAAAACCAAGATCCAGGTGCTGGCAGATTTAGTGCCTGGTGACGGCCTGCTTCCTGGTTCACAAATGGAGCCTTCTCACTGTGTCCTCACATGGTAGAAAAGACAAACGAGCTCCCTTGGGCCTATTTTATCAGAAAACTAATCCCATTCTGTGGAGGTGTTATGACCTAATCACCTCCCAAATGGCCCTACCTCCTAAAACCATTAACTTGAGAGTTAGAATTTCAATATATGAATTTGGAGGAGACACAGACATTCAAACCACAGCAGGAGCTATACCACAACCTCTGCAGCAACAGCTCAGTATGGTCACAACTCGGTCAATGACTGCTTACTTCCCTATTTTTTGCATCAGGACAACTTTCAATTCAGGATCAACCAGAGAAAGCCAAATATACTTCCCAAACCAGTCATCCTAGATGTCTTATTTTTATTTAGCCTGCCTCCAGTTCCTCTATGTGAATGAGCTCTACTCAGAGCACAATACTATAAAGCTTTTCCAGTTCCCACTCTACCACTGTCCTACTTTGCCAAGAGCAAGTGACGATAGCTAAGTCCCTCAATATAACAAGTTCTGAATAAATAGCACCTGTTTGTTCTTGTTTGGGTGACCTTCATTTATTTCCACGATCTCAATAAGCTACCATCCTTGAGCTACAGGTTTCATCTTTTACTTTTATGCAATTTAGTCTAATTAATCTGCCATATCACACATTGACTGTATAATACTATGTAAGCCACTCTATCTTCTATGTCTGTTTCTCTGCAAAATGGAGACAAATATTACCCCCTTCACAAGGGCTAATGTGAGGGCCAATGAGTCAAAACATAAAAAACTTGAAACACTACATGCAACTAATAAACTTTAGTTATGATTATCATTATCATCACTATCATCATCAAAATACAAATCTTCTTTCATCTAAATTGTATCTGAGTACCTGGGATCTCTGTGAGTCCAAAATCAGGGTTCAATGATAAATATATGTTTTATTTTTCACCCTGAAGATTGTATAGTGTGTGTGTGTGTGTGTGTGTGTGTAAAATTAGCTGAAATTTGTTAAATTTAAAAGATGATGAATTTGTTGAAAGTATACTTCTTTGTCTTTCTATAATATGTGTATATATTCTTGTGGTGACCATGAAGCTATGACACTCAGATCTACTATGGCAGCCCCAGCTGTAGCCCCTCTGGATCCACCTCCCCATCCCTCCATCCTCTCATCCCTACTCCCCACTTACTCCATATTTGTGCTTAGGGCCAACTTTTCTCAGGCTACTCCCAGCAGGCAGTGGTACTAGTGCAGGAACACTCTCATGGAATATACTACTCATCTAATGAGCAACTTTGGCTTAAAGATGCCCCATCAGCCCAGCCAAAACTTTCTCAGAGCTCTGCTACAAACTGAAATTCTTCTTTCATAATCCTCCATCCTTCCCTTGTCTTTACAAATGTTAGTTCTGCCTCTCTGTCTCAAGTCACTCCCTCCTTACTCATGCTTCCTCCCTTTATTTTTATTCATGTATTTTTTTTTTTTTTTTTGAGATGGAGTCTCGCTCTATTGCCCAGGCTGGAGTGCAGTGGTGCGATCTTGGCTCATTACAAGCTCTGCCTCCTGGGTTCATGCCATTCTCCTGCCTCAGCCTCCCGAGTAGCTGGGACTACAGTCACCCGCCACCACGCCTGGCTAATTTTTTGTATTTTTAGTAGAGATGGGGTTTCACTGTGTTAGCCAGGATGGTCTCGATCTCCTGACCTTGTGATCCACCCACCTCGGCCTCCCAAAGTTCTGGGATTTCAGGCATAAGCCACTATGCCTGGCCCCTTTATTCTTCACAGTTAGTCCCTCCAGTAAATATCTCGCATGCTTGACCCTGTCTTGGTGTCTGTTTCTGTGGGGACACAAACACAATATGTAAATAAAACACAAAATAGCTAAATTATATTATTGCAATCTCTACCATAGGTTCTGGTTTAGAATCAAAGTGCATAAGATATACTCGTTATATAAAGGTAATTGCAGGTCCATAAGTAACTTCATTGTGAGTTCAATTATAAATCTAGAATTAAAATTCAGTTTACTTCCAGATATCATGATTCACCAATTCTTATTACTGAAAGAACTGTAATAAAAGAAAATTCAGTGATAAGGAATTTAGGTTTGAAATGTTCAGCAAGCTGTGACAAAAATGACAAGCAAGAGCAAGCTGCAAAGCTTACAGTCTTACACAGTTCTTACTGTCAAGGTCTCTGTTCTGTAATTCCTGATTCTCTTACAAAATAATAAGTGGAAAATTCCATTGACTTAACATTCTTCTCTTTTGTGTCTGAAAGCGAGACTTACAAAATCTCCACTTCTTTCCACTAATGAAGACCCTGAAGTGGCCTATATTGATAGGGCAAAACCAAAAGTGCACTCTTTTTCAGAACACAACTCAGTGGGCCTTCTGACCAGTGACAGAGTTACAGGGCTTCCTCCTTACATGCGTTCTGGAGCACTTACCATTCAGAGAAGATTAAGTTCAAC
Organism: Homo sapiens; assembly: GCF_000001405.40. NCBI lineage: Eukaryota > Metazoa > Chordata > Mammalia > Primates > Hominidae > Homo > Homo sapiens. Next base: position 143,504,647 of record NC_000004.12, read on the forward strand.
ACCAGGTACTTTGAGATGAATCAGAAACTAAAAAAAGTTTCTTTGAATTTATAAGATACTAAGTCCATACCATCTTTCATAATGAGTTATTATAGAATAATAATTATATACCTACAAGTGTTAAGAATCAAATTTTCAAAAGGCCAAAATTAATCTCCAGCTCTCAAAAAAACATACTTCAAATACATTTTAACTGAATAACTCAATTTCAAGTGCAACTGGGCTTAGAATTGGCAACTTGGATAAAAATTGAACCATGAATGAAAATTAAAAGGATCATAATGCTTGAATGGGAACATTAATAGATTTTTCTATCAAAGATAGTTTACTTTTCTGCAACATAAATAGACCATAAACATATGCTAGAGATTCCAGTCAATTCTTTGCACTAATTTACTCTTCTTTCTAAGAGAGCCTCCATTCTCGGTTGCTGCTCAAGAGGTGGCCTAGGTAGCCATGTTTATATCTAGTGGCCTGATCCCTATTCATACCTAACGAATCTGGGATTGGCACCTGACCTAAACTGAACTGATCTGTCTCTGGACCTTGAGATTTGTAATTGAAACACTGGTTGTTATCTATGAGGTACTATAATGCACAGCCAGTTGGAGTTGGAACAGACTAAACACAATGCACTTACTTAGAAGCAGAGAAACCAAGAGAAAGCAAAGAAAGCTATTCTGGAGAGATGCAGAATGACAAAAATATATGCTGCAGTGGTTACCAGCTTGCATATGGGTTGAATTTCAGTTCTTTTACTTAGTGTAAAATAAAGACAAATTAACTAGTAGGTTACTTACAAGTCCAAATGAGAATTATTTACAATAAAACTAAAACAATAGCACATAGGGGAAAACATGGGCTTAAATAGAAAATCATGAACTGTCTTGACTCCAGAAGACAGACTTTTGGGTTTTCTGACTCTATGTGAGCTATTTTACAACTCTGTAAATTGTAAATAACTTATACAAGTGCAAAATAATTCTCGTCTGTACATACGCAAGTGTTGTCCTATGCATTAGAAGGTAAACTGACTTCCTTCCCCTAGTGTGGAAGAAGATAATTTTACCTCCACTTCCACATTAATTTCAACTTTTCTTTACCCAATATAAATTTGTTTTTCCATTTTTAATCTTTAAACTGTTGTTAACACCTCACTAACTTCCGTATTAGTGAGTTAAATAAAATCTTTAACAAGTGTTCTTTTTTATGTATGTATGAGAATCATGCTTTTACTTTTTTAAAAAATTTCTTTTAACAGTTTTGGGAGTTTTCCACAAACATGTCCACTGGATTCACTTAACAAGACCAGGTGTATTAGTCTGTTTTCACACTGCTATAAAGAAATACCGGAGACTGGGTAATTTATAAAGGAAAGGTTTAATTGACTCACAGTTCTGAATGGCTGGAGAGGCCTCATGAAACTTACAATCATGGTGGAACAGGAAAAGGCACATCTTACATGGCAGCAGGTGAGAGAGAGAGGAGCGAAGGGGAAAGAGCCCCTTATAAAAACCATCAGGTCTTGTGAGAACTCACTTGCTATCACAAGAACAGCATGGGGGAACTGCCCCCATGTGCCAGTCACCTCCCACCAGGTCTCTCCCTAGACATGAAGGGATTATGGGGATTACAATTCAAGAGCAGATTTGGGTGGGGATACAGCCAAACCATATCACCAGGTAAACTGTCACCAGAGAAGTGCATCTCATGGGTAGTTTAAGCCCAGCATGTCTTGGCTTCCAGAAGTAAATCCAAAGCAGCAATATAAATTTGCTGATGATGTTTTTCTATTTTTAGTTTTCTTCTCTACTAATTTTATGGGTTTTTTTTGTTCTTTTGCAGCTGATAAGTTATTTCCCATTAGTGGCAGCAATAACTGGCAATTTGATTTTTATGATCTGACCATTTGATTTCTGTAGAAGAATTTGTGGCTAATAAAGATCTATTCTCTGCTGAGTGAGAGACAACAAAGTGTTGGATTTGTTAGTCTTTTGGTTTGTCAATTTATCTATTTAGGGCTTAAATCAATTAAGAATTTCCTGTCTATCAGGAAGAACAGCTCTTTAGTATCTGAACTGGAAAGTTATTTTGATATTGTATTTACTCTTGACCAATGGCTGAAATTTTAGAATTAAAACTCTAAGTGCTATCTATCTCTGTCTATATACGTGTCTATAATTCAGAAAAAATTTTACTTTCCTTTTGTGAGTGCGTAATGTTTTCCATCTCAGGATGTAATCAATAAGTTCAATTACAAACTCTTAAAGGGGCCTGTTCTGATTGACTAATAAAGATACTTACATGGATTGAGTATTCCAAAAATTCCCAGAAAATAATAAACTTCTAATAATTTAAACGTGCTAAAATCTAAAAGAAAAGTATTCTTACTGAAACTAACAAGTAGAGAAGCCATGTTCACAAAGTGTAGGTGAATCTTTGGCAAACAAGACTAATTTAATATTTTTGTTTTAATAAAATCATCTATGTCTTATCTAATTTATCAATATTAAGTATAATAAAATCCTATAATAATTTTAGTTGGGAATGTTTTTCCTAAATTTATACTGATTTATTGATCAAATAAACTAGCATTACTTCCACTTTATGGTTAAAGATTATGAAAAATATAAATTTGTATTTGGCCAAATTGGTTCATTATTCTGATTTTCAACAAAAGTTTTATGTCAGTTTGAAGAGAATTTCAGTGATCTCTATTTTTCCTTTTCAGCACTGTGTTGAATATGAATGTTATAAGCAGAAAACCTTCCCTGTTTCAGATCTTAGAGGGAGAGGATTCAATCTCACTAAGTATAATGTTTGCTGTAGGTATTTTGCTGATGCTCTGTATTAAGAGGAGGAAGTTCCACTCTATTTGTTTTCTCTTTTTTTTTTTTTTTCTGAGAGTTTTGTTCTAAATGGGTGTTGGAATTTTGTCAAATGCTTTTTCCTCATCAGTCAATATAATCATGTGAGTTTTCTTCTCTAGCCTGTTGATATGGCAGACAACATTGACTAATACTCAAATATTGAATCAGTGTTGAATATCTGGAATAAATCACATTTGATCAGGGTGCATAATTCTTTTTACACATTGTTTAATTGTATCTGATAATATTTTGTTAAGGATTTGTCTGTATTCATCAGTGATACTGGTCTGTCATTTTCTTTCTTATGTAGTGTCTGTCTGATTTGGTATTAGAGATAAAGCACCTTCATAAAATGAATTACAAAGTGTATCATCCTCTTCTATTATCTGCAGGAGATAGTATGGAATTGGTATTAATTCATCTTTAAATATTTGGTAGAATTTTTCATTGAAACCATCTGTGCCTGAAGATTTCTTCTTTGGGAGTTTTTAATTTATCAATTTAATTTCCTAAATAGTTACAGTGCTATTCATATGATCTTTTTATACTGTTTAAGTGGCTTGAATTTTTCAAGGAAGTGGTTTTAAGTTGTCAAATTTATGTGTGTCGTACTCCTTACTACCCTTTTGATGTTTTCAAGGTCTACAATGATAGGTCCTGTTTTATTCCTGATATTAGTGATTTGAGCTTTGTTTCTTCCTTCCTTCTTACCCTCTCTTTTTTTCCTTTCTTCCTTTCTTGTCAGACTTCCTAGAGGTTTGCCAATTTTACGTATCTTTTCAAAGAACCAGTTTTTGCTTTTTATTTTCCGTATTTAATTTTATTGACTCCTGCTCTTACCTTTATTATTTCCTTCCTTTTGTTTACTTTGGATTTATCCTTGCTCTGCTTTTTTTAGTTTTTTGAGGTGAAAGCTTACATTTGAGACTATTCTCTTTTCTGAATGTAAGCATTTAGTGTATAATTTCCCTCTAAGCACTGTTTTAGCTGTGTTCCACAAATTTTAATATATTGTATTTTTATTCTGTTCAATGTACTTTTTGATTTCTCTTGAGACCTCTCTTTGACCCATGGATTATTTAGAAGCACGTCATTTAGTTTGAATATATCCCTGGTAACATTTTGTTACTGATTTCTGGTTTGACTCCATTGTGGTTAAAAAACATACTCTGTATGATTTCACATCTTTTAAATTTGTTAAGGTTTATGGTCTATCTTGCTATATTTTCTGTGGGTTCTTGAAAAGAATGTGTATAGTCCTACTTTTGTAGAAGAAAAAAATATGTGCAGTGTTGTATAAATGTCAATTAGATCCTATTGGCTGTTGTTAAGTTCTTCTATACCCTTGCTGGTTTTCTGCCTAGTTGTAGTATCAGTTGTTGAGAGATGCTGTAGTCTCCACATATAATTGTGGATTTGTTATTTCTAATTTCAGTTCTGTCACCTTTTGCTTCACATATTTTGCAGCTCTGTTGTTTGGTACATATACATTTAAAATTGCTATGTCTTCTGGGTTGACACTTTCATCATTATATAATGTCCCTCTTTGTCTCATAATTTTCTTTGCTCTGAAGTCTACTTTATCTGATAATGATATAGCCACTCCTGTTTTCTTTTTGCTATTGTTTTAATGATATATATTTTCCATCTTTTTACTTTCAATATTTTGAGCAAAAGACTGCCTAATTTCCTTTGTCTGAAGTTCCTTTTAATAAATGAGATAAAAACTAAATAAAAAAACTCTAATTTCTTAATTGAAGCTTTGTAGTTTATTATTTCAAAAATGTTTCAAAGATGGTGGTTAAAATTTAACTTTGGATCATAATATTTGAGTTCCTAGAAATACTTTACCTAGAACCAGCCCAACAAAAAAGAAATTATTTTTTCATGAGCAGGAAGAAATGCAGAGAAAACCTGAAAAACTTTGACTACATAAACATATGCATATATACCGAGCAGACACAAAGTCTCCCACTATTTAGTTGGTGACTAAATATGAGGGGAATGAAGGGAATATATCCTTACCTGTTTATTAACAGTACAGTTAATGTTTCTCTTTAACTGAAATCTCTGTACATTGACAAATGACCTATGTGGGAGAACTCTAAAAAAGATACATACAACATGTAATCATTGGTATCTGGTGTTGGAAATACCCATTCTTAGATACAAACTCAATACAGTTTTATTGTCTTGCAGTAATCAGACTTTATTTTCTTAAGCTTTGACAAAATGAGTTGCAATGAAGAGAGGTGTTGCATTTCTTCTTTGTCCTTGAGAAAACTTTAACTCCTTTCTGTTACCATTCAAGGACACAATGCTGAGAGAGCCCTGGCTCTTCGGCACATTTTTGTCCTCTGGCAACATCTCTTTGTTCCATTGTATTTCTGTACTGTACTTGCTGTTCTAGCACATTAAATCTAACAGAGGAAATTTTAGGTGTAAACTATGTATATACATATTGGAGATAGAACACTAACATTATTTTACACTGTAGCATTCTGTTGCTGGGAATACGACTAAAGCTCTAATCCTTTCTGGTGTTTTCTTGCTACCAAACCCCTTACCCTCCTCCTTCTTTGGTTCCTCTTCTTTCAACTAGACTCTAAACCTTAGGCTTATGATTCTCAAGGATAAGACTAACACTTGAACCCAGAACTCACTATATGTCAGGCACTGTATCATGTACCTTATACTGTCTCATTTAATTTTTATGACATCATAATATTATCTCAAAATAAAGCTAGGAAAATATAATAATAAAAAGATGAGAAAATTGATTTCAAAGAGGTTAGATAACTTGTCTGCATTCACACAGCTACTAAGTTCCAGAGCCTGCACTGGAATCTAGGCTTGCCTGCTCCCCAACCCACTCTTTTACCAACACATGAATTCTGTATTATGTGATCAATTCAACAACTAGCTGCTAGTTTTAGCCTTTTAGCAGGATTTTGTGATTTGGCCACCATATTAGTATTGCTATCTGCCTGAGGAACACAGCTAATGTCCCTGTAGCTGTTTCTAGGCTTCATGTCTTTTCTGTAGCTCTTCTCTGCTTTTCCTTTCTGGTTCTAAACTCTGCCAAAAATCTTTTTCTCTGTCACTTATGCTAGATAACTGAGTTCGAGCATTCTGTGTCCTCTTGCTAGTTTCCATCTTTTCTCTATAATTTTCCCCCGAATGATTCTAATACAGCTTTCATATGATCATATGAGAAACTCACATGTAAATGCACATGTTAAAAGACAATCGCCATTTTGGAGGCAATTTTTATTTATTTATGTGCATTGTTTTCCTTGCTATTTATTGCTTTCCTTAAATAGTTATCAGACTTAAGATCCTTTCATTTATATACCTACATATAACTTTAGGGTTTCCAGACCAAGACCCAAGATTTCTACCTAAGACTATAAAAAGTGAAGAAACATTTCGAATGCTAAATTAATGTTTTAGTCTATTTAATGTAAATATAAAAATATTATTCATCAAGTATTTATTAAGTATGTGTCAGGTTCCACCCTAGACACCACTTTCTTACCCTTCCACATAATTTTTTTTCGGTGAAAGAACATTTTTTAAAATTAAAAATAAGCTTTCTAAAAATGGGGAGATGTTGGTCAAAGGATACAAAGTTTTGGTTATACAAGATGAATAATTTCTGGAGATGTAATGCACAGCATGGTAACTATTGTTAATAATACTGTTTGCATAGTTGAAATTTGTTGAGAGTAAATCTTAAATGTTCTCACCATGCTGGCAGGCAGTAAATATAAGAGGTGATGTATATGCTTATTAGCTTGATTGCGGTAATCATTTCACAACGTGTTTATATATCAAAACATCACATTGTATGCCTTAAATATATACAATTTTGTGAATTATACCTCAGTAAAGCTGAAATTTTTTTAAAAAAAGTTTTCTTAATACAATAATAGGCAAATTCGGCAGCCTGGCACAGTGGCTGTCACCTGTAATCCCATCACTTTAAGAGACTGAGGCAGGTAGATGGCTTGAGCCCTAATTGTTGTTCAGGACCAGTATGGGCAACATGGCGATCCCTGTCTACACCCAAAAAATACAAAAATTAGCTGGGCTTGGTGGCATGCACCTGTAGTCCCAGCTACTTGGGAGGCTGAGGTGGGAGAATTGCTGGACCCCAGGAGGCTGAGGCTGCAGTGAGTCACGACTGTGACACTGCACTGCAGCCTAGGAGACAGGGCAAGCCACTGTCAAAAAACAAACAAACAAACAAACAAAAACAAAAAACCAGCAACGATCAGTTTCAATACTTTTGTAAATATGCTTCCAACTTTTATCTACATTTTTGAACTGTTAAACCAAATTTTTCAGTTAACACTTTATAAATTAACATTCTTTGGCTAGGTGCGGTGGCTCACGCCTGTAACCCCAGCACTTTAGGAGGCCTAGGCGAGCAGATCACTTGAGACCAGGAGTTTGAGACTAGCCTGGCCAAAACAGCAAAACCCTGTCTCTACTGAAAATACAAAAATTAGCCAGGCGTGGTGGTGCACGCCTGTAATTCCAGCTACTCCGGAGGCTAAGTCATGAGAATCCTTTGAACCTGGGAGTTGGAGATTGCAGTGAGCTGAGATCATGCCACCGCACTGCAGCCTGGGCGACAGAAACTGTCTGAAAACAAAACAACACAAAACAACCATTATTCTACATTAATGGTTGTTAAAGGTTAATAGTTCATTTTCTGGGTGTATGACAGTTTTAAACACCTAACTTTTAATACTGGATTCAGCCTACTGTTGTTAGCTTTTTGCAGTCATATATGAAGACTATGATGAACATCATTGTAGGTATTCATCTTTGCATATATCCTTAGACATTTCCTTATAGTCTAAGAACTAGCATTTCTAGTGGAGTGGGGACATTTTTCCAGATGTCCATTTAAGAATTATCATTCCATTAGTTAAAAAATTTGCAGGCTATATATTCAAAGGGGATCCCTTCTGTTTGGAATTCAACATAACCAGTTAGCTCAAACCTCAACTCTCGAAAAATGTGTCTCCTTTACTCAACAAACATTTAGAGAATACTGAATATGAGGAATAAAAAAAGATAAAAAAGACCCTGTACTGGGCAGGTAATCTACTGTAGTATGCAGATTCGTTATCAAACAGACTACAATGTATTTAAATTTTGTAGGCGATGAATGCACAAGGCCCTTAAGCTGCATTGAAGGCTGCCTAAGGCAGTATACAAAATCAGTGCTGAATATTTGTTAACACTTAAGGAGAATGTACGTTTTAATTTTCATGTTTGATGCTTGGGGAAAAGATTACATCGCACCACCTATCTTCCCCATATATTGATTATTCGTGTTTCTCACTTCCATGGTAGTGTGCACGTTATTTGCTTAACTTTGGCATATAAATTCAGAAGAAATATCATTTAACTCTGTGCCTAAGGAGGGTATTTAGAAATAACCGACGCAGCTAACATGAGAAGGCAAAAAAAAAAAAAAAGAAAAAAGAAAAAAATCACACTAACGGACTTTTTTTTTTTTTCTAACAACAAAAAACCGTGAGACTTCACTTGGGGTAACCATAACGTCGTCAAGGCTGTGGCGTCACGCCTCTAAGCGGATACGGCAGAAGTTTTGGGGCCAGACACAAGACTTCCAAGTTTGAATGGGCAGCGCAAAACCCAGACAAGTTTTCCGGTAGTGCCGCCAACCCCTGTCAGGCACAGAAGACACAGCGAGAACCGTGAGCCGTTACGAAAGCCTAAAACACTGAGCTCGCGTCCTGCCAAGCAGCAGGCGCACAAACCTACACCTCCGAGCGCTCCCTGGAGGTCCCGCCCACTCTTCTCTCCCGAGCCGGCTAGAGATCTGGAAGAGGGCGGGCCAAGGGTGAGGAGGGCAGTATGCGCATGCGCGCTCAGGACCCAGTCAGTGAGCCAATAAGGAATCTCGCGAGTGTTGAAAGTCGGTGGCGTAGGTCGTCGTCCTGGATGCTGGCGAGATAGATGTTATCTTCCAGAGGAAGAGGAGGAGGCGGCGAAGCGTTTTCCCAGCCTCAGTCTCTCTTTCGTTTTCCTTTTCCCTTCCCCCAACCCTCCGCCCTTCTCTAAATCAGCCGGCCTTCCTTGACCTCAGTGACCCGTCTGGCCCCGCCCACCCTCGTCGACGTGATTCCCGCCGTGAGGTAAGCGCCGGTGGAACCTAGAGCCCCGCGGAAGAGCAGAACGTTTGGGAGTGTGCAGCTCCTGGGCCCGGCTCAGGCCCGTCGCGGAGGCGCGGCGCAGGGGAGCGCTCGGGTGGGAGTCTCGCTCCTCCACCAGTTTATTGCGACGTAGCATCCAGGCCTAGGCCTCCCCGTCCATCCCCGCCGGACTCGGGCCTCTGGCAGCAGCGGGTGACGCAGACGGAACATCATGTCGTCCGCGGCCGAGCCTCCGCCACCCCCGCCTCCCGAGAGCGCGCCTTCCAAGCCCGCAGCCTCGATCGCCAGCGGCGGGAGCAACAGCAGCAACAAAGGCGGCCCCGAAGGCGTCGCGGCGCAGGCGGTTGCGTCTGCGGCCAGCGCTGGTCCCGCAGACGCCGAGATGGAGGTGAGGGCGACTTGCGGCATGGGGAGCGGGTGCAGCGGGGAGGAGGAGCTGGCTCCCTCGCCGGATCGTGGCGATCGGACGCAGAGCCGGGTTTCTCTCTCTGCACCAGACTCAGCTTCACACCCTGTGGATACGAAATGATGCTCTCACTCTTGCTCCCTTGTTCTTACCCTATTCGAGCTAAGCAAAATGGATTTCTGGCTCCTCACATTTAAATTATTTGTCTCTTTCGTGAATCCTGACAAATATTTGAACGCTCTCAGTGAACAGATGTTCTTGGTTACCGTGGCCCGGGGGACCCATCGTTTTTTTCCCACTAGACTCCCATAATTCCCTCTCCTACCTCTGAATGTGGTTTTTAGTTTCCACCAAACTTCGGGGAAGGGCGAGGAGATGACCCCTTAGGAGCGGGATGCACGGGCGGGGTGAAGGAGGCATTTAAAAGCAGCGCGTCCGAGGACTTGGGCCTCCTTTTCTTCTTCCCGGTCCTTGCAGGGGCGGTATCTGTTGTGGGCAGAAACAATGGCGAGAGCTGGATGGCCGAGTGCGCAGTGGGGATAAGCGGGGCGCAGCTGCTTCTGTGAAGGGAGAGAAGGCCCCTCCCAGGCACTATTCCACTGGAAGGGAAGCAACCAAGGCAGCAGCAGCTGTCTCGGATCCCCCGTCTAATTTAGGGGGGATGAATAAGTGTAGGAATGAATTAGAGAACCAGGCGCAGTTGGTTGGCTCTCAGTCCGGCACTTTTCTCTTTTTGGCCTCTGGCCTTAAGAAAAAAAAAAATTAGTACCACTCGCTGCCGAGACTTATGGGTTTGGGTTGGGCAGGGGATGCTGACAGTACTGAGGGGGCTGGAAAGATGGGGGAAGCTGCCAGGCGGGTAAATTGGATATGCTTCCAGGCTTTGCATCTGGGAACAAAGTAATTGCTCCTTCCAATTTTTATTTTCTTGGCCTTCGACCTGTTTTGAGATATTTTGTGAGTCGGAGCCCAAAGATTTCTGGGATTTTCCTATCCTTAGACAGAATGAAAGTAATACTGCTCCGAAGATGAGTCTTGATGCAGAATCATTATACAGTAAGAAAATGGTAGCGTAATTTACCATTGAGGCTTTTGGCACAGTAGTTATATTTGGGTAGCTGGGGTTAAGTAACATTAATGTTAGTAATCATTTAAAGAACTTTTAGTGGTGAGGGTAGGTTTAGTGACATAGGAACTCCTGATAGTTCCTGTAGTTTTGAGTGATTAAGATAAGATTACTTCCAAATTAAAATATATTCAGTGTTGCTTTTTTTTCCTTAAGGAAATGGTTCTTTTGGGTTACTAGGGCTCTTTAACTTGGATTTCTGTTCCAAGGCTTAAGGGGTTTGACACAAAGCAATTATGTGTAAATGTGCAGTTCTCTACAAAAATTGTTTATAGTTTTTCCTCAGCTTCTCAAAGGGGTCTGCCATCCAAACTTTGGAAAAATGAATGTTTCACCAGAGGTCTTATTAATATCTGAATGCAGAGTAATTTTAAGCCTAAAGCAAGTCAACATTTTTGACTTGAAGTTGCTATTTTAAATGAAAATTGATTTTAAGTTCAAACGTGAGTATAGATGTTATCACTACCGTATTAAATTAGTGATATTTTCATTTGCCAGATGGGGAAATTGAGTTCTACTAGGTAGAACCTGTAATAAAACTCGGATCTGCCTTTAAAAGTGAGCCGTTTCCCACCCATCTTGCTCTGCCATGTTCTTACCAAAAAAAACATATTTGGCGGTTCAATTTATTGAATAACATTGTTATTTTTACCTTCCTAGTATAGAAATATTAGGAATTTTATTTTTTTATCCATCTTATCACTGACACATTTTTTTTTTGGTTGACATTATAGTGTGATTTTTTTTTTTGTCTTTTAAAATGTCAGTTTCCTGTTTAACAAAATTCAGAATTACTGCAATTCATGATATAAACTAAGTTTGAGCACACATGCTTAATATATATGTCACAACTTAATCTGTTTTGCACTTGGAAAATGAATATTTTATAAATGACTTTTTCTTGTTTGGAAGTATGATCTAAGGTGTTTTTCTAAACAGAGTAAACCCAGCATTCATGAATTTTTTTTTTTTTTTTTTTTTGGTGACAAAGCTGATTTTCCCAGAAATAGCCTTCCTATGTATTCAGTTACTTTTTTTCTTTTTGCTTGATACTAATAGGTCAATGGAGCACTTGTTTTTTAGTTATCCTTTTGGCAGTGTGGAACTCTTCTGTGTTCATCCTCATCTCTATTGACTAGATTGATTAAATAGTCACCTGTATACCAATAATGTGATGTCAAGATGCCTGAAGCACATTTTATTTTTGTAGGTTGCATTTCATGGCATTTTGGAATTTTGTAAACTGGACTGGGTAGGTGGCTTTGTCACTTACATATGTAGACCAGAGATTTATGATGAACATAGGGTCACACAAGTGCCAAGGGTCTTAACAATGAAGTTAGACTTGACTTAAGGTCATTTTACCTTCTATTCCAGTACCGTACCAGATCTCCTCCCCACAACTTTTTGGTCACAGATAGTTTTATTATAGCATATATTGCCTAGCATAGATTTGTGCATCATTAATGAAGATTACTTCTGCCAATTTTTTTTAATGGATGAATAGAACTTTGCAGTGTAGAAGTTGTTTTTTGTTGCTTGTGACATATGAATGTCAGGATAAATATATTTGCAAGAATAACATTTATTACTAGTTTAGGAATCAGACTGTAGTTAGAGTATTCAATTTAGGCTGCGAGATAAAGTTTTTGTAATATTCCAGAAGGTGGAAATCAGGGTGACTAATTCTGATTTCTTTGTAGACATTTGTGTGGTAGCACAGTAGATACTGTAGTTTTATGACAAAAGGGGAACTTTTCCCCACATTTTATACTATTTAGTTTGGTTTCATGGTTATTACAGAAAAAGAGAAACAGATTGGCTTGTATTAAATGTAGTTTTCTTTTAGGATGATGAAGATAATCTTGTGTTCTAATCTTGGCAACAACCATACAGTTTATATATATGGGTTAAATACGTTGTTATCCCCATAGTATCTAATATCATTTTATCAGTTTTTCTGTTAGCTTAGATGACAGCTGTTTAAGTTTCTAGGAAGTTTGGGGTGAGAATGTATTATTTAAGATGTGTTTTGGTCAGAAATTGGTCTATAATGGTATGTTTACTATTTTCGAAGACCAATTCTATTTAATTATTTCTTTCTACCAGGAAATATTTGATGATGCGTCACCTGGAAAGCAAAAGGAAATCCAAGAACCAGATCCTACCTATGAAGAAAAAATGGTATGTTCTAGGCTTGTGAATAGAGTCTATAAGGAAAACTTTTTATCAGGTGATTAAATGTACTAAACATCTATCTTAGTCCATTTTGTGTTACAACAATACCACAGACTGGGTAATTTATAAAGAAACGAAATTTATTTCTTAGAGTTCTGGAGGCTGGCAAGTCCAAGGTCAAGGCCAGCATTTGTTGAGGGCCTTCTTGCAGTGTCATTATATGGAGGAAGGCCAAGAGAAGAGAGCAAGACAGGACTGAACTTTCTTTTATAACAAGCTCACTGGTGATAACCTCCTCCTGAGATACTGACAGTAATCTTTTCCTAATCACCTCTTATTAGGCCCTACCTCCCAACACTGTTGCGTTGGGGATTAAATTACAACATGGGAGATTTGGAGGGGGACACAGTCAAACCATAGCAATGTCTGTTTAATTTTTGTAATTATGGCACAGATATCCATTTGAAATATGTGTAATATGGAATACTATAACTTCCATATCTTATGTGTCTATGTAAGCCAAATGGAAGTATTATATGAATTAACATAATATGATGTCATTATCTAGTTATGTTAACAACACCTTTAAAAATTTAACCTTGGAAGCGAGGTGAAGACCAGAATAGTTACTCAGTGTATGTTTATTCTGCACTTGACTAGCATTGTACTCTGCTAGTTACCAAAAAAAGAAATATGCTCCTTGTTCACAGCATTTTTATATTATAGATGGGGTCTTTACAAAAAGAACATGACATTATATTGGAGTCATTCAAGTCCCAGTTCACGTTCCGTATCTTCTAAGAAACTTCTCAAAACTATGACTTGACTTAAACAGTACCTACACAGAGCTTTAAATTTAAATTCAGTTTTAGTAATAGTAGTAGTGGCTAACAGTGAATGTTTACTCCGTATCTGACCCTGTTAGGAATGCTTTATATGGATTAAACTCATTTAATTGTATTGAAATCTCAAAAAGTTAAAATAACAATGTATTAAATAAGAATACCACTACACAGTGTGCTCCTGTAGGGTAAAAACAGTGTCTTAATCTTTCTTTCTGTCTTCAGTACCCAGAACAGTATCTGGCACATAGCAGATCTTACATATTTTTTAAAACATACTTTTTTCTTGTCCTTTGACTTTCTCTTCCAAATCAGTAAATATTTTTGAATGTCTTAAATAGCTTCAAAATCTTAAAATTATGGTATGTATTTTATGTGCATGTATAATATGCACAATACATATAACACTATGTAAATTATAAATGATATATCTTTAGGTTTGATTTGTTATATATTTTACATATGTATATATGTAACTGTCACCTTTTTTGCTATCAAACTTAGAGAAAAAATAGATTTGCCGCTCTGTTTTTTTAAAGTGAATACTACTTTGAATACAGTCTACATATTTTAATACTGCTTTAACCCTTTATAGTTTAGATTCTGACACACTCTGCTGGTGAATCTAATTGCCAATTCTGAGGCTTAGTTTTAGTTTCTTGATTTGTGCTTGACATTGTTGACCATTCCTCAAAAATCTTGACTTGCCTTGAAAGACATTTTTTCCCGTGATAATATCCTCTTTGCTTTTTTATTCCTTTGTCCTTCCTTATTAAAATTTGAACATTTCTTCCTAGACAGTTTGATTCTTACTGGTTTTTACCTGGTATCTTTAAACTGAATATTTTCAAATACTTAACCTCTAGCCCAGAAGCCTGTAATCCGTATTTTCATTTACTTTAAAATCCTATTCATACCTCTTACTTGAGAATATCCAAAACTGAATTCATAATTTTTACTTAGCATACCTTAGTGTTACCTCAATGAATGAAAGTTCCTCTTCAGGTATACTCAAGATGTTCATGACAGTACTGCATACTTGTAAACAATAAGTTTACTTACGAGTTTATTCTCTTTTCCATATCACCCTAGTTTAGTATTTTTCTATTATTGCATGGATTATTTTGTGCTTCTGTATTTGCCTCCTTTCTTATGATCTGGCCCCTTCCAAGTTTCTTAACATTTTTGCAAAGTGTTATTTATAACACAAATTTGACTGTGAAATGGAGGTTTTTCAGTGGCTCTCTACAATGCTTTTCATTTTCTTAGTGGCCTTTATTGGAACTCTTTTCGTTTCTTCCAGGTTTTTCAGTCTCCCAGCATTATTTCCTTTTTTGACATCATGATCTTCACCTGCACAGTTTTCTTCTAAGCAAGAAGCTCCCTTGTCATCTGCTAGTTCTAACCATAGATAAGTTCACTATCCACTCCTCGTTCTTGAACCCAGAATGCTGAGTACTACTTCAGAAAACTAAATACTAGTGCTGATTGGTGCCAGTATAAGTTTATGGTTTTTATTTTCTTGGACCTTGAGTATTTATTGCCTATCAGTCTCATTTAGCCATTCTAAAATGTCCCCACTCTGATCAGTCTTTCTTCTCCATTTCTACCATGCCCTCATTTCCAATCTTCCTCCACAAAGAATTGCAGGCCTGTCTTTATTTTCTTTCTCTTTTCAAACATATGTATAGCCTCTATTATCCTACCTCATTTCTTCCTGTTTCAGAGAAAGAAGCTAGTCCAAAGCTATTCACTTTAATTTCCGTTTGATTTTATAATTGATTTCTTTCAGGTTCCTAATCATACTCTCTTGTTTCTGCTTTTTAGGTTCTGTTGGTTTTTCTCCCTCAAGACATTTCAGTTTTAACCTTTTCATTCTTTCAAGCAGTTTATCTTGATTCCAAACATAATTACAATAATTATTTTTTCAGTCCAAACATCTTGTAGATGCGTGCTCTTGGCTTTTGTTTCATTATCTATAAATTAAGAAATGTAATTATGTAAAATATGCATTCACATATGTATCTTGTTCAGCACTTTAAAAACAGTCTGTAATCTTGGAAAACATAAATAACAGAGGCTTGTCATCTGTAGGACATTACTGGGGTTCTAGCATGTTCACAGTCTTGTTACTGTGCAGATTCATTTGCTGCTATGACTGCCATTTGTGACCCAATGAAACACTATAACCATGTGCCTTCCTAATAGCAAATTGGGCTTCAGTTTTTACATTGGTGTGACCTTAAAAAATGATTATGTTCCTTTTAAAAATACGTAGTTGTTACAACATTATGGCATTTGGATACTTCTTGTGTTTGCTAGGTAAAATGTCTTTTTGTAATTTATTCCCAAACTGACATTTTAAACATTTATAGACAGAGATGTTGAGTAGTTGGTTTCCCTGTTTATTGAGCTTTTCTTGTCTTGCTTCTCCTTTGTTTCATCAAACTATTATTGTTTTTGTATAAAGGCTGCCTAATGGCTCCCAATTTCATTATTTTTATGAAAATTTGTCTTCGAGGCTCTTAAGGTTTTTTTTGCCCAAGTAAATTTTTTCCATTCTCTCGGTATTATAATAGGGAACATTCAAAGGGGCAGATGGCAGATACGAAAGGAAGGAATAGTATCAATCCCAATACCGTTTTAAAATTTGTCACAGCCTAACTAATGAATGAGCACTGCATTTTTTCCAGCTTCTGAGTAAATTCACTTGTATTGCACAGTGTTTAATATTTTAAAAATTGTTCCGATCAACTGTATTGAAGTATAATTGACATAAAATAATTTTAAGTTTGTAATTCAATGAGTTTTAGCAAATATTTCTTTAAATACCATCACAATCATGATGCAGAGTAGTTCCATCATCCCCAAAGTTTGCTCCTGCTCCTTTCTAATCAGTTCTTGCTCCCACCTCCTTGCCACTTCTGATCTGCTTTCTATCACTAGTTAGCATTTCATTTAAGTGGAATCATACAGCATGTAGTCTTTTGTGTTTGGCTTCTTTCACTTTGCATAGTGCTTTTGAAACTCATCCATGTTGCATTTATCTGTAGTTCTCTTTTTTTTTTTGCTGAGTTCATTGTATGGAGGCATGCTGAAACTTTGATTTCTGAAGTTTTAATTGATACTCTGATAAAATGTATCTTAAATTTTTTTTTTTCAGCAAACTGACCGGGCAAATAGATTCGAGTATTTATTAAAGCAGACAGAACTTTTTGCACATTTCATTCAACCTGCTGCTCAGAAGACTCCAACTTCACCTTTGAAGATGAAACCAGGGCGCCCACGAATAAAAAAAGATGAGAAGCAGAACTTACTATCCGTTGGCGAGTGAGTAATAGTTTAAACTTCATAGTTCAACCAAACTTATTTTCGATAGTCTTCAGTGGAAGCATAAAATCACTATGATAAATAACTTAAAATTATTTTAGTGCCATTATTTATTTGGCCCTGTTTGGCTTGGCATGATTTAGCCATAAATGTATAAGTATATAAAAATACGCATAATGGTTAGAGCACAGTGGCTCTTGCCTGTAATCGCAGCATTTTGGGACGCCAAGGTGGGAGGATTGCTTGAGTCCGGGAGTATGAGAGCAGCCTGGGCAACGTAGGGAGATCCCATCTCTACAAAAAAAAAAAAAAAAAAAAAAAAGAATAAAACTGCATAACGCCTTATTTTTTGTAGCATTATATAGTTTATGAATTGTAACAATCATGTTGAGTATGGAATTTAGATGTCACGTCATTCCTCAGAGAGGAAACAAATGCAGAGGTTAAGTGGCTTGTTTAACATCACATTGAAGAATGATCCAGACTTGAATTTGAATCTGACTTGGGTGTGCTCTAGGCTCCTCCATCACATACAGATGTTGACAGTATTTTATCTAAAGTGTGGTGTGTGGGATATTGTGATGACTTACATCACGGCAGCCTGTTTAAAATTTTTATTGCATACTTAGTTGTTTTTATATAAATTGAAGTGTCACGTTGTATGCCGTCCTTTGGTGGTGGTTGAAAATAATTCTTACATGTTGAATTTGGAAATTCTCTAGAATTTTCATTCTGGTTGGATAAATAAGATGTTTAATTAGTAATAGTAGATTTAGGGCAGTCTTGGCTCCCTGAAATGGCTTTGTGTAATTCCCAAAGTGAAAACTGTGATTAGTAATTAAAATACAAAAGATTGTTTAAAAGAAGAAGTATCAACAAGGTTAAATTCACTACACAGTTTGTTGAAAGAGGGAAGTATGATCTTCATCTTGAAGGGGTTATCGTTGTAAGCATAATACCTTTTATTTGGGGTATTCCACTCATTCATTATATCTTATTTCTCATCCATTGTGACCAAAGCACTATTTTAATACTTACGAAACTTTGAAGGGACAATTTTGCCCTTCAGCTGTATTTAAAATATTTCAGACTTCAGAAGTTTGCATTAGTGTCATGGCATGAAACTGGAAACTACTGTACTGAATATTGTTATGGGATAGTCAGTATGATGTCTCGAAAAGAAACACTTCTTTTATTCTTTTCTATTTTATTATTATCCTAATTTATCTTTTTTATAAGATAAAAAAGATTCTATTGGAAATAGTAATAATAAATTGTTAGGCTTAATGTATTAAATAGTGTTATTAGGGAAAAAAGTCCTAGTTAACAGATTTCTTTACTCCTCAAACCATCTTAAATGGGAAGCTAATTTACCTAAAGTAATGAGGGTCATAGTATTGTCTTTGGGTATCAGGAATACATTTTTTTAAATCTTTTTTTGTTTGTTTGTTTTTATTGAGACAGAGTCTTGCTCTGTGGCCCAGGCTGGAGTGCGTGCAGTGGTGTGATCTCGGTTCACTGCAAGTTGTGCCTCTGGGGTTCAAGCGATTCTTGGACCTCAGCTGGGATTACAGGCTCACGCCACCACGCCCAGCTCATTTTTGTATTTTTGGTAGAGATGGGGTTTCACCATGTTGGCCAGGCTAGTCTCGAACTTCTGACCTCAAGTGATCCACCCACCTCTGCCTCCTAAAGTGTTGGGATTACAGGCGTGAGCCACTGTGCCTGGCCAGGAATACGTTTTTTTTTTAAGTCATTCACGATTATATTCAATTTTTAACAATAAATGACATCTCAGCTTTTAAGTTTTACAACTGTAATAATCAAACATTTTGAGAGTAACTATAAAGGATATTTTATAAAAAGAATTTAAAATTATCTCCCAGTTTATGGAGAATAAATAGGGGATGGAAGTAGATCTTTGTACTCAATTTCATAGGCTCAGAATGCAGAGAAGTACAAGGAATAACAGACTAGGATGTACTGATTATGATTAGAAGCATATATAACAAACAAGAAGGCCCTTGAATTTCTGAGGAATGCTTCTATCTTGGAAGGCCGCTTATCCTTTTAGCAAGCATGTGGTTTTGGTAGAAATGAAGTTACAAATTAGATTCAGCGGTCTCAACAGAGGCATAACGTGCCTTTTTCTAAATAAGATGAAAATATTTGTTGAAAGTGTCAGAATTGGGGAGTAAGTATTAATAGTTTTACTGAACCAAGCCCTTTAGAGATTAATTGGCAGTATTAAAACTTTAGAAAATCAGTTTTTAAGGGGGTAGTATATCTGATTCTCTTAGGATGTAGAATTTAGATGTGTATTTAAAAATTTTTTTGATGAATCCGTGGTCACTGCTTAAATTTCTGAGTCCTTATGCTGCAGCTTTTGCTCGAAGTTACAATTTTAAACATGTGGTTTCTGGAACTTTTTTTTCCTTGGCAAAAAGATTTTTAAAAAGGTACACTTTAAAATTCAAATAATGAGATTTTCTGACTACATAGTTCTTGAAATTTGACTATCATATTTGAGTTTATTGGGTTCTGGTTAATGTATCGTACTGGTGTATTTTAATAACTAATGTATATTTTAAATAATTATTTAAAACATTGCAGATTTAAATGTACTCATATTTTCTACTGTCCACTGGTTGATGCCTGTTAAAAATTTAATTTTGTGGAATCTTGGTCAGCCACTTGACTATGATGTTTAAACAGTAGCTGATAATTAAAGCCAAAACTCAAATCAGGTTATTTTATTTTCATCTTAACAGTTACCGACACCGTAGAACAGAGCAAGAGGAGGATGAAGAGCTATTAACAGAAAGCTCCAAAGCAACCAATGTTTGCACTCGATTTGAAGACTCTCCATCGTGTATGTTAAACACACTTGATTTTTTTAAAAAATTGCCCTTTGAGATCTCCTTTGGTTAATGTTTTGGATTTGTGTTGGCTACTATTTGTGAAGCAAATTTTTAGTAGTCTTAGATGTTTATTGGTTATGAAATAAACTTCAGATTTTGATGGAGATGAGAGCATATTACAGGATAGTAGTGCTGTATTTCAAAGTTATATAAAATGTCATTGTGTTTGTTATTGCCCTGAAGTATATGTAAATCTAAGGATCGTTTTGCTTTATATTTGTCCCACATAAGAAAACTAATTTATTTTAAAAAAGGTACTTCATGAACACATTTGCTTACTTCTGATGTTTTTATATTAATTTAATTTTTTGTGAAATGTATTTGTTTATTGGTTAGCTTTTTATCCTCAAGTGTTTTTCAAAAGGAGATGGAGGGCTACACTGTGTACATATTAAAAAAGAAAAATCAGGTGACCGTTATGTATATTTGGTAATTATTCTGGGGAGCAAAATAAGTAGTATACCCTGAAAGAGAGTGCATTGGAATGTATAAGATATATTGGACAAGTAACTTAGGAATTTCCTATTTCTTTTTTTTTTTTTTTTACTAGAAAGAAAATAAAATCCCCAGATAACCTGTATCTGGTCTTTATGAAAGCTGAAAATACTTGGTTAGGAACACTTGGTTTTTCATTAAAAAGACGAGAGGCCAAAGAGTCTCTCAGACCAGTATATGGGTAACGTAAGAACTGAGTTGTTGGAGTGGGTACTCTGATGCCCGCAGTCATGTTTCCCGCACTTGATTATCTTCCATGTCCAGCTTTTCCACTTCAGACCATGGCAGCTACCTCTAGTATTTTGGAACTTGCAGAGTTCCTATTCAAGAATCCGTTAGTAATGAAAATAAAGTCAGTAGATATGTGTAGGCTTAGATGAAGAGATTGCCTTGTATTTCTTGTCTTAAAATGCCTATTGTGCTTTTCTTTTGTTCTTAGATGTAAAATGGGGTAAACTGAGAGATTATCAGGTCCGAGGATTAAACTGGCTCATTTCTTTGTATGAGAATGGCATCAATGGTATCCTTGCAGATGAAATGGTATGTGTTGGTAGTTTTTTTTGAAGGGTATGTTTTGTATTGAAAATATCTTATACGTTGATAAAAGTTTCTTACAGTCTACAACTGTTAGCAAATGGATCCTCTCAGAAACTAGTATAAGCAGCTTGCCTTAGTTGCATAAGTGTGATCTGTATTTTAATTGTGAGAAATTTCCATCGCTGAAAATATGATAAATTTAAAAAGAATACATTTGAGAAACATGTTTTTGGATGACTTTTATAGTACAATGATTTATTTGCTTCCAGTTTTGTAAAACAAAAGTGAGGTCATTAATTGTTTATAATTGATAAATGTTTTTTCCAGGTGGTAGCTTGTACAATTCTTAGAAAACATTTATCTTTTGTTAACTACTAGTTATGTAATGAATGTTTAAAAAAGTTTCCTTATTGCTATAATGCTAAAACGTTTAATTGGTTGGAGAAAGTATGAAGTCAAAAGAAATGTGTTTCAATGCTAGCTCTGCTAGATGACTTTGGGAATGTCACTTAAACGGGGCCTTATGCGGGTGATAATAATACCTCCTTTAGAGACTTGTGAAAATTATATGACATAACACTTACAAACTTTGATATATGTTAAGTTTTTGCCATTTATTAACTGTTATAAATATGTAGCATTTCTTTTGAACATTTCTATATGTTGGGAGGTATAATTGTGAAATAATATTTTCATTTTTCACTGCTTCATGGTTATTTTGAAATCTTTCAGGGCCTAGGAAAGACTCTTCAAACAATTTCTCTTCTTGGGTACATGAAACATTATAGAAACATTCCTGGGCCTCATATGGTTTTGGTTCCTAAGTCTACATTACACAACTGGATGAGTGAATTCAAGAGATGGGTACCAACACTTAGATCTGTTTGTTTGATAGGAGATAAAGAACAAAGAGTAAGTTTCTAGTATTTCATTACATTTTTGAGGCTAAAATAATTTGAATTCAGGCTTGGGTATGGGTATAGCTGGAAGAAGGATAAATGAGACGGGATCTTCGCAAATATTAGTATTTACAAATGTAGCATTGTCTTGGTGGATAAAAAACAGCACTTTGGGAGGCCGAGGCGGGTGGATCATGAGGTCAGGAGATCGAGACCATCCTGGCTAACACAGTGAAACCCCGTTTCTACTAAAAACTCAAAAAATTAGCTGGGTGTGGTGGCACGCATGGCCTGTAGTCCCAGCTACTTGGTAGGCTGAGGCAGGAGAATCGCTGGAATCTGGGAGGTGGAGGTTGCAGTGAGCCGAGATGGCGCCACTGCACTCCAGCCTGGGCAACAAAGCAAGACCATCTTAAAAAAAAAAAATCATACTGGGAAGAAGACATTAGAAATGGTAGAAAGCTGTAAGACTGTAGTTTGTTTCTCTCCCTTTTGGGAGTGGTTGTATAAAATCATTGGTTGTGCTCTCATTAGAAGTTATTTTCTTGTTTTTAAAAGATATTTTGAAATGTGAGTTGGTTGGAAATTTAAGGAGCCACATTTTTAGATGAATGTGTGTAGTGGTAATAGTCACAGAATTAGAGTTTTTAAAGACGGGTTGAGTCATATATAGTAATTTGGTGATTTATTATGATATTTAACAAAATAAGTTAAAATTTCGATCAGTTGACAACATCCTTGTGGGAAGAAGAGATGGAAATAATGACATTAGTATATAAAGCTCAGATTTGGAAATTTATTCAGACTCTACTGAATAGCTGTGTACTTGTTTTTTATTTCCTCTTCATTTACCTGTGAGTGATAAGTCTATATTTTTCTCTCCCTTTCTAGTTATGTTGGATATTTTAAGTTATCAATTTTTGTTTGTTTGTTTGGGAGCCCAAAGAGTGGTAATTACTTAACCAGTCTTTGCTTCAGTTTCCTTACCTTTAAAATAATACTATTAGGAATGTGTTAATACATTTATAAACCTGAAAGGAATGCAGATGCCTACTACTGCTAACTATCTTTCCACCCTCTTCCTTTCTTTATGTTAAAACCTCCCTCTTTTTTGTCTAAACCTGCCTCCTAAGAATTTCCCGATCTAGTGGAATTGCAGAAAGACATTTTAAGTGTCTATTGAATTTTTCACTGGTTAACTTTGTCAGTTTTTTAAAACTTAATGGTTCTGACATTTAAATGATTAATGACGTTACTTTAGTCTTAGGAAAGCTGGTTCTAAACGTTTGCATAATATAGCTAGCTACTCTACTCCTTTTTAGTATTCCCACCTCTTTTTATATACTAGATTACTTGTCATCAGTAAATGTAATGCGTAGTTTATTTCTACGTGATGTAATTTTTTTCTCTTGTTACACAGGCTGCTTTTGTCAGAGACGTTTTATTACCGGGAGAATGGGATGTATGTGTAACATCTTATGAAATGCTTATTAAAGAGAAGTCTGTGTTCAAAAAATTTAATTGGAGATACTTAGTAATAGATGAAGCTCACAGGATCAAAAATGAAAAATCTAAGGTAATTTGATACTTAGATGTGAAAAGCCTTCATGTAAGAATTTGATTAAAGTACAGATTTTTTTTTCTTTTAACTTTAAGTTATGAGATACATGTGCAGAACGTGCAGGTTTGTTAACATAGGTATGCATGTGCCATGGTGGTTTGCTGCACCCCATCATCTAGGTTTTAAGCCCCGCATGCATTAGGTATTTGTCCTAATGCTCTCCCTCTGCTTTCTCCCCACTCCCCGACAGGTCCTGGCATGTGGTGTTCCCCTCCCTGTGTCCATGTGTTCTCATTGTTCAACTCCCACTTATGAGTGAGAACATGTAGTGTTTGGTTTTCTGTTCCTGTGTTAGTTTACTGAGAATGATGGCTTCCAGCTTCATCCATGTCCTTGCAGAGGATATAAACTCATTCTCTTTTATGGCTGCGTACTATTCGCTGATGTATATGTGCCATATTTTCTTTAACCGGTCTATCATTGTTGGGCATTTGTGTTGGTTCCAGGTCTTTGCTGTTGTAGATAATGCAATATGCAGAATATTCTAATGGTGTATTTGGTTCTTTTCTTTCAGTTGTCAGAAATAGTGAGGGAATTCAAGACTACAAATAGACTATTATTAACTGGAACACCTCTTCAGAACAACTTGCATGAGCTGTGGTCACTTCTTAACTTTCTGTTGCCAGATGTGTTTAATTCAGCAGATGTAAGTATTTCCTGGTGCTTTCTGGTTAATAATAATATTTTGCTTAATGCTATATATTTTTGTAATAAAAGTGGCCTGCCTTTTAGCATGGCTTGAGGTTATTATTAATTTTTTATGCTTTTATTTACATAGTTAGCCTGGTGTTATCTCCTAGGTTGTCTCTGTATAATGGGAATTTACTTTTGTGCCTTTGGTTTCAATCTTATTTCATTATTATTATTATTATTTTATTTTTTTTGAGACGTAGTCTCACTCTGTCACCTATGCTGAAGTGCAGTGGTGTGATCTTGGCTCACTGCAGCCTCCACCTCCGGAATTCAGGTGATTCTTGTGCCTCAGCCTTCCGAATAGCTGAGATCACAGGTGTGTGCCACCATGCCCGGCTAGTTTCTGTGTTTTTTGTAGAGATGAGGTTTTGCCATGTTGTCCAGGCTGGTCTCAAGCTCCTGGCCTCAAGCGATCTGCCTGCCTCAGCCTCCCAAAGTGCTGGGATTACAGGCACGAGCCACCACACCAGGCCTCAGTCTTCTTTAAATCATTGTTTTCTCTATCTGAAATGGCATAAATTGTCACTCCTATTTGGTAAGTCAGGTTGGCCTGACTTTGTTTCAGTGGCTCTAGGTTGACTGGTTATGTTTTTAAGGTGCTGCTCAAGGTATTCCTGAAGTGATTTGTATACCTCACATTGCTTATGTTTTAAGTCCCAAGGATGACTGTCAAATTTAGTGAAATCTGTCTGGCTTTTCTTATATTATAGTCTAACAAACAAATAGAACCTAATCTTTATGGATTATTTATAGTCATAGAAAGGATAGTAATGGTTAATTAGCTATTTGAACTGTTAATAGTAATATAATAACTATGTCAAGAGTTTGTGCTATTAGAAATTGCAGTTTTTTTTGCCTGGACCAGTGTTTATTTTTGAAGCTTTGTTTGCATAGCTGGCGTCTTATGTGTATTGGAGGGATTTGAAGAGCTCCATGTTAGTATATTTTTGTACAATTAAGTTATAAAAAGGTATTAATTAATTTTGTTTTTTTTCTGTTGAAGATTGTTTTGAAAGAATAGATTGTGTTGTAAAAAGATATTTAATCAGACTCCAAAAGCAATTTTAGCTTCGATTTTATGTATTTTGATGTTTTTGAGATAATTCCTGTTTCTCACTACATTGACACTTTCATTTACTTTAAAGCAGTGAATTCTAAGATTATGTTTACTCAAAAACAAAGCACATATATAATACATATGTTCAAGAGATGAGGTTAGGGAAACTGCCCTTGTTGAAATCGTAACCAAATATTAATGAAATGCTGGTAATTTCAATTTCATTTAGTAAGTTTGATTAAAATTGACATTGTTCGTAAACTTGTATTTGAGTAGTGCGAATGGTCTCAGAGAACAAACTATAAAATGTTTTAATTTTCAAGCTTTTATGAAACTTGAAAGATACTTTACAAGAATATTAATTTTCTAATCCTATAGAACTTGCTCTCCAACTTTTTACTGTGAAACTTGTTATTTTGATGTTTTTGAGAAGAATGTTTAGAAGGTAGTGTGATTTCTGAACTACTTGTTTTAAAATTAGTAACAATGACACATGAAAACCAGGATTGGACTAAGTGATTTTTTTTTGTGGGTTACAATTCAAATTACTAATTCTAGAAATCATTTCTATATCTGGTATTATAGGGTATTTGTTAATATTATCTCTGATCTGAGTATATTTTTTGTTTGTTTATCTAGGACTTTGATTCCTGGTTTGATACAAACAACTGCCTTGGGGATCAAAAACTAGTTGAGAGGCTTCATATGGTAAGTATTTTGGAGTAGTGTTAAAGCATATTTATGATGGGAAAAAGGATAAAGGTTTAAATTAGTAGATTATTTTCCTGTTAATAAAAAACACAATGGCTTAAGAATCAGATCTGCTTGAATTCTGACACTTAACTCTTACATCTTACAATCAGTGTAGGGGGTGATGTGTGGTTGTTTCAGTGTTAGAACCTAGAATGGAATCCTGACTTAAGGGAGAAAGTATTCTCTTACAGTTATACAAAATACAGTGGGGGGAAGAAGAATTGCATAATAATTAATATAGACAAGTTTTTGTTGTTGTTTTTGAGACAGTCTCACTTTGTCGTCCAGGCTGGAGTGCAGTGGCATGATCTTGGCTCACTGAAACCTCTGCCTCCCAGGCTCAAGCAGTCTCTCCCCATTCAGCGTCTAGAGTAGCTGGGGCTACAGGCTCTGGCCACCATGCCCAGCTAATTTTTGTATTTTTTGTAGAGATAGTGTTTCACCATGTTGCCCAGGCTAATCTCGAACTTCTGAACTCAAGTTATCAACCTGCCTGCCTTGGCCTCCCAGAGTGTTGGGATTACAGGCATGAGCCACCACGCCCGGCCTTAATAGACAAGTTTTTAAAGCTTAGTTCAATTTACATTCCATGGAAGAATCTAACAGGTTCACTTTTGAAAGGGCTAAAGATCCATCTGTTTTTTCTTAAATCTAGCTACATTGTGTATAAACAACTGCTAATATTGCATTATGAGCACAGTTGGTATGTTTTTGCTTGCTGTATAGCTTTGTTTCTACATACAGCTTCCTGTGACGGTTCACAAGTAAAAGTTGGTAGGTAGAGAAACTTCTCTAACAGACACCAGATTAAAATACCCTGCTAAGCAGGTTAAAGCAGGAGCTTGTAAGAATGTTATATAAAGCCCTTAATGACCTAACTCAGGAATTCTCAGCCTCTTTTGACATTTTGGTCTGGGTATATCTGAGAGGGGTAAGGAGAGAGGGGAGAACGTGATTGTCCTGTGTATTGTAGCATGTTTAATAGCATCCCTGATACTTTTACTCACTAGATGGCAGTAGTAACATTCCTCCAGTTGTGACAACCAAAAATTTCTCTAGACATTGCAGATGTCCCCTGGGGAACAAAATTGTGCCCCTCCATGACCTAACCTTTTTAACATTCTTTGGCATCTGTTTTACTTCTTCATATATTGAGCTTTAATTTGATAGATTGCTGACCCCACTGTCAGTTTTCTGTAAACATTGTGGTAATTCTAATCTATTTTTGCTTATCATTTTTGCTACACCTAGAATCCTTTTTCCTGGTCTCTTTACTAATACCTAGTCCAAGACTCAGCGACATCACCTCCACTGAACCAGCCAGGCTGAGGCTGGCCTAGGTGCCCTTCTGTGTATTCCATCTTTAACAATCTGAGCATCCTAATATTATAGGACTTTGCAGAGGATATTGAGATGATTCACAAGTGTTTTCCATACTGGATTGTAAGCACAAAGGCAGGAAGCACAGATTTATTTGTCTTTGTATACCTGGCACAATGCCTAGTTAGAGTGGATATTTGAACAGGGAAAAAAATTTAAGTTCATGATTGTTCAAATATTTCATTATAAAGTACTTTAAAATTCTTAAATATTGAGAGTTTTGTTAAATATTTGAAGGTAGTAATTTCCTAGCTACCTTTGTTTCAATTCAGATGGCATTCATGCATCTAAGCACTCTCTTTGTATTTACTTAGACCAAGGATTGTGGAGTGTATATGTAATCTTGGGGGTAGAAAAGGAGGCAGAAGAACATGATTTTTTTTCATGCATTTTTTTCCCCTTATTCCTCTGCTCTTGGCTTTCCTTTAGTAAATACGTAGGTACATCTAGGTAAAGCAAATGAACAACCCATTCAGCAGTATCAACCAGATTTGGTAACTCTGTTTTGTTCACAGGGTATTTTGAAAATGCTTATGAAGTCAGGGAGAAGAGGTCTTGTAGCTACCTCTCTACTTTCTCCTGCTCTTTACTTTGAAGTTTCTACAGTAGCACCTGTGGTCTTATAATGAAAGGAGGGTTTAGAAGTCGGTATGGATGCGCTTAGGAATGAGATAACTCTTATTTGATGTATTAGTTATCTAATGCTGCAAAAGAACCCCTTATTCCCTCCACCCCCCAAAAACACCTTAACCCCCCTTTAGGGGTTACTAAGACCCCCTTATTTCCCCCACCTCCAAAACACTTCATAGTTTATATTTTATTAACAACCCCAGAATTTATGGGTTGACTGGATGGTTTCTTTGTGGATTACACTTGGGGTTATCCAGTTACATTTATTTAGCTGGACAATGCTAGAAGAGAACCGGTGGGGCTAAAGGTCTTCACTTACACATCTGGCAGTTGCTGCCGCCTGTTGACTAGGGCTGAACTAGCTTTTCTACGTGGTGATGTTAGAGAGGTGTTGCTGGTATTTTTCCCACTAATGTCTAATTTGGTTTGTGATATAGTCACTATTTTTAAAAACCAGTGTAAATAGAACAGAGGTACAAAAAAGGGTATCTTTAGTTGTGTAGTTAATTTTAAAACTTACTGTTCTATGAAAATGAGTGAACTACTACTACATATAACATGGAAATGTCTCATTGTTTAATAAAAGAAACCAGATATAAATGGGTGCATATTGAGTGAGTCCATGTATATAAAGTTAAAAATGATAGGCAAAATTAATTTATGGTGTCTAAAAATAAGAATATTGCTTACCCTTGGGAAGGAAAAGAGGGGATAGTGATTGGAAGGGACACAAAAATGATTTCTAGAGTGTTCTATTTGGGTAATAACATGGGTACTTTTACAGTACTTGAATAAAATTTCTAGAACTGTACACTCATGATTTATTGAAGTGTGTACTTTTATATTCTTTCCCTAAGTTAGTACATTAAGTTTAAAGACTAACCATAAGGAGATCTTAATGAGACCCTTGTCCATTCTTTTTTTTTTTTTTTTTTTTTTTTTTTGAGATGGAGTCTAGCTCTGTCGCCCAGGATGGAGTGCAGTGGCGCCATCTTGGCTCACTGCAAGCTCCGCCTCCCGGGTTCACACCATTCTCCTGTCTCAGCCTCCCAAGTAGCTGGGACTACAGGTACCTGCCACCTCGCCTGGCTAATTTTTTGTATTTTTAATAGAGACGGGGTTTCACCATGTTAGCCAGGATGGTCTCGATTTCCTGACCTTGTGATCTGCCTGCCTCGGCCTCCCGACCCTTGCCCATTCTTAGGCACTGTTAGACAGTCTGCATGCAAGTAACTAGTTTTAGACCTGAAAGGCAGCAAATTGTTGAAAACATTTTAAAAATTTACTATTGTTTTTAGTATTTTATGGTAGTATAACAAGTATATACTCAAACATATACAGGCACATCTCATTACCCTTTGCAGTGCTTCACAGATACTGCATTTTTAAGAAACATTTATTTTGCGAAACAAATAGATGGTTTGTGGCAACCCTGTGTCAAGGAAGTCTATCAATAAACACCGTTTTCCCAACGGCATGTGTTTACTCTGTTTTTAAAGCAGTAATGTATTGCTTTAAATAATGTATCACATTTTTAAAGCAATAATGTACTTTTAAAATAAGGTGTGTACGTTGTTTTTTTTTTAGACATAATGCTATTGCACACTTAATAGTGTAAATGTAACTCTTAGATGCACTGGGAAATGTGACTTGCTTTATTGAGGTAGTCTGGAACTGAGCCTACAATATCTCTGAGGTATGCCTTTATTGAATAAGTAATGGTCTTGTATTACTACCCTTCAGGAACCCAGTAGTAATAAATTATATACAGTTAGCCCTTCATATCCATAGGTTCCACATCCATAGATTCAATCAACTATGGATTGGAAATATTTGTCCCCAAAAAAGATAAAAATAAAATAGATGGTTCCATCTGTGTTAAATATACCGACCTTTTCCTTGTCATTATTCCCTAAACGGTATAGTGTAACAACTATTAACATAGCATTTACATTCCATTAACTATTATTATAAGTAATCTAGAGATGATTTAAAGTATATGGGAGGATGTTTGTAGGTTATATGCAAATACTACATTTTTTATAATGGACTCGAGCATTTGTGGATTTTGGTATTCAAAGGGAAGGGGACAGGAACTAGTCTCCCACAGATACTGAGATATGACTGTATTTGCAGGGAGAAGTCCTAAGAAATCACTTGATACTCACGCAGAGAAATTTCTTTTTCATGTATTTTATATACAATTCTAAGATGCTGAAATATGACCTTATGTGTAATATTGGTATTACCTGTTTATTTTTGTCCTTTTTAAGGTTTTGCGTCCATTCCTCCTTCGTCGAATTAAGGCTGATGTTGAAAAGAGTTTGCCTCCAAAGAAGGAAGTAAAAATCTATGTGGGCCTCAGCAAAATGCAAAGGGAATGGTATGTATTCTCAGATGTACTTGATAGCACTATTGATTCTTCCCTAAATTTCATGTGTATTTTGTTTTCCTAATTTGTGTCTTCATGGAATTCCAATTTGCTGGATTGAACTCAACCTGAAAAGAGTTTTCTTGTCACGTAGTATAGGACTTGCTCATTAAGTTCGTTATAGAAAGTTTTGAACCTGTTAGATGACAGAATCAGGATGGAAGGCTTATGAATCCAAAATTAAAATTGGGATTTAATTAAACGGGGTTCATATGAAACCATCTACTTGGGATTTTTAAAAAGGAAACTGTGATAGCACAGTGTGGGAGATATATGGTTCACTTATAGTTCATAAATACTGGGTCAGTGTAAAGTAGCTGCAGAAAAAGATACTGTTGGCCTTAATGTAAATGTAGTGTTCAAAGGAGAGGAAATAAATATAGCTACCCTTTTCTTTACTGGTCTCATCATATTTCATGTATATTTAACTGCATACTTAAATTTTGATAAGTATTTGCAAGAGGCCAGAGTTGTTTGGTTAAAGGACTTAATATCATATAGAGAACTGGGCATGTTATCTGGGTAAGAGGTTATCTGTAGAAGGTGGTTGGTCCTAAATGTCCTCAAAAACTTCTGAAAGGGTAGCAGATATTAGGCTTACCTTGGATGGCTCTAAAACAGAACTAAGATGAGTCAATGCTAAGGAAAGACAAATCTTTTTTAGTTAAACATTTGAGTGAACTTTATATCAGAATTGAGATGGAAAGGTCTGCCTTGTTGTTTAAGCATAGATTGCCTAGGCTACTTACTTTGTTCAAAGGATCCAAGGCTCTAAAACTTTGATGCTTAGACAAATTACTCATTCTTTCATAACAATGTCTACATCCTTAGTATATGTTCAAGGCTTTTTATAATCTGGCCTTAGCTTATGGCTGTAGCTTCACAGTCCTGCCTCACAGACATACCTCCCTCCCCCATGTATTTATACGTATGTTTAAGTCACGTTGTATTCATATTATTCTCATCATCATGCCTTACCATTTCATTATTCTTCCTGTCTTCTCAGATGTTAGGGTTCTTACCTAAATGCTACACTAGCTATGGGGTATATAGTAATCGAATAGTGGCACTTTCTGTTGCAAAAAAACTGCAAACTAAAATTATGTTTAAAACTTACATTTTTTAAGTTTTGCTTTATTACTTAAAAATATTATGTCTTACTGCTGTAATTCTACCCAAGGGAACTGTTTTTGTACTTTAAAAATAATATCCTCAAGGCCCAAGGCGTAAGTATGAACATTATAATGCTATGGACAGTAAAGAAAAATGGAAGCAAAAAGAGGTTACAGATGTTAAATTCCTAACCATACCTAGAAGTTGATGAGTAGTTTCTTACAGATATTTGGGGGTTCATGTGGGGAAGGGGATTAAGTATGTAAAGTGGCAGGGATTGATCAAGGAACATTTGAGCTCTAAAAATGTTTTTCTTCTTTGAATAGGTATACTCGGATATTAATGAAGGATATAGATATACTCAACTCAGCAGGCAAGATGGACAAAATGAGGTTATTGAACATCCTAATGCAGTTGAGAAAATGTTGTAATCATCCATATCTCTTTGATGGAGCAGAACCTGGTCCACCTTATACAACAGATATGCATCTAGTAACCAACAGTGGCAAAATGGTGGTTTTAGACAAGCTGCTCCCTAAGTTAAAAGAACAAGGTATCGGTTACCCGTATCAAATTATCAAAACTGTTTTAAAATGCTCATGTTAAAACAAAGGAGCACTGTACTTTGAAATGACTGCTCTGATGCTTTCCAAGGTTGACGTGTAGAACATTAAAAAAACCTGTTCATTATCTGAGCTCTAACCCCCACTCCTGATTTTAGGCCTTAAGTCTCTTAGAAGGTAAGCAATAGTTAGAGCAACCATACTCCCTTGATTTTGGGAAGAGTTCATACTTTATATATACTTTCCTAGAAATTATAGCTTTCTGTCATAAAATGTGAAGAATGCATCTCCCTCCCACACATGGTTACCAGATCCATTGTTAGACAGTGGTGGTGTGTTCATGATATTGTTTTTTAATTATTTATGTGGAGTTTTAATTTAATAAGGTACCATGTACATGGACCTGAAACATTTTTATTTGTAGTATGCTGACTTTTTTTATGAAAATGGGTATGTCTGTGTTGTGTGTTTGGGTATATTTAAATTACACGAATGCAGAAAGAACTTAGAAGCCAGCTTCTGATTTTAACTAATAAAAACGTTTTTAGTCTGCTATACCCTTCCTCCTCCCAGATTATTCGAAGCAAACGCCAGACACTATAGCCTTTCATAAATTATTACATATCTCTTAAAGATACGAAATATCACTGCTATAGTATTAAGTGTGCAGATTCAAGTTTGTGTTTCTCTCTATATTTTAATAAGAATGACATTTGGACCAGTAGGTGAATCTCCTCTATGATACTATCAAAAGCATGTTGTAAGAGTTGTCAGTGAATGGGTTTACTTTTTCCTTTTCATACCTTTTTGTAGAGATAGATTTTTAAAAAATGCTTTCCTTGAAAGCAAAGTAATTAAAGGAGTTAAATTGGTGGGGAGGAGTGGCAGGAACGTGGTGGGAATACTCAGATATTAATGAAAGGTATATTAAACTCTGCAGGGAAAATGGAGACTATTAAGTAGTCTCATGTCCCAGCACTTTTTGGAAGGCTGAGGTGGGCAGATCACCTAAGGTCAAGAGTTTGAGACCAGCCTGGCCAACATGGTGAAACCCTGTCTCTATCAAAAATACAAAAAAAGTTAGCTGGGCATGGTGGCATGCACCTGTAGTCCCAGTTATTTGGAAGGCTGAGGCAGAAGAATCACTTGAACCTGGGAGGCAGAGGTTGCAGTGAACTGAGATGGCGCCGCTGCACTCCAGCCTGGGTGTCAGAGCAAGACTCCATCTCAAAAAAAAAAAAAAAAAAAAATTCTTATGCATTTGAGGTGCAGGAACGTGTGACAACAGCAGATTGTCAGCCTCTGCTTCTAGGACAGGATCATTTCATAATCATTACTTTTCAAAATGATCCTTTGTCTTGATATATTCTACTGAAGGTATTATGTAGCTGCCTAAAGAAGTGGAAGGCAGTCGGATAGTTTGAATCATGGCAGATAAGTGATAAGTGAAGGATAGTCATTGTAGATATATGAGGCACATATTATGGTCCTTTGATCTAGAATGGATCTTCAGAACCAGGCTGAGACCAGGATTATTAGGTGTGTGTTGGAGGTTTGGGGAGTCATATGCATTGAAGAGTTGTTGTGAAGTAGTGGAAAGTTATTTTTAAATGTATATGGGGTAACAAGATAATGATTATCTTACCCTTTGGGATGGCAAAGCCTTCCAGACCAGAGGCAAATATGCTTTTCTGTACAAATGTTACCCTTTTTTATTTGTGCCATGGTGAGAAAAAAGTGGGAAATGACTGACTTGGATAATAATGTGTAGATTTTTTTCCCCCTTGTAACCAAGTAGGTAGCTTTGGAATTAAGGATAATTGATTAGTCTTAGTTTTGGTTACCCTTAAATTTTTCTACTTTTGAAGCCACTGATAATAGATTGTTATATTCCCCAACAGGTTCACGAGTACTAATCTTCAGTCAAATGACAAGGGTATTGGACATTTTGGAAGATTATTGCATGTGGAGAAATTATGAGTACTGCAGGTTGGATGGTCAGACACCCCATGATGAGAGACAAGTGAGTAAAATTTGGGGAGGGAGATAAAAAAGAATCAGATAAATTTTTTGACAACCATTTTGTTTTATCCATAGGACTCCATCAATGCATACAATGAACCAAACAGCACAAAGTTTGTTTTCATGTTAAGCACGCGTGCTGGTGGTCTTGGCATCAATCTTGCGACTGCTGATGTAGTAATTTTGTATGATTCTGATTGGAATCCCCAAGTAGATCTTCAGGCTATGGTAAGAGATAACGAATAAATATATTCTGTGCTTAGTAGATGGCGTTAGTTAGGACAGGCTAATTCTACAAATATCAGTGACTTAACCCAATAGAATTTTATTTTTCTCTAATCTAATGGTTCAGTGAGAGTATATTGAGGTGATCTTCCATCTAAATAAGGGTATTTCCATCTCAGGGATCTGCCATATCTTAGGACCCTGGAGTCCTCTGCTATACTGCATCCTATTGGCAGAAGGGGGAAACGATAGAGTTGGGGATTTCCCAGGAAATTCTTTATGGGTCAGACCTTGAAAGAGCCTCCTTGTCTCTCCACCCCCTTGATCAAAGAATTAGACAGAACTCAAATCATGTAGCATAACTGACTGCAAGGGAATTGGTAAATTATAGTATAGTTATATCACAGGACCAAAGAGAATTGGGTTTGATGAGCAACTAGCCTGTCTTCCACTTTAGTTATTTAAAAGAACACCTGTGTGAGAGTACCTGGTCAGATCAGGAAGATTATTTTTAGATTGAGAGAATTGATACTGCAGATTGGCCTGACCCATGATATTGGTGACCACAAACCCAACTTTAATCTCTGTCATTAGTCACTTTCTTTTTTTTTTTTTTTTGAGATGGAGTTTCGCTCTTACTGCTCAGGCTGGGGTGCAATGGTGCAGTCTTGGCTCACTGTGACCTTTGCCTCCCAGGTTGAAGTGATTCTCCTGCCTCAGCCTCCCGAGTAGCTGGGATTACAGGTGTGCGCCACCACGCCTGACTAATTTTGTATTTTTAGTAGAGATGGGGTTTCACCATGTTGGTCAGGCTGGTCTCGAACTCCTCACCTTCAGGTGATCCACCCACCTTGGCCTCTGAAAGTGCTGGGATTACAGGAGTGAGCTACTACACCCAGCCCATTAGTCACTTTCATCTTGTACTCTTACTAAGGGTGACAGGGGAAAATGGACCAATTATTAGAAATAAGGGAGTTTTTTAGGAATGTAGTTAGCAAAAGTAAAACAAATTCATATTCAGATTAGTTTGACTACTTGTATATAGTTAATTGGGTAATATTTAAAGGTTAGAATTTTTGTGTTGTTTGCTAAGTTGTTTCATGTCACTTCTTTGCCTGATAGCAGTGACAATTTGGGTTTGATTTAGATAGAAAAACATTTTGAATTTAAACCTAGGAAAAAAGACTTAAAATCTTTCCTCATCAGACTTAAAAATTATAATGTTGTATATTGTTTGGAGACATTATGTGTTTTATCTCAGTGTAACCTAGCAGAATTCATCTGATTCCTTACAGATGCAGTGTTATTACAAATTTTTAAAAGTTTTATATTTCAGAATATTTTAATTTTTTTTCTCAGTGTACCCATTTCAGTGTTATTTATGTGACTTTTAAACTAAATTCAAAATAACATGGTAATTTATTTAGGACCGAGCACATAGAATTGGGCAGACTAAGACAGTCAGAGTGTTCCGCTTTATAACTGATAACACTGTAGAAGAAAGAATAGTAGAACGTGCTGAGATGAAACTCAGACTGGATTCAATAGTCATTCAACAAGGTAAGCCATGGAACTTTAAAACTTTACCAAGTTGGATTGACACAACCTGTTTTTGTTTGAAAATCGTCTTAGAAGATTCTTGTTACTAAGCATCCATTGAGTCAAGCTTGCAGCCAGTAGAGATGACTTGTATTGCAAATACAGTAAACTTTAGTTTTGTCATTAAAAAGATGGATTTGGGCTCAGGACAGTTGAGGTTTGAATAATGAGTCTGCCAGTTAGCAGTTCTCTCTGGTTACATGAACCCATTTCCTCATCTGTTAAGTGGGGATAAAAATAACTACACTTAAGGATTTTAAAGGATTAAAGGGGATAATGTATATAAAATATCTGACATTCAGTGTGGTGGTTAATGATTTATATGTACTAACTACTCTTGATTACTGTGGGGAAAACTGAAGAAATAAAAATCAAAGAGCCTGATTTTATTCTTTTTTCTTGTCTGCAATTTACTGAGTACCCACCAGATGCTAGGCACCGTTCTTGGTGCTGAGAATTCAGTGGTAAATGGAACAAACAAGTATTCTTACTTTCAAAGAGTTTACAATTTAGTTGGGAGGGAGAGATGAAGTAAACAAGGGTATAAGTAGGAGTAGGGGGTGAGAGTGGGATTTTATTTTGGATCAATTGAAGGAAACTTAAGTTCTCATTCCAGATCAGCTTTTAAGGATGACATAATTTATGTTTTCATGAAGCCTACTATAAAGTTGATGATGGGAAATATAAAATTCAAGAAAAGGGGTGGGAAACTTAATAATTTCAAGTGTGCATTGGTTTCCTTTGTAACTGCATTTGTGAGCATGTATTTACTATCTGTCTATAAAGCTGAAAGGCATACTGTTACATTGTTTACTGATTATGTAGGTATCTTGATTTTGTCAGTCTCTGATGTCCATGTAAGAGAGTATTGTACATGTCTTTGGTATCCCTAATGCTATTCATAGTGTTAGCCATATGTCTGCATACCTGAAGACAATAAATTATTGCTTATTTTTACAAATCGTTTCCCTTAATAAAGTGTTTACTTTGTGCCAGGCAGTGTGCTATATACTTAACATTTCATTTTCTCCTTTAGTCTTCATGCCAACTTGAGATGTTAGCATCAGAGATAAAGGCTTTTGAGAGGTTAAATTACTTGTTCATTGTACATACAGCTGGGAAGTGACTCAAGGGGGATCAAGAACTTTGTTAACTCTTAAGTGTTTAATTAGAAAAGTCTCTGGGGACTTCTCGAGGCTGCCACCCCGTGATGTTATCTCATGGGTGATATAATGGCTAATGTTTTATTTTTCTTCACACATCCATGTGTTTTGAAATACACCTGCCGTGTGTTTCTTGTTCTCAGTTATTTTCATCCATGAAACACTTTTTTTTTTTTTGAGATGGAGTTTTGTTCTTGTTACTCAGGCTGGAGTGCAATGGCACGATCTCGGCTCACTGCAACCTCCGCTTCCTGGGTTCAAGCAATTCTGCTGCCTCAGCCTCCTGAGTAGCTGGATTTACAGATGCCCGCCACCACACCTGGCTAATTTTTTTGTATTTTTAGTAGAGACAGGGTTTCACTTTGTTGGCCAGGCTGGTCTTGAACTCCTGACCTCAGGCGATCCACCCACCTCAGCCTCCCAAAGTGCTGGATTACAGGTATGAGCCACCACGCCTGTCCAAAACACTTTTTTTAAAGATAAAAAAGACCTTAATTGATTCATAATTAATTTAGAAATCTTGAGGTTTTTTTACTTCATATTTACTGTGGCAATTTTTGGAGCAAACCTTCAGGCTAATAGCTTTCTTGTGCCGTTTGTAGACATGTTAGTCAAACAGCAAGCCTTAAGTGCATACCTTTGTGTTACTGTTTTTTATTTGAGGGACATAATTAAAAACGAGAGTACACAAGCACTTTACATCTGAAGGTTCCGGAACCTTCCTGCCCAACTTGGAAGTAGTTTGTATAAGCATAAGAACATTTTGGTAGCAATGGTAGCATCCAATCCAAGGAAACATACCTTGTGGATATCTCCTCACTTACAAAGTCATGGATGTTTGGCTGTATATCCTATTATGGGTCCCAAACCATGATACAAGTATTTAAAGAAGTTGTTGAAAACTTGGATCTTTTTCCACTTACTTACAAGTTGGTTGGCATATAAAAATCAAAGCTTTGTTTAGGTGTATGTGAGTGACCCTTGAGGAGGGTGAAAACAAGTCTTTCTGGGTTTTTGTTTGTTTTTTTATACCTGTATTTTTGAAAAATTACAAGGTTGTCCAAACTCCTGCCAACTGAAAATATTTATTAATTTATTAATGGTGAGTTTCTTCGATGATCCAGATACATTTTCTCACCAGGTGTGGTAGTGCATGCCTTTAGTCCTAGCTACTTGGGAAGCTGAGACAGGAGAATGGCTTGAGCAGGGAGTTGAAGGCTGCAGTGACTATGGTCCTGTCATTGCACTCCAGCCTAAGCAACAGAGCAAGACTCCATCTCAAAAAAATAAACGAATAAAATAAGTTTTTAGGAGTTTCAGTTCTTCTGGAAGTTTTCTTTAAAAAGAAACTGATGTTACATATTTCAGTTCTGTGTAAAGTTTGGCCTAGGTGAAGGATTTTTTACTTTACTTTTCTAAGGAGAAAAGCTGATTTGGGGAGTATTAGTTAATAACACCTTTCTGCTCATCAGAAACTTGTGTGTATAATGCTTCCATCTGTTGAAACTTGTAGGTTTTTGAAAATTTTTCATATGCAGCTTTCACAAAAGATTATATTTCGTTGGCACAGTATACAGCAGGTTTCATTATATAATACATAAGGTTTAGGAATGTTTTGTAGCTTACCAACTGAAAATTTGGCATTAAATTTAGTGCAAAAATCAAAATTATTAGATGTGAATAAACAGTAAACAGAAATGATTGACATTTGAGATAAAATTATAAAGCATTAAACCTTACATTTAAAGTTTCAAGTTTCCAGTAAAATAAAGTCTGTTCAGTTAACATTATACAACACAATCTTTTTTCAGGGAGGCTTGTGGATCAGAATCTGAACAAAATTGGGAAAGATGAAATGCTTCAAATGATTAGACATGGAGCAACACATGTGTTTGCTTCAAAGGAAAGTGAGATCACTGATGAAGATATCGATGGTATTTTGGAAAGAGGTGCAAAGAAGGTGAGATGTAGATTAAATAATGCTTTTAATATAGAATGTTTTAGACCAGAAACAGGAAATATTTGTTACATTGATGATAAATAATTTTATTTCCTTAAAGAGAAGCTTTTGTGTACGTGAAGTTAATTTATTTTGACTGCAGTTTTCATGCTTTCTTTGCTGTGAATCTAAGAAGCTGATTGTTTTGTTCTCTAGACTGCAGAGATGAATGAAAAGCTCTCCAAGATGGGCGAAAGTTCACTTAGAAACTTTACAATGGATACAGAGTCAAGTGTTTATAACTTCGAAGGAGAAGACTATAGAGAAAAACAAAAGGTAATTTAGAAATAGGTTTGGGTTACATGAAAGCTTTATTTTACTGGAAACTTGGAATTTTAAGTGTTACTGTAATGTCTTATAATTTTGCTTAAAACAGTAGTCATTTTTGCTTATTCACATCTGAATATTTTCATCATTATGTAAAATTTAATGCCAGTTTTTCAGTTGGTAAGCTCTGAAATATTTTTAAAGTTTTTGTAATGAAGTTTGTGGTATATGTTTACAGTGAAATATATTCTTGTATGGGATGAATAGTAATTTGGGATGGTAACCTGATTCATTTTATTTTAAACAGCAGAATTGGCTGGTAATAAAGGGAAAAATTTCTTAACTTCATAAGTAATACTTGGTAATATAGAGATAAATTGAAAAATACCCAGAGATTAGAAGAAAAAAATAATTCTACCCAGTGTTTTTCTTGTTAATATTTAGGTCTATATCTTCAGAATTTTTTGTAGGCTAATTATGTGTCTACATTTTTCTCCTAGTTTAGATTTATACCAAA
Source organism: Homo sapiens (assembly GCF_000001405.40). NCBI lineage: Eukaryota > Metazoa > Chordata > Mammalia > Primates > Hominidae > Homo > Homo sapiens. The sequence goes on from NC_000004.12 coordinate 143,544,481, forward strand.
CATTCTGTAGCATTTCTCCCTCATTTAACAGTTGTTCCTTTAAGCAAGAAATACTGAATGCTTACTCTGTTGACTAGACACTGTCTCGTGTTAATTATATACATAATATTGAGCAAAGTATCATAGTCTCCACCCTCATAGAGCTTATAGCCCAGGATTTTGTGAATATCTTTACATTTACAAACATCCTTCTTGATGATGATTTGTTACTGTGTATAATAAAAGTTGGTGATTTGAGTTGTTTCCCATGTGCTAGATTGCATTCACAGAGTGGATTGAACCACCTAAACGAGAAAGAAAAGCCAACTATGCCGTTGATGCATATTTCAGGGAAGCTCTTCGTGTTAGTGAACCTAAAGCACCCAAGGTGAGTTGACTGACACAGCATAAAAATATCTAAAAATTTTGAAAATGTAATTTTTTTCATATATTCTTGCAAAAAGATTGATAATTAGATTTTGTGTTTCTTTTTTTTTTTTTTTTTTGAGACAGAGTCTCACTCTGTTACCAGGAGTTCAGTGGTGCGATCTCAGCTCACTGCAACCTCCGCCTCCCGGGTTCAAGCAATTCTCCTGCCTCACCCTTCCGAGTAGCTGGGACTACAGGCACCCACCACCACCCCTGGCTAATTTTTGTAATTTTAGTAGTGATGGGGTTTCACCATGTTGGCCAGGATGGTCTTGATCTCTTGACCTCATGATCCGCCCACCTTGGTCTCCCAAAGTATTGGGATTACAGGCGTGAGCCACTGCCTCTTTCCTACATTTTGCATTTCTTTAGAGTGTACTCTCTTCTGTTTTTAGTTAACATTTTTCAAAAATTAATTTTGAATCTGTGCATTTAAAATTAAGATATAAATTCAGTTTTATTGAAAGATGCATTCAGTTGCTTGCAGAATTGGCTGTTGTGGTTTATGAAGTGAGGACTAAGGATACATTTAAAATGAAATTTCTTTTTTATGGATAACACTTATTTTTGTTTTTCTTTAGGCTCCTCGACCTCCAAAACAACCCAATGTTCAGGATTTCCAGTTCTTTCCTCCACGTTTATTTGAATTACTGGAAAAAGAAATTCTGTTTTACAGAAAAACTATTGGGTACAAGGTAATTGAAATTATCTGCCTTTCTGTTCATTCCTATCCAGAAATTATGGAAGGTATAAACATTAGTTATAAATATTTATCTAATTTGGACCTAGTGTGAAACAATACTGCTTTAGCCTAGTCTAGTTGTATGTATGAAATACATAAACTTGGGTCTGTTTTTCTTTAACAAGAAAAAATAAGACTTCATGACCAATCTGGTTTGTTTTTAACATAATACATGCAATGTATCAGTATATTTTCTTTCCTGGTTGAATTGAAACTTGTGAAATGTCAGTTAGTTGGTTCATCACATGCTCTTTAAAATTTACTGATTTGATGGCATAGAAAAATATCTTTTAGGTACCTCGAAATCCTGAGCTGCCTAATGCAGCACAGGCACAAAAAGAAGAACAGCTTAAAATTGATGAAGCTGAATCCCTTAATGATGAAGAGTTAGAGGAAAAAGAGAAGCTTCTAACACAGGTATAGCCTTTAATCAGTACAAACTTTAGTAACAGTTTGTTGTAAAGGACTGTGTTAGGTTATGTTGGGGCATAAAAATAAATACAAGTTTCTGCTTTTAAAGATGGAATAATTGGAGACAATAAAGTATGGGCATGTGGATAAATGCTCCATCTGATTGTCACTAGTTGAGGTAGTTGAGAAGACTACAGATTTTATTACTCTGGCTCGGTAGAGTGGGTATCTTTTTTATCACCTTACTTTGAATGTTCCCGTCTTTCCTATGAATTTTCCACATTGCTACCCAGTCACCATTTTCAACTATAAATCTTGGCTTGGTTATTTTTTAAACATCCTTTGGTGTTCATCAAGGTCTTTCAGAATCTGGCCTTTGACTTACCTTTAAAGCTTCATTTTCCTTCCATTTTTCTACTTGCTCATATTTTTGCCCTTTATGTTATTCACTCTTTCTGGCCAACTGCTAGTAATCCTTCAAAGCTCAGTGAAACTGTCACCTTTTCATACAGTATTCCTTACTCTCAGCCACTCATATTTAATTGCTTGGGTATTTGAGCAATATATAATGTGTTGTCAAAAGTGTATATTTATGTACACGAAAAGTTACCACTCTAAAAGAACTTAATAAACTAGTGAAAATTTGTTTTTGTAATATTTAGAAGGTTTGCTAATAGCATGTTTTCCAAGTTTAATGTGCTGTGATTAAATATTTTGTTTCTGTTCCTGTGAAGGGATTTACCAATTGGAATAAGAGAGATTTTAACCAGTTTATCAAAGCTAATGAGAAGTGGGGTCGTGATGATATTGAAAATATAGCAAGAGAAGTAGAAGGCAAAACTCCAGAAGAAGTCATTGAATATTCAGGTAATTCTTTTAAGCAGGCTGTTGGAGTTTAGTAAGAGCTGTTGGAAGGTTCTTGTTTTCTTATTCTGAATTATGTTGTGATTAGCTAATTTTGTCACAGTGTAGTTAGTACCTTCTTCATTATTTTTTACAAATTAGAAAATGTTCTGTTTCCAGAAATGGCGTAATGGTTTCCTTTTTAAAAATTTTTTAACCCTAGCTAACTCTAGCGACAGCAAAGAAAATCAGAATAAGTCACTGGATAATTGCCCTTGCATTTTTATCTTAATTTCTCTGCATAACTTCAAGTATTATGTGTTGTGTTTCCTGAAGTCAGTTGTATTATTAGGTTAACATGTGAGGGTATGCTGTGGTGAGTCTGCTTAGAATAGCAGAAATTTAAGAATTAGAAGATAAATAATCCAGTTGATCCCATTTTTTTTACATTAAAGAAATAAAAATATAAATGATTTGTTTACTTTGTCCAACTTTTACAGCTGTGTTTTGGGAAAGGTGCAACGAGCTCCAGGACATAGAGAAGATTATGGCTCAGATTGAAAGGGGAGAGGCGAGAATTCAAAGAAGAATAAGCATCAAGAAAGCACTTGACACAAAGGTAATTTGCTTGTTAATAAGTTAGGTAGTTAATAAAATAACTCCTAGCTGTGAGTATGAGAGAGTGACTTTTTATAAAGGAAAAGAAGTAAGGGTTTACAATTTAAAATTTCTTCAGAGTAGCATTCAAACATGGTATTGTCAGCAGAATTTACCTATACACTAGACTGATAGATCTGAGTCAAAGACACTAAGATTAGCTTTTTACTAAGTAGAATCAGGAAGTCTTAGTCTGTATTTCTCTTTATAATAATAAAGACTATAAAGGTCTTTCGGGACAAAGATTATATAAAGCAATTGAAGTGCTCTAGATAGAAAATTCTGATTTGAAATGCAACATTTTAGCTAATTATACTAAAGCTGAGTTTGAAATACAGATTATATAGGATTTGTATTTTATATAATATAAAATCTGACTTTCATAGATTGGACGGTACAAAGCACCTTTTCATCAGCTGAGAATATCATATGGTACTAACAAAGGAAAAAACTATACTGAAGAAGAAGATCGTTTTCTGATTTGTATGCTTCACAAACTTGGATTTGACAAAGAAAATGTTTATGATGAATTGCGACAGTGTATTCGCAACTCTCCTCAGTTCAGATTTGACTGGTTTCTTAAGTCCAGAACTGCAATGGTGAGTGCTCAGGGCTTTTTTGTGTAATGTAGCAGAGTTCAGAGTAAGTGTCATCTTTGGTATTCTTTAAGGTGACTTTAAAAAAATCTATGAAGTAGACTTTTGTTACAATATTGTTAGTATCATAAAACCTAATACCAGGGATAGCTTACAAGTTTATTGGTCCTATCCTTTAGTATCTTACGTCTTTAAATATCACTATATGATAAGACTAGCTTTTCAAGTTCTAAGTGGGAGGAAGTATCAGTTTCAACTTCTGAGTGTTACGACTTTTTGGTTTTTCAAATGAACATATTTCTATAAAGAAAAATGGTCCTTGCATTCAAGCATCTGCACATCAGAATCAGCATTCTGATTTATTTAATATAAATCATCCAGAGTCTGGATTATTTTAAGATGGCTTATTATAGTGAAACACTACTTTTGCACTGATTTAGTGCTAGGTTTTGTTTTTATTCCCAATATCTGACTAACAGTTTCTGACCAAATAGCCCCATTTCTAATAACCTAAAATTTGAATTCAGAAAAGTTTAACTTTGATGGATTGCTCCTTTTCTTCCTTATTTCACCACCATTGAACTTTGAGCTTCAACTTGTTTTCTGCCAGATGAGGATAATGCTAATAAGTTCTTTAGTCTTAAGTTTGGGATATTCTGGGATAAGCAAAGTTTAAACATCTTTGTGTTTGTTTATAGTAAGATTTCTCTGTATATTTAAAGTAAAATGTCACTTTGTAAGACAGTGGATAGTAAGCAGTATTTTCATGTTTGACCACTGAAAATTTTTTTTCACTAGACATCACTGTTTGTGATACCCAAGTTTGGGAAATGTACTAAACTTAAATACATGAAGATACTTTGAAGATAAAACACTGTATAAATATATAATTAGAGAAAAGATCCAGTTGCTGAAAGCTTATTTCTTCTTAAGTGGGAACAATTTATAGAGTTAATAAAGAATAATTTTATAGTGATTGTAACAAGACAGTGCCATGTTAATTTAACTAGTACAGTACCGTAATTTAAAACTGTGTTACTTCTTAACATGTTCCATGTTAAGATGCACAAAAAATGATAATGTATTCTTCTATCTCTATATACTATTTCTAAGTCTTGTGTGGTGTATTCTATACAGTAGTATTTTAAAATTATTTTACTGTAGTTGTGTGTGTAGTAGTATCACTTACTATAAGAAAAAAATAATTTTGCTCTATAAGAAAGGGGGCTGCTACCCAGCAGCCGTCCGTGCAGATGGACTTCTGTTTCTTTCAGGGTTAACTGCTACTTCTATGTTATACTTTAAATCTTTTCTGGAGGCTGTATGTCCAGTTTGCCAGAGAGAGATGAGGTAGAACTCATCGTAGACTTCCATGGCTGGTTTTCCAAAATTGGGAAAGGTGCCATGTGATTGATTGACTACCATAATTCTAGTGATACTTTGAAGGGAAAGATTATACACACCTGTTAAAGTTCTTGTTGTTTTTGACCCTCACATATGTGCACTATTAATCTTTTTAAGTTTTGGATATAAGTAGCACAGTAGTTCTCAGACATACACACTAAGTAGCAGTATTGCATATGTTCATTTTTATTGCTTTAATTCCTAAGTGAAGGAAGAATTTTTGAAGAATACACAGTAGTTTGGCTTTAAAGATTGGAGTAAAAACATTATTTACAAATATCTTGCCTTTAATCTTCATAGCATGAATTGTATATGAAAATCAGTTGTTTTTTTTTTAAATCAGGGGTGTATTAGTGGTTTTATATATTATCCTATTAAAACATACCTTGTTTTAAAATTGAAATCATGAAACTTGTGGATGGAAAGTGCGTGTACCATGTTTGTTTATAATTTAGGAGCTCCAGAGGAGATGTAATACCTTAATTACTTTGATTGAAAGAGAAAACATGGAACTAGAAGAAAAGGAGAAGGCAGAGAAAAAGAAACGAGGACCAAAGCCTTCAGTAAGTATTCATGAATATGTAAATATGTGGATTATGTAAATTTCCCCTTTCTAAGTATTTAACACTGCTTGGCTGTCATTGATGTGTTAGTCCCTGTTGTGCACCCCTCCATTGCCTTTACTTTTTTTTTTTTTTTTTTTTCCTTAAGGGAGAACCCAAGCTCATAATTTGAGATTCTTCCACTTTCAAATTTAGGTAGTGGTATAATTTTTAATTTTTAGTTGTTATGAGTAAGTATGTATTTATAGGTTACATGAGATACTTTGATACAGGCATGCAATAAGTAATAAGGACATCAGGGTAAATGGGGTATTTATCACCTCCAGCATTTATCCCTGTTACAAACAGTTTAACTCTTAGTTATTTTAAAATGTATAATTAAATTATTTATTGCGGTAGTCACTGTGTTGGGCTATCAAATACTGGGTCTTAGTCTCTCTTTGTATTTATTTGTATCCATTAGCCAGCCCCACTTTCCCCCACCCCCACTGCCTTTCTCAGCCTCTGGTATCCATCCTTCTCTCTGTCTCCATGAGTTTAATTGTAGTTTTTAGCTCCCACAAATAAGTGAGAACATGCCAAGTTTGTCTTTCTGTGTCTGGCTTATTTCACTTAATAAACTCCAGTTCCATCCATGTTGCTGCAAATTACAGGGTCTCATTGCTTATGGTTGAATAGTATTCTATTGTGTATACATACCATGTTTTCTTTATCCATTTATCTGTTGATGGACACTTAGGTTGCTTCCAAATCATGGCTACTGTGAATAGTGCTGCAGTAAACATGGGAGTGCACATATCTCTTTGATATACTGACTTTCTTTTGGGTGTAAACCTAGGAGTAGGGTAACTCTTATCTGTAGTTTTTTGAGGAACCTTCAAACTGCTTCCACAGTGATTGTACTAATTTGCGTTCCCACCAAAAGTGTATGAGGGTTTCCTTTTCTCCACATTCTTGTCAGGATTTGTTATTGCCTGACTTTTGGATAAAAGCCATTTTATCTGGGATGAGATGTTATCTCATTGTAGTTTTGATTGCATTTCTCTGATGATCAGTGATACTGAACAGCTTTTAATATGCTTGTTTGCCATTTGTATGTCTTCCTTTGAGAATCATCTGTTCAGATCTTTTGCCTATTTTTAAATCGGACTGTTAGGATTTTTTTCAGTAGAGTTGTTTGAGCTCTTACATATTCTGGTTATTTATTAATCCTTTGACAAATGGGTAGTTTGCAAATATTTTCTTCCATTCTGTGGGATGTCTCTTCACTTTGCTGTTTCCTCTGCTGTGCAGAAGCTTTTTAACTTAATGTGATCCCATTTGTCCATTTTTGCTTTGGTTGCCTGTGGGGTATTATTCAAGAAATCTTTGCCCAGTCCAGTGTTCTGGAGAGTTTTCCCAATGTTTTCTTGTAGTTTCACAGTTTGAGGACTTAAAGTCTTTAATACATTTTGATTTGATTTTTTTATATAGTTAGGGATACAGGTCAAGTTTCATTCTTCTGTGTATGGATATCCAATTTTCCCATTACCATTTATTGAAGAGACTGTCCTTTCTCCAGTGTATGTTCTTGGTAGCTTTGTCAAAAATGAGTTCCATGTAGATGTATGGACTTTACGGACTTATCTCTGGGTTCTCTGTTCTTTTCCACTGTTGCACTGATCTATGTATCTGTTTCTATACCAGCACCATGCTGTTTTGGTTACTATAGCTCGGTACTATAAGTTAAGTCAGGTAATGTGATTCTTCCAGTTTTATTCTTTTTGCTTAGGGTGGCTTTGGCTATTTCTGGGTGTTCTGTGGGTCCATATAAATTTTAGTATTTTTTTTTCTATTTCAGTGAAGAATGTCATGGGTATTTTGATAAGGATTGCATTGAATCTGTGGATTGCTTTGGGTAGTATGGACATTTTAACAATATTGAATTTGCTAATCCATGAACATGGAATATCTATTTTTTTGTGTCTTCAGTTTCTTACATCAGTGTTTTATAGTTTATCTTAGAGATCTTTCGCTTCTTTGATTAATTCCTGGGTATTTTATTTCACGTGTAATTACTGTAAATGGGATTACTTTTTATTTTTCACATTCTTCACTGTTGGCATAGAAATGCTACTGTTTGTTGTATGTTGATTTTGTATCCTGCAGTGTCACTGAATTTGTTTATGAGTTCTAATAGTTTTTTGATGGAGTCTTTAGGTTTTTCCAAATGTAAGATTATGTCATTTACAAATAGGGCAATTTGACTTCTTTGTTTCCGATTTAGATGTCCTTTCTTTCTTTCTCTCGTCTGATTGCTGTAGCTAGGACTTCCTTGAAATACTTAAAAAGTACAAATTTAGCTTGACTGGGTTGTGTGGGAAAAATCACTTCTTGATGATATGGTAGTCCTTAATATGGGGCTTCGTGAAAATCAGGAAAGTATGTCTCGTAAATGTCAAGTGTGTACACATCTCATTGAGAATACAAGTTATAATTTTAGAATAATTTAAGAAACATTGGAAAAGCAGTGGTATTATGACTTTTACTGTTAGTCTCTAAGCTTTGATTATTTCAGTGATGTTTTAGCAATGTGAAGGCAAACACTTAAAGGGAAAAAATGTTATTTAATAATAGTTAATTTAATAAAAAATGGTTAATTTATAAAGTCATGAATAAATGAGTATCTCTGGATAATATTTGGTACTTATGTAACTGCCTTTTAAAAACTCAAGTGTTTCTTACTATTTTGGGAAGCTTGCATTTATTTGATATTGATCTACTACTGTTAATTGTGCATTAGTTTTATAACGTCATTATTAACATTAACATTTTTTATTCTGTAAGTAAAATAAGTAGGTAAGATTATTTGGAGGCTTTATAGTTTGCTTTGAAAGATTTATATAGCCTGGGGGAAAAGTCTCATACCTATTACTTTGTAGTAGTTGTTATTACTAAAGTGTTATAATGTGTCTGCAACTATATTTCATGTTTATATTAGTCTTGTGAAAAGTAATCCTTCTGTCTGTTTGTAGACACAGAAACGTAAAATGGATGGCGCACCTGATGGTCGAGGAAGAAAAAAGAAGCTGAAACTATGAATATGTTTTTGTTTCATAATCACTAACTTTAAACCAGTAGTTCTTTAATTTACGGGTCTTCATAAGATGTACTGTACAATGCTCAATTGTTATGTCATTTAAAGACATCAGGTTCATCTGTTTACTGAGCTAGAAACATAGTATGTAGTTTCACTTTTTTAAATGCAACAGCTGTGCTGAAATTTTTTTATCATTAACACTTGAAGTAATAAAATAGGCTTCATTTATTACTAAGTGTTTCATTTGATTTATTTTTCTATTGTAGTTCCATTTGTGAAGATTGTGACTTTTTGTTTATTAGCTATAATTTCTACACTTGTAAGGCTTAAAAACAAGTTAAAAAGAAAATTGCAAATAACATTTGTCCCTTTCAGTCTTCACCTAGTTGTGTAATTATTTTAATTCACTTTGCCTTTGCAGAAATTTGGGTATTTTCTTTGTAGTGCTATTGAGTCTCATCTGGAAAGATTATATAAATTGCATTCTCCTTGCTTATGTGGGTAGAATGGGAAAAGAAGGCAAGACAAAGTATACTTAAATTCTATGCATATTTCTGTTATGCTTTCTGTTTTTTTTAGTTGATTCTGAAATGAATATGCCCTATTCTTTTGAAAGAATGGCCTTTTAGTTGTATAGCCAAAGACATTTAGTATTTTCCGGTTCCTTAAGGTATTACTGTACCATTTTGTAAAAGGAATATTATTATTATTATTTTTAATTATTTGGTAAATATTTTGTCATATGACCTTCTGAAGCAGCCACAACTTAGATAATGTCAGAACTAAGGTGATTTTTTTTTTTTAATTTTGAAAGCCCAGCCAAAATGAGGTGTGAATTTGTCATACTGTTACATTGAAATTGGTAACAAAATATATCCCCTCCCATTTGGACTTTTAGGGTAAATGAAAATTTTATTGTATTTTAAAGTAGTTTCTAAGTGTTAGCAAGACTGACTATAATTCCAGTTTCTGTTTTCTATGGACAGACCTGATAAACTGGAGACCCTAAAGCAGGAATACCCAAATTATAGTGTCAGGATTTTAGCTGTACCAGAGGCCTTTATGTGCTACACATAATTTGTATAAAATTTTATATGTGCAGATTGGGTACATAAACAGTTCTCCATTTTTCTAAGGGAATGCAATAAATGTAGCATCGTGAATAAATATAACTTTTATAATCCGTAAAGTGGTCTTTTCTTTCCATTTCTTTAATTGTTTTCTCAATTTTTATTCACTTTTTCCTTTAGGACACATTTCCCTTAATTGGATATCTTTCCCTTAAATTTCTATTAGTAGTTGTTTTCATCTGCCCACATGTAATTGAAGATTTAAAAAAAAAATTTTGATACCTGCAGTATTACTAATACTGCTTAATTTCTTGAAATGTGGAATTGCTGCTGTTAATGTCAAGCAAAACGCAGTATTTATGGCAAATTGTAAAGTAATTTGAATTTAGTGCTACCTCAAAATTAACTTTTTAAATACTATGTTAGATTCTTAACAGTTAAAGGTCTAATACATGCATGAGGAATGGTTACTTATGAAAGGAAAAAGAATTTGTAAGAGTTATCACCTCAGTTTGGAAGAAATTGAAAAAATGTAAGGCTGAAGAAAACTTACGGAGGTCACAAAAGTGATGTTTTCAAGAGGAGGAGAAACTGGGAGGGAGATACACAGTGGAAATGCAAAATGAATCAAGTATAGTGGTAGCCCTGAGAGCTTAGGGACTCAAATGGAAACTGTGTGAAGGGAAACTCACTTGAAAAAAAAGCATGAACCAGCTAGGCCCTGCCACCACTGTGTTTGGCCAAGTTCACAAATCTGTTTTAACCTGTCACTTCCCTGTCACTTCTCTGGCTTTCCTCTCCCGCTAAGCTTTTGTTTCCTGGCAGTAATTAAAATCTTCTGTCAGTGCCACAGCTACTACTGCTACTGGAACTGCCTTAACCACTACTGCTACTGGAACTGCCTTAGCCACCTTGGTATCGTGGTTTGGCAAAGTATTGGCCTCTACCACCATAGGGCCCAGAGCTTCTGCCTCCAAAGTTTCCTCCCTTCATGGGTCCAAAATTTGAAGACTGATTGTTGTCATTGCCAAAATCATTGTAGCTTTTACCACCTCCAAAATTGCTTCAATCATTACCAAATCTATTATAGCAATCCCCACTGCCACCATATCCATCACCACCACCATGGCTGCCACCAAAGCCACCACGATCACAGAACTTGATGACTGTATTTGTGACTAATTGTATAATAGTTTCTGTTCTGTGGAAAGTAAAGCATTCCAACACAGGGTTTCAGTGTAGATTGTTTTGTTTTGTACCCATGCTGTTGATTGCTAAATGTTTTAATAATCTGATCATGATACTGAATAAATGTCTTTTTTTTTTTTTAACAACAAAGCATGAAAGATTGCTTAATTGTACATCTGACAAAGTGCTGGAGGCTATTATAAAGTGTAATTATTACTACTTTTAAGAGACAGGGTCTTGCTCTGTCACCCAGGCTGGAGTGCAGTGGTGCAATCACAGCTCACTGCAACCTCAAACTTCAGGGCTCAAGTGATCCTCCCACCTCAGCTTCCCAAGTAGCTAGGACTACAGATACCACGCCCAGCTAAGTTTTTTTAGTTTTTGTAGAGATAGGGCCTTGCTATGTTGCCCAGTCCGGTCTCAAACGCCGACTTCAGGCAATCCTCTTGCGTCAACCTCTCAAAGTGCTGGGATTACATGTGTAAGCCTACATTCCAAAGTGCTGGGATCATAGTTGTGAGCCTACACCACACCTGGCCTACATTTTGTTTTTCATAAAGTTGAGAGAAGCAAATCCTAAGCATAGAGTACAAGTTGAGCATCCCTAATCAAAAAATCTAAAATCAGAAATGCTCCATAATTTGAATGCTCATTAGGGCATTTCTGATTTTTGGATTAGGGATGCTGAACTGATAAGTATAATGCAAGTATTCTAAAGTCTGGAAAATGCTAAAAACACTTCTGGTTCCAGGCATTTCAGATAAGGATTGCTCCATCTGCCCTTTGAGTATTTAATATATGCCGATTGTTTGAACTAATCTGGATTTAATTATATAAATGATTATATAAATGATCTTTGGCTTAGTACCTTTCTTAATCTCGATCTTAAAAAGCATTGTAAAACACCCCTGTGGTTTTTCAGAAAAATTCTGAGTAAAAAATAAATTTCATCTTGTTCTATCCCTTTGAATCTAAAAAACAAATCTTTTTGAAAGGATGTGCTACTATATTTCAAACCAGTAGTTTTGGAGTAGAACATTGCTAAAAAAATGGGTACTAAGGAGGGTAATTTAAACAAAGTAGATTAATGACACAAGGTGGATTGATGAACTCATAAATCCAAATGAATGGAATGCTAGAAGACATGTATTAACGGAGTAGCTGTTACCAAAATATATACATATTTTGTATATGTACATAGCTGTTACCAAAATGTATCTTTGCCTGTTGGAATCTGATGTCAAGATCAAAGGTGAGGGCATCCCTCAGATGACAGATAATGGGCAAAATACATTCTTGGTGTGGAGCAGTGCTGCAGAATTAACTTCGCTGTGTACATCCCAGAATCGTTTTGGATCTGTTAAGGTTTTTATTAGAATGATTAAATAGGCTTTTGCAGCATTAACTTTACAGTAGTTACCAGAAAAGACTATGCTACAAGAACCAAAATTGAAGTAAGAAGAAAAAGACTGAAATGATATGATTCTAAATGAAAAAAATGAAGAAGTGGAATAGTTTCTCCACAGGCATAAGAGGCAAAGCATTGTTTCAGAAGTGGACTGGCACCTCACCTGAGATACTCAAGACTGGCAACATGGGTCTACATTCTTTGTTACCACAGATTCCCTTGTGTCCGGAGAGATTCCCTAGCTCTAATGACAGCTTTTTTGGGGGGTAATGAGGCTATGAGAAGATTGAGGATCTAGGTACTTGCCTTTAACTCTACAGCATACAAGGTGTGTGGCTCTTATCTCTAGGACACCAATATTTAATGTTGCATATCATGTATCTCCAGTACAAGAAGAAAGTTTATCAGAATTTAGTTAATGTTGGAAACTTTGTAATATAAACAATGTAAACACTACATTGACAAAAATATTTTATTAATACAAAGAATATGCATATAGTTTGCTTACTACAGAAATTCTTGTTTTTGATGTAGACAACCCAAAGGAGTTTTTATGTATATAGATTGTGAATAAATTGGGAAAAGAAATAGAGATAAGTAGAGATTATTTCACTTCATTAAACTTTTGAAGTCCTAATTTAGTTCATGTGATTATTTGTAAACTTTTCTTTATTAGTCTTCCTCAATCATTGAAGAACCCAGGATTCAAATACAATACTTAATGGAAACACTTTTTCATCCCAAACTAAATCCTGCCCTGAAAGCCGAATTCACTATGAAATCTGAGATGAAACTCCAAGGCTATTATGCTGGCCAGTGGAAGGTTGGTTCACCCCTCTTGAGGTGACATTAGGGTGGTCTGCAGACATCACTGGAGTGGACAAAGAGATGCCTGGGTGGTTGGGGAAAGGACAGATCATAGACAACAGTAGCCTCTTTCTAGAGCTCAGTTGCAATAAATACCACAGTTACTCATCAGACACATTGGCAGTTCTACTTATTCCCATGTTTCAAAACTAGAGAATTCTAGCAAGGACTAAGCACTGCTTCTGTAGACCATCGGTATTTCTCCATGGCTGTTTGAATTTTTGTCAAAGCTTCTGTGTCTCATGCACACTAGTGACTTTTGAGACAGAGTCTTGCTCTGTCACCCAGGTTGGAGTGCAGTGGTGCGATCTAGGCTCACTGCAACCTCTGCCACCCAGGTTCAAGCAATTCTCCTGGCTCAGCCTTCCGGATAGCTGGGACTACAGGCATGCACCACACCTGGCTAATTACTGTATTTTTAGTAGAGACAGGGTTTCACCATATTGGCCAGGCTGGTCTCGAACTCCTGGCCTCAAATGATCTGCCTGCCTCCGCCTCCCAAATGTTGAGATTACAGGTGTGAGCCACTGCATCTGGCCTGATGCAGATTGATAATTTCTTGAGTGAGGCAGTGCTGTTGCCTAGTAGCAAGGCTTAGCTGGGTGAGACATTACTAGCTGCCTTCAGAAGCGGATCTCTGCCCTGAAGTTTACCAGCCTGCTTTCCTTGATGCCCATGCTGGCTGGGTGTAGGGATCCTGAGTGGAGGGAAAAAGAAGAATAGATGATACAGATTTGCTGTGCAAAGGCGGAGTTCTTACTGGCTCTTCCTCACAAACAGGCTGGTGATTAGCTGACTTTCAGATTCCCTTCTGGGAGGTGGCAAGGGGCCATCTGGTCATCCTAGCTTTGCAAGGAGTAACTTTTTTTTTTTTCATTTTATATGCCCTTTAATCCCAGTAGATGGATAGGTTTGCTTTCTTAGTATGCTTTCCAGTTGTAGAAAGGTCTTTTCTCTGGGTATTGGCTTTCCCCCAGCCTCCTATTTTTTGCGCTCCCCCTCCTCCCCAGCCACCTCTTTCCCTGGGAGCCAACTTGATAAAAGTAATGGCACAAGTCTTGCAGAATACTCCTACCAATCTAAATGCTGCAGACGCCACAGTGCTTTTTTCTCACCCTTAATAGTCGTAAGATAAGTTAGAGGGAGCTCCTTCAAGAGTACGCTGAGTTTAGTTTCTTCACAGCAGGAACTAATCTTTAAAAAAAATTATCATTGGGCTCCTTATTGTAACTGGACAGTACTGGAACTGGGTGGGTGCTTGATAAGAGAATGAATAGTTTAGGTAGTTACAATGAAACCACAGGCACCTGTAGAGGTCTCCCCAGGCTCACCTTGACGCTCTGATTGGCGGCTGCAGACCCCATCCGCGAGATGGCAGTGTTAGGAACAAAGGTGAGCTGCCCACTGCAGGTCAAACGCTGCCGGCTACCAGCTGCAGCTGGGAGTGAAAGACTAGAATACAGAAAGGCGCAGGCAGTCACGTAGGACTAGGCCGGGTTTAACACCCGAACAGTGGTGCTAGAAGGTCAGAGTCTTCTACGTACATGTTGGAAACATCCTTGATTGTCTAGCACCAAGACTTTTAAACACAGGGGGACAAATCATCACTTTGGGTATTTGTAATTGTTCGTCAGTTCAAATCTCTTGGTTTTAAAAAAATACTTTCCCTCTGCGCGACTGGCGCGTCACGTCGCGCGCGACCAGTCCGCAGGGCTCCTCCCGCGCTGCTGATAGGCCCGCAGACGGCGGCCCAGCAGAGGAGCGGAAAGCATGGTCCGGGGGGCGGCGGACGCCTGGTAGGCGCTCGGGCCGTTGTTGTGGGGCTGCGCGCTGGCGCTGCAGGGCGGGATGCTGTACCCAAGAGAGAGGCCGTCGCGGGAGCGGAAGAAGCTGGACCGCCTCTGGAGCTTCCGCGCCGACTTCTTCGACAAACTGTGCCTTGGCTTCTAGGAGTAGTGGTATCGGCGTCTGCTGCGAGAGTCGGGCTCCACCATGGACATACCGGTTCCCTCCAGCTTCAACGACGTTGGCCAGGACTGGCGGCTGCGGCATTTTGTAGACCAGATGTGGTACGAACGGGAGGTGACCTTCCTGGAGCAATGGACCCAGGACCTGCACACAAGAGTGGTACTGAGGATTGTCAGTGCCCACTCCTATGCCATCGTGTGGGTGAATGGGGTCGACGCGCTAGAGCATGAGGGATCTACCTCCCCTTTGACACCGACATCAGTAGCCTGTTCCAGGTGGGGCCCCTGCCCTCCCGCCTCCGCATCACTATCACCATCGGCAACATGCTCATCTCCTCCACCCTGCCACCAGGGAGCATCCTCGACATGGCCGACACCTCCACGTGGGTACCATCCTGCTTCCACCGCAGACACCCACCTTCCTGTCCCACCCCGTGGGGCATTACATTAGGGTAATTACATTAGGTAAGTCACATATCAGTGACTTACAAATTTTGTAAGTAATTAAGAAATTTTCAATAAGTGTGGAGCTGAATATTTACATGAGCCCTTCAAAAACTGATAGTTAATGGAATAAATGAAAATAACAGGAGAGACTTTGTTGAAAGAAGACAAAATAGTCAAGGAAGTGATAGAGGATACAAAAGAAAGATGAAAACTTACATTCATTTAATGTCTAACCGTGTGCCAAAAGACAATATTATTATTTAGTTTTCATAACCACAACATTTGGTGGATATGATTGCTTCCATTATATAGGTTAGGAAAGTAAAGCTTAGGGGTTTGTGAACCCACTAGTTTAAAGTTGTGTAGCCAATAGGTGGTTGAGTGAGAATTCAAAACTGGAACAGATTTGCTTGATCCAGAATGGTATAACTTTATTGTCCATGCATTGTCTTCTACATTTTACTGCCTGTAAAGTGGGAGTCAGTTATGGGAGGAGACCCAGAATGTCACAGGTTTTGAAAGCTGCTGTGGAAAATTTGGAAGGAGGCATTGGATTTAATGACTGATACAGGTCAGTGCAGATTGACCTTGGAGAGAACAGTTTTCTTCAGTGGCATGGTAGTGTTCAAAACAGGATCTGATGGTAAAGAAAATGTAGAACCAGTGTGTGTAGACTCCTTGATGGAAAAGTTTATTTGTAAAATATCAGAGGAAAATTATAATATAGATTTGTCCATTCAAACCCCAAAGTCCAGATTCTTACTGCAATATTTGATGTAGCCAATATACAGCAGTTGAGTTCAATTTTGGCCCCTGTTTATGTGTATGCTAAAGAAAAATAACAATCCTAAGCCTATGCCACTTAAACAAGAGGATGTGATTATACTATGAAACACTTGTGACCATAGGAATATAGCAGTGCTAAGGCAAAATAGGTCTTAACTTGACTTTTCCTGTCATTTGCTGCCATTGTTTGCCAAAGGTCTAGCACCTATCTTCAGAGGAAAGTCAAGAAATTAGTGCTCAGATGGTGGGATGAATTCCTGAATTATTGTTGGCTCTAGTAGTTTCTTCAGATCAATTTTATAGTTTCTTTAGAACTAGAAAATTAGGTCTCAGAATGGCAGTTGGCCACCCAATGTGTATAATACAATTACTCAACCAGCTGCTTGAAAGCAAGGGGCAACAGAGAAGTCAGCTACTGGCTCAGGCAACAGGAAATTTGATGATACTCCTTGGTCAAATCCTTCATTTAACATACATTTATATAGAACCTTTCTGTATCAGGCACCATTCTAGGTACCACAGATAAAACAATAAAGAGAACTGACAAAACCTCAGCCTTCATGGAGTTTATATGCTAACACATATGCATAAACAAACACATATAAAAATCCAGAAAGTCGTTACTGCTGTGAAGACAAACAACACAGAGTAAGCAGATACTGATGTTGGGTTGTTGCCTTAAGGTGGTCAGCAAAGTTGTTTCCGGGGAAATGACATTTGGATGAAAAACTGAATAATGTAAGAGAGTTAACCATCAAACATCTGTGTGAAGATCTTTAGGAGGAGTGGGGGAACCGCAAGTGCAAAAGCCCTGTGATGGGAAAGTGCTTGTTATGTTTGAAGAACAGCAGTAAGACACCATGGCTGGAGTGTAGTGGGGGAGGGAGAGAGAGGTGGTAAATAATAATGGAGACTTAGTTAGGGCCACATCATGTAAATAGAGCTTTTACAGTCTTGTAGACAAGAAATATGTTTTGATTTTTCCCTAAGTCCACAAAATAGTTTGTGATAGAAAGCCATCGAAAGATTGAAAACAGGGGAGTATTATTTGTAACCTCAGTTGCTGTTCCATGCAGGCATAGGAAAGAATAATGCTTCCTTGCTCCATATCTATTGCTGAAACAGTTCTCCATGATCTCTTTAGTCTGAGGACAAATGACATTTTTCTGGTTACAAGACAGAGGGGATATGCCATCCTAGGCATTGAGATTGGGAAATATCAAGCATGCATGTGACTGCCAAGTATTAAACCCCATTTTCTGATGACCACTAGGGTTCCAGGTATCAGCCCATAAAGTGAGCTTTTTCTGAGAAGAACGAAAGATGGCAGGTAGAAATGATTGAGCTGGTAAAGAAGACTGAGGCTTATTGTTAAGGTCTGGGGCCTAAAAATGTCAGGGTTCAAAGTGATCAATTTGGAAAATAAAGAGATTTGGACCCTCCTCTGAAATCAGGGAGTAGTGAATATGTGGAGTCAGAAAGTAACTGCAAATTCTGGAGAAACTGTGGAAGCAGCATTTTGTAGGAGGGTGGGGGAAACAACACCCTCAACTAGTATTTCTACCTTCTGGTAAATCTATTACTTTAACTTTACCTCTGCCAGTCAATAAAACTTTTTCATGTTTTGGTACATTTAAAAAATACTTTTCCTCTTTCTATTACTTAAATTTCACATTAGAGGTTGATGTGGGCACCCAATGACAGCGTGTACGGGCACATTTTTCTACTGTGTGGTTAACTCTGCTTGGTATCTGACTTGTTAACAGATCTTCTTGCTGGATACATATCTCTAGGAACAGAATTAATCTTTTTTCCATTTTAGAGGCCAGAAAACCCATGAAGAAAGGTAATAAGAAATTTGATTCCTGGTTATATTATAAATTATTGAAGGTAATTCTTCAAGGCAGCCTCTCCCTTCACAAGCCCAGAGGTCTAGGAGGAAAGAATGATTTTGGGAACCAAGCCTGGGGCCCCCCATTACCCTGTACAGAGTCAGGACACTGTTCCCCGAATCCTAGCTGCTTTGGCTCCAGCCTCAGCTCAGAGGGCCCCAGATACTGCTTGGGCAACTGCTCTAGAGGGCACAAGCCATAAGCCTTGTAGGTTTCCACATGGTGTTAGTTCTGCAGGCAGGCAGAAGGCAAGAGTGGTGGAGCCTTGGCAACTTTCCTCTAGATTGCAGAGGATATAGTGGAAAGACTGGGTGCCCAGGAAAAAGCCTGCTGCAGGAGTGGAGGCCCTGTAGAAAGTCTCGATAGGGCAGTGCTGAGGTGAAATATGAGATTGAAGCCCCCCATGGAGAGTCCTCACCGAGGCACTGCCTAGTGGAGCTGTAGGAACAGGCCACTGCCTTCCAGATCCCAGAGTGGAAGAGCCAGCTTATACCTTCAGCCTTGAAAAGCCACAGGCATTCGACTCCAACCCATGAGGGCAGCCATGTGAGCTGCACCCAGCAGAGTCATAGGGGTCTGACTGTCCAAGACCTTGGGAGCACACCCCTCGTACCAGTGTGGCCTGGATGTGGGACATGGAGTCATGGGAGATTATTTTGGAGCTTTAAGATTTAATGTCTGCCCTACTGGGTTGCAGATTTCTGTGGGGCCTGTTGCCCCTTATTTTTGGCCTATTTCTCCATTTTGAAGTGGAAATGTTTATCAGTCTTTATTTCATCATTGTATCTTGGAAGAACATAACTTGTTTTCTTTTTTTTTTTGATTTTTCAAGGTAATATTCTCAATATTATTTATTATTTATTGATAGCACATGACTTCAAGAGAGTTAACACATTTGAGTTTAAAAAATGATTTGCTTGTAAGTAAAAAATAGAATGTAACATACAGAATAGAAATCTATATAGAGAAAATCATATACAGTAAAGATAATTGAATTAGTTTAAAAAGGCACATAATGAATAACAAGTACTACTTTTTAAAAGAATGTTTATGCTTTTGGTTAAATATAGTGAATGTATTTTTATTACTTTTCCAGAATTATGAATAAATAATTATACCCCATCATATTTATCATTTTCTAAAATTATGTTTTATATTCTAAAATAATTTTTATGTCAGGCAATTCTGTCTTTCTATACCTTTCTATACAATTCTGTCTTTCTATAAATATTCTTCCAGGCTGTATTTCACTTTGTGCCTTGTGTTTTCACCTAAATGTTGAGGGAAGAAAATTATTTTTTGGCAAATAACCATTTTCCTCCAGGTTTTTAATCTAAAGGTGGTTATATGCTAAAGACAATATGATATTAAGAAAGCAGAATGTGTCATGTTCTTACTCAAATGCTAAACCTTTTCTTAATGGAAAGAAAATATATAAACTAAATATGTTGTTTCTGAGACCTGAAGATTATAACTTTTTAAATGTATTTCAGTCTAAAAGGTTAGGATCCCATGTATAAACATGGCAGTGCATAAGACACAACTGAGAGGCGAACTGCTATACTATACAGAATTGTTAGCATTTCTTGTGGCTCGTGTATGTTTCAGAAAAAGATCAGTAAGTTACCACACTTTTCTTGCAAAATTGTATATAAATTAACCTGATATCCTTTTATACCAAATCGTGGTTACTAAATATTGCTATTCTGTAAAAGTGCCTAAGAATCATTATTTTCAACACTAACACCCCGGAAACAGTAAGAGAAACCTGAAAGTGGTAGGAAAGAATGAAAGGCCTTATTAGTCATCTAAATTATAAGTTTTCTTTTATGTTGTTAATATGGACATGGTAATTATAACTCAGTATCTTCTTGGGGTCCCTGACTCATTGTTCTTCACTCACTCTTATTAGGACCTCTGGAAGATATAATTTATCCTATTTAAGTGAGCAGGATTTTCCCCTCTAGACATACTTTATAAGCATTTTCTCATTAGAAAACCACATGTGCTATAACAGTAGTTTGATTTGCTCTTTACAATATCAACAGATACTACTTGTTTCTGTTTGTTTTTTGTTTTTGTAGAGACAGGGTTTCATCATGGTGATCAGGCTTGTCTCGAACTCCTGACCTCGTGATCCACCCACCTTGGCCTCCCACAGTGCTGGGATTACAGGTGTGAGCCACCATGCTCAGCCTGTTTTTTTTTTTTTTTATTTCAATAGTTTTGGAGGAACAGGTGCTGGTTGGTTGGATGAAAAAGTTCTTTGGTGATGATTTCTGAGATTTTTGTGCACCTGTCACCCAAGCAGTGTACACTGTACCCAATGTGTACTCTTTTATCCCTCACCACCCCCGCAACCCTTCCCCCAAGTCCCCAGAGTCCATTATGTCACTCTTATATATGCCTTTGCATCCTCGTAGCTTAGCTCTCATTTACAACATACGAACATACGATGTTTGTTTTTCCATTCCTGAGTTACTTCACTTAGAATTATGGTCTCTTTCCAGGTTGCTGTGAATGCCATTATTTCATTCCTTTTTATGGCTGAGTAGCATTCCATGGTATCTATATACCACATTTTCTTTATCCACTCATTGGTTGATGGGCATTTAGGCTAGTTCCATATTTTTGCAGTTGTGAATTGTGCTGCTATAAACATGCATGTGCAAGTGTCTTTTTCATATAATGATTTCTTTTCCTCTAAGTAGATACCCAAGACTGGGATTGCTGGATCAAACAGCAGTTCTACTTTTCACCACATCCACACCAACATCTGTTATTTTTTGATTTTTTAATTATGGCCATTCTTGTGGGAGTAAGGTGGTATCGCATTGTGGTTTTGATTTGCATTTGCCTGATCATTAGTGATGCTGAACAATTTTTCCGATGTTGGCCATTTGCATGTCTTCTTTTGAGAATTGTCTATTCATATCCTTAGTCCACTCTTTGATAGGAGTATTTGTCTTTTTTCCCTTGGGGCTGTCTGTTTACTCTGCTATTTCTTTTGCTGTGCAGAAGTTTTTTAGTTTAATTAGGTCCTGCCTATTTATCTTTCTATTTGTTGCATTTGCTTTTGGGATCTTGGCTTAAGCCAATGTCTAGAAGAGTTTTTCGATGTATTTTCTAGAATTTTTATGATTTCAGGTCTTAGATTTAAGTTCTTTTTTTTTTCTTGAGATGGAGTCTCGCTCTGTCACCCAGGCTGGAGTGCAGTGGCGCGATCTCTGCTCGCTGCAAGCTCCACCTCCCAGATTCATGCCATTCTCCTGCCTCAGCCTCCCTAGTAGCTGGGACTACAGGCACCTGCCACCATGCCCAGCTAATTTTTTGGATTTTTTAGTAGAGACGGGGTTTCACTGTGTTAGCCAGGATGGTCTCGATCTCCTGACCTCGTGATCCGCCTGCCTTGGCCTCCCAAAGTGCTGGGATTACAGGCGTGAGACACCACAGCTGGCCAGATTTAAGTTCTTGATCAATCTTGAGTTAATTTTTGCATAAGGTGAGAGATAAGGATCCAGTTTCATTCTCCTACTTGTGGCTTGCTAATTATCCTAGCACCATTTGTTGAATAGGGTGTCCTTTCCCCACTTTATGTTTTTGTTTGCTTTGTCGAAGATCAGTTGGCTGTAAGTATTTGGCTTTATTTCTGGGTTCTCTATTCCATTCCACTGGTCTATGAGCCTATTTTTATACCACTACCATGCTGTTTTGGTAACTATAGCCTTGTACTATAGTTTGAAATCAGGTAATGTGATACCTCCAGATCTGTTCTTTTTGCTTAGTCTTGCTTTGGCTATGTGGGCTCTTTTTTGGTTCCATATGAATTTTAGGATTGTTTTTTGTAGTTCTGTGAAGAATGATGATGGTATTTCTATGGGAATTGCATTGAATTTGTAAATTGCTTTCGGCAGTATGGTTATTTTCACAATATTGATTCTTCAAATCCATGAGCATGGAATGTGTTTCCATTTGTTTGTATCATCCACAATTTCTTTTAGCAGTGTTTTGTAGTTTTTCCTCGTAGAGATCTTTCATCTCCTTGGTAGGTATATTCCTAAGTATTTTATTTTATTTTTTTTGTGGCTGTTGTAAAGGGGGTTGAGTTCTTGATTTGATTCTCAGCTTGGTCATTGTTGGTGTATAGCAGTGGTACTGATTTGTGTGTATTGATTTTCTATCCTGAAACTTTACTGAATTCATTGATCAGATCTAGGAGGTTTCTGCATGAGTCTTTAGGATTTTTTAAGTATATGATCATATCATTGGTGAACAGTGACAGCTTGACTTCCTCTTTACCAATTTGGATGCCCTTTATTTATTTCTCTTGTCTGATTCCTCTGGCTAGACTTACAGTACTATGTTGAATAGAAATGGTGAAAGTAGGCATCTTTGTCTTGTTCCAGTTCTCAGGCGGAATGATTTCAACTTTTCCCCTTTCAGTATAATGTTGGCTATGGGTTTATAATAGATGGCTTTTATTACCTTGAGCTATGTCCCTTTCATGCCGATTTTGCTGAGGGTTTTGATCATAAAGGGATGCTGGGTTTTGTCAAATGCTTTTTCTGCATCTGTTGAGATGATCACATAATTTTTGTTTTTAATTCTCATAACTTGTTTTTGATCTTACAGGCTTATAGATGGAAGGAACTTTCCTTGAGTCTCAGATTGGACCTTTTGGACCTTTTTTTTTTTTTTTTTTTTTTTCTTTTGAGTTAAGGGTCTCACTTGGTCACCCAGGCTGGAGTGCAGTGGCATGATCTCAGCTCATTGAAGCCTCTGCCTCCCAGGTTCAAGTGATTCTCTTGCCTCAGCCTCTCAAGTAGCTGCAATTACAGGTGTGTGCCACCACACCTCACTAATTTTTATATTTTTAGTAGAGACAGATTTCACCATGTTGCCCAGGCTGGTCTCGAACTCCTGACCTCAAGTGATCTGCCCACCTTGGCTTCTCAAAGTGCTGGAATTACAGGTGTGAGCCACCATGCTCAGTCTCAGATTGGACTTTTGAGCTGATGCTTGGAATGAGTTAAAATTTTGGGGGACTATTGGGAAGGGATGATTCTTTTTTGCAGTGTGAGAAGATCATTAGATTTGGGAGGGAAGGGGTAGAATGATATAGTTTGGGTATTTGTTCCCTCCAAATCTCATGTTTAAATTTGGTCCCCAGTGCTGAAGGCAGGGCTTGGCTGGAGGTGTCTGGGTTGTGAGGTGGATACCTCAAGAATGGCTTGGTGCATTTCTTACAGAATGAATGAGTTCTTGTTCTGTTTGTTCACAGGAGAACTTGTTGTTTAAAAGAGTGTGGCACCTTCATCCCCCTTTTTCCTTTCTTGCCATGTGACACACCAGCTCCCCTTCACCTTCTGCCATGATTGAAAGCTTCCTGAAGCCTCA
This sequence comes from Homo sapiens, assembly GCF_000001405.40. NCBI lineage: Eukaryota > Metazoa > Chordata > Mammalia > Primates > Hominidae > Homo > Homo sapiens. The sequence goes on from NC_000004.12 coordinate 143,568,206, forward strand.
CCAGAAACAGATGCTGGTGCCATGCTTCCTGTACAGCCTGCAGAATTGTGAGCCAAATAAACTTTTCTTTATAAATTACCCAGCCTCAGGTGTTCCTTTATAGCAACACAAATGGACTAAGACAGCAGTTTTCAAAGCTTTACACATTTGGCTGTATGTCTTTTTTCTCTTCTACAGCTGTCTAACCTGCTTCTTATTTGCCCCAAAGGAGGATATAGGGAAACTTTGGGCTCATGTTAATGCTCATAGGTAGATGTCAGCAGTGATACTTCTGGATCAGGTGAGGCTATCCATTTGACTTTTACACTTGAGCCCATCAGACAGCTTTACTACTGTATTAGTCCATTCTCATGCTACTAATGAAGACATACCTGAGACCGGGTAATTTATGAAGGAAGGGGTTTAATGGACTCACGGTTCCACATGTCTGGGAAGGCCTGACAATCATGGCGGAAGGCTAATGAGGAGCAAATTCATGTCTTACATGGCAACAGGCAAGAGAATTTGTGCAAGGGAACTCCCGTTTATAAAACCACCAGATCTTGTAAGACTTATTCACTACCATGAGAATAGTTGGGGGAAACTGCCCCCATGATTTAATTATCTCCACCTGGCCCCATCCTTGACACATGAGGATTATTACAATTCATGGTGAGATGTTGGTAAGGACACAGCCAAACCGTATCATTCCACCCGTGGCCCCTCCCAAATCTCATGTCCTCACATTTCAAAACCAATCATGCCTTACCAACAATCCCCCAAAGTCTTAACTGACTTCAGCATTAACTCAAAAGTCCACAGTCCAAAGTAATCGCCCTTGAAACATGGGGATTACTACAATTCAAGGTGAGATTTGAGTGGGAACACAGCCAATCCATATCAACTACCAACATTAAATCACTTTAAAAAAGGTGCCAAGAAATCTGATACTTTGCTTTACATTTAAAAGAAGAGGATAAGAAGTCTAAAAAGGCTTTAGGAAAAATCTTTCAAATCACCCTCCATTATTAGGTGGAGTAAGCACTGGGCTAGCTAGCAGTCAGGAGAATAGAGTCATAGTCTCAGCCATATCACAGCCAATGTGATGCTGGGAAAAATAATTTGCTGAAATGGAACAGGAGCTCATCTTTTTTTTTTTTTTTTTTTGAGACAGGGTCTCATCCAGGCTGCCTGGAGTACAATGGCACAATCATAGCTCACTGCAGTCTTGAACTCCCAGGCTCAAGAAATACTCTTGCTTTAGCCTCCCAAGTAGCCAGGACCACAGGTGTGCACCACCACACTCAGCTAATTTTTAAATTTTTTTTGTAGAGATAGGGTTTTGCTTTATAGCCCTGGCTGTTATTGAACTACTGGCTTCAAACTATCCTTCTCCCTTGGCTTCCCAAGGTGCTGGGATTACAAGTGTGATTCACAACACTCAGCTAGGATCTCATCATTTTAAAGCACTTTTGCTTGTACATTTCAGTTGAATCAACTCAAGCCTCAGTTTCCTCAGGTTCCATGATTCTTTGTATAACTCTGTACTTATCAGCTATAAGTATAAGCACATCAACAAATCACAGGTACTTCAATTCATGCTTTTATGGCAAGATGTGGAAGAAATGTAAAATTAGGAGTCAGGTGATGTGGGCTCAAATCTTAGCTCCACCCCTTGATACCTGAACAACTCAGGAGTATTTTTATTTCTATTATGGGATATTAATAAGCACCTCACATTGGACTAAGGACAATTAAATGGGAAAAGGATATGAAGGCATCTTGTAAATTCCAAGTAAGGAAACTGTTGAAAGTGAATATGATAGTATCTAAAGCTCCATTTGAAATTTCAGATGTGGAGCTGCCTCTTCAATTAGTTGATTTATCTGGCGTTCATTCACATTTACACTCACATTTAGGATTGCTCTAAGCCTTTAATGGATTATTGTGTCCCCAGTTAATGAGTATGGATTGCTGCTCTGCTCCAGCTGTCCCCCACCATCCATCCCCATCAGTCCTCCTGTCAGAAGCATACCTGGCCATCAGTGCGAAGGAGCCACTGGAGCACACTCAGTCAGCAGTTTGGGCATGTCATAATATCTGCTGAATTCACAGGGGTAGGCCTCCAGGTTGAGGTTCTAGTGAAAGCAAAGGGTGCCAGCAGGTCTTAGGGAGGCACTGCACTGTTTGAGGGTGGGGGGCTCTGCCTGGGCACTGCCAGGTGCTTGGCGTGCTTTGTGGTGAAGCCATCCTTGGTGTGGAGCTTGCTGTCACCAGAAGATTGGAGCACTGCGTTTGCCCACATGGGAGGAATCTCAAATATACTTAGTGTCTGCCCAAGAGAAGGAAGCTCAGTATACTTAGTGTCTACCATGGCCTGCCATCAGGGCTGAGAGGGAGCTCAAAATTGTCAAGAGGCCATGTGGACATGACAGGCAGCATTCCTGGAACCCAGGGAGACAGCCTGCATAGGGCAGAGCTTGGGGTTGGGGTGACTGGGTCCTACTTGTATCTTCAGTTCTTCCAGTGGCCTGAGGCATGGCCCTGAGGTCCCCCTTCTCCTTGCAGAGAATGCATGCCTGTGCCTTTTGTCTTGTGGTAACACCTATCATTCATGTGCGGTATCATCACAATGATTTTGATTAAATTGAGGTAAACAGCGTCATCAGGCCCCATATATTGAATCTTGGCTGAGAAAGGCTCAGCTCCCACTGTGTCAGACAGATGAGGCTGACAGAGACCTGGGAGAACAGATGCTAATGAAAACATAAGGGACTGGCCACTCCAGGATAATAAGAATAAAACAAGGAATAGTAATTACAGTTTGCTGAGTGCCTAGTGAACACTAGTGTACATATATCATCATATTGATTCTCAATAATCCTATGAAGGAGATATTCTCATTTTGCAGGTGAAAAACTGAGTCATTGACACAATTACCTCTGTGAATTATTGACTTCTATATTATAAGGGAAACAGGCTTGGAATAAATTGATTAATAATAATCAATTACTGATTTTTGAGATATCAATGTACTTCTCTCAAAAAATTCCTTGTTCAAATGTGGCCTAATTTCTTGTTGCTTCAACAAGATGAAAACATATGGAACTCTTCCTTCAATGGTTGTGCTTAGGAGACTCTCTGATGGGATTTCTTTTAGTCCTTGGAAGATGTAATTGTGGACGTAAAAAAATCATAAACACACACACATGCATACAACACATATTTAGTGAAATTATTTCATACTTGTTAACTATTATGTTAAAAAAATACATTTTTACTTACTCAGAATGGCCTAAGAAAGAAGTGGAAGCTCAAGTATACTTAGTGTCTACCATGGCCAGAGAGCTGGGGAGAACTGAGGCAGGGTCTGGACCCAGTGAAAAACATTCATTAGGGCTAAAAATCATTACACAGAGTTTGCACTGATCTGGTCCTAGCTCAGGCTTCCTCCTCACTGGGAGCCCCACCTCACTCAGCTCTGAACTGGGCCCTTTAAGCATGCTCTCTCACCAGTGGGGTGTTCTATCTTAGAAAAAGTTGCTGTCGACCTCACTCAGTGACACTAGGAGTGCATTCTGTAGGGGGGATGTGCCTATACCTTTGCTTTAACATTCTTTGAATAAGTATAAGAGTTGCTTAATTTCAACATTCTTCCTCAGTTAATATATTTCTTGTAGCATTATGTCTATTTAAGTTAAGCACTTCTGTTCAAAACAGATACTTTTACAATTCAAGATACCTCTTAATATGCATATTATATATTATGTAATATATTAAAATATACATGAGATATATATTGATTCTGACATTGTAAGAGCAATAAAAATTATTATCCGTAAGAAGGCACTTACAGTCTTACAGTACTTGGGGGACATCATTACATTTGATTTTTATTATGGCACAATACAATATTGAGGACCAGAGTGACCCGGAAAGAACTGGAGCTTTAGAATGAGACAAATCCAATGTGATAAAATGGTCATGGTGCTTAATCCAGGGAAGTATATCCATATGATTTTTATTATATTTTATTACATTTAAAATATTTAAAATGTACAAAATTAATGGGGGTATGGTAGAGAAGGTAAGCTCTTGTGATGATTCATAACTTCCTATCATATTTTTTTCTTGTGATGCTCCATTGTAGAATCAAAGAACATAGCTTTGTAAAAAGTCCAACATATTTGTGCTAGCTCTGAATTAAAATTCATTTGATCTATTGTAGTGTCAAGATATGCCATAATACTGAGAATGGAGGAGTCTGAGGCCCTGGTCCATCAACTGACAGCATGAACTTCACGTCAAGAAGTGAGATTGGTGAATAAGTGAAGACAGAAGGAAAATTGGAGATACAGCTGGATGTATGAACCCTGCTCTGAAAACACTCTTTAACGGTATAAGGATTCTTATTAACGAATTTTATTTCTTTTTTATCTGATCATTATTTTATTTTGATTTATAGAGGAATATATAGAGGGGGATATCTATAGAGACACACACGTTTGTGTGTGTATATATAAATATATATGTATGTGTATGTGTGTGTGTATATATATATGTATGTGTGTGTGTGTGTGTATTCTCTAGTCATGCTCCAAATTTGGAGTCTTTTTCTATAGTCTTGAAATTAGTAGTGCGATATTGTTATATAATAAGAAATATCATTTAAGGTCTTTGTTCCTGATTCCTGTCATAGAGCTAGTAAAACCTTTGGAATTTCTGAGTGATAGAGGAAAGTGGAGAGTCTTTTGCTATTCCTAATAGGCCCCTGTTAACCATATATGAGTTTATGCTAATGAGGTGACTCTTGAAGGATGGGCTGCTTTCCAGAGGAACCAACCATGTGATTACGGGGTTGGAAATTTCAGTCCCACTTCCAAACCTCGAGGGAGGCAAGAAGAGCTGGAGATTAAGTCAATCACCAATGAGCAATGATTTAATAAACCATGCCTATAAAATGGAGTCTCCATAAAAACCCTAAATAACAGGGTTTGGAGAGGTTCCAAGTCAGTGAATGCATCCACATGGTAGGAGGGTGGTGCATCCCAAACTCCAGGGGACAGCAGCTCCTGTGCTCAGGACCCTTTGGGACCTTGCCCGGTGTCCCTCTTCATCTGGCTGTTCATTTCTTTTCTTCTTTTTCTTTTTCTTTTTTTGAGATGGACTCTTGCTCTGTCACACAGGCTGGAGTGCAATGGCGCAATGTTGGCTCACTGCAACCTCTGCCTCCTGGGTTCAAATGATTCTCCTGCCTCAGCGTCCCGCATAGCTGGGATTACAGGCACGTGCCGCCACACCCGGCTAATTTTTGTATTTTTACTAGAGACAGGGTTTCACCATGTTGGCCAGGCTGGTCTCAAACTCCTGACCTCAAGTGGTCTACCCACCTTGGCCTCCCAAAGTTCTGGGATTACAGGTGTAAGACACTGAGCCTGGCCCATCTGGCTGTTCATTTCTATCTATTATAATATCCTTTATAATAAACCAGTAATAGTAAAAGTGTTTCCCTGAGTTCTGTGCTGTTATTGCAAATTATCAAACCTGAGAGGTGGTTATGGGCAGTTCCAATTTGTAGCCAAGTTGTTCAGAAGTATGGTGTCCGAAGTGGGAGCAGTCTTAAGGGACTGAGCCCTTCACCTGTGGGATCTGATGCTAACTCCAGGTAGGAATGGTAGGGTACCCAGTTGGTATCCCAAGGGTGGGAGAATTGGTTCTTGGTGTGGGAAGAACCCACACATTTTGTGTAAGAAATGTTGTGAGTAGAGGAATAGAATCTTAGTTTTATCTCTGTTTTGTTGTGTTTTTGTTTTGTTTTGTTTGAGACAGGGTCTTGCTCTACTGCCCAGGCTGGAGTGCAGTGGCTTACTGCAGCCTCAAACTTCTGGGTTCAAGTAATCCTCTCACCTCAGCCTCCCAAGTAGCTGGGACTACAGGCTTGGGCCATCACACCTGACTAAGTTTTTGTTTTCTGTAGGGACAGGGTCTCACCATGTTGCCCTGGCTTGTCTCAAACTCCTGGGCTCACACAGTCTTCTCGCATTGGCCTCCCAATGTGCCGAGATTACACCAGCAATGTTGAGCCACCATGCCCAGCCGAGGAATAGTTTTTATTTCATTAGATTTATTAATACTTACATTATTGGTAGATTAGGCTAATGCTGGACTGCCTACAGCTTCTTTCGAAACATAGGTCTACTAAAGCCTCAGGTTGGAATTCCCATTGCTTTCAGGACATTGTTTATCTGCTGATGCTGCTTCCAAGTATTACCTCTGTCAGATGGACTGCGTTATGTCTTCAGGACAGGGCCTTGAATCTCTACAGAAAGATCCCCTCACAGCAGACACTGAGTGTCAACCTCTGTCTGTATTCCCTGAGTGTGCTTTCTAGTGTTCTTCATTTTAGTTCGTTGCCAATACCAGCAAACTCTCCTGATCTCTCCCTGCCTGTGGTACCAGCTTCCTGTGGCTGCTATAACAAATTACTATAAACTTGATGGCTTAAAAAAACAGAAATTTACTTTCTCCTAGTTCTGGAGTTTAGAAGTCCAAAATCAGTATTACTGGGACAGAGCCTAGTTGTTGGCAGGGATGTACTGCCTCCAGCAGGAGAATCTACTTCCTGCCTGCCAGCTTCCAGTGGCTGCTGGCCTTCCATGGCTTGTAGCCCTATTACTCCAATCTCTGCCTTTCATAGTCACATTGCATCCCCCTCTTCTGTATGTAACCTGTATCTCACGTCCTCTTATGAGGACTCTTGTGATTACATTTAGGGCCCATTCAGGATAATCTTCCTATCTCAAGATCCTTAATTACATGTGCAAAGATGCTTTTTCTATATAAGGTAAAATCCGTAGGTTCCAGGGATTAGGACAAGTCAGTGCTAAATATTCCTGCAGGGACCCTATGAGACTTCATCACAAATTGTAATAACAATAACAGAATGAGGTCATTATAATCTGTTTAATTTCCTCAATTTCATAAATAGCAAAAACTTGCTAATGAGCACATATATTTACCGACAGAACTTTAAAGTACGTTTACAAAATAAATGACTGATAATCTCATTACCCTAATAGAAAGTTATTACCATTTCCAGGCATTTTCTTTTAGTCTTTTCCATATGTTTAAGGATTGCAATAGCCACATGGTCATGGATACTCTAGAATTCATACTATTCTATCAAGTAGATATCCTATAATTCAGTTAACCATTTCCTGAGTATTGGGTATTTAGGCTGCTTATAATTATTTATTATTATAAATAAGGTTAGGAGCAGCAACATTCTGCTGCCTTAGTGACAAACAAATTTTTGAATGCTTAGCTGGCAGAAAGCCAGCTGTGGAGTCATCAGTGTTGGGTTGCTCCCCATAGTTCACTGTCTCCTGGGCTGAGCCCTGGTGGGTATGGCAGTTCACCAAGGACCTATGGCTGGTGTCTCTGCTCCAGTAAATGATGGCCCTTAGCTGCCTTTTTCATTCACCCTGTCAGTGGAGCCCTTAAATTGGGCCCTGGGTACTGAAATAAAATATACAACAACTTTCCATTTAACGTTTACACAAGAACAGCAACATCTAGTGTATCTCCATTACACTTTCCAGCTCTGAGAAAACTAAAGTTTTAAGTGAGAAAAAAATACTTAATATTTTTTCTATAAAAATGTTAGCATAGGGAAGAGTATATAAGGGATGACAAATGAGCCCAGTTTTCCATAGTGTGCAATTCCATTCCTGGTAGGAAATCAGGCATTTTTTTCACTCTTTCAGGACACTAGATTACTTTCATTACTGAATTGTAGAATATGCTATAAGTCATAACTAGAATACACTAGGTTTTATCCTAAAAAATGTAATTTTGCTTCTCTGGCATATCTTAATGGGTAGAAACTGGGAATGAAACAGACTTTATAAAAAGCACTGTTTGTGATATCCTCCCCCCAAAAATATGAATGCCTAAACACTGCATTCATCTGAATGTACCTAAGTAACAAAAAAATACAATGAGAGAGAAAAAGAGTGATTTTCTGAAAAACACTGAAAGACTGGAATTAATTTTGAGTTCAAAACAGATTCCTCCATAATGCCGACAATGTGTATTTCCCCTGGGCACACAGGTACTCAGCAGGGAATTCAGTTGTTGCTTCATTTGAGGCCCAAACCAGGGGATCTGTGGGGTCTCTTAGGTATATCTGAGAGTTATCTTGGTCCATGTGTAGTTTTTCTATTACTTTTTTTCTAATGTGTGTGAAGGGGACATATCTCTTTGACCTGAAGAAGAAGCCCAATAACTATTTGTTGAATTTGAGTTTAAAAGAGTTTTGCCCCTGGTGGTTGGGCAAATTGCAAGGTGAGGGAGGGTGATTTTCTGTTGGTGGATATGCACTCAGACAGGAATCAGACAGAACTGGAAGAGATCTTAACAGAAATTGAGTCCAAATTTCTCATTTTACAGAGGGAGAAGTGAGGTCAAGAGTTATCAGGTAGTTTAGAAAAATATTTCCTCTGGTTGGGAAAATGAAAGTCTAGCAAAGAAGCAAAACCTGGGCTAACAGTAGACAAGGGTTTCTTGGCCTATATATGCAGACTATATCACAGTCAAGAGCCTTTTTATCCCTATTCAATATTTGGAAAAAATGCATCTGGGAATGGTTTCTATTATACACTATATTGGCTTGAGAATAAGTTAATGTCTGAAACACAAATTTTAAAAAAAGATTTGCATAAGAAATACCTAAAAAGTAATGATGGGGCACAAAGATGTGGTTTCAAAATAATTTGGAAACTTTGATTTATGTGGTATTAGCCACGGCTATATATATTGTCAATTTAACATTAGTTAAGAACTAATTGGGCAGTTTGTGAACTATGCAAATCTTCAACTCTTCTTTCTTCTCCTTTCCACTACTTGCATGTTCATCATTTTACTGTTTATTATCCTTTTTTTTTTTTTTTTACAAAAGAGTGCAAAGGAATAAAAAGTTGAAAAATTTCCCTACCAAGTAGTTCTGATAAAGACTTGTGAACAAAAATCGAAGAATTCGCTAAAGGAACTTTATATATGGAGAGAGAGAGTTGAAAAGTGTTTCATATGCAGCATCAATCAGTAAAGAGAGGTTAATTCTTTGATCTTAACTTTTGATTTAATTGATCACAGTGGATTTCTTACTTGCCTCAGAAACAAAGTAAAACAAAATAGAAAAAGAACATGAACACAGTCTAATTATTTGTGGGCTCAATGTTTTCTAGGTATATATATTTCTATCTCCATGCAGTCATATAAATTACATTTCCACATATCACCAGAATATAACACCAATGACAGTACAATATCACTGATATCCCAGAATTGCTAAGATCTATAAACAGTAGAGTTTCATTCTGTTGTTAGGAGACATATCTTGGCTGTTTTTTTCCCTCTTAAAGTCTTTCAATCAAAGGAACTACAAGCACTCTGCTTACAGTCCGTGATGGTGTCCTCGATGAAAATGGTAGTTTTATTTGGTTCTCCAAGCACTGCACCCATAGGCATCTGAAGAAGTAATTCAAACTTCTCTGGGCCTTCCAAGGTAGGCTGTCCCAGGTCATCAAGGATGGTCACTTGGAATGTCTGCATGCGCACGCCTGGAGCAAAGTCCAGGTTTCGGCTGATACCAACATAATCTGTTCCAGCTAGTGAAAAAGGAAAAGGCACTGGTGAGACAGTAGGATTTGTCATAAGTTTTCCTTCAGAGAAAAATGAGAGCTCTCACCAACTCTGCGGCATTCACCTTTGTACCCAACACTCTCAGGATCATATACTTTGGGTTTGATCCCCAGAAGGGGGAACTTCCATATTCTACCAAATGCCTTGTAGTCCCTTGTGCCATGCCCACGTGCCATCCTCACCAGGGCTTTACACGTCTAGACCAGGCACATCACCTTCCAACTACTTCCACCAAGATTCTGCCAAATTATTGAAGGATCTCTGAAGGTAGCTTCAATTTGAAATGAAAGGATTTGCCTTTTTAATTTTTTAACCTTGAAGATAAATGTAATACATTTTATTTTGATTAGGTTTCACTCATTCACTTTTGCCAGACATCTGTTTTAATCTCACAACACTCTGCTCAATTTTATGAAGCCATGAAGTTCTGCCATTCTCTCGGTTGTTATTAATCATTTTTTCAAGCTGGTCCACCTCACCGTACAGCTTCTTTGCGACTTATTTGGAAAGTCATCAAATGTAATGATCGTAACATGATAATCAATGGAATTAAATAGAAACCCCTGAGTGATATAAATATAAAAATAAATCGAGGAACAGAATATTTATATTGTCTCAAGGTACTCCTCCATAAAATATTAATTGCAAAGGAAAAAAGGGAATATAATGAGGAACCCTGGCAGATACTACCTTACCCAACTGATCAAAGTTAACACCACCAGTAATGGGATAAATGGAAACTGTGTGCCATTTGACAGAATACAATGAGAGGATAGTATCATCTTTGTGATATTCCTGCTAAAGATGCATTACCTGAATCTAATTATGAAAAACCATCAGACAAACCCAAATTTGGAAGACATTCTATATAGTATAATAACTGGGTTGTAATCTTCAAAAGCATCAAGGTGTTGAGAGGACTGTTGTAGGTTGAAGAAAACAAAAGCAGACATGACAGCTAAATATAATGCATGATTTAGAACTGGATTCTTTTGCTGTAAAGAATGATTTGAGGCAACTGGTGAAATTTGAATGAGGTCTGAGTAGATTATGCAAGTGTATCAAGTTAATTTCTCAGTTTATGCTTGTTTTGTGGTTATACAAGAGAATGTCTTTGAAGGAATTACATTGTAAGTTTTTGGAGACATGGTTCCAAACTTAAACTCAAGAGTTGACAAAAAAAAAAAAAAGCGTCTCACTCTACTTGTTACTCTTCTGTAAGTTTGAGATTACTCCAAAAAATTTTCTAAAAGGCACCAAATAGTGACATTAAGAAAACAAAAAAAGCCGGGCCCGGTGGATCATGCCTGTAATCTCAGCACTTTGGGAGGCCGATGTGAGCAGATCACTTGAGGCCAGGAGTTTGAGACCAGCCTGGCCAACCTGGTGAAACCCATTTCTACTAAAAGTACAAAAATTAGCAGGGTATGGTGGTGAGTGCCTGTAGTCACAGCTACTTGGGAGGCTGAGGCTCAAGAATCAATTGAACCTGGGAAGCAGATATTTCAGTAAGCTGAGATCACGCCACTGTACTCCAGCCTGGGTGACAGAGTGAGAGCCTGTCTCAAAAACAAAAACAAAAACAAGGTTATAGTGAAAATTACTAAGGCAGGAGAGTAATGGATAAGGTTTTGTATCTCATGGACTTTGACTCAAATCTTGGTTTATTGCTTACTTGTACTAATTCTTTAACTTCTTTGAGTCTCAGTTTCTTTTCTTCAACTGCAAAATGGGGATAATGATAGCTACCTTATAAGGTTTATTGTGAAGATTATGGATGGTAGAGCAAGGATGCTAACACAGTATCTGGCAAATAGTAGGCATTAAGAACACAGAAGTTATAATAATTATTAATGTAACAAGTAACACCTTATACATATATACATAAGATTAATATAGTTAACTAACCTTAGCGGATGTCAAATATTTACTAGGTTCAATAGATTATCAAGTATAAACCTTACTTCTACAACTCTACTTGTTAAACCCATGAATCACTATCCCAAGCATGAACATTACTTTTATTAGTTCATCCCTACCAGACAGCTAGCAGAGGCGTCATTACTTTTATGCAAAGAGGTTTATCTAAAGGAATCTAAATTTCTCTTTCAAACCACAGGCAAAGAAGTCCACCTAACCAAATGGGTTTATTCACTCTTGGTTTCATGGATACATACACAGTGAGAAATGACCCTGTCTGAAAACTTAAAAAAGAATGAAAAAAAGGGGAGGAGAGTGCCAAGATGGCTAACTAGAAGCTGTTAGTGTGTGCTGCTCTCATGGAGAGGACAGAGAGTGGTGAATAAACACACAAGCTCTTCAGCTGGATTTTCTAGGTGGACAGGTTGAGATTCATCAAGGAAGCAACATGACCCACAGAGAACATAGAAGAGTGAGACAGGACGGCTGCCCACCTAGGACTGGGGCAAAGCCAGGGGAGGATCCCCACCGTGGGTAAATGGTGAGTGCGACCCTCCTGGGACCCACAGTTCTTCCATGAACCTTTGCAACCCTGGGCTCTGGAAATCCCCCATGACCACCCCTACCACTGGTGCCTCCAGACAGACACAGGGAACTGTGTGGAGACTGGGCAGAGCTAAGGCTCAGGCATGCATGGAGTCCCAGGGGCTTTGGACCCCTGGGAACACTGGTACCAGCCTCTGGAGCTCCTGCTGCCTCACATGCCCCCAGGATAGGGGCTCTGTGAATTCACAGAGCTGAAGAGCAGATGGACTGCACAACTTGCCTCCACTGAACTCACTAAACAAAGCCCACTGGCCTGGGACCCCAGCATGGCCACCTGAGCTTGCAGGCTGGTAGCAGCCCTGCACTTCTCTGGGATGGAGATCCCAGTGGTAGCAGGCAGGCCTGTCAGTTTTGCTGGTCTGCAGCTCTTGCCCCTGCAGTCTTCAGGCTCTGGAGAGAGCACAAAGATTGAGAACTAATGTAACCCCCAGCACAGCACAGCTGCCTTATGGAGAAATAGACTGTTTTCCCCATGAGTCCTGCTTCTGCTACCTCTTACTGGGCAGGGCCTCCCGACCTGGGACACCAGCCACCCCAGCCCCACCTAGGCTCTTGGCTGGTAGCAGCTCCGCACTTCCTTGGGACAGAGCTCCCAGAAGTAGCAGTGCCACCATTTTTGCTGCTCCACAACCCCAGCTCCTGCTGCGCTCAGGCTTGGGAGGGAGCAAAGAGATTCAGGACTAACTCAGGCCTCCAGCCCAGTGCAGCAGGATTATAGAAAACTGCCCAGACTGTTCTCCATGCGAGTCCCTGCCACTGTTATCCTCACTGGGTAGGGCCTCTTGATCTGGGAACCCAGCACAGCCATCTTGTCCCCATCTGAACCCTTTAGTCATTGGCGGCTCTGCATTTCTCTGGGGAGGAAATCCCAGAGACAATGCAAAACCTCTCTGCCATTGCAGCTGCAGTGGTACTGCCCTTACTGCCCTCAGACTGGGGAAGGAACAAAGGGCTGGTCAAGTCACTGACACCTCCGGCATGGCACAAACACCATACGAAGAGGAGCTCAGTTTCTGTTTCCTGGGAGCCTCTACTGTTCACCAGGCAGGGCCCCCAGCTCAGGACTGCAAAGCAGTTGCCCTGCCCCTGGCTGAGCATTCCCACTGGTAGTGGCTCTGTGTCTTCCTGGGCTGGAGCTCCCAGAGGCAACTGACAGCCCCTCTGCCACTGCCACTGCAGTGGTTCTGCCAGTGCTGCCCTCAGACTGGGGAAGGAACAAAGAGTCTGAGGGCTTTACTCACACCTCTACCGTGCCAGTTGCCATATGGACAGGAGCCAAGTCTCTCTTCCCTGTGAGACCCCAACCCCCTGCTCTTCACCAGACAGGGCTCCTGGCTCAAGACCACAGCACAGCTGCACCACCTCCTGGCTGAACATTTCCATTGGCAGTGGCTCTGCATTTCTCTGGGGTGGAGCTCCCAGAGGCAACTGAAAGTTCCTTTGTTACTGCCACTGTAGTGGTACTGCCCTTGCTGCCCCCAGAGAAGAAAAGGAACAAAGATTCTGAGTGCTTTACTCACACCTCCAGCTCTTAGCTGCCCTAAGGAGAAGAGGCCAGTCTGTCCTCCCTGTGAGCTTCCTGCACTCCCTGCCCATCACCAGGCAGGCCCTCCCCAGTGCCCCAAGCTTGGGCTCACAATGCAGCCACTCTGATTTGTAGTGGCTCTGTGTTTCTCTGGGGTGGAGCTCCAAGAGACAAGTCAAAAGCCCTTTGCCATTACCACTGCTAAGGTCTCTGTCCTCGTCACCCCCAAGCTGGAGAGGGAGTGTAAAGCCTGAGCTTGCCTCAAGGCTGCGGTGTATAGCTTAGGAGTGCAAAGCCAAGATCTGCAGCCAGCACTCAGGTAAGAGAGGAACCCACACTGTTAGAGTGCTGAGAGGGAACATGGCTGCAAATGCACAGAGGAGCCATGTGGCTGAGTAAGAGCCTGCCTACCAGCCGTTACACTTACACGCCATCTACTAGATCACAGCCCAAACTTCAAAACCAAAAATACTTTGCATATAACACCCTGTGAAACCAAGGACAAGAATTCAGCTACATATGAAGACCCTGAACAAAGCCTTGGCCCTCTGAAAACGTCCAGAAACAAAGTCAATTGACTATATTAAAATTACACCACAGTTAAAGGAATATCAGCCCATACAGATGAGAAAGAACTAGCGTAAGAACTCTGGCAATTCAAAAAGCTATAGTGTCTTCCTTCCTCCAAATGACTGCACTAGTTCCCCAGCAATGGTTCTTAACCAGGCTGAAATGACTGAAATAACAGACATAGAATTCAGAATATGGATAGGAATAAAGATCATCGAGAATCAGGTGAAAGTCAAAACCAATCCAAGGAATCTAGGGATAATAATAAAATGATATAATAACTGAAAGATGAAATGAAGAAAGAACCAACAGATCTGATAGAGCTGAAAACACTACAAGAATTTCATAATACGATTGAAAATATTTATTATTTTTAAATTAATTAATTTACTTTTTTTTTTTTGAGATGGGTTTGAACTCTGTCACCCAGGCTGGAATGTATGGCTCATCACAGCCTCAACCTCCTGGGCTCAGGTGCTCTTCCCACCTCAGTCTTACAACTAGCTTGGACTACAGGTGCACACCACCATGCCGGGCTAATTTTTTTGTATTTTTTGAAGAGATGGGGTTTTGCCATGTTGCCCACATTGGACTCAAGCAATCCACCTGCCTAGGCCTCCAAAAGTGCTAGGATTACAGATGAGAGCCACTGTGCCGGGCCAATTGCAAGTATTAACAACAGAATTGGCCAAGCTGAGGAAAGAATCTCATAGCAAAAAGGTTCTCTGAATGAACAGAATCAAAAATAAAGAGAAAAGAATAAAAAAGAATGTGCAAAACTTCTTAGAAATACGGGATTCTGTAAAGAGACCAAATCTACGACTCATTGGCATCCCTGAAAGACAGGGAGAGAAACCAAACAACTTGGAAAATATATTTGAAGATACTGTCCATGCATATTTCCCCAACTTCACTAGAGAGGCCAAAATTCAAATTCAGGAAATGCAGAGAACCCTTTAAGATACTGTATAAGACAACTATCCCTAAGACACATAGTCATCAGACTCTCCAAGGTTGACATGAAAGAAAAAAATATTAAAGGCAGCTAAAGAGAAGAGAAAGGCAGCAAAGAGAACCTCATCAGGCTAACAGCATATCTTTCAGCAGAAACTCTACAGGCCAGAAGAGATTAGGGGCCTTTATTAAGCATTATTAAAAAAAAAAAAGAATCTCAACCAAGAATTTTATATCCAGCCAAACTAAGCTTCATCAAAAAAGGAGAAATAAGATCTTCATCAGACAAGCAAATGTTAAGGGCATTCATTACCACCAGACCTGCCTTACAAGAGGTTTTTAAAGGAGCACTAAATATGGAAATGAAAGACCATTATGGCCACCACAAAAACACACTTAAGTACATAGACCATTGACACTATAAAGCAACTACACAATTGAGTCTGCATAATAAACCGCTAACAACAAGATGACAGCATTAAATCCTCACATATCAAATATTAACCTTGAATGAAAACAGGCTAAATGACCCAATTAAAAGGCCACAGAGTTGCAAGTTAGATAAAGAAGAAAGATCCAACCACATGCTGTCTTCAAAAGACCCATCTCACATGCAATGACAGTCATAGGTTCAAAGTAAAGGGATGGAGAAAAATCTACCAAACAGGCTGGGCGCGGTGGCTCACGCCTGTAATCCCAGCACTTTGGGAGGCCGAGGCGGGTGGATCATGAGGTCAGGAGATCGAGACCATCCTGGCTAACAAGGTGAAACCCTGTCTCTACTAAAAATACAAAAAATTAGCCGGGCGCGGTGGCGGGCGCCTGTGGTCCCAGCTACTCGGGAGGCTGAGGCAGGAGAATGGCGTGAACCCGGGAAGCGGAGCTTGCAGTAAGCCGAGATTGCGCCACTGCGGTCCGCAGTCCGGCCTGGGCGACAGAGCGAGACTCCGTCTCAAAAAAAAAAAAAAAAAAAAAATCTACCAAACAAATGGAAAACAAAAAAAGCAGGGGTTGCTATTCTAATTTCAGACAAAACAGACTTTAAGCCAGCAATGATAAAAAAGACAAAGACAGGCATTATATAATCGTAAAGGGTTTAATTCAACAAGAAGACTTAACTATCCTGAATATTTATGTGCCCAACAGAGGAGTATCCTCATTCATAAAACAAGTCCTTAAAGACCTATGAAGAGACTTAGATAACCATACAATAATAATGGGAGACTTCAACACCCTATTGACAGTATTAGACAGACCATCAAGGCAGAAAAGTAATGAAGATATTTGGGACCCAAATTTGACACTTAACCAAATGGACCTAATAGACATTTATAACACTCTCCACCCAAAACCAACAGAATATACATTCTTCTCTTCTGCACATACACGTACTCTAAAATCGACTACACCGTTGGCCATAAAAATTATTAGCAAATTCAAAAAATTCAGAAGTATACCATCCACACTCTCAGATTATATAACAATAAAAATAGAAACCAATACCATGAAGATCACTCAAAACCATACAATTACATGGAAATTAAACAGCCTGCTCCTGAATGACTTCTGGGTAAACAATGTAATTAAGGCAGAAACCAAGAAATTTTTTTGAAACTAATGAGAACAAAGATACAACATACCAGAACTTCTGGGACACAGCTAAAGCAGTATTAAGAGGAAAGTTTATAGTGCTAAATGCTCACATCAAAAAGTTAGAAAGATATAAAATTAACAACCTAACACCACACCAAAAGGTCACAACTGCAAATGAGAAAATGTGGGCATCAATGTACATGGAAATGTCCTTTTCTTTTCCTATTGGGTCCTGTTCTTTTTCTGATAAAGCACCTGACAGGTACTCTAGAGGAAATGATATCTAGAATTGTGCCATGCTGTCAGCTAGGCCTTGATCATCCATGTCAGGAAATGCAAAGGTGAGCAGGGCATGAAGACATGCTGTTTGAAGCTAAGGCAAATGCCTGAGTCTGAAGTGAAAACCTCCTACACTTCAAAGGTCTAATATGTGACGAGATTCTTCCACGAGTTGGGACTTGCTTGGCCATTATGGGGGTAATTTCATCTGAAATATTGTTTATGAGCAGCTTTAGGTATCTATAAATATTCTGAACTTTGGAAAAATTAATGTGAGCCCATGACAAGCCAGTGGGTAATAAATGAATCATAAAGGCTGCTGTTTGAATAATGTACTTATTTTGTAACCAGCAGAAGTCATTATGTATACAAACCATCTACGTGCTGAAGCCAGAGAAACTTTCATTCAGAGTCCATCAACAAAGACTAAGCATGCTTACACTTAACAGACTAGACTCCACCATAAACATGTATCATGATAATGATATATTCTTTAAGTGGCCCTCTCACCTTCTGCTGACTCCTGCTCTGACTTTCTGGAGCGCACGGCGATGGATGATGGTTGGGAAAGATCAGTGCCTCTTCTCCAAACACAAACCTCCACGTAGCGAGCACTTTCATTGACGTGATATTCAGCATCCCCAAAGTGCAGGACAGGTTCTAAAGAGGCAAAAAAAGATACACTAAGAATGCTTCAGCCTGCCTGGTATACTGTCTCCTTTGGCCCTGTGTGAGCCTGGGCATTTGTCATAATTGTCAGACATGACAGATCCCATAGGTCTTGTTTTTTTATATAGCTCAGGGAGAACAAAAACAAAAACACACAAAAAGCCACATCAGAGTCACATACCATGACTTTGACTCCAGGAAATGCCATGAGATGAAGTCAGTTGAGATGCTATTCATTTTTTTGTTTTAAGAACTTTCCATTACATAGAAGAGATTTTCCTATTAGGGAAAATTGGCCAATCAGCTGTAACTCAGGCAAGTCCACTATTGTTTGGGAAAAGATGGTGGAGAAGTTAGAGAGGCTTTTTTTGGCAGGGAGAAAATTGCTCTTCCTGTGGAGGGACAGTTGAGCCAGAATTCTGAGTTTGATCACTATGGCTATGCCTTTTCTTAGGGCATTTGCTGATTACAGGGACAGATGGAAATCCTGGGGCAGTGAATGAGGGGGAGGAGAGATCCTGTTAGCTGAGATGCCAGAAGCGCTTCCCCAGGAGACCAAGAAGTGACTCCATAGAAAAAGAAGGCTGAAGGAGAACAACCAGCACAGACACCAGGCTTCAGCGGTGGGTAGAAGGGAATTGTACATCTTCTAAAAGGAGAAAGAGGTTGACAATGCGAATGTTGCTTTGGCCAAGCAAATACACTTATCCATACCCCGTTCGCTCTTGTTCTAAAAGGTAGCTATGAACTTAGGTGATTATTTAAAGCATATACAAGGCTTAGCTGTAACAATACCTACTATATGTACTGTCATGAAAAAGATTTTGAGATGAATACTTTTGTTGGCTGTGACATCTGGAGGCAAAAAATGTAAATATTAGGAAGCAGATTCACCATGGAGGAACAACCCCTTGAGGTTGTTGAACGGAAAATTAGTTATGGAGATGACACCTTTGCAAATATATTGCAATGCACCAGGAGTGTATCTGAATTTAAATTCAAATTTTTGGAGGCTAGGAATCAGATTTAGTAAATATTATTTGTTTCAAGATGTATTTTAGTAGATCTTTTAACTGCTGAGGGAGTAGTAGTAGTAAAACTGCAAGACCTCTCCTGTCCTGGTTATGCCAAACAGCTCCCAATACACTGAACACAGCATGCATTTGTGAGCCTCCATCTTTGTTGATGATGTTCTCTGAGCTGGAATGTGCCAATATGGCAAATGCCTACTCATTTTTTTAAGACTTTATTGATAAAGAGTTGCCTTCTCTGGGAAGCCATATTTATTTCCTCAATAAATAATCATTCTTCACTCTGTGCTTCCCTAACATTTCAAATAGTTCTATAACTGTAGTGATGGAATACACTTGCAATTTGCTCACCTCAGGCATACAGCAGGCAGGTGGCCTGCACTCAGAAAAGGGTGGTAGGGTCATTCTTTCTTTTCTTTTTAATGAACATGTAGTAATTGTATGTATTTATGGGGTACATAGTGGTGTTTTGATATATTTATGGCACAGTGATCAGGTCAGGGTAATGCACATATCCCATTCTTTCTTCTCTTACCAAGAACTTTCTCCTCATTATTGCTAATGGGTGTTTCTGATGCCTCCACGGTTGGGACAGGAAAGAAGGAGGATAGGCAGGAGTAGCAGGAAAGTTCTTTCTTGAACACTTTCATGGATGTCAGTACTCTTTGGTTTTGGAAGATGGAAGAAAAGCTGATCCTGTTTATCATGGGCACTTCTGCAGGTTCTTTGGGATCTCTCACTCCCACAGTTGGGTATCTCTTATCTGCAGTTCTCTTGATGAGGATGAAACAGATATATTCTGGCTGATCACTTAATCATTCCTCAACCTATTTAGCATTTGGAAGTACCTCTGTTCAGCCCTCTAGATGGCACCTTTGGACAAGTTCATTCTGGCTCACTCTTGTATGCATGGCTCACATGTGGTCCATGGCAACCTTCCTGCATCCTCTGCCTTGATAAACTCCAGGAATACCACTTAACCCCAATGCAGTCCCTCTCTTTTGTTCATCCACCAAAGCAGCCAACCAGTTTATCTCCCACATTCAGATTTTCCAGGCAGAGCCAGATCCCAGTTCATTGTGTTCTCCACATTGCAGGTGGCACACATCATACTGCCCAAATGGTCTCCTTCGAGCCCCCTCTCTTGATTTAGCACCTCTTTAAAATGCAAAAATGTTAAATTTACCATTCTAACATGCTATCCTGTGTTTTTTTTATTATTATTATACTTTAAGTTTTAGGGTACATGTGCACAATGTACAGGTTTGTTACATATGTATACATGTGCCATGTTGGTACGCTGTACCCATTAACTCATCATTTAGCATTAGGTATATCTCCTAATGCTATCCCTCCCCCATCCCCCCACCCCACAACAGGCCCCAGTGTGTGATGTTCTCCTTCCTGTGTCCATGTGTTCTCATTGTTCAATTCCCACCTATGAGTGAGAACATGCAGTGTTTGGTTTTTTCTCCTCGCGATAGTTTGCTGAGAATGATGGTTTCCAGCTTCATCGATGTCCCTACAATGGACATGAACTCATCATTTTTTATGGCTGCATAGTACTCCATGGTGTATATGTGCCACATTTTCTTAATCCAGTCTATCATTGTTGGACATTTGGGTTGGTTCCAAGTCTTTGCTATTGTGAATAGTGCCACAATAAACATACGTGTGCATGTGTCTTTATAGCAGCATGATTTATATTCCTTTGGGTATATACCCAGTAATGGGATGGCTGGGTCAAATGGTATTTCTAGTTCTAGATCCCTGAGGAATCGCCACACTGACTTCCACAATGGTTGAACTAGTTTACAGTCCCACCAACAGGGTAAAAGTGTTCCTATTTCTCCACATCCTCTCCAGCACCTGTCGTTTCCTGACTTTTTAATGATCACCATTCTAACTGGTGTGAGATGGTATCTCATTGTGGTTTTGATTTGCATTTCTCTGATGGCCAGTGATGATGAGCATTTTTTCATGTGTTTTTTGGCTGCATAAATGTCTTCTTTTGAGAAGTGTCTGTTCATGTCCTTGGCCCACTTGTGGATGGGGTTGTTTTTTTCTTGTAAATTTGTTTGAGTTCACTGTAGATTCTGGATATTAGCCCTTTGTCAGATGAGTAGGTTGCAAAAATTTTCGCCCATTCTGTAGGTTGCCTGTTCACTCTGATGGTGGTTTCTTTTGCTGTGCAGAAGTTCTTTAGTTTAATTAGATCCCATTTGTCAATTTTGGCTTTTGTTGCCATTGCTTTTGGTGTTTTAGACATGAAGTCCTTGCCCATGCCTATGTCCTGAATGGTATTGCCTAGGTTTTTTTCTAGGGTTTTTATGGTTTCAGGTCTAACATGTAAGTCTTTAATCCATCTTGAATTAATTTTTGTATAAGGTGTAAGGAAGGGATCCAGTTTCAGCTTTCTACATGTGGCTAGCCAGTTTTCCCAGCACCATTTATTAAATAGGGAATCCTTTCCCCATTGCTTGTTTTTCTCAGGTTTGGCAAAGATCAGATAGTTGTAGATATGTGGCATTATTTCTGAGGGCTCTCTTCTGTTCCATTGGTCTATATCTCTGTTTTGGTACCACTACCATGCTGTTTTGGTTACTGTAGCCTTGTATTATAGTTTGAAGTCAGGTAGCGTGATGCCTGCAGCTTTGTTCTTTTGGCTTAGGATTGACTTGGCGATGTGGGCTCTTTTTTGGTTCCATATGAACTTTAAAGTAGTTTTTTCGAATTCTGTGAAGAAAGTCATTGGTGTCTTGATGGGGATGGCATTGAATCTGTAAATTACCTTGGGCAGTATGGCCATTTTCACAATATTGATTCTTCCTACCCATGAGCATGGAATGTTCTTCCATTTCTTTGTATCCTCTTTTATTTCCTTGAGCAGTGGTTTGTAGTTCTCCTTGAAGAGGTCCTTCACCTCCCTTGTAAGTTGGATTCCTAGGTATTTTATTGTCTTTGAAGCAATTGTGAACGGGAGTTCACTCATGATTTGGCTCTCTGTCTGTTATTGGTGTATAAGAATGCTTGTGATTTTTGCACATTGATTTTGTATCCTGAGACTTTGCTGAAGTTGCTTATCAGCTTAAGGAGATTTTGGGCTGAGACGATGGGGTTTTCTAGATATACAATCATGTCATCTGCAAACAGGGACAATTTGACTTCCTCTTTTCCTAATTGAATACCCTTTATTTCCTTCTCCTGCCTGACTGCCCTGGCCAGAACTTCCAACACTATGTTGAATAGGAGTGATGAGAGAGGGCATCCCTGTCTTGTGCCAGTTTTCAAAGGGAATGTTTCCAGTTTTTGCCCATTCAGTATGATATTGGCTGTGGGTTTGTCATAGATAGCTCTTATTATTTTGTGATACGTCCCATCAATACCTAATTTATTGAGAGTTTTTAGCATGAAGCATTGTTGAATTTTGTCAAAGGCCTTTTCTGCATCTATTGAGATAATCACGTGTTTTTTGTCTTTGGTTCTGTTTATATGCTGGATTACGTTTATTGATTTTTGTATGTTGAACCAGCCTTGCATCCCAGGGATGAAGCCTACTTGATCATGGTGGATAAGCTTTTTGATGTGTTGCTGGATTCAATTTGCCAGTATTTTATTGAGGATTTTTGCATCAATGTTCATCAAGGATATTGGTCTAAAATTCTCTTTTTTTGCTGTGTCTCTGCCAGGCTTTGGTATCAGGATGATGCTGGCCTCATAAAATGAGTTAGGGAGGATTCCCTCTTTTTCTATTGATTGGAATAGTTTCAGAAGAAATGGTACCAGCTCCTCCTTGTACCTCTGGTAGAATTCGGCTGTGAATCCATCTGGTCCTGGTCTTTTTTTGGTTGGTAAGCTATTAATTATTGCCTCAATTTCAGATTCTGTTATTGGTCTATTCAGAGATTCAACTTCTTCCTGGTTTAGTCTTGGGAGAGTGTATATGTCGAGGAATTTATCCATTTCTTCTAGATTTTCTAGTTTATTTGCATAGAGGTGTTTATAGTATTCTCTGATGGTAGCTTTTATTTCTGTGGGATCAGTGGTGATATCCCCTTTGTCATTTTTTATTGCGTCTATTTGATTCTTCTCTCTTTTCTTCTTTATTGGTCTTGCTAGCAGTCTATCAGTTTTGTTGATCTTTTCAAAAAACCAGCTCCTGGATTCATTGATTTTTTTGAAGGGTTTTTTGTGTCTCTATCTCCTTCAGTTCTGCTCTTATCTTAGTTATTTCTTGCCTTCTGCTAGCTTTTGAATGTGTTTGCTCTTGCTTCTCTAGTTCTTTTAATTGTGATGTTAGGGTGTGAATTTTAGATCTTTCCTGCTTTCTCTTGTGGGCATTTAGTGCTATAAATTTCCCTCTACACACTGCTTTGAATGTGTCCCAGAGATTCTGCTATGTTGTGTCTTTGTTCTCATTGGTTTCAAAGAACATCTTCATTTCTGCCTTCATTTCGTTATGTACCCAGTAGTCATTCAGGAGCAGGTTGTTCAGTTTCCATGTAGTTGAGCGGTTTTGAGTGAGTTTCTTAATCCTGAGTAGTAGTTTGATTGCACTGTGGTCTGAGAGACAGTTTGTTATAATTTCTGTTCTTTTACATTTTCTGAGGAGAGCTTTACTTCCAACTATGTGGTCAGTTTTGGAATAGGTGTGGTGTGGTGCTGAAAAGAATGTATATTCTGTTGATTTGGGGTGGAGAGTTCTGTAGATGTCTATGAGGTCCACTTGGTGCAGAGCTGAGTTCAATTCCTGGATATCTTTGTTAACTTTCTGTCTCACTGATCTGTCTAATGTTGACAGTCGGGTGTTAAAGTCTCCCATTATTATTGTGTGGGAGTCTAAGTCTCTTTGTAGGTCACTAAGGACTTGCTTTATGAATCTGGATGCTCCTGTACTGGGTACATATATATTTAGGATAGTTAGTTGTTCTTGTTGAATTGATCCCTTTACCATTATGTAATGGCCTTCTTTGTCTCTTTTGATCTTTGTTGGTTTAACATCTGTTTTATCAGAGACTAGGATTGCAACCCCTGCCTTTTTTTGTTTTCCATTTGCTTGGTAGATCTTCCTCCATCCCTTTATTTTGAGCCTATGTGTGTCTCTGCACGTGAGATGGGTTTCCTGAATACAGCACACTGGTGGGTCTTGACGCTTTATCTAATTTGCCAGTCTGTGTCTTTTAATTGGAGCATTTAGCCCATTTACATTTAAGGTTAGTATTGTTATGTGTGAATTTGATCCTGTCATTATGATGTTGGCTGGTTATTCTGCCCATTAGTTGATGCAGTTTCTTCCTAGCCTTGATGGTCTTTACAATTTGGCATGTTTTTGCAGTGGCTGGTACTGGTTGTTCCTTTCCATGTTTAGTGCTTCCGTCAGGAGCTCTTTTAGGACAGGCCTCGTGGTGACAAAATCTCTCAGCATTTGCTTGTCTGTGAAGTATTTTATTTCTCCTTTGCTTGTGAAGCTTAGTTTGGCTGGATATGAAATTCTGGGTTGAAAATTCTTTTCTTTAAGATTGTTGAATATTGGCCCCCTCTCTCTTCTGGCTTGTAGAGTTTCTGCTGAGAGATCAGCAGTTAGTCTGATGGGCTTCCCTTTGTGGGTAACCCGACCTTTCTCTCTGGCTGCCCTTAACATTTTTTCCTTCATTTCAACTTTGGTGAATCTGACAATTATGTATCTTGGAGTTGCTCTTCTCAAGGAGTATTTGTGGCATTCTCTGTATTTCCTGAATTTGAATGTTGGCCTGCCTTGCTAGATTGGGGAAGTTCTCCTGGATAATATCCTGCAGAGTGTTTTCCAACTTGGTTCCATTCTCCCCGTCACTTTCAGGTACACCAGTCAGACGTAGATTTGGTCTTTTCACATAGTCCCATATTTCTTGGAGGCTTTGCTCGTTTCTTTTTATTCTTTTTTCTCTAAACTTCTCTTTATGCTTCATTTCATTCATTTCATCTTCCATCGCTGTTACCCTTTCTTCCAGTTGATCGCATCGGTTACTGAGGCTTGTGCATTCATCACATTCTCGTGCTGTGGTTTTCAGCTCCATCAGGTCCTTTAAGGACTTCTCTGCATTGGTTATTCTAGTTATCCATTTATCTAATTTTTTTCAAAGTTTTTAACTTCTTTGCCATTGGTTCGAACTTCCTCCTTTAGCTTGGAGTAGTTTGATCTATTGAAGCCTTCCTCTCTCAACTCGTCAAAGTCATTCTCTGTCCAGCTTTGTTCCGTTGCTGGTGAGGAGCTGCGTTCCTTTGGAGGAGGAGAGGTGCTCTGATTTTTAGAGTTTCTGGTTTTTCTGCTCTGTTTTTTCCCCATCTTTGTGGTTTTATCTACCTTTGGTCTTTGATGATGGTGACGTACAGATGGGTTTTTGGTGTGGATGTCCTTTCTGTTTGTTAGTTTTCCTTCTAACAGTCAGGACCCTCAGCTGCAGGTCTGTTGGAGTTTACTGGAGGTCCACTCCAGACCCTGTTTGCCTGGGTATCAGCAGCGGTGGCTGAAGAACAGCGGATATTGGTGAACTGCAAATGCTGCTGCCTGATCGTTCCTCTGGAAGTTTTGTCTCAGAGGAGTACCCGGCTGTGTGAGGTGTCAGTCCACCCCTACTGGGAGGTGCCTCCCAGTTAGGCTACTCGGGGGTCAGGGACCCACTTGAGGAGGCAGTCTGCCCGTTCTCAGATCTCAAGCTGCATGCTGGGAGAACCACTACTCTCTTCAAAGCTGTCAGATAGGGACATTTAAGTCTGCAGAGGTTATTGCTGTCTTTTGTTTGTCTGTGCCCTGCCTCCAGAGGTGGAGTCTACAGAGGCAGGCAGGCCTCCTTGAGCTGTGGTGGGCTCTACCCAGTTTGAGCTTTCCAGCCGCTTTGGCTCAAGCCTCGGCAATGGCGGGTGCCCCTCCTCCAGCCTCGCTGCCACCTTGCAGTTTGATGTCAGACTGCTGTGCTAGCAATGAGCGAGGCTCTGTGGGCGTAGGACCCTCTGAGCCATGTGCAGGATATAATCTCCTGGTGTGCCGTTTGAGAAGCCCGTTGGAAAAGTGCAGTAGTAGGGTGGGAGTGACACGAGTTTCCAGGTGCCGTCTGTCACCCCTTTCTTTGACTAGGAAAGGGAATTCCCTGATCTCTTGTGCTTCCCGGGTGAGGCGATGCCTGGTCCTGCTCCATCTCACACACGGTGCACTGCACCCACTGCCCTGCACCCACTGTCCGACACTCCCCAGTAAGATGAACCTGGTACCTCAGTTGGAAATGCAGAAATCACCCGTCTTCTGTGTCGCTCACGCTGGGAGCTGTAGACTGGAGCTGTTCCTATTTGGCCATCTTGGCTCCACCCTCTGTCCTGTGTTTTTATCAGAGTCTTATGAACTGTTCTCAAGGTCAGGCACCATATTCTATATGCCCTTGTATTTTTAGTGATGCAGTGGCTGGCATATTGACAAAGTCTCAAGAATTTGTCAAATGGACATTTTTAACTCTCTTCTGATGTATTTTGAACTTATTACAAAGTTTGTTGAAAAAAACTTTGAACAAAGTTACCTACATTTTTAGCAGAGGAATTATATTGTGTGGCATTGGGGAAGGGCAAGAAGTGAGAAAGGTAAAAAACATTTGGATCAGTTGTACTGTTGTTTAGAGAAAAAAATGTCAGAACTCAAGCCTCTGAATACACTAAGATATAAGACATGAGAGGAGGGTAGTGTCACTTGGAAAAAATGTCATGAAATTCTTTCTAGATGCTCTAGGTATTGAGCATCAGGAGATCTGTCAGAACAGAGAAAACAGCTCCTCCATGTAGCACAGAAGAGTTTCCAAGTACTCTTTACCTTAGCTCTGTCTGAGAAACTGAGATGCTAGCAGTGATTCTAAAGGATGGGCAATTAGAAGAATATGATGCTTTGGCCACATCACATTTATGTTAAATGGATTCCACAGCCATAGATGTGTTTTAATCTCCTTTAAGAGAGAATGTTCTTTAAATGAAAATAGGAAAAATAAATATGACAAGGTCAGAAATTAAGCTCTCAAAGAGATAAAATTATCATTTAAAATGAGTTCAGTGTTCATATTCGGAGACGCTTAATGCCAGGTTTTGCAGGTGAGGTAACAGAAACACTGTTGGTAAACTGAGAAACCATACAGAACAGAATGGATGCCAAAAAATGGAAGATAGGAAAATATTTTTCCAGTTGTCTCAGGATAGAAAACAGATTCTAGAAACAGACGGGTAGGCTTAATCTTTAGAACAATTCTAGAGCTGCTTATTTAAACAGGTTTTGAATTCTGAGAAAAGAAAGACAATGCCCATTGGTCAGTATTGGTTCTGTAATATCAGATTTGGCAAAGCCAATTCAATGTTTTTTTAAAAAATATTTTTTACTTCAGTTCAACGAACATCTATTGAGCATCCCCTATGTGCTGTAAGCATGGTGCTAGTTACTGGGAATGTAAACAGATATACAGTCTTGTTTTTGAGATATTTTTGGTATGACAGGGCCTCCACACCAGTTCCTTCTTTTGCTGTAGCACTTAGGATTTCATTCAGCTATGCTATAGCAAAAGAAGGGAGCCGGGCACCGTGGCTCTTGCCTGTAATCCCAGCACTTTGGGAGGCCAAGGTGGGCGGATCACGAGGTCTGCAGATCAAGACCATCCTGGCTAACACGGTGAAACCCCGTCTCTACTAAAAATACAAAAAAATTAGCCAGGTGTGGTGGCAGGCTCCTGTAGTCCCAGTTACTTGGGAGGCTGAGGCAGAAGAATGGCGTGAACCTGGGAGGCAGAGCTTGCAGTGAGCTGAGATCACGCCACTGCACTCCAGTCTGGGCGACAGAGCGAGACGCCATCTCAGAAAAAAAAAAAAAAAGAAGGAACTGCCTTTGAGGCTCAGAAGGAGTCCTGGAGAAAATAAGGTGCTATGTCTTTAAAAATGAGTGAGAATTGACCAATGAGAGAGGTGGGAAAAATGTTCCAGGTAGAGTGGCTAGTAGGAACAAAGACACATAAGCATGAAAAAAGCCTACCGTTTAGGAAGGGATGCAAGAACTTGTTTATTGGTAGTGTGTAAGGTGAGAACAGAGGAATGTTTGGAATGAATTTAGAGAGGAACATAATCATTTTAGGTAGATGGGACTTGATATTTTAGATTTTATAGAATGTGGAAACCAATTTTAGGCAGTGAAAAGGTGTTTGGTTTTTGTTTTCTGCACATCTGTCCAGTGTCAGTGTGGGCCATGAATTTAGGAGGAATTAGTGCAACCCATTAGAAAGGTATTGCAATTATTCATGTGAGACATGATGATGATTGATGATACTACTAGTAGGCAGTAGTATTAGTGATGGAGTGGAAGAGGTGAATGTAAGAAATGCCCTGAACAGCACCCACTGACTAATGTAGCACTTCTGGGATGCCCTGCAAGTTTCTAGTGTTTGTGGGTGGGAGTGGGAGGCACTAATTCAGTTGGGAATAAAGCAGGTGGAACAGCATTGACTGAGGGTAAGAGAAAGAAAGATGATGAGTTTGGTTATAGGTAAGTTGAATTTGAATGGCCTGTGGTGCATTTAAGTAGATATTTTGGAAAAACCCTTTCATGCATGAATCTAGAGTTCAAAATCAAGCCTCACAGTGGTTCATGCCTGTAATTCCAGCACTTTGGGAGGCCGAGGAGAGGGGATCACTTGAGACCAGGAGTTCGAGACCAGCCTGGAAAACATAGCGAGATCCCATCTCTATAAAAAAATAAAGAAATAATTAGCTGGGTGTGGTGCATATGCCTGTAGTCCCAACTTTGTGGGAGGCTGAGGTGGGAGGATCACTTGAGCCCAGGAGATTGTGGCTGCAGTGAGCCATGATTGTACCATTGCACAGCAGTCTGAGGAAAAGAGTGAGACTTTGTCTCAAAAAATAAAAAATCAAGCTAGGGCTGGAGATAAGATTTGGAAGTCTTAAGCATACAGATTGGGGTTAATCCTATATTAGATGGTATGATCGTCTACTATGGATGAATAAAAAGAGGATCATAGCGGGGAGCATCAACCCTTGGGGAGAAAGACCGAGTGACAGGAGCCCCAAAAAGAGACCAAAAACAAACAGACAGAAAAATAAGCAAACAAGCAAAAACAAACAAGCAAAAAATCGTTGGCGAGAGGGAGAGAGAGGAGTTTGAAACAGGAAAATCAAGAGAGTAAAGAATCTTGAGAAGAATGAGTGGTGACAATGTCAAACGCAGCGAGCACATCCAGAAAGATACATGTAAGCCAACAGTGGACGTCAACGGCAAAAACCCAAAACACATCGTATGAAACTTTAAGCTGAATAAGGTAAATTAACTATAGTGCCCAAATGAAAGGAGATAGAAAATCTACTCAGGAAGACCTGCTTAGATAAACACAGTTTTTATGCCAGTATCTTACTATTTTGACTACTGTTGCTTTGTAAATATTTTGAAATCAGGAAATGTGATGCTTCCAGCTCTGCTCTTCTTTCTCAGAACTGTTTTGGCTTTTAAAACCAATAAATACATTCAGTACAGTTGCAAAATACAAATCAACATACAAAAATCACTAGCATTTCTTTATACTAATAACAAACTATCTGAAAAGAAAATTAGGAAAACAACCCCATTTACATTCAAATACTATCAGAATAAAACACTTAGGCATAAACTTAACTAAGGCAGGGAAAGACTTGTACACTGCACTGAAAACTACAAAACATTGATAAAAAAATTAAAGAAGACATACAAATGGAAAGACATCCTGTGTTCATTAAAACATCCATTCTACTGAAGGCAATCTACAGATTCAAATACCACATAAACTGAGTAACTTATAAACAACAGAAATTTATCACAGTTCTGGAGACTTGGAAGTCTAAGATCAAAGCATCGGCAGATGCAGCATCTGGTAATGGTCCACCTTCTAGTTCATAGATGTTGCCTTCTTGCTATACACTTATATGACAAAAGAGGTGAGGGGTCTCTTTCAGGTCTCTTACATAAGGGAACTAGTAGTGTTCATGAGGGCTCTGCCCTCATGACCTAATCACCTTCCAAAGTCCCCACCTCCTAATGCTATCACCTTGGAGGTTAGAATTTCAGCATATAAATTTGGGGGAGACACAAACATTCAGTCCACTGCAGTGGCCCTCAGCATCTAGAGTATAGTGGGTTGCATCAGTGGTCTGAGGCAGGTAGACAGAAGCCAGTGACTTGGGCAGGCCCCAGTAAAAATCAGAGCATTTATGTGTGGTCACATCCTTTTCTTCCCTGCCCAGGTACAAGCTGTAATATCAGCTTGGAGCTGTTTTCTTTTCCCCGTCCACTCACTTTGCACTGAGCTGAAGGTTGCAGCTGTGGCATATGCTAGCTTGCTATTATGAACTCTAGTTTTGTTCTCAGTAATAGCTTCTGGACATCTATAGTATGTGAGATTGTTAGTGCTCAGTGACAGGTGACACAGAAGCCAGTGTTCTGTGCATGCCCCAGAAAAGTCAAGGCATTAGATATATGGTGCTTCTCTTCTCCTCCTTCCTCAAAGAAAAGCTTGGAGCTCCCAGTTGTATGTCACTGTGCTAGGGGCTTTGGACAAGAGGGTGTCTTGAACTCTCCTACCAGTTTTTATGTATAAGCATAATGATGTTTTGCTCAATGGTTGACCATATATATAAAATGGTTGTCCCATATGATCATAATACTGTATTTTTATTATACCTTTTCTATTTTAGATACACAAATACTTGCCATTGTGTCCCAGTTGCCTACAGTATTCAGTACAGTAACATGCTGTACAGATGTGTAGCCTAGGAGTAATAGGTTATACCATATAGCCTATGTGCATAGTAGGCTATACCATCCAGGTTTGTGTAAGTATACTCTATGATATTTGTACAACATTGAAATTTCCTTAAGAGATCCATTTCTCAGAACATATTGCTCTCATTAAGTGACACATGACTGTAGCTGGTTTTGTACTCAGCCTGGATATGGGAGTCTTACAGCTGGTTTTTGGATTTCTCATAAAGAGAATGTTAGTATTTTGCTCTTGAGTCAGTATGTCTGTAGAGGGAAGAAAAGTGTAGGAGGGTCTTCTGCCATCTTGCTCAGAAAGCTGATTTTTAAAAAAGAATTTTGGATCAGAATAAGGGCATTCTGTTAATTAAAGTTATTTAACCATAAATTTGGCTTTATTTTAAGTAGCAAACTCTGGGTCAATAGGATTTTTCAGAACAAAGAAAAATAACTAGCTGTCAGAGAGGCTAAGGGACACGATATTAGAGAAAGAGCACTGAACCTGGAATCTGGAAATAATAGGCTTCTCAGATTGTTCTTGCCTTGACTCAGTATGGACACTTGGGAAAGTCACTTTAACTCTCTGGGCCTTGCTTTCCTCATTTGTAAAATGAAGAGGTTGAACTAGATGACCTTTGAGGTTCCTTCTGGTCTTAATGATTCTGTGATGCAGAAGATATTTCTGCATTGGGATGTCATCCTTATAATTTATTGAGGTGGATATTAGAGGATTATGGTAGGAGGTGTGGAGGTAGAAACAGATCTGACTTGAATCATGTCAGACCTACCAGTGGAGATTCAACCACTTGGCAAGGCATGGTGTCCAAAGAATGTAGTAATTTAAAGTGTAACCTCTGGCAAAGGAACACTAGGCTAGAACAAAAGAATGGGGAAATCCAGAGCAGGAAAAATAGAGGATGAGGGAAAGGGTCTATTCTTGGGCTAGATTCAGGGGTACATACATTCTAGCCTCCAGGGAAATATCAAGTCCTAAGAGTGGAGACCAGGGTCTTGTTGATACTAGCGCAGGATGTGGAAAAAGAATTCCTGGCATAAGACCAGCTATCCACACATGAAATGTAGGATGGAAGACTTTGGCCCTGGACTATGGGCTCAGAAGCACCTCATCTGAAGAGAGAAATATAACTTAGGGAGCTATTTAAAAATCTAGTGGTTGGTCTTCACATTTTCTGAGTCATGCTGGCATCCAGCATGAGCTGGAGAATAGTCTGTGCCCTGGAGCAGAGGCATAGGAATTTTTAAAGAAGCCCTTAAATCTTTCCAACTGGTTGTAGTGGTCTTATTAAATCTGACAGTGGCTAGCATAAAAAGGAACAAAATAATGGCATTTGCAGCAACCTGGATGGAATTGCAGACCATTATTCTAAGTGAAGTAAACTCAGGAATGGAAAACTAAACATCATTTTGTTCTCACTTATAAGTGGGAGCTAAACCATGAGGACTTTGAGGATACAATGGACTTTGGGGACTCAGGAAAAAGGCTGGGAGGTAGGTGAGGGATAAAAGACTAGACATTAGGTACAATGTACACTGTTCGGGCGACAGGTGCACCAAAATCTCAAAAATCACCTCTAAAGAACTTATTTATGTAACCAAACACCACCTCTTCCCCAAAACCCTATTGAAATAAAAAAAAGAAATGACAAATGCATTAATTTAGACCTTAACCTTGTGTGCTTTCTATATAAAAAATAAAAAAGTTGTTTTGAACTTTGCAGTTGCCATTTAAACTATAATATGCTGTCAGCATAATGTGTCTAACAGTAAAATAATCCTAGGTCTACTTCTCCCAAGGTTACCTTCAAATATAAAAGTTGTGAAACTTCATAAAAAGATCTTATAATGGCTAGGAGAATGTAATCCATTTTCTTTAAGATTCAGCATAAAACCTAAAATAAATGTAACATAACTAACAAATATGGCTGTATGTGATTAAATATCTTGTTTACTAAATGCAGAAGAACTTAAGATATCATGGAGGCTGAAAAGACCACGCACAGCCAACATCTCTGCCTGAGAACTTTTTATCAGTGCTATCATTTCTATTGCAAGCAAGGGTGATCACTAGTCACTTCATTCTGGGAATGCTCTTTTCTCCTTTCTGTTTCTAAAGTCTTTTTTTTTTTTTTTGAGATGTTGGGTAATGGCCTCTAAAATATTTCCTTTCGTTAACTTTAAACTAAAAAATAAGATCCAAAATTAAAATTGTGATACTTTTAAAGCTTACAGCACTTGTTTTATAATATGACTAGCCCTAGAAAGCATAATGATACTATTTCTTCTGAACAGTTTCCTGGGTTTTTACAGCATAGCAATATATGTCTTTCACATTTTAAAAACTTTTATGTGTTGAAGTTTATCTTGGTCCATAACCACATTTTCAAAAAGTTGAATATGCTGATTTCACCAAAATGACACTTTGTTTATGCACAATTTTTCCTTACAATGTTTTCTTAAATCTGTCAACATTCTGTTAGATGCCCATTTAATGACAAAGATACTAAACTAGCTGGTAATATTTATAGGGAAATTTTACGCAAGTTTTCCAAATCCTACTGCCTCAGGACAAAATATATAACCCTCTGTGAAACTGGACATTTCTTTTTGTGGCAGGTTACTAGAGTTCTCAAATCACGTACTAAAAATTGAAAGAAAGTCTTTACTAGTTGAGTGGAGATAGTATAAAGTGCTTATATATAGAACAGACACATTTTTCAGATTAACAAGTGTTCTCAATTTTATCTTGCCCTTGATACAGGGCCAGTGGAAGTTAGGTTCTAAAGCCAGGTGAATAAATGTAAAGTTGCCATTCATTCACTCAGCAAACATTTATTAGGCAGATACTGTGGCCTCCACTCTCATGGAGCTGATGTTTTTATAATGGCTGTCTTGGCAGTGTGGGCCAGGGAGTCTGTCGTCCCTGGCCTGGGGTAATCTTAGTCTGTGGTTGCTCCTATACTTTTTCTTTTCTTTGTCTTACTCCATGATAGTTGTCCTTATAAAAGTATTTCTTCAGGTGATCCATTTGACAGGGGGATATTCAATCTCTGCTTAAGGAAGCAAACATTTCCTGGAGTCCAGCAAAATAGAATAAAATTCCTCAGCTCCATCTGGAAAAAAAAAAGCTTGCCCTTGAGCAACTTGGGTATATCTTTAGGTTGCTAGATACTGTGTCATCATTTGGCCTAAATGAAAACATGCTTTCGTTACAAGATGATGTATTTGACTCTCCTAAAAAGGAAGCATTATTGGTATCTAACATGTGCCTAAACTAGTAAACTATATGTAAAATCCTAACCCTGGGAAATGAATGTGTGCTTTTCCCGATATTTTCTCAAATAGTCAATTTTGAAGGACACATGTTTTATTTCTGACTGAAATGACGACTAAACTGCTGCTGGAGACACACCACACACAGGAATTTGACAGTTGGCTAATGCTTAGAAACTCGAATTAACAGAATTATCATTTCATGTCATTATTCTAAAAAAGATATAATTACGTGGGAAGTGCACTAATAATCCTTGTGGTTGTTTCCTCAAGGCCAAAATAAAATGATACCATTCAAAGGGATCATTAGAGTCACGAGTGGCAAAATGTGAATATCTGTAGGGTAGGGACTAAAGCAGAAGTATCTCCCAAAAAAGTCATACACTACAGCTGCCAAATGAGTGCCCCATGGGGGACATGAAGATGGGAGGAAGTCACACCTCAGAATTTTACAAACCAATACCTGCTCTGAAATATCATTAACTCTGACAGGAGATTCTGTCAGAGTTAAATATCATTAACTCTGGAGATTGAGCTGTTTTAGGGCACTCAGTAGAGTCAAGCTTGGGCTTAAAGGAATGTGACCAAATGTAACTTCAGTAGAGTCAGGCTAGGTTAGCATGGTTACATCTGCAGCACGGCCAACTGTTTTGTCCTGTATTTAAAGGAAAATGGCGTTAGCTGAAGTTAGCTCTGCATGAAACCTAGAGAAGAGCAAGCAGCCAAAAGAAGGAAAAATGGGTTGCCTGTTTCTAGCTATCTTAAGACAAAAGGTATTCTGACCTTGGATGCTGAGTCTTCAGGACCGTCAGCAGTTATTTTGCCCAGGATGGAGATGGCTGTTATTGGCTTGATGGGATTTCTCAGATCCCATTATCATCAGTTTCCTGCTTATGAAGTGGTTGCCCAGTAGAGCCTCCTTTAAGGAGAGAATCTATTAACCAGAGGACTCTGATTTTCAGTTTTCTTTGACTTTGATTTTCACTGTAATTTATAATTTGTCATTTTGGCACATATATCATGTCTCTTGTGGGTCTGCATCCTGTCTCTGTGCCCACAGACAAAATTGAGCTTCTAGACCTCTGACTCTGACAGGCCATGGACTGCAGTGATGAGCCAAGGAACTGCTTCTACATGGCTGGAAGACATCTAGGTGGTTTTAGAAATCTAAAAAGAGTGTTGCATCACTTGGCTTTGTAAAGAGATTGTGTAATGTACATAATCTTATGAATATCTAACCTTAAAATGATTTTGATACATTTTCTCAGATTTCTGGGATAAAAACCAGTGGCAATCAACTGTTATTGTTTGTCTCATTTCTTTTCTCCCAGTTGTCTCTGATTATGATGACCTCACGTGTGAAATGCCAAATGCGGTCTGCTCTTTAGACATAGTTGATCCATTTAATACATTCTGTAGCCTCAGTAGAATGACATGTTTCTGAGATGAGGAGTGCCAGATAAAGGAACAACTTAATGTAAATATGTTGATTTGGAAATAATTTGTGTATTATCTATATGAGAAAGAAAAAAAAACCTTTTTATCTGAGAAATGCAAGTCCCTTTAAATTATCCAGCCCAGAGAGGCATTTAAAATGTAACACCTGTCACATCCCACTCCCTCTTGACCTAAATAATATACTTGTTGAAGTGACTTGCTGTGGGGACTCTAGACTAACTCATGCCGAGCAGCCATAAAATGTCATACCCCCTGTAATTCAACAGTGTATAGCCAACCACTAACCAATGTTATTTCTGTAAACCAATGCGAATTCCTGACAAACCACTTTTTGTAATTGCCTTCTGATACAGTTTGGATATTGTTCCTTCCAAATCTCTTATTGAAATGTGATCCCCAGTGTTGGAGGTGAGGCCAGGTGGAAAGTGTTTGGGTCAGGGGGTTGGATCTCTCATGAACATCTTGGTGCCATCCTCAAAGTAATGAGTGAGTTCTTGCTGTATGAGTACCCACATGATCTGATTGTTTAAAGAGCCTGGCACTTCCTCCCCTCTCTGTTGCTTCTCTCTTGCCATGTGATCTGCACATGGCAGCTCCCCTTCCCCTTCTGCCAGGAGTGGACCTTCTTGAGGCCCTCACCAGAAGCAGATGCTGGCACCATGTTTCCTATACAGCCCACAGAACCATGGCCCAAATAAATCTTTTTTCTTTATAAATTACCTAGCCTCAGGACTCTTTTATAGCAACGCAAAAGGACTAAGACACTCCATCTCCTGATTTGTTCCTTTTTCTCTAAAAACTTAAACCTCTTCTTCACTCTCTGGAGCACTCTCCAAGGCAACCTGGAGGTTGTCCCAGGCTGCAGTCCTCAACCTTGGCTCAGATAAACTCTATATTAATTTTGCCTCAGCTTCTTCCTTTTAGGTGAACATATTCAGGATACTAATAAAATACTTAAAAGTTATATTTTTTTCATTAATTATTAATATCTTAAGTGATAAAAATAAGGGCAGATCTCAAATCTCAGGGGTGCTGAGAATTCAAGAGCACAATCAAAACACTTAGGAAGCTCCTGAAAGGTAACTAGAAGCCAAAACTTGGGAACTTGCCTCCTTATTAAATTAAATAATATTTTAGTGTGACTTCATGAACAAATCACACAGATGACCATGTATGTGGATTCTAGCATTACATTTTAAGCTTAGCAATGTGCTTGATCCTCAATAAATGTTACAGAATCTGAATGCAAGTTCCCACAATCCAGTAATTATAAATAATGACTTGCTCAGATAAGTATGTAGCAATTCAGATTGTTGATTGTTTACACTGAACTATGAATCTTCCATCATTATTTCTGTGCATAATTTTTTTCCTCCATTAAAAAGGCTTAATTCATTCAAGGATAATCTAATTAAAGATCAAATTGGGTAGGATAGAAGGCAAGGGTAGACTTTGTAGTCCTGTACTAAGCAAGTGGCAGGTCACTGTGAATGTCTCTTGAATGAATTATCTACCTGTTAAGAGTCTACTAAGACCATTTCAAACAACACTGTAAATTAACAATTGGGTCATGTACTGGATTTTGTGTAATTTTCTTCCTTTCTTTGTATTTTTCCTTCCTTTTTATATTTAATATTGGAAATTTTCTCAAGTTCTCTTATGAACATTAGAGGATTTAAAACTACCAAGTTTTAAGTAAAAATTAAGTAGGAATATGGCACGGCTCAAGGGTATACTATTTCTTCAAGAAATAGATATTAAGGCTTTTACTTGTTTTTACGTACTCCTTCCTGTATAAATAACTACTCTTACAGTTAAGTACAATTTAGCTCATCTTACTAACTTTATTGTTCACCTGATGGCTTTGTTGTTCATACAATGCTGTGGCACTAACAAAATTCAAGTGCTTTGGTTTCATTTTTGGAATTTACTTAGTGTTATTCTATTGTTTCAGTGGCCACTATGATTCGCAGATGTAATTTTATTATTTGAAATATAAACAACAGAGTCAAAGAGGGAGAAAAATGTAGCCAAAGTGGTTTGCCAGGATATGCACTGGATTAATTAAGAAAGTGGTGATTATAAAGAAAGCCATTTACATTCCTTATTCTCTTCCTCCCTCTGACTTTCATGTGCAGCCAATAAAGACACTATCAATTCAATTTCCTACCACTTAACTCCAAATACTGAGAGGCAAAAAATTTACTACTTTATAAGTGAGCAAAAAGTCTCCTTTTATTATCTTATAATCTTTATTTACTTACTACTTCGTAAACAAAGTGGTAATTTAATGCCATTTCTATTTTTCTGAAAAGTCAAGCGTACCCAGATGTTTTCTTGGGTAGGTTACTTATATTGGCTCATGGTTCTTTTTTCCCTTGTGGCCATTGTTCATTTCTACACAGACATCTGCTCAGCCTATGAGATGACTGGCAAAATGTGCCAGCCCCTTTTATTTCAGTTTTTTGTTCACTTATTAAGTAGCATGCTGTTTGCATCTCTTTCTTCAAAATTTTTACTGATAAACAATTGGATTCTTTGTTCAGTTGTTTGCATACAGTCAGCAGGTCTCCACATAGAATGAGACGATGCTACAGAGCCCACAGTATTTAAACAGGATCAAGGTGCATTACAAAATCCTGTTGTTC
This sequence comes from Homo sapiens, assembly GCF_000001405.40. Classification (NCBI taxonomy): domain Eukaryota; kingdom Metazoa; phylum Chordata; class Mammalia; order Primates; family Hominidae; genus Homo; species Homo sapiens. The sequence continues at coordinate 143,606,225 of NC_000004.12, forward strand.
ACCTGTGTGGAGAGAGCCAACATCAAAGGGCTGGCATCTGCTCCAAATTATCTACTTTTTGGCTATGTGCATATGAAAACATGTTCTTCAAGGGGTTTGCTTGCTAAATGGTACCTGTGAGATTACTATATTATGGAATATAGTAACTTTTTTTTTTTTTGCAAACACTTGAAGAAAGCTGCAACCCTTTTAAACTAACAATGGGGTTAAACTTTGGTGACTGGTGATTTCCTGTGGGTTTTGAACATGAAGGTAGCTTTTCGTTATAGGAAACACTAGATGGCCACCAGTATCACTGCAATTAGTAACTTTAAAAGGAAGAAAATATTTATCTATGGAAGATTTGGTTATTTCTTAGGGGTAAATGCATCCTAGAACCATATCACTGAAGGATGTAGTAGAGTACGAAAGAGTTACAGACTCAGAGGCAGAAATCTGGGCTTTAACTGACTGGGCAAACTGGACAAACCACTTAGTACATTTAGCTTCAACAACGAGGAGGCTGAACCACATGATCTCTAGTTCCCATTTTATTTCTAAGATTTCATGCTTCTATGAATCTAGAAGGATTTTTTTTTATGTATTTCTTGTCCTTAGCAAGACTTACATACAAACAACTTAGGTAATACTATATTGCATATTCTCTTCTTAAAAGTATTCCAAAAAATATCTCTCTGCAGTATATTTTGATAGCTAGAACTTTACCAGAAAAATTTTCTTAAGTTCGAACCTGAGTTGCAATGGCTGAAAGTTATTATTAATATCCTTTATTTAGTCTCTAGGAAAACTCCAGAATAGTGTTCTCCCCTTGATTATATAATGGTTATATTCTTCACTGCTGTATCCTCTATGCTTAGCAGAGTTCCTGACACATGGTAGGGGCTCAACAAATGCTTTTGGAACTAATACATTAATAAATGAGTAGTTCTTCATAAATGTAAAGCATGAGGCTAATTCGCAATCCCATTGAATAAAAGAATTGGCCTATGTCATTCCTGCACAGTCTTGAATCACATTCTGGATATCTCCTCATTTATGACTTTGCTCAAGCTGTTTCCTCCAGCTGAAATGCTACTGTCCTTCCTTTCTCTATCCTCAAGTTCCACCTACCCATCCAGACACAGCACAAATGGTACTTTTTAATAGTACTTTTTTTCTTGAGCTCCTCCAGTTAGAAGGAATCTCTGCCTTTTCTTGATTCCCTTTGTCCTTCATCTGAGCCTTTCTTGCCTTAATCACTTTTTACCTTGCTCTGTAGTTGGTTCACAGTGTTACTAGAAGAGGAATTGAAGATTTAGGAAAAGGGCATGCAGTCAGAAGGGGGAACTCAATGATTAAGAGTTAGGTTGAGAATCCTTGACTTACACTCAAATGTTCAATACTCTTGTAGGATTATGAGTGTAGCAGAGAAGGCTGTATTTTCTTAAAGACAAGAAGAGATCATCTTTTCATTTCATTTCCACACCAGTCACTAAATTTTCTAATTATAAATTGGTTTCTTATATAGACGTTTCCTCCAGAAACAATACTGATGGTATTAGTTTCCTTTTGTTGCTGTAATAAATTACCACAAATTTAGTGGCTTAAAACAACATAAATTTATTCCATTACAGTTCTACAAGTCAGAAGTCTAACTAAAATAAAGGGTGTTGCCAGGGCTGTGTTCTAACTGGAGGCTTCAGGAGGAAATCCATCTCCTTGCCTTTTCTAGCTTCTAAAGGCTGCCTGCATTCCTCGGCTTGTGGCCCTTTCCTCCAGCTTCAAAGTGCATCACTCCAACCTCTGGTTTCAGTCATCAGCTCCCCTTTTTCTCTGTGATCCTCTTGCATCTCTCTTATAGGGACCCTGCTGATTATTCTGGGCCCACTTAGGTAACTCAGGATAATCGCACCATCTCAACAGCCTTAACTTAATCAGACCTGAAAAGTCCGTTTTGCCATGTAAAGTAACACATTCACAATTTTGGTGGTTAGAATGTGGATATCTTTGGGGTCCATTATTCAGCCTACGTTAATGACCAAAGGACTTGAATGTCTGCTTTTTTGACAGCCATTTGCTTGTTATTATACATACAAACACTAATATTTTGGTTAAGAAGCTGTCTCATTCTTTTGTAAGGTGGTCCCCAGAGTCACCTCAGTTCTGAGCATACCAACAAAGTCATATAATGGCACCTGAATCCCATTAAATTGCTTGTTTAGATCTAATATCTGTTGGGTGCTTTATGCCTGTCTCTAGCTTTTGTAGTTTTCAGGTAAGCTCTGGTGTTTGAGCCTATTCTAATTGTTAGGTAAAGAGCTTGCAGAAAACATACATCTTATTGAGGAAGAAGAGATAGAATAATTGAAGGTCAGACAACTTCATTCTTCATGTTTGCTTAAAAATTTCAGGATAGTTTTAAAAGAAATTTCCTTCTAATTATCTGGGTAAAATTATATAATGCACTTGCTTATCAAAATGTAACTCAGTATGTGCTCAAAAAATGTTAGAGCATGTCCAGGGTATAGACATATCACTCCAGTTATATGTCTTCTGGCACTTATGTTGGAAAGAATAGCATGAGTCAAACAGGGTTAGGCCTTGGAAAAATAAAAGACAAAATAGATAGCTTAAAACACAAGACCATTCAAGTTCTTGCTTCACTAATTAACTCTCTTTTTTACCTGGCTTGTTTAGAGCAAAACTTTGACATATATTTTTCTAAGTTCATGACAAAATTTTAATGGAAAAACTCAGCCTACAGGATGCATCATTTTTGTGTATGGGTGGTGTTTATTAACTAATGCCTTTTTCTTAGAATGACTTAAGAATCATAGAATTATGGAGGGAAAGGGTTCCTAGAGACAACCCAATCAATCTCCTTATTTCAAGATTGGGAAACAGAGCCACAGATAGCTTGACCTAGCCAAGGTTACCCAGAGAGAGTGTGTCTCAGGCTTAGAATCCAAGTCTCCAGACCCCCAGCACAAGCTTTGCTGACTCTGTTGTTCCACTTTTGATTCTCTTCCTTTTCTCTCCCATTTCTTTCGTTGTGTACCTAGACCTATTACTAGCTCCAGTAGAGAAGAATAACGAAGACTGTTCTGACGCCAATCTTTCTGGCTATAAGAAAAGGTGTGGTAGTGAAGGGAAAAGGAATTTGAAGCTATGTGTTTACAAATTTCAACTTTTCATATTAATTCTTCATTATCATGGAAAAGTAAGCATTGATTATAAAAAGAAGGATATACTGTGAAGTGGACTATGTAGAAAATGTAAAAAAAAAGTCTCCACTTCCGTAACTTTCCCTTTCTCCCTTCTCACTCTGCCTGGTTAACACCTTCTTGGTCTGTAGCACTCGGTGTGGGTAAATCTTTCCTAACCTCTTGGTAAGAGATAGTTGCTTCAATATCCTAATCATAGCCCTGTAATTAAAAAAAAATTCTAATATTTCAAGCAGGCTTCAAAAACCACATAATGCCATGTCATCATTTTTTTGTCTTTCAGAGTGTCCTCATTTCTCAATTTGCTCTTCATATTAATCAACTAGACTTGACCACGTAGGGATTTTTCAGATGTCTCAACCAGACAAATTTACTCAGATTCTACTTCTCTTCTGTTGGGAAAACAGCAGATACTTTTTATAAGATAACGTGAGTAGTGTTTCTCTTTCCAAAACAACTTCTTTCGAATGAAACTGGAAAATCAAGGCTAATTTTCCTGTTGGACACTTCCTCCTATCTCTTTGGTTTAACAGAAAATATATACAATTATACATTTCCATAAAGGAATATATTGAAAATTTACTCAAATTATTTTAAGAAAAACAATCTTTGTTTTAATTCCAATGAAGAAATTTTTGAAAAGAAAAGTACATGACGAAGAAAGCATGGATCTCAGGGCCTGTCCTTATTCTTAGCTCTTGATACTTGTAAAGATGTGTTTTGGAATTAGTCCTAGAAAATTCTTTTTTATTTTTAATGGAGCAAAAGTAGTCTACTGAAAATTTCAGAGATCTGGTCCACAGGGTGAAATATTCCCAAGTAAAGCCATTTAGGAGATTAAACAACAAACAGAAGACCGCCTTTAATCTCACTCATATTTTCTCTTGTTCTATGGTTGTTATGAAGACATAATTTTAAACAGAACATGATAGTACACGATAAATTTACCATACCTACCTGGAGAGTATAAACTGTTCAGACTTTACAAATCTGTGTTTATCTCTTGGCACAGCTCTCAGTTTAATGTAAGCTTTGTGGTGCATCCATAAAGCAGTCACATTAATTTTGGGTCCTTAATAACAGCCCAGTCTAACCCTTCTTAGGTCTGAGCTTAGCAACTCACAGCCACTCAAATCCTGACAGAAGCATGGTTGAGAGATGAAGCAGTCACACTAATTTGAGAGTAGTAATAAAACAGTCTGATCCTGGCCCTGTCTTTATTACCATTTTCTGTTAAAAGTGCTCCTTATAGAAGGGCAGGTGAGACCTAGGAAAGTCATACTGGGCTTGATACTTTGTGTCGTGTCTGGGAGGGGAGTTGGTGTTTAGGAATGAGGCGCCCCTCTCTTCTCTGGCTAAATTTCAGCTGGGCTCCCCAGGGACTGGAGGCAAACGCCCTGCTAGGTAACCATAAAAAGAGGTCCAGATGCTGACACACTGGGCTCCATCTTATCCTTGTGCTGCTTGACAACTCACACACTAACTGTGAGGGATGATCCTTGTGCTGCTAAGATGAAGGTCCTCTTGGGGGTAGTCCTGGTTGGGTAATTAGATACTTGACTTAGGTCCTCTCCCTGGCTTCCTTCTAAGTCTTAAGTCACCTCCTTGGGCTGTGCTTTTTCTTGTGTCAAGTAAAGTCGTACCCAAATATTTAATCTACTCGCATGGCTGTTTTGTCATTGGTGTTGGTGATGTCTATGCATTTGAAGAGCTACTCACAGTTTTTGGAGATAAAAGAACATCAAATATTCTTTTAAAAGATAATTTAAGCTACATTTGCCTTTCAACTGTTGGAGGAAAGTGTGAGAAGGCAGCTATTGCCAAAGGTTGGAAAGCAACAAATGGACTTACCATCATAACGATCAGCCAGAATAGTCACCTTAGTGGTGGGGAATCTGGCTCCCAGCTGTCCTCCCACTGGCAGCCTAAGTGAAACGCTGAAGGATTCCTCCTCTTCATAAAGGGAGTCATCAATGATCAGGACCTGGCAGGTCTTCTGTGTCTCATTCTTGTCAAAGTGGAGGATGCTGGTGTGGTCTTCTGGACGTGAGATGTAATCAGAGAATAACACTGTGGAAGAAATCGTGCCTGTGGCAGAACCTACAGAAATATGAGAAGGAACAGGGAGGTTAAGAAGAAATGGAATTCCAAACAAGAAGCCTGTCTGTTTTCTTTAATGTATTTTTAGATAATAGCTATCTGAATGATACAACACACTTACCTCTTATGCTCACAAATAGTAATACTGTAAGAAGAAGGCTTTTGGAATAGACTCTGGTATTTTGACATGATCTAGATTTAGTGATTTTTAAATAGAGTATATTGAATAAGGTTTGTTTATATTAGGGGCTAAATAAACAAGATCACAGGATGCTAGGGCTGGCTTAGCTCAATTATTTCATATTACAGATGAGAAAACTGAGGTGTAGTAAAATTAGGACTAGAGAATCCACAGCATGAAAATAGTATCGATTTTTTTCCTGCTACTGCTCTACCCACAGTGGCATAGCTGTGAGCAGCATCTATGTAATCTGATCATCACACACCCCAACTAGAGTTCTTTGTATGACACCATAATATAGCCAGAAAATTATATCTTATTTTACAAGGAGTGCAGGATTGATTAGAGGATTTCGGTTTAGATTCAGTGTGTTTTAAATGTTATTTTAATAGTTTACTTACATTAAGATTCACCAATGTAAATGCACAGTTTGAAGAGTTTTGACAAATGCATATAATCATGTGACCACCACCACAATCATAAAACGTTTTTATCCATCCACAAAAGTTGACCTGTGTTTCTTGCAATCCATCTCCTTCCCTGTCTCCCAGGCCTTGGAAATCACAAATCTGCTTTGCATCATTATAGATTTATTTGCCTTTATGAGAAATTTCATACAAATGAAGCATATGTTTTGATTCTTTCATTTAGCACAATGCTTTTGAGATTCATCCATGTACCATGATATGTTTTCCCTTTTATTGCTGACTATTGTTTCCCATTGTGTGGCTATACCACAGTTTGTTTATCTATTTACTGGCTGATAATTTGGGTTATTTCTAGTTCTTGGCAATTGTGAGTAATGCTTCTATGAATATTCAAGTACGAGTCTTTGAGTGGGTATGTATAGGTTGTTGCAAAAGCAATTGCGGTTTTCCCATTACTTTTAATAGCAATAACCACAATTACTTTTGCACCAACCCAATAATTTTTTTTCTAGAATAAATACTTAAGAGTAGGATTGCTAGGTTCTGATGCATTTTTGCAGTTTTAAAACAGCAACACATAGGTTTAGGGCTAAAAGACTGAACAGTATTCATTGTAATTTAAATGATTTAGGCAGACCAGATTTAGGCAGAACAAAGACTATGAAATAATAACCTATTATACCAGATAAGAAGTTTTTGAAAAGTATAAATATTTCCCACCATACCTCACTTTAATAAGAAGCAATGAGGAGATGACAGTGAGATTCTGGACTGGATGCTCCAGTCTTGTAAGAGTCTTTCTTGCTTACAGCTATGGTAAATGCACATATGCAAGATGACACCAATGCCCACTGTCATCTAAACATCCGTACAAGTTGGTGTCCATCACTGCATGTTGCTTGTATAGATCTAAGTTGCTAAAAAATGATAGTGGGCTCCAACCGACTTCAGATGTTTTGCTCGGAAGGGCACTGACTCACAAAGTGTTTCAGAATGGTTTTTTTGAAAGAACAAAAATTTTAGAATTATTCGGAAGTAACAAATTGACTGTTTCGTTATCCTGGAATCATAAAAATTGTTAGAGCTGGAGAGTTGATGAGAACAAAATGTGTTTGCTAGGGCAGAGGGCAGAAACTGATCAAAATGGACAGGCACAAGGGGAACTATCACTTGGTGGGGAAGCTAGCTGAGTTTCAGTGGCGGTCTATGCTTTGAAACCTTATTATCTCATGAGATTCCTTCTCTGGGGAAACCTATGCATGAAAAAGGTCTCCACACTCAAGTCAACCAGGATAGGCTGGCTCTTGGGATGTGAGACATAGTGCTATCACTGAATGCCTAAGACAGGCACTCTCCAGTTAAATGGGGAAAGAGGTAAGTGGTTAGCAATATAGAAAGGCTCTCAAGATGAGATGAAACACTGTCAGGGAGACTTTCTGTGTTCCTGGCACACAGACAAAGGAAAAAAGGTCTTAAGCTCTTACAACAATCTGATTAAATAGCATACAACTTTTGGAATGTCTTTTTAAAGAGCCAGATGTTTAAACAGAACTATACCTTTGGAGAACACAGTTCTCAATTTTGCCTAGCCATCAAGTGTGCATTATGTTGGTATGACAGGCTATATGACAAAGAACCTTGTCAGAAACTGCATGTTAACTCCTCAGGACGAATGCCAAAAGCAGATACTGTAGACACTAGGCTCGCATAGTAACTAACACTATCTTCACTAAATATAACTATCTGTATTAAACCTCTTTCTCAATATATGTCACCTAATGAATATTCAAATAATGATTTATTTGTAGTTCATGAAACAAAAGCAATTGAGATTTTTTCTTTTTCTGTTTAATTTTTTTTTATATTTGACCAATCCACTGGTTGACATAGATATGACATTCAAGTAGGTTGATTTCTGGGTTAAATGAAAGACTGAAATATAATACTTCTTGAAAATCATTTGGCGATTGAACTCTGCTAAAGCAGAAATCAAGACAATATGTTTTAGCAAGATTTTTAAACAAGAGTTGGTGAAAAAAGTTGTCTAAGTAAATTGTATTTAATAAAAAAATTCAGTTGATCTAAATGGAACATTCCTTTTAGGATTCTAGAAAATTTACTTTGGGCAACTCTTTGAGCAGTTATATTCAATAGTTAAGAATGTGAATACTGACATTCATTTAAGTAAAAAACAAACAATATTTTATCTGCAACAAGTTAAGAATCCTCAGGACTTGGAAAAATTCTGTTCTGAAAACATCAAATATATTCTGAGATAAAAGATAAGGTCCCTGGCGATTGTCTGTACATATCCCGTATTTTACAGTGAAGAGGCTTCAAGGAGTATAAATTTATGATTTCCAGGCTGGTATCAAAGACACTTATTGGGTCTCAAGCCTTGTTTGGGTGGCTTGACCAGTGGTAGAGCATAGCATCTTTGTGAGAAATATTAAAGATTCATTGTTTGCAGAGGTAGATTATGAGGCATGATGAATGACAGTTTTAATGGGTATGGGTTTAGTTCTCCAAAATTAAGGGTTAGAACCAAAGATTCATTTCATGTTAACCTAGGAGTTCCCTCCCTTAGCATGGTGATGTGCTCTCCAAACAAGGCACGCGAAAGCTGATTTGCAAACTTTGCTGATTTTTGTTGTATTAATATTCCCATCATAGCCAACTTCAACTATCAATGTGAAGTCACTGAGCATAGAGTAGGGAAGAGGTGCACAGAATCAGCTTTCAGGAGCAGTTACTAGCTGGATCCAGCATACCACTCTATCCATGATGATGATGGCATCGATTGCCCCTGTCCAGGCCTCCCTCACCTCACTGGCAGCCTGAGAATTTGTGAAGTTACTTTAAAAATTAATAACTTATTTACAAAAGAGTATTTATGGCTCAGTCTCTGTGGCTACATATTACATTTGCTTTACAAAAATCATAAATGTTAAAATCAGAGAGAAAGTCCTATTAAGGAACTACACTAAAGGGTAATTAAATCATTATATTATGTTGTTTGGTTACTTTATGAGGTGGCCAGGGCGTTTTATCAATGAGAAAATTGAGGCAGAGAATGCCCCATGATATCCAAGGAGTCAAAGACCCATCTCCTGATAGTCAGCCTGGGGCACTTTTTACTTTCTCACATTGTCTTTAGTTGTTTGTTTAGTTGATTATAAATTCTTTTAAACACACAATTTTCTTTTAATATGTACATTTTAGTAGGACAGCAAGACAAGCAATCACCCTCTTTAAAGTGCAGCAGCTAACACCTCATTGGAGCAGGAGGCTTTTGGACCCCAGGCACAAGTCACCTCATGCCCCAGGAGGGCTGATGATTGAAGGGTGGTGGGAGAACCAGAGGAGAGAGGAGGAGGGTAGCAAAGGCTCGGCTGGAGCAGCATGGGAGCGTCTATCTAGAGGGGACTTTGGTACTTTTGTTTCCAGCAGATTGGCCAGTCAGGTACTCTGGGATGCCCGTACAGTAAAAAACAACTAGAAAAAATAATGATTCTGGCTTTTCTGTTCTCATAGGGAATATCGTCAAGTGTAGGGAATATCGTCAAGTGTCAAAAAAAAAACAAAAACCCAAAAACCCACAAACAAAACAAAATTGAAATTAAAAATAACTAAAACAAACCATAAAAACCCTCCCCCAACCTGAAATCCCATAACCCATAGAAGGGATTCCCATTCAGAAGGTGGTATCCCCCCAAGAGCAGGTGCACTATCACCATTGCAGGTGGAGACAGGCCTTGGGCAAGGGCACCTCACAGAGCTGACTTGGAAGCTATGGTTATGCCTGAGGATACAGGGCAGCAGGAGTGTGTCTGGATCAGTAGTACCCTCTGAATCCTGGAGTAAGCAAAGCAAACCTTTCTTGGAGGAAAACATTTTCAAGTGAAGCCCTCAGATCTTTCACAGATTCAGATCAAATACATGTAAGATTTTAGATGCATAGAAAAAACATCTCTACAAAGACAACTTTTAGATGAAAAACAAAGTGCTTAACAATGGAAGCCAGAATATGTTGGAATAATAACTTTAAAATGCTAGGAGAGAATTACTACCAACCTAGAATTTCAAGACTGGAGTTGAAATAAAGACATGTTCTGATAAACAGAAAATGGTGAGAGTTTACGCCCAGAAAACCTTCAGTAAGGGGACTTTTAAACCATATGATTTGTACTTCAGGAACAGAAAACTATAATCCCCCCAAACCGTCTGAGATGCAAAGTTTAACTTCTATAACCTATGAACACATCTACAACTAAATAAATCAACACAGAGAATCTTTTTTAAAAGGAAAGAAAAAAGAAAGTCTTTCACCTGGACATGCTTGGAACCCTTTAAGAATTATCCACTTTTGGCCGGGCGCAGTGGCTCACACCTGTAATCCCAGCACTTTGGGAGGCCGAGGCGGACGGATCACGAGGTCAGGAGATTGAGACCATCCTGGCTAACACTATGAAACCCCGTCTCTACTAAAAAAATACAAAAAAGAAAATTAGCCGGGCGTGGTGGTGGGCACCTGTAGTCCCAGCTACACGGGAGGCTGAGGCCGGAGAATGGCGTGAACCCGGGAGGCGGAGCTTGCAGTGAGCCAAGACGGCGACACTGCACTCCAGCCTGGGCAACAGAGCGAGACTCCGTCTCAAAAAAAAAAAGGAAGAAAGAAAAAAGAATCATCTGTTTTCTACCTCCATCTTAGGGGATGACCCACAGAAAAAATCCAATCGGAGAAGTGGGGCGAGGTCCATGGCTTGTGGTTTACTACGCAGTTCTTTTTAACTGGATAGAGTAGATCATTAAAAACCGCAACGTATTTGACTTGGGCCTGACCAAAAACCACAGGATGATTCAATGCTGTACCTACTCATTTGGTTTTAGGTTCTGTGGTTTGCTATTCATTGGCTGTTCCTCCAATAAGGCAGTTTTTTAACAAGAGAGTGACTAATGAGAAGAAAAAGATGGATGAGATTTTTCTTAAGAATGAAATAATGCCGAGAAATGTCTAATTTCCAAGTCTTTACTTAAAGAATCTTTGCGCTTAAAACATTTCATTATAGAGCAAGAGTTTTCAGTTGGGCTGATTTTACCTGCTAGGGGACACTTGGCAATGTCTGGTGACATTTTTGGGGGTCACAGATGGAGGTGGTAGATGCGTCTAGATGCTAGATACTTGCATCTAGTATATAGAGACCAGGGATGCTGCTTAACATTTTACAAAGCATGGGACAGCCCCCACAATAAACAGTTATTCAAAACATTAATGGTGCCAAGGTTGAGAAGAGGAACAAGAATAAATTCTCCTCTGCCCTGGAAGACAGAGGATTTGGCAGTAAACAGATAATTTAAGATATTTAAAACCAACTACAAGGACAAACCTTTGTAATGCATCTTCAAGATCTTCATGTTTGTTGCGTTTGGCTATATATCCAGAGATAGGCTTATTGCCTATTCTTTAACTAAGATTTCCTCTTGAAAGCACCAGATATAGCCAGCTCCATATAATGTTAGCAACTCTTGGGTTTAAGCTAGTTTTACATTTGGGAAGGAAAAAGTGAAGAGGAGAAAAAACAAGCTAGGTGAGGTACTCCTTGAGGCCTTTCTCCTTAGCTAGCTGATCACTGAAAGGATGTGCCTAATTCTTTCTTCCATTGGTGCACTGGGGCTCTAGTTTGGGTCTTGCAATAATGGGCAAGTATGTGGGAGCTACGGGGTGTGGTTGAGGCTGGACAGACCAGCTATTGTAGAAAGTGTACTCATGCTTTGCTCTGGGCTTCAAGCTGGGCTTCTTCTGGTATTAGTGACACATTCTCTGTCTACAACCAAAGTGTCCAGCAGACAATGGTGCTAAAGTCTCTTAGATGTGAATGAAAGAGATGAGATGGTAAACAGCCCAGTTGAATAGATCATATGTAATTGCTACGCTAGAAAAATTCACCGAGTGTCTGTCTGTTCATCCCTTGGAAAGAGCTATGCTGCAGAAGGACCATCCAAATGAATAGCGAGGCTCAGTGTCTGGCACGGAGTCAGCTAGGATGGAGGAGTGCTGCTTCCCCAAGTAGGAGGGCTACACCTAACTTTAGCTTCTCATAAGATTCCCTTATGTAATCCAACTTCCCACATGATTTCCAGATGTGAAAGCTGGCATGCCTGGAAAACTCCCTGCATAGCTGGTGCACAACTCAGACTGCTTGACACCTGAGCCTTGACCCCGAGATCCCCACATAAGAAGGTATTTTCATGTTTGTGGTTAAAAAAAAGAAAAAGAAAAAGAAAAAATAGGATACAACAGGGTCGGGGCCCTTCCTGGAACACTAAGCCACTGTATGCAAGGTAGCATCTTGACTCTTGCATATCTCTTGGTGGAACTGAAACTGAGGGCTAAGCTGATTAAGTTTGCCAAACTTAACCTGCCTTGCTTGCTTTTAACAGCTTACTTATGGCTTATGGTAAAACTCCCATTAGCAGCCAAGTATGGTGGCACACACCTGTAGTCCCAGCACCTTGGGAAGCCAAGTCAGGAGAATCACTTGAAGTCAGGAGTTCGAGACCAGCCTGGGCAACATAGTGAGAACTTCGTCTCTACAAAAAATTTTAAAAATTATCCATGCATACAGGTTGGTGCCTGTAGTCCCAGCTACTCCAGAGGCTGAGGTGGAAAGATGGCTTGAGCCCAGGAGTTTGATCCTGCAGTGAGCTGTGATGGAGTCACTGCACTCCAGCCTGGGTGATAGAGTGAAACCCTGTCTCAAAATCCTCCCCCAACCTACCAAGAAACCAACAACAAAAAACTCCCACTAGCAAATCACTTAGCCAAACAATGCATAACTAAACTCCCACTAGCTTCCTTATAGATAACATCTCTAACTGTGGGGACTATAATAACATTGCTTAAAGTTGTTTTTCAGGAACTAGGGGGCAGCTCTTGTCCAGTTCAAGCTGTCGAGACCACTGACCTTTAACTGGGCCTGCTTGAGTGCCCAAAGAGTGATCTTTTGATGTCAGAGGGCCAAAAGCTCCAACCTCAGATTATGCTAACACTGCCATTTTGTGCATATGTGTCCTATGAATTACCATGTAGCTTGATTAGTTTTGCACAGAAACCCCAATTACCTCACCTTTCCTACTTGCCAATCACCTTTCCCCATGCTTTAGAAGACCCTGCTTTCTATTTCATAAGTACTCCCAAATTTTGATTCGTTCTCTTGTATCTTTGTATGGCAGCCTTGTGAAGGAAATTTTTTCTCTTTTGCAAAACCTGTCACCACAGTGATTGTCTTGCTGTGCGCAAGCAGAATGAACCTGGCCAGTAACAGAATTATAAGTGTGAACGTTGTAAATCTTCTCATACTCATATCGTGTGCCATTGTGGTATTTGTCCTCACCTACTCCCCATGTATAGGATGAAAGTTCAATTCGGTTATTTAAACATCTCTGGAAGTCATGTTAAAGTAAATGTTTAACAATTACTTATTTTCATAAATAAAATGAACATGAGCTACATACACAGTGCAGTGGAAAGCAGACTCATGCTTTGTATGTTACTAATAATTCACAAATACTAAACATGACTACAGGTAAGTGAAGGAGGCAACTAGTTTTATGCTGTGTTTTGCTGGGGACCTCAAGGCCCTACTATTAAAGTTTCCATCTGCCAAGGTACTGCCTGCCCCTACTAAATGATTAGTGCACCATCAGTGTTTACAAACAATGTTGTGGGGGTATTATTTAAAAAAAAAACCAAAACATTGTTTGGGAGAGGAAGAAAAGCTGGAGGAATAAATTCTCCCTTGCTGACATATCAACAAGTAGGAGCACTGATTTTGAGAGACTGAATATACAGATGGAAAATGGCCATACCATACATAAAAAGAGAACTCTGACCCACAATCTGCAGCAATTAGTCCAGGAAGCCAAGCCACCACCTCTGTAGCAATCAGCAATCAAATGGTCAAGACTTACTAAATAACTGCCAGCTTCCCTAATTTCTGCTCCCACTTCTAATTTAAGACCAACCACAGAGAGCCAAATATGCCCTCATAACCAATCATATAGGATGCCTGCTTCTACTGAGCCAATCTCCAGATTCCCAGGCCAACAGCTTCCAATCAGGACATACCTGATACCTTTCCTTTTTCCACTATAAAGCTTTCTCATGCTTCTGCCTGTTGGGGCGAGTCTCTGCCACATGAAAGTGATGGTGGCTGACATACTACAGCGAGCTCTAAATAGCCTTTTCTTGTTGTCATTTGGGTGGGCTTCATTTGTTTCCGTAATTTTCGTTTTCTGCATAGTTGCTAATAAGATGTTAGAGAATATGATCCTGAGGGGATGAGACATGAGACAGCTAAATCTGGCTGTATAGAAGTGGTCAAAAAGAATGGAAACTTGTTTTCGGTGCGAAGATGCCTGAACTCATGGTTGGGGGGCATCTGTGGTTGTGAGATGGGGAGAGAGGAGGAGAAGAGAAACTGAGTAGTATATACAGACTATTTTACAATATTGCCCAGAGGCAATGCTGACTATTAAAAATACGAATCTTTAATTTATAAATTTTTGACTAGCATATATAAACTCTTTTGACACAAGATGTCTCATTTGACTTTCACAAATGTCTCATTTGACTAGCCCCTTCGTGGGGTAGTTAAAATAGATATTTTAATCCCAATTTTGAATAAAGCGTTATCCCTGGTTGAGGAGACCAGCTCAGAGGAGTAGGGCACCTGCACAGAGTCAGGAAAGGGGGTTCGCAGCAGGGCATGGACAATGAGGGGCCCAGGCATCCAGCATCTTAACTCTGCTTTGCTCACCCTCTGTGGTACTCCCAGCATTACCACAGTCTTGTTCTCATCATCTTATTCCTATGAACAGGACCCCACAGAGCCTCATACCTTGACGTGTGGAGCAAATGACGATTAGTTCCTGGCTTGCATCTCCAGATCGTCTTACTGGAATCAAAAGTTCCCCAATGTCCTCTTCTATTTTGTATTCCGCCTCTGGAATATAAACTGTTGATTCTAGAAAAGATGGCAGAAGACTTTTCACCAAGATTTAGATTTGATCGGTGATATTTAAACACACCTGAGCAGAAATGTACAAAGCCTTTGACTCTTATATTTTCCAACATGATTAACTGTATTAAATATAGTGAGAATGGGAAGCATTATTTATTATTGAGTGGAGCTGGAGAGGCATTGGAATTGGGTTTTAGGAGACCTCTTTTGAAAGGTTAGAAAGGACAGCCAGCATTAAAAAGGAAAACAAAAATCTTGCAGCAATTTCATGTCTTTTTTTTCTTCTGAGATCAAATTTTAAGTCTTCTAAATGGAGATCACATATTTATGTACTTGCTTTACTTTTACTGTTTATTTTTTAATATTTTAACAATCAAGTAATCTAATTCATTAATGAAGAAAACTGTTTTCATGCTTCATTCAACAAACTGCTTATTTAACATTTATTGAGCAGACACTGTGCTGGTCATTTAATATGCTGAGAAAAATAAGCTACAGGTCCTTCCCTCAATTTTAAAGATCATATTGCTGCTGAAATTTACTGAGTTGTGTATATGTGCACACACGTTTGTGTGTGTGTGTATGTGTGTGTGTGCATACACCTAGACATAATCAAAACATTCATTGAAATATCAGTATGAATATTGGTCATGTCTTGTTGATGGGATTATGTGTACTACTTTGGTGGGGAGAGATTTTAGATGTTTTCTAAGGCTTTTTATTAAGCATGCACTGTGCAATTAAAATATAGGTGTTTGTTTACAAAGTTTTAGAGGAGATTGTTCCGACTTATAGTGTGAAGTGGAGAACTGCAGTAACTATCTATGAAACCACATTTAATTTCCTCAGTTCTTTTCTTTATGTTACATATACATGTAGATTCTTCCTCTTAGTGATGCAAGCAAAAAGGGAAAAGATTGTAGGCAATCACCTTTTTTTTTTTTTTTTTGAGGCAGGGTCTTGCTCTGTCACCCAGGCTGGAGGAGTGCAATTTCGTGATCTCAGCTCACTGAAACCTTTGTCTCCCAGGTTCAAGCAACTCTCGTGCCTCAGCCTCCTGAGTAGCTGGGATTACAGGCATGCGCTACCAGGCCTGGTTAAATTTTGTGTTTTTAGTTGAGATGGGGTTTCGCCACATTGGCCAGGCTGGTCTCGAACTCCTGGACTCAAGTGATCTGCCTGCCTCGGCCTCCTAAAGTGCTGGGATTACAGGAATGAGCCACTGCACCCGGCTGGCAATCATCTTTTTTTTTTTTTTTTTTCCCATTTTGGAACTATTACTAAATGATAATTCAGAATTCAATGTTAAATTATCTAGCTATTGTATATTAATTTTTTTCTTCTTTACTTTCCTGCCTACATTAGCTTCAGCAGATATAAGTATCAACCTCCAGGAAGACACTGGCCCTGAGTCACAGGGAGAAAAGACCAGTGATAGTTTTCTTTCCTCCATTTTACCTGTATGGTAGTCTACTATCTTGACACCTTTCGATTCAAAACGTTGGCATCATGGAAGAAGCTAAAAGTAAATTAAAATTATCAATGTCATATGAAAAAATTGATACAATAGGACTAAGTTATTCAGTCATGCCCTCTATTTTTTCCAATCTGGAAAGCCTGTTTCTATCTGCCTTCTAATAAAAATCCCATTTACTTTTCAAGATTCAGCTCAAACCCTGCCTCTTCCATGAGCCTTCATTACTTGGGACCATGATGATCTATGTTCTTCTCCTTGAACTCTTAGTGTTTCTCCCATGTGTCTTACATTTACTTCATAACTGATTCATGTATCAAAGTGTTGTTCTCAACAAAACTGGTCTGATACCTTGTTCATTAGGTGGTGGGGGCAGTGTTTTCTACTTCTTTTGTATCTGCCAAAGTGCAGAGCATATGAACACTACTTCTCAAATTATGTTTTAAGAAAACTGGAACTTAGAGATTTTAAAAGATATTCCTTGGAGATGATGAAAAGAAAATCCACAGTCCAGTTTGGAAAAATTAAACAAAATTAAATGGGTTTCTTTATAGGAGAGTTTCTCAGAATCTTTAATATGCTAACATGAATTATGATGCCTCAAAAGAGGGATGAAATTTGGAATAGTTCCTAGACTTGTTTGATCATGGAAAGCTTTCCATCCCCTGTAGATGTCTATTACACTAACATTCTCTTACGTAGTTCAGAGCACACTAATGCAGGGGATTCTTCATCAAGTCTTGTGGAACTTAAGGCCTGCTCCCTAGTTGTAAGCTATGCACTTCCAGGTGCTACATGACCTCTTTTAACTACTGTGTATAATCAATGTGCTTAATTGAAATTCAAAGATGAATACTAATCCCCCCCCCCCCCCACCATTTAGGGAATATTCTTCTACTTCCAAAAAAAGGGGCAGCAAGCAGCATGATTACTGCTTAGATTTTTTTTCCTTTAAATTTATCTGGGGAGATACTTGCTGAAAGAATGAATACAAAAAACGAACCAATGAATTCAAGGATATTATGTATAATAATAACAGAACTTCAGGGAACACATGTTAAAACAAATGAGTTGGCTGATATCCAGGAGCCACATCTAGGACAATGGATATCTAAGTCCCCATTTGATCTGACTGTGAAAAGATGGTGGCCCTGAAATGAGCCCTGAGGATTAGCCATCTGGGAGCAGAGTTGCTTCGTACCTATGGCGTGCAGAAAGCCTGCAGTAAGGACTTGTATATATATTACAGGAATGCTGATACAGATCCTCTCTATTTTAATCGTCCTGTATTGTCTTTCAAAAATCCTGAGAGCAAATGAAAAATTATTGTCTATAAAGTAATTTACTTCACTTTAAATCCTAAATGGATATGAACGCATTTAGTGGCTTACAGAGCCTGAGGGAAGTATGAATGCTGGAAATGGAGCCAAGAACCTGTACTGGTTAATAAAGCAAATCAATCAGTGTCACATACCATCTCCAGGGTCTACAATTTCAACCGTTGCCATTTCTGGAAACTCCAGTACAGCCATGAGAGGTTCAGACAGAATGATCTGGAAGGTCTCTGAAGTCTCATATTCATTGTCAGGTATAATTCTCACCCTCCATGTGGCTGTAGTCTGTCCAGGATTGAACTGGATCTGTTTATTGGTCTTCCATTTGAAATCTTTGTCTTTTTTTGCAGTTTCATCTTTGGTACCAATGCCTGAATAAAAATCAGAAAACTATAAATATAAAGCCAAGTGACTGAAGGCATAGTCTCCTTTCAAAGTGGTTTCTATTGTTAACAAAAGTAGATAACATAGAAATTGTTTCTTTTAATGCTCCCAAAAGACACTTGTAAATGATCTTTCTTGGCTAAGAGAGTGTAAGTAAGCAGAATTGAATAGAATTGAGAAGAAAACATGGAAGGGGGATTGACAGAAAGAAGAGAACAGAGAGCAATCTTATTTAACTTATTTATTCTAGCACATGTTTATTGAGATCCTTTGATGTGCCAAACTCTGCCAGATGCTGGGGATTCAGAGATGAATAAGAAATTGTCCCAGCCCCCAGAAAGTTCATAGTCTCAAGAGAAAGATACTAGAATATGAGCTCTATGGCGGTAGAGATCTTTGACCGTTGTGTTCACTGATGAATTCCTGGGAATTAGGACAGTGCATGGCAGGTAGTAGGTATTCAATACAAATTTTTGAGTGAATATTTTGTATCTGATAATTTCAATTTCTGCAGCCTTTGGAAGACTGACCCTGAAGGTTGTTTCCTCTTGCTGATTCTTACTCATGGTGGCTTGTTTCCTCATATGTTTAGTGATTTTTTGATTGTAAGAGAACTCTTAGTAATTTTTCAGGCAATTAGTGCAATGTTGGTGAAAATGGAGAGAGGCAAGAGATTTGAGCTCTGTTAGGAAATAGTAATTAGTAACTTACTGAAGATACGAAACAACAACAACAACATCAACAACAACAAAATAGTGTTAAAATACCCAATGTGAGATACAATGGTGAAAAGTGCTACCCCATCAAGACTAAATAGACCTTCCTCTCAACCCAAAGTGTTCAAGCAGCATTCTAATATTGTTTGGTCTTGATTTTAACATACCAAGAAAACAATACCCATGCCTCACCACTTAAGTCCCATTATAAGGGTTAGTTACATTCTGCAGTTGTGTGGATGTGTGAAATCAAATATGGTAACCTGACACCAGCTATGGTGAAAACTTGATATAAAATAAGATTAATAGCCCCCCCATGCAATTCCTTGGCCTCATACTCAAATAATCTGAAACTTGTAAAAGATACCCGAAGCTATAGAGCCTGAAAATAATTTCAAAGGTAGGATAGCTAGTGTTGCCTTTGCAAATCTGCTGAAGAAAGCCTGCATTAATATTAGTTTGGTGACTGAGATTGAATGTCCAATATTTAGGAAGAGCCTCCTTTGGCCACATGTTGGAAGTGGGGAACATAAAAAAGAGTGAATGGTGTCCTCAGCCAAAGCTTAGGTAGAGCTAAGTGGAGCTGCTATAGGAATGAAGCAGGCACATGGTGATTTACTTAATGTTTGATGAACATTGTCTCTGTGTGAGGTGCTGAGGATGTCACACAGAATTAGGCACAGCCACCACTACCCTCAAGAGGTTTTCAATTTTGGGAGAGGCAAACAGATAAACAGGTGATTTTAATTGTGTTTGATGAGTGCCACAGAATGGTATTTATCACTTCTTGAGCATTGGCGGTATGCCAAGAACTGTGCTAGATTGATTTATAATCATTATTACGAATTCCCCTCAAACACATCGTGAGATGGATAATTTACTTACACATAAGGAAACTGAACTCTTTTGAAAGTCACAAAAAAGAGTAAGTGACAGAGCAGGAAGTCGAACTCCACCATTTTGTTTCTTTTTTCTTCTGGATCCTGTGGTTCGACTATTAGCCTGGGGTGGAGTTGGGGTATCAGAAGGACTTTCTGGAGTGTCTGATTGAGATGGTTTAGAGGTTCCTGTCTGTGATGTTGAGTAGTATTGTGATTTTAAAGAGTACTTACGGAACAGAAGGGCTGGCTGTAGTTTACTTAACAACAAATATTGGTGACTACCATATGCCCCATGCTGTTCTTGAGGTTGGACATAACCCAAGATGTAGTTCCTGACCTTATAAAGCTGAAATCTACTTGGGAAGACAAATAGACACATGATCCATGCCAATTATGGTAAGTGCTGTGAAGAACCATACAGCAGTGCATGTAGATAGAGTATGGCAGGGGTGCTGGTTTGGACAGGGTGGCCAGAAGGATTTCCAAAGGGTTCAGTTAGGGCAAACATTCAAATGGTTCTGAGCAGATGAACTTTTTTTTCTTGGGTCAGGATACAAATATCCTTCTTGACATTTTAACCCAAACTCACAAGAAAGCCTTGAGATAAAGAATTGTGGAAGTAGGGCCTGACAAGAGGAGGGAGGCATATTTCAGCTGACATTCCTGGCAGCGAGTTCCACCATGTGTTGATGTAGTAACCTGGAATGTAGGCCGAGGCTGAGGGCCACCCAGAAGTCAGGGTGCTCTTTGGCTGACCCCTTCTCCTAGGAGAACAGTCCTATTTTAGGAGCTCTGGGCCTGGAGCAGAGACTAGGGAAAGCTTCCCTTTCCTTGATTGCTTGTTTTCTCTCCAGCTCATTTCTTCCCTGGCTTCTCTCCAACAGTTTTGATATACTGCCTCGGCTCTGAGTGGGGTCCTGCATGTCGAGGAAACTCAATGCTTATTTGTAAAATGAAGACAATATAACCCTATCTGTCTTCTTAATAGATTATGTAAATAAAGGCAAAATGATTTCTGAAAGTTCTGGCAGCTAAAGATGTTATGAAAATACAATGCCTTATTAGAACAACTACTGTTAATTGTTAATGATGATAATCAGATATAGTATACCGGCATTATGTATGTGTTTACTCCAAGAAAACATATTTCTGTACTAGGTCCTTGTAGAACATAAAGAAATTTGACACCGTACATGTCCTCAAGGAATTTATAACCTACTAGCAAGGTTAAAACAATTATACATAATCAAAAGAAATATATAGAACTAAACACAGTAATGGATCATGTACTCATAAATAATTTTTCAAAAGAAATAGCTAAAAATATATGCTTAAAACAACTTTTAAGGAAATTGAGTGACTTGAAGATTGTGGGATGGCTATGAAGTGTCTTAATTTTCCTGGAGACTGGTGAGTTATAAAAGAGAGAAAGATGTAACTTGCTAGAAAGAGGAAAACAGGGGAAAGATGATAAAAATTGATACATATCTAAGCCCCATAACTCACATGGAGCAAAAACCACGGCACATTTTCACAGACACTT
The DNA here is from genome assembly GCF_000001405.40 of Homo sapiens. NCBI lineage: Eukaryota > Metazoa > Chordata > Mammalia > Primates > Hominidae > Homo > Homo sapiens. Next base: position 143,627,492 of record NC_000004.12, read on the forward strand.
TTTTAGAGATTTCTCCAAACCAGTTCTTTATTCTCTTTCAGTATACTTTCTTGTAATTATTTTTAGTCCCAGATTTCATGTTTCCATGACCTTTTACCAACAACCAATCCAAAGTTACTTACTGATAAATGATGTTTCTCCAAGGTATCCTCTGCGTGTAAGGGTCACTTCTAAGAATGTGGAATCTTCATCCACAATGTAGTACTCTTTCTCCAAACAAATCCAAGCCCAGTTTAGATGGAAAGGCTGATTTGTTAGTTTATTTCCTCCTGCAATTGATAGGGGCAAAGGAAAAGTCAGCTGGAGTATTTGATGGCAATATTCAATGATCAATGTGTGCATTTTACTTCTGAAACCAAGGGTTTCAAAACATACTCGTTTTATTTTATTTTATTTTTTTGGTAGAGAGAGGAAATGTTGTTTGCTTTTCTAGAGGATGTCATGAGTGGCATCTTAAGCCCTATTCCTCCTGCTTAATCTGGAGGGAGCCAGGTGCCTCCTATTCCCAAAGGGTCTTGTGCATCAGGGTTCCAAAGAGCCAGAGCTTGGTAGTTTTAAATTCAGGTCATACTCAACACCTCTATCGTTTCCTCCCTGCCTGTTGTCTTCACTTTCACTCCCTCTGCCTCCTCCATTTTTTCTCTGCCCTTACTTACTCCTTTATATTATTTGAGCATCCATTTGATCTCATATTAGTCTGGAAGTTCCTTGAAGGCAATACCAACATTATATTTACCTATTTTATCACTTTCAGGACATAGTATGATGTATTGAACTTATACACTCTAATGTTTAAAAACTACCCATGAAGAGGACAATAGACAAGGGATATAAGGGCTCTATCTTATTTCCTCTTGTCCACACCGAGTCACTGGCCTCTTTCTGAAAGATCAACCCAGCCCCTTATTGTGGCTGTGTAATGTTTGTGTATTGGTAGCAAGAGAAGGTCTCCCTAATCTGGGGAGTGGTTGCTACAAATAATCACCCGTGAAAAGATGTTGAAGTAGAAGTCTTTATGACTGAGTTTCAACTGATGGGCCAATATGATAGATACCAGATACCAAAGTGACTGTGTATGAACTTTACCAAATACAGCTTTACTAACCAGTTCCACAGTTACTGGACCCCTTAATGAGATCAAGCATATCAAAATGGGGCAGTGTGTGGACTAGAAAGAAGAATTTGTGAAGAGAGTACTTTAGAAAAAGCTGATGCCATGGTGGAAATCCCTATTATCACCAAAAAGGGTATGGGTATGAGATGGGGCTACAGCCTTGACCTCCAGCCTACAGGGCTTCAGTGAACCTCCTGGAGAGCTTGACATCTCCTTCTATAGTTGGAGTCCATGTGACTTACTCATTTCCAAAAAAGATTGGCAGGGTAAAGGAGTGAGTGGAGAGCGCTGCATTGGGAAGCAGTCGAGTAGCTTTGAAGAGCAGGACAAAGAAAGCAGGTATATGGACTAGAGGTGGGTCATCTGTCCAGTAGGGCCAGTTAAGGAGGCAACAGGGTTTCCACAGAAAGGAAGCTGGGAGCCAACCACCAGATTCCCGTGGGTTGCACAGGCGGTAAGAGACAAGGAGGCTCTAAAGATAGGAATCTTCAAGGAACCCATGAAAACACCAAGTAAGGAAGGGGTCCCCTTTAAAGAGCTGCCACCCAGGGACCTCCAACAGCAGATGGCAATGATACTTTCTATACCAGACTGTGCTCTGCCTACCTTATCTCCTCTCTTTCTAGAGTCAACCTTGGAAGAGCAATACCTTGCTAGTAAGTAAAGGGAACCATGAGCATGGAAAGAGGGAAGCTGGCCTCAGCCCTCCTTCGCACTGCAGGTTCTGATCTATAGTTGCAAAGAAGGATCAGTAGAAAACAAGCACTGAGATTTAATCCTACTTGGGCTTAAAGGAACTCACTGATGTGTAATTGCAAGATAAATGCATATGTTGATTTTCATGTTTACTCTCTATAGTTTTCTCTCTCTTTAAAAAATAACATTATTGATACTATTGTGGATATTCTGATAAATACAGAAAAATACAAGACAAAAGCGCTCAAAATCCTACTGCTATTTTTTAAAAACCATATTTTTTACAGTTTGAAAACACTTTAATTATTCATGTATGTAGTCCTTTAGATTTTGAAATCCCATGTCATGACAATAGTTTATATTTACTTTTTTTGTGTCTTTTTCATAGTTCTTTTATATACTGTCACATGTTTTATTCTACAAACCCATTACAGAGTATGGCAAATATTAATCTCAATTTATAACTGGACAGTTTCAGGAGGATGAGGCAATTTGACCAGGTCCCCACAGGTGAGTGGTGAGGCCAGTTTTGCAGTCTGCTAGTCCAGTGCTCTGTCTTTCACTCTGAGCTGCCATTCCTGTGGGTTAGAGATCAATGCAACACAAACGCTTCAAAAGCAAAGTAGGAAAAATCTATTGCAGATCAGACCCTCTGAATAAAAACATGCACAGTGAGAAGGGTTTAACAATTAGAGACAGATACACCTCCAGATTCCAAACAGCTAATTTGTAGTCTTGTGATGAAGAGCATAGACTCCTGAGTCACATGGACCCAGGTTCTGGGCCTGCCACTTATGAGCCATTTGATCATGAACAAATTATGGATCTTCAGTTTCTTCATCTGTAAATGTGATAATAGCATTATGTGCTCAATAGGATTGTTGTGAGAATCAAAGAAAATAATGCTACCAAATGACCGGCACAAATTAGGTGCTCAATAAATGTGGGTTCTTATCATCATGGTTTTAAAACAGCATAAGATTAATTTACACTAGGCTATATTGCTGCTTTTGACTTTGCTTTCACTACTGACTGGTTAATACATCTTTTAAAAAGTGGCTAGTTTCATAGGAACAGCCTGTGTTAGAACTTTGAACTCCTCTTTTATTTTAACATTTTTCTTTTTAAAGCACTTTCTTGTCACATTTCATATTCCTTTGCAATCTGCCTATATTTTGCCTGCCCCCATACCAGACAACACTATTGTTACTATTTTGTTGAAATTTTAGTATGCCTTGAGCAAGATAAGAAAATATGAAAGCATCATCCTCTTCAAGCATGAGCTCCTTAGTCACTGTAACCTGACATCACCGGCTAATCAATGCTTTCTGTGACCACATGCTTGCTGTTAGGCACCATATCAATTCACTTTCTAGAGAAATGAGAAAGACAAACATGGTCTGGGATAAATAAGAAATATTCTGTGTTTCAAAACATTTAAAGGGAACCTACTTTAAACCAAGTATGTTAGGAGAAAGAGGCTGGTAGGAATTGTTTCTAGTTCTAGATGAATCCAAGAAGGTGAAGTCCATCTACAGATGTTTTAAAGCCCTATTTATTAATATTCCTTAATAAAATTAACCTTAGAAATAGGGAAGTAAATAGCTAAGTAACAACTCAATGGGGTTTTGGCCTAAAGATACCAGTGGCTAAAATGCAGTAAGTACATGTATTGGCCAGAAAAAAGACTGTCCATCAGAAGTCAAAATAATGGTGATGATAGAGCAGAAGAGAGTTTTCATTAAAGTATTTTCTCTTTCCCTTCTCTATGAAGCAACACAAATCAGAGATAAATGGCTCCCTGGTGTATTGGTCATATCCTACAAATTGATCCCAAATACCAACTTCTTGTTATCTGCTAAAAAGGTTCTTTTATTCCAATTAAATGTGAATTTGTGCCAAAGACAATATTATTTGATTCTGGGGCTGGCTTAGTTCCTAATGCTTAAATCTTGAAGGAGCTACCATTGCAATTTCCAGTTTACTACAGGAATAAACATCCAGAAAAGTTGTGTTATTATAATGCTGTATTTATTTATTTATTTATTTATTTATTTGTTTATACAGAGTCTTGCTTTGTCACCTAGGCTGGAGTGCGGTAGCACCGTCTCAGCTCACTGTAACCTCCACCTCCCAGGTTCAAGTGATTCTCCTGCCTCAGCCTCCTGAGTAACTGAGATTACAGGCAAACATTACAATGCCTGGCTAATTCTAAATAGTAGAGATAATATCTATACATTTTTATTTCCCTAGTGTGTGCATTGACCTTCAGGATTCTCTAATCCAACTAGAAAATAAGACGTGTATATGAAACTGTTAAATTACAACACAAGGGCAATATGATTGTGGATAGAAATGAATGGAGCAAAACAAGTAGAAAGGAAGACTTCCTGGGATGACTGGGCTGGGAGAGATGGGTAGAATTCTCTTTGCAGAGAAGGAGGGGCCATTTTAATATGGAGGGAGAAGAAGGTAGACTTAGGGGAAGCAGACTGAAGGAAACTTACAAGGGCATGGTACATTCTTAAAAATTTGTAATGGTATTCTTTAGTAAAACGTACTGTTTCTAAGGCATGACCAGACTACTTCAGAATGAATTCAGGAAGATTTCTGATTGTCAAAATACTTATGTGCATTTACCACAAAAAGAGTAATTCTGATAACCTAAAAACATTTCAGGCACCCTTTCAGTTCCTTTGGCTTGACAATTATAATAAAAAATGTGTTAATGCACTCCAGAATTCTCTTGTAGATCTAAGTTATAGTCTAGGTTTTTGAAGGATGATTGATGAAAAGTTACAATTAATTAATTAAGCCATCCATTCAGTTATTCCACCAATATTTATTGAATACCTGTTATATGCTATTGACTCTTCTAAGTGTTGAGGATAGAACAGTGAAATCAAAAAAATCCTTGTTCTTGTGTAGCTTACTTTCCAGTGGGCCAATAAGCAAATAATGTATAATATAGTTGATGGTGAAAGTGCTATGCAAAAATCAGGATAGTTGGATAAAGCATAACTGGGAGAATCAGAAGGTAATAGTTTATATAGAGTGGTTAGAAAAGGCTTTCCTAAAGGGGTGATATTTGATAAGAGATTGGGGGAAAGAATATTTCAGGCAGAGGGAAAACAAGCACAAAAATAAATATGTCCATATTTTAAAAGTAATCAATATTCTGTCATGGTCAAAGGCTACTTGGTCTCCATTCCCTTCGGGTGCCCTTTTTATTCCTATCAATCAGTACCTATCAATCAGTACTTAAGAAGGTGGTCTGGCTTTTTCAGGCCAGTAGTATTCATTAGGGACATTTAGTTAATATGATTTTGTTTTGTAACTATTCTGCAGCTTTTGAACTCCCTGTCCATATTTGGAGGATTTGGGATTTGATGAGTCCCTCACCTATAGCAGGAATGTCCAATCTTTTGGCTTCCCTGGGCCACATTGGAGGAAGAAGAATTATCTTAGGTCATACATAAAATACACTACATAACAATAGTTGATGAGCTAAAAAAAAAATCCAAAAACCTCATAATGTTTTAAGAAAGTTTACGAATTTGTGTTGAACCACATTCAAAGCCATCCTGGGCTGCATGTAGCCCACAGGCCATGGGTTGGACAAGCTTGACCTACAGGAAGGAATTAGAAAATATCATTTTGCAGCCTCTCTTACAGCTAGGGCATAAGCTTGTCACTTAGGCTTTGCCAATGTAGCTTGAGACTTTGATTTAAAAGTGTACAATGTGAGGAGGCTGCAGGTCAACTGCATAGAGTCCATATTTTGGTGAGGGTTGCAGTGGAGGCACTTGGTTTTCATGGGCATTGGTAGCAGAGATCTAGTGTCCAGTGACAACTGTACCTAGTGGCAACGGTCATCCACAGAGTGCTGTTGGCATTCTTTCTAGCTGCATGTCCTGTCATTCTGTCTCTCTGGCATCCTAGAGATACTACTAAAGCTTATCACTATGCCATAATATATTTGTTTATTTAAATAGCAATGATATTTAATAGGACTTAAATAGCAATGGTAGGTTTGCAACTAGGAAAATTCTCTTGTAGATCTAACTATATTCTAGGTTTCTGAAGGATGATTTATGAAATATTACAGTTAACTAAGCCATCCATTCAATTATTGCATAAATATTTATTGATCACCTGGTATATGCTGTTCCCTCTTCTAAGTGTTGAGGATAGAACAATGAAAACAACAAAATCCCACAGCAATGAACTTGTTTTTGTCTTGTTGTGTTTGTAAAGGAATAAGAAGACATTGAATAGTGAAGGTGAAAATGATTAGCATAACGCCTGGCATGCAGTAGGCACTCAAGACACTGGGTACATTAAAGCTATATTAATATTGATGCAATGCACACATTTTAATGGACATGTAGGAGAAAATAAGTACAAATTGGTGTTTTGGAATGCATAAATCAATTACATACAGAGAACTGATTATTTGCTCATTTACACAATATATAATTACTTTGAAGTCAAACCGTACATCAGGCACAATCCTAAGCGTCGCAGATAAAAAGACATGTCAGGTATGGGCTCTTCAGAGAGGATATTGACAGGCTTCATGAAATAATAAGAGCTTAAGCATTAAAACAGTGACAGTGGAAAGGGAAAAGATGGGTTAAAGAAAAATGAAGGAAGAACCATCAGGCTGTAGGAGATGACTAGCTCTGAGAGTTATGGGGACTGTAAAAAAAATGACTCACAGAGCCCAAACAGGGCAGCTGGAGGAGTTGTGTAGGTATAGTAGTACAGCAGTATAGATATAGCAATAGCTGATTTAGAGAAGCCAGGAAGGAAGGTAGCTTGGGAGTTTGGTTTTAATTTGGCTTTGATGTGATGATAAGAAGCCCAAGTACAAAAACTCATCAGATATTTGGATATATGGGACAAAGGTTTGGGGACAGCCAAAGGCAAGACACGTAAATTCAGGAGTAATTATTATGCAGGGAGTTTCTGAGAGAGAGGTTTAAAGTTGGGTTTCTGAAAGTTTAACAATAGAGAGCTAAATATATATTGTACAATCTTTGTATTTTGTTAGGCATTACTCTCAAATGATCTAGGCAATTGTGGAGTTGGATAAGAAGATTTATAGCTAGTGGGACCCCAGCGGCTTATCTGACATAAGATACCCCAGGGGCTCTGAGTTAGCTGATTCAGCCATCACCCTTTTTCACCCTCTCTCAGACCTGCTACTGGGGTATTGATGGACAGCTGGCCACCCCTGGACTTTGAAGCTCCAAGCCAGAAGCAAGATGGAGGAAAGGGCTTCGTCTTCATGACACATCCTGCCTCCTCATGTGTGGCTCCGACTGAGAGTCCCCTTCTGGCTGTGCATAATCACTTGCTGGAGAAAGGGTGTGAGGGGAAGGAAATGAAATATTAGAAAGGGAGAAGCTGGGCTGGGCCAGGGAAACTGCTAAGACGAAGGCTCGTTGTGTGAGGGTCAGTTACAGGCTCCCTGACTTCTGAAGTCAGGGAATTGTGAGGGGGTGTGGGATTCTGAAGTCAGGAAATTGTGAGGAGGTGTGGGATGAGGGGATGTCACTGTGGTCCTTCCAAATGGAGGCCAGAGAGATCATTGCCTAGACCTTAGCTATGCCCCCACAGGCTTCAGTTGGGAGAACTCAACTTCCTCCCTCAGACCTAGCAGCAGGCAGTCAGCCAGATGATGCATTAACAATTGTATTCTGTGTGTGAGAGGTGGTTTACTGTGTAATAAATAAGAGTGCAGATTCTGGACTGTATGAAAACCCAATTTATGTAAGTCAGGGACTTTGTGTAGCTGACACTATGTACTTCAATGAGGGAGACACTGTAGAAAAAGAGAACCAAGAACTAAACTTTGGGGACAGTTTCATTTGGAAACCAGTGAAGAAAAAGAAATCAGTTACAAAATAGAGAATAAGAAATATTTGAATTAGTTTTATCACAATGTGGAAGTCTGGTATAAAATGATCACCTAGAAGTAAAAAAGAATAGCTTGAAGCATAAGTATAATTTTCACATCAAAGCATGACACTTTGTTATTTGCTATATTAAGCTGTTGTAGCTACGTATGTAGTTATACTCTAGTGCATGATTTTCCATCTCAGTACTACTGACATTATGGGCTAGATAATTCCTTTGTGATGGTAGCCCTGTGCATTGCAGAATGCTCAGCAACCTCCCTGGCCTTTACCTCCTAGATACCAACAGCATTCCCTCCCTGCTCCTCCTCATCCTCAATTGTGACAATCAAAACTATCTTCGGACATTGCCAAATGTCCCCTGGGGGGAAATCACCACTGATTAAGAACTACTGGTGTAGGTGAAATGAAATAATTTTACTGAATCTGATACAAATCTTCATATATCTCACATGACTGTGTTTTAGAAGAATGATAAAACATTTTAGATTTGAATTTGGCGTAGATAATCAAACACTCTCTATTGAATTCAAAAGGTAGTCTTAGCATTGCCTAAATTAATCCAAGGAAAATCATAATATAAAACTGTTTTCCATGTGAGAAAATCAGAGTTTACAAGTCATGAAGAAGAGCTATTTAGTGGGGTTTGATTTACCATCACACTTTTTTCAGACAGTATTTTGAAGTGGAAGCATCAGGTTGTCAGGTTCAGTTGGCAAGACCTGACACTGTTCACTCACACAGTAGCTCTCTGGCCTTAGGCAACTTCTCATCTGCTCCCTCATCTATAAAGTGGGGGTAAAGAGGTGCAAAGAAACATTGTGTGTGAGAGACCTCAGAAGTAGGGGAGTGCAGGACAAATATCATCTTTATAACTTAAGCTTTTATTATTAAATTCCTTTCTTCACATCATAAAACAGTAGAAAACATTGTTTTTGTTTTTTTTTTTAAACTACATAGAATAAAATTGATGTCCTAATGTTCTAAAGAAAAAAAAAGAAAGGAAAACATATAACCTCATACTGGGAAATGAGAGTAAAGAGGGACCAACATGCACCAGATGCCCATTACGAGGTAAATATTGGGCTGGGCACTGTGCAGCCTGTCCAAAAAAAAAAAAAAAAAAAAGACATGGAGAGATGGTCAAGCTGAAGGAGACAGGAATCAGTAGAAAGGCTCTGATAGGACCAGCCAGTACAAGAAAATGATTTGAGTGCACAGTAAAGTGAAGAAAAATAGAAATCTGAGGAATAGGAATGGCTTAGAAAGTGACTATTAAAGTAATAATAGAGAAAAACATCCAACTGCAGAATTTTTAACTTATCAAAATGTGAAGAGCATAATGGCATTTATGTTTTCACAATTATTTCCCATTAGGTTAAAAAATATGGGAAAAAGACATCAAGTATTTTACCTAAATACTATATTTAGGAAGATTTAATTTTGATATAACTTAATTACTAATTCTAATTTCTAATATAATCTCCTCTTTTAAAAGTGCAATAATTTGAAAAATAAACACAAAAATAAAAACAAAATAAAAAGATTATATACCACTAAATAAATTTTGAAAATGCATTTAATAAATGCTGACTCTCAAATAGGTAAAGTCATTTACCAAATGATAAAGTGGCAGCCACTGTCAAATGTTAAATGTTTATGACTTAAACTTGGAAAAAATTTTAGTTGACTAGGATATTCTATCTTGAGTGCTTAATAACTTAAAGAAAAATTAATATTATATATGCTTATGTTTTCTAATACTTCATAACATTTTCAAATAGCTTCATTGTCATAAGCATTTAGCTTCTACAGCTCACACCATAATGTAGTTTTAAAGTGTATTTGAATTCCATAAGCACCCATTCATCATGCATTTGGAAACAATACCTTTACTTAGCAATTGTCACATAGTGTCAGTTAGTATCATTGTCATTTGGAAAATGCTTCACAGTGAGAAATGTGTTACTCTGACTTGTGACTTCACATGCACAGCTCCAGTTACATGTCTACAGATGATAAATATAATGGTCTTTTTTTCCAATAGAACTATAAATTTAAGGAAAAGAAAGTAACTTGGAATAGAAGAATTGGCAGATTAGGTAACAGAAAAAGCCAAACTGCATGTCAGCTAGGTCTCCATTTTCTTCCTCTGGCTATCTCCCATGTTCCTGGAGCTGTTGGTAGCAATTTCAAAAATGTGTCTTATTGGTTGAAATTTGCCATATTCCCTTCCCAAATAAGGGTATTATTCCACTTGATTGTCCAGTTCCATTTCTCAGGCTTTTGCTTAATTCACTTCTATTTATTCAACTGTTCACCGGGTCTCCCTGATTGTGCCCTCTTAGTGCTTCAGGGTGCCACCACTCACATCCTGGAGCTTGGAGGGACAGGTGGCTCTCTTTTTGGAGACTGCAACATTACAGGCTCATATCCATTCTCTTCTTGAGGAACAATAGGCTATTTTGTGCAACCGTACAAAATAACCCATAGGTTTTTCAGAAAAGAGGGAAAAAACCAAAAGAACAACAAAGATATGAGATTTATGTGGTCCTTTTCCTAGTTGTATTCTCCTAAGCCGCAGAGATGCCACTCACAGACAATGCTCTTAAATCCACCTCTGCAATCTTTGGACATGTGGGGCAGGTGGTGGAGGGAGAGGTCTTTGTGCTCACATGGTTGGTGGGTGGGGAGAGAAGAAGGTGGCAGGTGTCAAGACTGCTAGCTCTAATTCTGTTCACTGAGAGGTGTTTGGTGTATTCTTTTTGGAGATGTACCCAAACTGTCTTGATGATATATTTGGCTCTCCGTTTTGGAGAATAAAAACCCAATATGTCATGCTATGTATAACAATACAAGTTTTCGTGCCCTTTTTCTCCTTCTTAAATTAGTGTTCTTCAATATAAGGACAGCGGAAACAGTGTGAAATAATAAAGACCACAAGCTTTTCTTAGATTCTTTTGCATGCCTCAACAGGGACACCACATTCTGCTTTTGACACAAAATAAAATTACCCAAAGAAGTCTCAAAGCAAGACATTAGAGAGTTTTTAAAAACGATTATATTAGCAGAAGCTTTCAATTAGTAGCAAAGTGGAAATACACTGCGTGCCCACATGGGCCATCTCTTTTTGGGAGTTGAGGCTCCACATGGCTTAACTGGAAGGCAGAAAACATTGTACCTTCTCAGGAGCATACAAGATTTAAGGAGGAGGTTGAAACAAACTCTTTATTCCAGAGAAAACAATATAATATAATGTAATATGATATAGTTAATATAGCAACTTATTTAGAGATAAAAAGAATCATGCTCATTTTCGGATACGATCTTGAGTCCAGAGCAAGTGACTGTGAACTTTCATGTACTGAACTAGAGGGTCCTCTTCTCCTTTTGAATCTCACTCTATTTTCTTGTCCTTCCCCATTGGCGGTAAAGACTATGTTTGATCCCTATGCTCTAGGGCCAGGGACACCAGAGTTTGCTGTGTCCTTACCAATCTACCAATTAAACATACTGTCCAGAACATAGTCTTGATTTATCATTATTGAGAAGACACAGATACAGAGTATTGTGACTCTGCGTAGTAGACTAAACAGGGCTCTGAGGCAGCAAAAGGAAATGTGGCCATCAGCATCACAGAGAGCTCATGACTGCCCAGGTGAGTGCCACACCCAAGTACATCATCTGCCCTTAGTATCACTTATTTCATAGTCGATCTTGTGATTGCTGTGTGAAATAATTTACATTTGCTTCCAAAATATTAATTTGGTAGTATCTTAAATTTTTTCTTCTGGTGATTCTTCCTTTTTGTGCTATGTAAGGATCCTTCTGTGTTGTTATAAGGATCAAATATGAAGATAGATGTGGAAGTTTTAGAAAACAGAATTTTCCTAAACCTAAGTTTGCAGAGTTTTCAGTAAGAAGAGAACAGTTCTTCACCCGCAGAAATCATAGAAGGAGATAGTATTTGGGAGGGAATCAGCAGGGTGAGTCCTTCTGTTAGATTGATCCAGAGGAAATTGTTATTTTCTTCAGGTCAAAAATGGGTGAATGTTCAGAAATTTCAAATAGTTCAACTTGACATACGGGCAGTGTCAGCATGTCGTGGGAACAGAACTGGACTGAGTGAGGAGATCTGGGCTGGAGTCTTGGCAACACCGCTAACTAAAGGTGTGGCCCTGGGTGAATCACTTACTTCGCAGGGCATCGTTTCCCCATCCCTCAGATGAGGGAGTGGAATTAGGACCTTTCTGAGTTCCTTTTCAGGTTTAACGTTCTGTGATTCTTTCTGCCCCCCTTAGCATGTGGCACCATTACAGCAATCCAGAAAACAGATTAACTTATTATGTCTCATTTTGGACAAATAATAATATCACTCAGCAAAAGTTGTTGTAACTTGATATATTAAGTGAGCTTTAAGCTCCCTGGAGGTCTAAGCTGTGTGAGGAGGGTGAATTCCCTAGAAGGCATACAAACTGTCTGGGAACAGAAGTGCACTGGCAAATCTAGAGGTGTAATCTTAACATTGACTGCATATTATCACCAAGTCTTTTCATATCCATTATCTCATGTGCAAATCCAATCCTTACAACAACTTTCAAGAGTGGGAACAGTCATACTTGATATTTGACAAATGGAGTACCTGCAGTTTAGTAACTGTGCCTTTCTTGAGGTCACAGTGCTAGTAAAAAAAAAATGTAAAAATAGGCAAAGCTCTCTACAGTCTGGATCCTTTCTACCTCTCCATCGTCTCCTACCTCTCTTACTGACTTTGGAGCACACAGGCCAGCGATACCAAGTTCTCATGCTGTTTCACATCTCTGAAAACTCTTATTCATCCTTGAAGGCCCTGTTTGAATGTTGCTTCTTAATGAAGCTTCCATGGGTAATGGTTTGTCTCTGCTACCCTTGCACATACTTCCTTTTTGCACCTCTCAGGGTACTGCAGTTGATTGTCTACATGTCAGTCTCTTTCCAGATTTGGAGCTGATTGCTCCAAATTACTCCAAGTGTCTTTTCACTTTGGAGTCCCTAGCACACAAGCACAGTTCCTGGCAATTAACAGGGGCTTAATCAATACCTGTTGAATGACAATGCTTTCTGGAGAAAAAAATGACCTAAATGTAGACTCAAAGAAGAATAGAATGAGCACTGCTAATAATTCAACCCATGTATAGTTTGTAAATGTATTACTTTAGTTATCTTGTTACATAACTATGTAGATAATGGGTTAAAAATTTCTGGTAACTAGCCTGACCAACATGGAGAAACCCTGTCTCTACTAAAAATACAAAATTAGCTGGGCGTGGTGACACATGCCTGTAATCCCAGCTACTCAGGAGGTTGAGGCAGGAGAATCACTTGAACCCAGGAGGTGGAGGTTGTGGTGAGCTGAGATCGTGCCATTGCACTCCAGCCTGGGCAACAAGAGTAAAACTTCATCTCAAAAGAAAGAATTTTAGTAATATAATATAAAGCCATTTTTTTTTCTAGTTAGCAACAGAACCAGTACCTATAGTCAGGCTTTTAGATTCTTAGCTTAGAGCTTCCATAAAATACTGTATGTACAGCCAGGCTGTGAACCAATCTTTAAGTTATGAGGGTCTTATTCTAGAGCAATCTTTAAAAAAATGATAAAAATGACTTACATGTCCGTAGTATATATTATTTAACTTTTTATTCAAAATCTAGCATTCTCATGTTCTATAAATTGATCATGTTACATTGGTCATATAGAGTTGTACTTGATTGGCATTAAAATTAGATAGTATAATAAATAAAAACAAATATTTCCTGAAAGCCATAATGCACTGTACATCTTAGAAACACCTGGTCCCAATCAAACTAAGCCCCTTTTCTTCCTTATACACATAGCAGACAGCCCAAGGGTGCCTGTGCTAATGTCAGTGAAAATAGGAGGTGTAAAAGCCAGAAACACTTATTTTTCTAAGAATACAAAGATAAATGTCATATCCCTACACAGCTTATGTACACAGTGTACTCAAAGGAGAAATAAGATGACTCCAACAACAATTTGATTCATAGATATGAGGAAAAGGGAAGCCACCTGAAGGTCTACATGAAAAAAAGGAGATAAAAAAGAAGCCTTGTAGAGGCATAAAAATAAAGTTCTACTGAACACAGCCCAGGTTTTAGAACCAAGTGTATTCACTAACAATTGTGAGTTTGGCTGAACCTTGGATCTATCTAACAAATCCTTAAGTGAATGGGGGATGGATGACCTCTGGTTGAGACTTCTTTTTGAGGTTTAATAAAACAATAATTAGCGAGGAAAGGTTGGAAGTTAAGTAAACCACAGCACAGCTCTGTAATCATAATATCCATTGTTAGTCCACACATTGCAAAAATAGCCAAACCAGAGATGTAACAGATGTCATTAGCCAAGTTCTTGGCCAACACTTATCAGGCTAAGAATACAAGCTGAGCTTTTCTTTTCAGGGGAAGCATTCCATTTGCCAGAAATTCCTTCCTGCCAGACCACAAATCAATAATTGTTAGTTAAATAAAAAGCTTCCACTTAACTTACACACTCTTGGGTAAAATATTCCTTTTTCTAGAAATAAAAATGCCCTTTATATAGCATAAGCTATAAATGATCCCAAAGGGTTCCACTAAAGCAATAAACTGTCAAATTCATAAATCTTATATACCCTTAAGGAAAATAGAACTGGGTCTGTTAGGCATCATTTTGAATGATGCTGTATAGAGAGGAAAAATTTTAAAGATGGCAGAATAATCATAGATGAATCATGTTCAGTGGCAGACTAAACTTGGATACTGCCTGCAGTCATGTTAAACAGAAATTCAGTTCAAAAACCATTTATAATACCTAGAAAGAAGCTTACCCCAAAAGGTGAAAGACCTCTACACTGAAAACTATAAAACATTGTTGAAGAAATTGAAGAAGACACAAATAAATGGAAAGATATCCTGTGTTTCTGGATTCTAAGTATTAGTATTGTTAAAATGGCCATACTACCCAAAGCAATCTACAGATTTAACACAATACAATCCCTGTCAAAGTACCAATGACATTCTTCACAGAAGAGATAACAATAATAGAATTTATATAGCGAGTAGCCAAATAATCCTGAGCTTAAATAACAAATTTGGAGGCACCACACTACCTGACCTCAAAATACACTACAAAGAAATAGTAACAAAAACAGCATAGTACTGGCATAAGAACAGACACACAGACCAATTAAACAGAATAGAGATCCAAGAAATAAATTCGTGCACCTGCAGCCAACTTATTTTTAGCAAAGGTAACAAGAACACACATCGAGGGAAAGAGTCTCTTCCATAAATGGTGCTGGGAAAATTGGATAGCCAAATGCAGAAGAATGAGGCTAGACCTCTATTTCTCATCATGTACAAAAATCAACTCAAAATGGATTAAAGAATTAAGTGTAAAACTCACAACTATGCAACTACTGGGAGAAAACATAGGGGATACACTTCATAACATTGGGCTGGGAAAGGGTTTTTTAAATAAGACCTTAAAAGCACAGGCAATGAAAGCAAAAATAGACAAATGGAATGACATCAAACTCACATGCTTTTGCACAGCAAAGGAAACAATCTACACAATGGTAGGAAGTGTTTGCAAACTACACATCTGACAAGGAGTTAATATATGAATATATAAGGAACCTAACAGCAAAAAAACACAAACAAACAAAATAATCCAGAAAACAATGGGCAGAAGGCCTTAATAAACATTTCTCAAAAGAAGATATACAAATGGCCAACGGGTATATGAAAAAGTGTTTAATATCACTAATTATCAAGGAAATGCAAATCAAAATCACAATGGGATACCACCTCACTCCAGTTAGGATGGCTATTATCAAAAAGACAAAAGTCAACAAGTGTTGGTGAGGATACAGAGAAAAAGGAACACTTACTGCTGGTAGGAATATAAAGTAGTACAGCAATGATGGGAAACAGTATTTTGGAAGTTCCTCAGAAAATTAAAAATAGAACTACCAAAGGATCCAGTAATCCCACTGCTGGGTATATATCAAAAGGAAATAAAATCAATATGCTGAAGAGGTATCTGCACTCCAGTGTTTATTGCAACACTATTTACAATAGCCAAGATATTGGATCAGTGTAAGTGTCCCAAAACAGGTGAATGGATAAAGAAAATGTGGTATAGAAACACAATGTTTTATTATATAATATATAAAGTATATAAATATAAACACAACCATAGAAAAGAGGAAAAATCTTGTTTTTTAAATCATGTTGTTTACAACAACATGAATGAACCTGGGAGACTTCATGTTAAGTGAAATAAACCAGACACAGAAATGCAAATACTGCACAGTCTCACTTGTGGGATTTTTTTTTAAAAGTTGGTGTCATAGAAACAGAGAGCAGAACAGTGGTTATCAGAGACTGGGGAGGGCAGTTGGGAGGGGAGGATGAGGAGAGGCTGGTCAACAGGCAGAAAGTTACAATAAGGTGGGAGAAATAAGTTCTGGTGTTCTGTTGCACAGTAGGGTGACTCTGGTAAATGGTAAGGTATTGCATGCTACAAAATAACTAGAAGAGAGGCTTTTGAATGTTCTCACCACAAAGAAATGAGAAATGCATGAGGTGATGGATACGGTAATTACCTTGATTCGATCAGTATTTAACACATACATTATGGAATTATCAAATTGTACCCTATAAATATGTACAAGTACAGCATATCAATTACAAATTATTTAAAATATATTTTATTAAAATGAAAATAGTTTTGGGGACTTTGGATTGTATATACTGTTTTATGAATTATGCTGCTGCATAATTTAACATAGGATACTGTTATACGATGATCAGGAGCATCCAAACACGGACAGAAATTGACAAGAGAACAATCCAGGCTCTTGGTCTCTGTAACTTTCTGTTAATCTTATTCCCCTCCTGCTCTGCATATGTGTGTGTGTGTGTGTGTGTGTGCGCGTGTGCATTTGCACACGTGTTTCTTTTCCCAGGGCCGCTTTCTGTTTCTTTTATCTTGCCCTTCTCCGTGTATCTGCATCATCTTCCTATTTCTACTTTTTTGTCTTTATGCATACGTGAGCTCTTTCCATTTTCCGTAAGGTCATTTAGTTTTGTATACACTATCCTTAAAAAATCTAAAATATAAAGAATGAGTATCTAATAATAAGCATCCACGAAGAGATTTCTCAATGTATTTGTTTCCTTTACCATGTCTCTGGAGTCAAACCTTGTAGATCCCTGGAAATTTGTGATAAAATCTCAAGGTAATGCTTCACTTCCACATCTTTAATTGAACACAGACACAAAAATGGGCATGATCTCTGAGGTTGTTTCCAGTCTTTAGATCAATAACTTTGAGTATAGTAATAATTATAATAATAGCTTCTATAATTTTACCTTTTTGAAAAATAACAAAAGGCAAGTTCAATCTACAAAGCATATAATTTTTAAAAAAGCATTTCTTGGAGTTTATAAGGAAAGTAAACATTTTCTCACAAAGAACATATAAACTTTATAGTACAAGCTATACAACAAAAATATGACTGCTCTGGCAAGCCAAGGTCCTCTGCCCAGCCATAGAGGTTCCATAGTTATATTAGGGTAGGTGGCCTTTTGGTTTCCCAGGGAAAGCCCAGGAAGAAGTTATAGATTGAGGATTAAAATGCACCATTTCCCCTCAAATCTGTCCTTTCCAAAATTATTATTACCATAATTTCTGATTCTGGCCTTCTTTCTATGTATTAGTAATGGGTGATAAAGCGAACTGGGGATAAGCATCACTAGTGAAAAGATAACTATTTCTTAAGTGAAGACACATGAATCTGCTTTTCTCATGCAGCTTGTACACGAGAGTCCAGCAGGACTGTGGCCCACCTCAACAGAAGAGGAACTGTGTGCTCCGTGAGGATGGTAAGATAATCATTGAAAGCCTAGGGGTTTTGCTAGTGTGGGGCGAAGACATTCATGGTCTGTGGAACTGTTTCGTAGCTCTTGCAAACTCTCTACTTAAACCTGAGAAAAAGAGGCACCAATTTACTCTGATTGAATTTTCATTCAGGGTACCTCTACTTGCTTCAAGAATGGTGACAACTTTTTGATGGAATAGTCACTGGGATAGTTAATTTCATGTGTCAATGCAGCTAGGCTATGGTGCTCAGTCTAGATGTTGCTGTGACAGTATTTGTGTATGCGATTAACATTTATAATTCGTTGACTTTAAGTAAAGCAGATTACCCTCCATAATGTTGGTGGGCCTCATTCAATCAGTTAAGAGCCTTATGAGCAAAGACTAAGGTTTCCCCAGTAAGCAATCCTACCTCATGACTGAAACATAGAAACCCTGCCTTACTTTCCTGCCTGCTGGCTTGTCCTGCAGATTTCAGACTCAAGACTGTAACATCAACTCTTAACTGAATTTCCAGCCTTTCCTACAGATTTTGTATCTGCTAGCCCCCACAACTGTGTCAGCCAGTAAATATCTATGTTTTATCTATTTATCAATCTATCTACTTATCTATCAATATATTGGTTCTTTTTCTGATTCTCTGGAGAATCCCAACTAGTATAGCTACTATGATATTCACCGCTTGCCTTTTTTTCTTCATCTGTGAAACTTTGCTAGATACAGGCATCTTACAAAATCTCATATCTTAATTACTTTTAATTATTATTTACATGTTTGGACCCTGTCTTCATGTTTTGTTTGCTTGTTTTAATTCAGTAAGGAGCATTTTGTATATGTATTCTTTGCAACAAGAACCCTTTGTAGGGGGAGATTTGCCCCTTCCCCAGTGAGAGAGATGAAGTATTTTAATGTTACCTAATTTGCCTAAAGCACTTTCATGAAGATTGAAACTCAGATCCTTCACTGGAGAATACATAATAATAACAAAAAAAAGAAATCCTCTGTTTATAAAAGTTGCCCAACATTTAAAATTATTGGAAAATATGAGGAAGAATAAGACATACAACATGAAAGCTTAAGAATGTTTTACATAAAATACACTGAATATTCATTCAAAGATCCTTCAGAGGAAAACTTGAGTTGCAAAATTGATGCATTAGCAAACATTACTTAAGGTATTAGGACATGCTGTATTTTTATGTACTAAGCATTAGTTGGTTTTCTTTTTTTTTAGAGACAGAGTCTGATATGATTTGGTTCTGTGTCCCCACCCAATCTCATCCTGAAATGTAATAATCCCCACATGTCAAGGGCAGGACAAGAGGGAGATAATTGAATCATGGGGGCAGTTTCAGCCATGCTGGTCTTGTGATAATGAATGAGTTCTCACAAGATCTGATGGTTTTTACAAGGGGCTTCCTCCTTCTCTCAGCACTCACTTCTCCTTCCTGCCACCAAGTGAAGAAGGACATGTTTGCTTCCCCTTCCACCATAATTGTGAATTTCTTGAGGCCCTCCCAGCCCTGCAGAACTGTGAATCAATTAAACCTCTATCCTTTGTAAATTACCCAGTCTCAGGCAGTTCTTCATCGAAGCATGAGAACAGACTAATGCAGTAAATTTGATACTGCAGAGAGTGGGGTTCTTCTATAAAGATACCCAAAAATGTGGAAGCGACTTTGGAACTGGACAACTGGCAGAGGTTGGAAGTTTGTAGGGCTCAGAAGAAGATAGGAAAATGTGGAAAAGTTTAGAACTTCCTAGAGACTTGTAGGGCTCAGAAGAAGATAGGAAAATGTGGAAAAGTTTAGAACTTCCTAGAGACTTGTAGGGCTCAGAAGAAGACAGGAAGGTGTGGGAAAGTTTGGAACTTCCTAGAGACTTGTTGAATGGCTTTGACTAAAATGTTGATAGTGATATGGGCAATGAAGTCCAGGTTGAGGTGGTCTCAGATGGAGATGAGGAACTTGTCGGAAATTGAAATAAAGGTGATTCTTGCTATGCTTTAGCAAAGAGACTGGTGGCACTTTGCCTCTGCCCTAGAGATCTGTGGAACTTTGAACTTCAGAGATATGATTTAAGATGTCTGGCAGAAGAAATTTCTATGTGACAAAGCATTCAAGAGGAAGCAGACCAGAAAAGTTTGGAAAATTTGCAGTCTGACAATGTGATAGAAAAGAAAAATCTGTTTTCTGGGGAGAAATTCAAGCCTGCTGCATAAATTTGCATAAGTAATGAGGAGCCAAATGTTAGTCACCAAGACAATGGGGAAAAATGTCTCCAGGTCATATCAGAGAACTTTGTGGCAGCCCCTCCCATCACAGGTCCAGAGGCCTAGGGGGCAAAAATTGTTTTGTGGGATGGGCCCAGGGCCTTGCTGCTTTGTGTGGTCTTGGGACTTGGTGCCCTGTGTCCCAGCTGCTTCAGCTCCAGCCATGCCTAAAAGGGGCCAACATACAGCGCAGGCCATTGCTTCAGAGGGTGCAAGCCCTAAGCCTTGGTGGCTTACATATAGTGTTGGGCTTGTGGGTGCACTGAAGTCAAGAATTGGTGTTTGGGAACCTCTGCCTAGATTTCAGAGGATGTATGGAAGTGCCTGGATGTCCAGGCAGAAGTTTGCTGTGGATGTGAAGCCCTATGGAGAACCCCTTTTAGGGCAGTGCAGAAGGGAAATGTGGGGTTGGAGCCCTCATACAGAGTCCCCACTGGGGCACTGCCTGATTAAACGGTGAGAAGAAGGCCACCATCCTCCAGTCCCCAGAATGGTAGAACCATTAACAGCTTACACCGTGTGCCTGGAAAAGCTGTAGACACTCAATGCCAACCCATGAAAGCAGCTGGAAAGGGGGCTGTATCCTGCAAAGCCACAGCGCAGAGCTGTTCAAGGCCATGGGAGCCCACCTCGTGCATCAGCATGACCTGGATGTGAGACATAGAGTCAAAGGAGATCATTTCAGAGCTTTAAGATTTGACTGCCCTGCTGGATTCTGGAATTGCATGGGGCCTGTAGCGCCTTTGTTTTGACCAGTTTCTCTCATTTGGAACAGGTGTATTTACCTAATGCCTGTACTCCCATTGTATCTAGGAAGTAGCTAACTTGCTTTTGATTTTACAGGCTCTTAGGCAGAAGGGATTTGCCTTGTCTCAGATGAGACTTTGGACTTGGACTTTTGGGTTAATTCTGGAATGAGTTAAAACTTTAGGGAACTGTTGGAAAGGCATGATTTTGTTTTGAAATGTGAGGACATGAGATTTGGGAGGGGCCAGGGATGGAGTGAAATGGTTTGGCTCTGTGTACCTACACCTTGAATTGTAATAATCCCCATGTGTCAAGGGCAGGACCAGGTGGAGATAAGTGAATCATGGGGGGGCAGTTCCTGCCATGCTGTTCTCATGATACTGAGTGACTTCTCATGAGATCTGATGGCTTTATAAGGGAATTTCCCCTTTGCTTGACGCTCACTTCTCCTTCCTGCCACTAAGTGAAGAAGGACGTGTTTGCTTCCCATTCTGCTGTGATTTGTTTTCTGAGGCCTCTCCAGCCCTGTGGAACTGTGAATCAATTAAACCTCTATCTTTTATAAATTACCCAGTCTTGGGCAGTTCTTCATAGCTGTGTGAGAATGGACTAATGCAGAGTCCTGTTCTCTCGCGCAGGCTGGAGTGCAATGGCATGATCATAGCTCAATGCAGCCTCAAACTCCTGGGCTCAAGCTGTCTCCCACCTCAGCCTCCTGAGGATCTGAGACTACATGTGTGCACCACCACACCCAGCTAATTAAAGCATTAAAAAAATAGAGATAGGGTCTTGCTATGTTGCCTAGGCTGGTCTCAAACTCCTGGCCTCATGTGATCCTCCTGTCTTGGCTTCCAAAAGCACTGGGATCACAGGTATAAACTACCAAAGCTGGCCAGCTTTTTTCTTTAACTGAAATTCCATGGCTTAAAAATCTTAGTTGTATAAAATAGAGCCAATTTAATTTTAATAAGGATAGTAGAACAGAGAATATCATTTACCAAAAATGTTTATATCTGTTAAATTTCATTGTAAAGTTTTAAATGGATTCTATTGCAGTCATAGATTCTGCCTTACCAGTATGGAAATCCTGAAAACACCATCAACTCTTCATCATCACTAAATTCTCCTTTGTCACACATGCTCCACACCTTATGTTCTTCTCACCTTGTGCATCAGACAATATTTGGATCAGTGCTTCAGCTTTCTGGAAACCTCTGCATTCCTCCTGATCCCATTACAGACTGCATAGACTCTTGTTTGTTTTTCCTTTGTGAAAATTAAATATACTCATACCAACCCAGGGAAAGAAAAATGTTAACCTGGGAGTGTTAATAATAAGATCCTTCACAAGGTTTAAATTTCCCATTCTCTTCAGGCATTAGTAATACCTATTGACTACACTTTTGATGATAGGTAGACCTTCCTGGAAGAGTTGAAGATATTCATGGCTTTCAATGGGACTTTCTTCCTTGGCTTGGACTACTTGCCTTAGAAAGCTGTATATAAATTTTTTTCTCACCTTGTCTGTCATTGCAAATGAAACTATATTTGCATTACAGGCTTGGCAAATGAGGCTCCATGTACTTGCTACAATGGCACTAGATAACAGAATTGCAGATTATTTATGAAAAATTAAGGTCTGTTTACACACTGGTTAGCACCTTCTGTTTCCTCTGAATGAATGTTTCAGGACCAGTTGAGGACCCTTTGCATAAAATTTAAGAACAAATCAATTGGTTGTTCAAATTGAACAAACTAGTCCATGATATCTACTCTTACAGTTTGGGTTTGGCAAAACAGGAATTTAGCTGGGGAGCATTCTATAAATATTAGTTATGCTGTTTCTATCTTTGTTCCCATTCATTGCTTTTGTCATGTCAATTGTTAACAAAATCATAAATGCTATCGCACAGTCAGCATTCCACCAGTTCATACATCTGATGATTCTATAACAAAAGAAGTCTGAAACAACACTGAAAAGACACTAATAGTGTGTGAAATTCTCTCTCCAAACAAAGGTAGTAGTGTAGACCTAAAAATCTGATAATTTGCCTATCTTATTGTAGCCATGTTGTTTTGCCTGAATAGATGAAAACCAATAGAAGGCACTGTAAAAGCAGTTTTCACTCACAAAGCTCTTGTTCAGGAGATATTAAAAGCCGGATGCTATACTTGACCTTCCCCACAGTTGGTTCTAACCAGCCATATCTTATAAATGACAATGAACTATCAGCCAAAGATGATCAATGACTGTGGTATCTAAACCCTCACCAGGCCCAGTTGACGAGTCTTCTGTGAATGGTGAACATGGAATTGCTACTTACTTACTTACTTATTTATTATAGAGACCTTGCTCTGTCACTCAGGTTGGAGTGCAGTGGCACACTCATAGCTCACTGCAGCCTTGAACTCCTGGGTCCAAGCTGTCCTCCCACCTCAGCTTCCTGAGTAACTGGGACTGTAGACACATGCCAACATGCCCAGCCAATTTTTAAAAGTTTCTGTAGAAACGACATCTTTCCATATTGCCCAGGCTGATCTTGAACTGCTGGCCTTAAGCTATCCTCCTCACTTGGCCTCTCAAAGTGCTAGGATTACAGGTATGAGCCACCACAGCCAGCATGGGATTTGTTTTAATCATTTATATCAGTACTGTGGATTCATCCCACCCTCTCCAGTGTACAGGCTTCAGTCCTTAATTAGCATAATCACAATGGACTTTTCTTTCCTTGGGATATGTCAGTCCCTGACTTCTCATCTTCAATGAACTATGAATTTTTTCAATGATGGGATTATCTTCCTGGCAAGTAAACAAACTCAGTGCTCATTTATTTGATCACTATAGTGGTCTAGGTATTCCTTTTAATAATATTCATATGTTTCTATTTTACTTACTATTTAAATAGGGGATAGTAATTTGATTCGGTTTTAGTCAGACAAGTAATATATTTCCAGAGTGTTAACCAGGACTTAAGAAACAATGGGATTCCTGAGTGGTTTTAAAAACACGTATCTCCCTGCTTTTTTAAATGGTTGCTCATTTCACCATAATTTTCACAGAATCTATAAACAAATAGTTAATGCTGGTCTATTAGATGATTTCTCTAATTACCGTTTGCTAAATCTTTTCAGCGTTTGGCTTGCTGTACAAGAATCAAGCAAGATAGAGACTTTTGATTTCCTATGAATTCAATAGGAACTCAGAGGATGGGTGGAAAGGCATTACAAAAGACCGAAATCCCAATTCTTAAATATTCAAAGGTTTTGGATAAGATGGTTCAGAGTTTCACTGGCAAGCACTCCAGTGCCCTGGATGGGGACATGGAAATGCACACACGGAACAAAATGCTGGAGTCTGGAGGGGCTTAGAATTCATTTGCACTATCTGCTCCTTCCTCAACAGATGGTAACTGTGCTCTAATTTCAGTGAGTGCTGATTAGTAAAGTGGTCAACTGAAATGCTATAAGTCGGTTTCTTTTATTAATGAGTTAATGCGACCCTCAAAAAGACTCGGCCAACACACTCCCATATTAGTTGAAATTGTGCAAATCCAATGTCGACATCAGGAAATGCTTTAACCTGTGAGAAAATAATAAAGCCCACCCTTAAGTCATTTATACTTCTTAACAGATGGAAGGAGAGAAGGAAGTAAAGATGACATAGGTCACTTTCATATAAAATAATCAGTTATGTGCTGAATGGAATAGTGTACTTTAATTCAGCATTACTATTATTTTCTTTTCAATGGACTCATTCTTGGAGCTGCATTTTTTGTAATATCTGAAGAACTAATAGTTCAAAAGATTTTTCTGTGTATTGTATTTCTGCACAAGTCCCTAGCTGTGTATAACATCTTACCATTTTGTGCTTAATGTTACACGCTGCCAGTTTCTTCCCTGTTCATTTGGTTTTCCTGGTGTGCCCTAAATATATAAATTTAAAAATAACTATTCATTCAAATGGTCTTTTTCCTTTCTTTTTTTTTTTTTTTTTTTTTTTTTTTGAGACGGAGTCTCGCTCTGTCGCCCAGGCCGGACTGCGGACTGCAGTGGCGCAATCTCGGCTCACTGCAAGCTCCGCTTCCCGGGTTCACGCCATTCTCCTGCCTCAGCCTCCCCAGTAGCTGGGACTACAGGCGCCCGCCACCGCGCCCGGCTAATTTTTTGTATTTTTAGTAGAGACGGGGTTTCACCTTGTTAGCCAGGATGGTCTCGATCTCCTGACCTCATGATCCACCCGCCTCGGCCTCCCAAAGTGCTGGGATTACAGGCGTGAGCCACCGCGCCCGGCCCTTTTTCCTTTCTTAAAAAAAGAGTAATACATAAAGAGTTTTAAAAGCCTTAACGAGCAATAGAAATGAAAGTGGCAAATGAAATGAAATATAGAAAAAAAATCCCATTCAGTCCCTTTGGGTCTTGTGAGTTAGGTAAATTGAGGTGAAGACTGCATGCTTTCCTGCTTTTCCTCTTTCTGTTTTCTTCAGACAGAGTCTGGCTCTGTTGCTCAGGCTGGAGTACAGTGCGATCTCAGCTCACTGCCACCTCCACCTCTTGGGCTTAAACCATTCTCCTGCCTCAGCCTCTGAGTAGCTGGGATTACAGTTGCATGCCTCCATGCCCAGCTAATTTTTGTATTTTTTATAGAGATGGGGTTTTGCCATGTTGGCCAGGCTAGTCTTGAACTCCTGAGGTCAAGTGATCCGCCTGCCTCGGCCTCCCTAAGTGCTAGGATTATAGGCATGAGCCACCACACCTGGGCCTTTTCTGCCTTCTCTTAACAGTGACATGCAGAACTTGGAGAAAAAAGCTGTACAAGGTTTTGATACTAGAATGCAGCAAATAATAGGGCTTGACTCTATTTTTTTATGTTTTGGGCAAACTCTAAAAGGCATAAAGGAGCAACACAAACACAAATGGCTCTGATATAATTATTAGAGAGTGGTTCCTATTTTGTATTGCCATGTAAAAATTGCCATGACCTCAGCAGCTGAAAAAACACATATCTCACAGCTTCAATGAGTCAGAAGTCCAAGCCCAACTTAGCTAGAGCCCCTGCTGGGGGTCTCAAAAGACTGAAGTCAACGTATTAGCTGGACTGCATTCTCATCTGGGACCTCAAATAGGGAAGAATCTACTTCCAAGCTCATTTAGATTTTTGGCAGAATTCATTTACTTGTGGTCATTCAACAGCTTCTTACTGGTTTTGACTGGAGGCTGCCCTTAGCTTTTAGAGGCTTCCGGCAGTTCCGTGTCATGTGGCTCTTTTAATAGGTAGTTCACATCATGGCTGTTTCCTTCTTTAAGGTCAATGGAGATTCTCTCTAGTGTGTGCCAGCAAGACAGAGATGCACACACACACATACACACAGGTATGCACATGTGTAAACCTAAACATAGAAGTGGCATCCATATCCATCACCTTTAACATATTCTGTTGATTAGAAGCAAGTCACAGGTCCCACATAACACTCAAGGACGAGAGGTTATACAAGAAGTGTACATGGGGCTTATCTTAACATTTTGACCCCATTGTTTCCAACTTGGCTGCACATTAGAATTGCTGGGGAAGTTACTCAAAATACTGATGCCCAGTATTTACTCCAGACAAATTAAATCAGAGCGTTTAGATGGTTGGGCCCAGATTTGTATTTTCAAAAAACTTCCCAGGTAATGTAATTATACAACAAATATTTCCACAAGGACCATGTGTGCCTATTCAGTAATTCTGGAATTAGGGGACTCTTCTTTTGATTACCAGAATGAAACATGAGAAAAAAGTTTTTTAAATTAAGTTCTTTTCAGTAGGAGGTTCATAAAGTGAGAATTCTTGAACAAGCAAAACAATATTAGGTAGTTGAACTAATACCTTTAGGAGGACTACTGGTCTAAATCCAGTACAACAAACCAAGCGATCTTTCTATTTTTTTAATTAAAAAAATTTTTTTATTTTTGAGACGGAGTCTCACTCTGTCACCTAGGCTGGAATGCAGTGGTGCAACCTGGGCCCACTGCAACATGCGCCTGCTGGGTTCAAGTGATTCTCCTGCCTCAGCCTACCGAGTAGCTGGGATTACAGGTTTGTGCCACCACGGCCCACTAATTTTTGTATTTTTAGTAGGGACAGGGTTTCACCATGTTGGTCAGGCTGGTCTTGGAACTCCAGGCCTCAAGTGATCTGCCCGCCTTGGCCTCCCAAAGTGCTGGCATTACAGGCATGAACCAGCATGCCAGGCCCAAACTAAGGAATCTTTCTGTCTAAAAATTAACATTAATAACTTGGAATGTAATAAAAGACGTTATTGAAATGAGTGAGATGTATCTGCTAGGAAAGAGTTTTCATGTAAAGTGCACTTAGGAAACAAGACTCAGTAAAAAAGATTCACCAAATTCTCCGGGGAAAATGATTGTTGGTAAGAATAAAAAGAAGCACTAAACTAGGATGAATCCAATTCCTTCCCATCTTCTAGCTGCACTTGTTTTCCACTAAATGTGTTTTATATATTTTGCTGTATTGTGCAAGTTCTTCCTAAGCAACTCTGAATAAGGCAATGACATCTACTAATCTGGAGGGGCCCCATTTTTTTTGACATTTGGAATTCTTGCCCAAGGAAAGGGAAGACTCATCTTTCCTGAACTTGTCATGCAATGACTCTTAAACTGTATTTGCAAACTTGTGTTCATTCTATTATGTCATACTACTTCGTGGTGAACTGTAAAGTAAGAGCATGTTGGGCCTAGTAAGGAAACAAGTTAGAGTTGAAGACAGTGAGCAAATGAAGGAATCAGAGTAAGCATGGAGGAGCACACGGCTGGCAGGAACAGTTGAAGTGCAGCTGTTCCCTCCATCCTCCATTTCCACACCAGGAGGCCCAGGCAGGTAAGTGAGGACAGAGGCATAGGGGTCAGGGAGGGGTGCAAGGCAGCAGAAAGGATCTGTAATTTGTGTAGAAATCTGTCAGTAATCCCTTCCAGATATCTTCATTGTACTGTGCACCAGTGTACTCCTCCTTAGGACTTTTTTCCCTAGCAAATAAATTCAGGGGAGAGAAAAATTGAAGCTGTAAAGGCAAAAATCAATTTAAAGCACGAAAGGTGAAATTATGTAGAAAAATATCACCCTTTTATGCCTAAGTAATCACAGAAAATGTGTCTGCCAGCCTGAAGCCATTTTATTAGAAAGTAGCCCAGGCGAAACAGGGAAATAGCATTACCAAGCTCAACTTGGCTACACACGACAAAATGAGGGAAGAAAAACATTGCAGGTGAACAAAACTGTATTTAGTGGTTAATAAAATTAGAATGTTTTACACCTAGAGAGTACCCTCTCATGAATCTCTTCTCAGTACTCTGAAGTTAACATTGGAGATGATTTCTAATTGATGGTTTTGGTCAATTTACAATTAAACTTGTGAAACAAAAGGCAGCATCTTTTAATGCAGCATCTCTTAACTTCTAGGTCCATATGGCTCCATTGAGGAAATACCATTTAAGTTATTTTGAATTCGTATCAAAAACCATGTGGAAAAAAATAAATTCATTTCATCAGTGCTTCTCAAACCTTACAGCCAATACCCTAAGAGCAAATCGGAGTGAACCTGTCCCTACAAGGGGCAAGGACCAGGGGCCCAGGGCATAGCTAGAGGCTATAAGCTTTGAAGTCACAGCAATAGCTTAAAAATTCACTGTGAATTTTGTATTCAGTTTTATCAGTGCTTGTATTAATATAAAAGTAAAACTCCTCAGAGGATGTGTAATAAATTTATCAAGTTTTCCCACACTCCCTAGCTCATAGGCATAACCCCTGTATTAAATGACCAATATTACCTACAATAAGTGTTATTGAAGTTGTGAAGTCTCTTAAGAAAACAGATCTCAGGCATAGGTTATTGAATCTGTCTAATGTATTGCAGTAAAAATTTCTTACCCCACAGTAATTATAAATTTGAAAACAAGTAATTCATGCATAATTAGATAAACACCCAAGCCTAAACATGTTTTCAAAAGAAATCCATTGTTTTTCTATCAGTTACCACTCATTACTCCTCTTTCTACTGAAATAAAGAGTTCCCCAAGCAGTGATGACAGCAGATATCAAGTCCTGAGTTCTAAAAACTATCTTTCATTTCTAGGTGGACACTCAAGAGAAATTCCTCCGTGCAAAATTTATATGCACACAGAAACTTGTTTACATGAATGTTCAAATAGCACTATTCACAATAGCCCCAAAATGGAAACATCCAAATGTCTATCAATTGATAAATGAGTAAATAAAAAGCAGTACCATATATACATACAATAGAATATTATTTAGCCATAAAAGGCATGAAGTACTGATATATGCTATAACATAAACCTTGAAAACATTAGGCTAAGTGACAGAAACCAGACAAAAGACTACATATGGCAAGATTCTATTTATGTGAAAGACCAAATAGACAAATCTATAGGGAGAGAAAGTAGATTAGTGGTTGCTAAGGCCGAGAGTAGGGAGAGGGGTGGCGGAAATGGAAATGACTGTATGAAATTTATTTTTGGAGGATATAAACTGTTCTACAATTAGATTGTGGTGATGGTTGCATAATCCTGTGAATATACTAAAAACCATTCAATTGCATACTTTAAGTGGGTAAATTGTATAAGATGTGAGTTTTCTTCAATAAAACTGTTAAAAATATGATATAGTATGTATTTTCATGTAAATAAATAGATTTTATTTTAAAAAAACAAAAAAGTGAAAACTAAGGGGAAGGCAAAGCCCCAGAAGTGTCTGATTGTTTATATTCAACAACATAGAACATAAAATAATGAAGGAAATTGTTTAGGGTTTTATATACTTTCGCTCTTTGCATCAATGGCATGAGAAAAAAATCCAAAGCATTGTTTATGCATTCACATTCACAAAATGAAATTCAATAAGAAATGCTAGAATTATTTCATATCTTTCCTGACTGTTCATTGCAGCAAATAAATCACATTTTACCATTTCCTAGTCATACTCAATTAAACTGTTTCTGCAACACACTCATATTTATCAAGTAACCTATTAATCACATATGTACTTGTTTGTATAATAGTTTCTCAGAAAGCCTAAGCTTTCTTTTCTCCATAAAGTAGGTTAATGGTGACTGAAAAGTTTTCTTAAAATGCTTTCCATAAGAATAATCCAAATAGACCTACTGGGATCATGCTGAATATTCAATAGAACAGTCAATAGCATTCTCAGAATTTTAGGACTGGAAGGGTCTTTGGAGATGAGCTGTTCAACCTCTTCATTTTGCAAATCAGGACCTTAGATCCCAGAGCCAGCAAACAGCAGAGCTGGGACTGACCCTTAAGTCTCCTGATTCCTAGGCCTGTACTTACCCAAATGATAATTCATGATAGTAATGATGATATTGCAGAAGGTTTTAATCAGTTACTGGAACAGTGATCTGAATTGTAGCACTTTTCAGTTGTACAGTGGTTAACAGTTTATAAAAGACTTCCATATACATAATTTTATTAGTGCTTCATCACACCATATAAGCCAGGCAGGAATTAGCATCTCTATTTTAGAATTAGCTAATTTTTAGAGATGCTAATTTTAGGTTAAAAAAGGTTATAGGATTTTCCCAAAGCCATAGGCATAGTAAATACTAGATATGGAATAAGAACTTCATACCCAACACTTCCCAAGCTAAACTCATTATTCTCTGCCACCATGTTGCCCAGTGCCCATGCCAGAAATCTGGGTGCCCCTCCTGACTTCCTCTCTTTACCTCCTCGAGTTCAATAACTGTCACTTCCAACTCCTACACCACATTTATTTAATAAAAAAATCAATCCACTTCTCTCCACCCTTATTGCCACCACCTAAGTTTCTACTAACATCAGTCTCACATTATTTTACTGCCATCTCCTCTTTTCTAGTTTTGTCTCTACCTGCATAATCTGGTCTTCATAGTGCAAACAAAGTTATGTGTGCAAAGCACATTGTGAGTACTGTGGTCTGAACATTTGTGTCCCCTTCAAATTCAGATGTTACTATTCCAACCCCAAACGAGATGGTATTAGGAGACGTGGCCTTTGGGAGGTGACTTGGTCATGAAGGTTCTGCCCTCACAAATGGGATTAGTCCCCTTATAAAAGAGACTCTTCAACCATTCAACAGCATGAGGACACAGTAAGAATTTGGAATTTGTGAACCACGAAACAGGCCCTCACCAGATACCAAATCTGTTGGCACCATGATCTAGTGCCAACTGGGAAGTCTGGAGACTTCTCAGTCTCCAGAATGGTGAGAAATACATTCCTGCTGTTTAAAAGCCATCTAATTTATGGTGTTTTGTTACAGCAGCCTGAATGGACTGAGAGAGTCAGCATGTCACCCACCACCTTGTCTAAACCTTTCCTGTTTCCTCAGTGTCCTTAGGATGAAGTCTATCGACATCAGTTAGAACAAGCTTGTCCAACCTGTGGCCCCTGGGCGGCATGCGGCCCAGGATGGCTTTGAATGTGGCCCAACACAAATTTGTAAACTTTCTTAAAACATTATGAGAATTTCTTTTAAGCTCATCAGCTATCATTATCATTAGTGTATTTTATGTGTGGCCCAAGACAATTCTTCTTCTAAAGTGGCCCAGAAAAGCCAACAGATTGTCACCCTTGATTTAGAATATCCTTCATGGTCTGGAGCATGCTCACTACTTCAACTCTGGCCGCAGCCTCTGCAGTCAGGTTTACAAAGTTACGGTGAATTCAAGCAGTGCCCCAAATCTCCTTTGCTTTTGCTGTTTCTCCCTTTATGCATCTCCACTGATCTTTTCTTTCTCCTTCA
The DNA here is from genome assembly GCF_000001405.40 of Homo sapiens. NCBI lineage: Eukaryota > Metazoa > Chordata > Mammalia > Primates > Hominidae > Homo > Homo sapiens. The sequence continues at coordinate 143,658,986 of NC_000004.12, forward strand.
CTTGGCTAATGCCTACTCATTCAGGTCTCAGATTATAGGTTATTTTCTTTTTTTTTTTTTATGTGCCCCCACTTGAATTTCTTTATTTTATTTATTATTTTTATTTATTATTATTATTATTATTATTATACTTTAAGTTTTAAGGTACATGTGCACAATGTGCAGGTTACATATGTATACATGTGCCATGCTGGTGTGCTGCACCCATTAACTCGTCATTTAGCATTAGGTATATCTCCTAATGCTATCCCTCCCCCCTACCCCCACCAACAACAGTCCCCAGAGTGTGATGTTCCCCTTCCTGTGTCCACGTGTTCTCATTGTTCAATTCCCACCTGTGAGTGAGAACATGCGGTGTTTGGTTTTTTGTCCTTGTGATAGTTTACTGAGAATGATGATTTCCAATTTCATCCATGTCACTACAAAGGACATTTTTTATGGCTGCATAGTATTCCATGGTGTATATGTGCCACATTTTCTTAATCCAGTCTGTCATTGTTGGACATTGGCATTGGTTCCAAGTCTTTGCTATTGTGAATAGTGCCGCAATAAACATACGTGTGCATGTGTCTTTATAGCAGCATGATTTATATTCCTTTGGGTATATACCCAGTAATGGGATGGCTGGGTCAAATGGTATTTCTAGTTCTAGATCCCTGAGGAATCACCCCACTGACTTCCACAATGGTTGAACTAGTTTACAGTCCCACCAACAGTGTAAAAGTGTTCCTATTTCTCCACATCCTCTTCAGCACCTGTTGTCTCCTGACTTTTTAATGATTGCCATTCTAACTGGTGTGAGATGGTATCTCATTGTGGTTTTGATTTGCATTTCTCTGATGGCCAGTGATGATGAGCATTTTTTCATGTGTTTTTTGGCTGCATAAATGTCTTCTTTTGAGAAGTGTCTGTACATGTCCTTGGCCCACTTTTTGATGGGGTTGTTTGTTTTTTTCTTGTAAATTTGTTTGAGTTCATTGTAGATTCTGGATATTAGCCCTTTGTCAGATGAGTAGGTTGTGAAAATTTTCTCCCATTTTGTAGGTTGCCTGTTCACTCTGATGGTAGTTTCTTTTGCTGTGCAGAAGCTCTTTAGTTTAATTAGATCCCATTTGTCAATTTTGGCTTTTGTTGCCATTGCTTTTGGTGTTTTAGACATGAAGTCCTTGCCCATGCCTATGTCCTGAATGGTAATGCCTAGGTTTTCTTCTAGGGTTTTTAATGGTTTTAGGTCTAACATTTAAGTCTTTAATCCATCTTGAATTAATTTTTGTATAAGGTGTAAGGAAGGGATCCAGTTTCAGCTTTCTACATATGGCTAGCCAGTTTTCCCAGCACCATTTATTAAATGGGGAATCCTTTCCCCATTTCTTGTTTTTGTCAGGTTTGTCAAAGATCAGATAGTTGTAGATATGCGGTGTTATTTCTGAGGGCTCTGTTCTGTTCCATTGATCTATATCTCTGTTTTGGTACCAGTACCATGCTGTTTTGGTTACTGTAGCCTTGTAGTATAGTTTGAAGTCGAGTAGCGTGATGCCTCCAGCTTTGTTCTTTTGGCTTAGGATTGACTTGGCGATGCGGGCTCTTTTTTGGTTCCATGTGAACTTTAAAGTAGTTTTTTCCAATTCTGTGAGGAAAGTCATTGGTAGCTTGATGGGCATGGCACTGAATCTATAAATTACCTTGGGCAGTATGGCCATTTTCACGATATTGATTCTTCCTACCCATGAGCATGGAATGTTTTTCCATTTTTTTGTATCCTCTTTTATTTCATTGAGCAGTGGTTTGTAGTTCTCCTTGAAGAGGTCCTTCACGTCCCTTGTAAGTTGGATTCCTAGGTATTTTATTCTCTTTGAAGCAATTGTGAATGGGAGTTCACTCATGATTTGGCTCTCTGTTTGTCTGTCATTGGTGTATAAGAATGTTTGTGATTTTTGTACATTGATTTTGTATCCTGAGACTTTGCTGAAGTTGCTTATCAGCTTAAGGAGATTTTGGGTTGAGACAATGGGGTTTTCTAGATATACAATCATGTCATCTGCAAACAGGGACAATTTGACTTCCTCTTTTCCTAATTGAATACCCTTTATTTCGTTCGCTGCCTGATTGCCCTGGCCAGAATTTCCAACACTATGTTGAATAGGAGTGGTGAGAGAGGGCATCCCTGTCTTGTGCCAGTTTTCAAAGGGAATGCTTCTAGTTTTTGCCCATTCAGTATGATATTGGCTGTGGGTTTGTCATAGATAGCTCTTATTATTTTGAGATACGTCCCATCAATACCTAATTTATTGAGAGTTTTTAGCATGAAGGTAAGGGTTGTTGAATTTTGTCAAAGGCCTTTTCTGCATCTATTGAGATAATCAAGTGGTTTTTGTCTTTGGTTCTGTTTATATGCTGGATTACATTTATTGATTTGCGTATATTGAACCAGCCTTGCATCCCAGGGATGAAGCCCACTTGATCATGGTGGATAAGCTTTTTGATGTGCTGCTGGATTCTGTTTGCCAGTATTTTATTGAGGATTTTTGCGTCAATGTTCATCAAGGATATTGGTCTAAAATTCTCTTTTTTGGTTGTGTCTCTGCCCGCCTTTGGTATCAGGATGATGCTGGCCTTATAAAATGAGTTAGGGAGGATTCCCTCTTTTTCTATTGATTGGAATAGTTTCAGAAGGAATGGTACCAGTTCCTTCTTATACCTCTGGTAGAATTCGGCTGTGAATACATCTGGTCCTGGAGTCTTTTTGGTTGGTAAGCTATTGATTATTGCCACAATTTCAGCTCCTGTTATTGGTCTATTTAGAGATTCAACTTCATCCTGGTTTAGTCTTGGGAGGGTGTATGTGTGAAGGAATTTATCCATTTCTTCTAGGTTTTCTAGTTTGTTTGTGTAGAGGTGTTTGTAGTATTCTCTGATGATAGTTTGTATTTCTGTGGGATCAGTGGTGATATCCCCTTTATCATTTTTTATTGCATCTATTTGATTCTTCTCTCTTTTTTTCTTTATTAGTCTTGCTAGCAGTCTATCAATTTTGTTGATCCTTTCAAAAAACCAGCTCCTGGATTCATTGATTTTTTGAAGGGTTTTTTGTGTCTCTATTTCCTTCAGTTCTGCTCTGATTTTAGTTATTTCTTGCCTTCTGCTAGCTTTTGAATGTGTTTGCTCTTGCTTTTCTAGTTCTTTAATTGTGATGTTAGGGTGTCAGTTTTGGATCTTTCCTGCTTTCTCTTGTGGGCATTTAGTGCTACAAATTTCCCTCTACACACTGCTTTGAATGTGTCCCAGAGATTCTGGTATGTTGTGTCTTTGTTCTCATTGGTTTCAAAGAACATCTTCATTTCTGCCTTCATTTCATTAGTACCCAGTAGTCATTCAGGAGCAGGTTGTTCAGTTTCCATGTAGTTGAGTGGTTTTGAGTGAGTTTCTTAATCCTGAGTAGTAGTTTGATTGCACTGTGGTCTGAGAGACAGTTTGTTATAATTTCTGTTCTTTTACATTTGCTGAGGAGAGCTTTACTTCCAACTATGTGGTCAATTTTGGAATAGGTGTGGTGCGGAAAAAAATGTATATTCTGTTGATTTGGGGTGGAGAGTTCTGTAGATGTCTATTAGGTCCGCTTGGTGCAGAGCTGAGTTCAATTCCTGGATATCCTTGTTAACTTTCTTTCTCATTGATCTGTCTAATGTTGACAGTGGGGTGTTAAAGTCTCCCATTATTATTGTGTGGGAGTCTAAGTCTCTTTATAGGTCACTCAGGACTTGCTTTATGAATCTGGGTGCTCCTGTATTGGGTGTATATATATTTAGGATAGTTAGCTCTTCTTGTTGAATTGATCCCTTTACCATTATGTAATGGCCTTCTTTGTCTCTTTTGATCTTTGTTGGTTTAAAGTGTGTTTTATCAGAAACTAGGATTGCAACCCCTGCCTTTTTTTGTTTTCCATTTGCTTGGTAGATCTTCCTCCATCCTTTTATTTTGAGCCTATGTGTATTTCTGCAGGTGAGATGGGTTTCCTGAATACAGCACACTGATGGGTCTTGACTCTTTATCCGATTTGCCACTCTGCGTCTTTTAATTGGAGCATTTAGTCCATTTACATTTAAAGTTAATATTGTTATGTCTGTATTTGGTCCTGTCATTATGATGTTAGCTGGTTATTTTGCTCGTTAGTTGATGCAGTTTCTTCCTAGTCTTGATGGTCTTTACATTTTGGCATGATTTTGCAGCAGCTGGTACCGGTTGTTCCTTTCCATGTTTAGTGCTTCCTTCAGGAGCTCTTTTAGGGCAGGCCTGGTGGTGACAAAATCTCTCAGCATTTGCTTGTCTGTAAAGTATTTTATTTCTCCTTCACTTATGAAGCTTAGTTTAGCTGGATATGAAATTCTGGATTGAAAATTCTTTTCTTTAAGAATGTTGAATATTGGCCCCCACTCTCTTCTGGCTTGTAGAGTTTCTGCCGAGAGATCTGCTGTTAGTCGGATGTGCTTCCCTTTGTGGGTAACCCGACCTTGCTCTCTGGCTGCCCTTAACATTTTTTCCTTCATTTCAACTTTGGTGAATCTGACAATTTATGTGTCTTGGAGTTGCTCTTCTCGAGGCGTATCTTTGTGGCATTCTCTGTATTTCCTGAATCTGAATGCTGGCCTGCCTTTCTAGATTGGGGAAGTTCTCCTGGATAATATCCTGCAGAGTGTTTTCCAACTTGGTTCCATTCTACCCATCACTTTCAGGTACACCAATCAGATGTAGATTTGGTCTTTTCACATAGTCCCATATTTCTTGGAGGCTTTGTTCATTTCTTTTCATTCTTTTTTCTCTAAACTTCCCTTCTCGCTTCATTTCATTCATTTCATCTTCCATCACTGATACCCTTTCTTCCAGTTGATCGCATCGGCTCCTGAGGCTTCTGCATTCTTCACGTAGTTCTCGAGCCTTGGCTTTCAGCTCCATCAGCTCCTTTAAGCACTTCTCTGTATTGGTTATTCTAGTCATACATTCATCTAAATGTTTTTCAAAGTTTTCAACTTCTTTGCCTTCCGTTTGAATTTCCTCCTGTAGTTCGGAGTAGTTTGATCGTCTGAAGTCTTCTTCTCTCAACTCATCAAAGTCATTCTCCGTCCCGCTTTGTTCCGTTGCTGGTGAGGAACTGCATTCCTTTGGAGGAGGAGAGGCGCTCTGGTTTTTAGAGTTTCCAGTTTTTCTGCTCTGTTTTTTCCCCATCTTTGTGGTTTTATCTACTTTTGGTCATTGATGATGGTGATGCACAGATGAGTTTTTGGTGTGGATGTCCTTTCTGTTTGTTAGTTTTCCTTCTAACAGACAGGACCCTCAGCTGCAGGTCTGTTGGAGTTTGCTAGAGGTCCACTCCAGACCCTGTTTGCCTAGGTAGCAGCAGCGGTGTCTGCAGAACAGCACATTTTTGTGAACCACGAATGCTGCTGTCTGATCGTTCCTCTGGAAGTTTTGTCTCAGAGGAGTACCCTGCCGTGTGAGGTGTCAGTCTGCCCCTACTGGGGGATGCCTCCCAGTTAGGCTGCTCGTGGGTCAGGGGTCAGGGACCCACTTGAGGAGGCAGTCTGCCCGTTCTCAGATCTCCAGCTGCATGCTGGGACAACCACTGCTCTCTTCAAAGCTGTCAGACTTGGACATTTAAGTCTGCAGAGGTTACTGCTGTCTTTTTGTTTGTCTGTGCCCTGCCCCCAGAGGTGGAGCCTACAGAGGCAGGCAGGCCTCCTTGAGCTGTGGTGGGCTCCACCCAGTTCGAGCTTCCCAGCTGCTTTGTTTACCTAAGCAAGCCTTGGCAATGGCGGGCGCCCCTCCCCCAACCTCGCTGCCGCCTTGCTGTTTGATCTCAGACTGCCGTGCTAGCAATCAGCGAGACTCCGTGGGCGTAGGACCCTCCAAGTCAGGTGCGGGATATAATCTCCTAGTGCACCGTTTTTTAAGCCCGTCGGAAAAGTGCAGTATTTGGGTGGGAGTGACCTGATTTTCCAGGTGCTGTCTGTTACCCCTTTCTTTGACTAGGAAAGGGAACTCCCTGACCCCTTGCACTTCCCGAGTGAGGCAATGCCTCACCCTGCTTTGGCTCGCGCACGGTGTGCTGCACCCACTGTCCTGCGCCCACTGTCTGGCACTCCCTAGTGAGATGAATCCAGTACCTCAGATGGAAATGCAGAAATCACCCGTCTTCTGCGTTGCTCACGCTGGGAGCTGTAGACTGGAGCTGTTCCTATTTGGCCATCTTGGCTCCTCCCCGATTATTGGTCATTTTCTTGGGACGCTTTCCTTGAGTCATCAAGGATGAATAAGGTGCCTTACCCACTTATTCTCATAGTAATTGAAGCTTACTCTTACCATAGCATTTACCCTGCCTTATTAACTTATCCCCCATTAGACTGTAAGTTCTTGAGAGCAAGGATTATGTCTTTTTCTGTGTCATATCCCAGTTGCCTAGCATATAGGAGGTACTTAATAAGTATTTGTTAATTATAAAATAATGCTACAGTAAAGTCAGAATACTGTTAGGCCATTTCTGAAATTCAGCCCAAGTTCTAGCTAGGTGTTTCTTTACATATTGAGGACAATCCTTTTCTGAATCCTAAACACTTAAGTTGGGCAAGTGGTTAAGGTATTTTCTCATTATAAAACACAAGATTTAAGTGAAATCCTATATAAAAGACACAGTAATGCTAACCATAATGAATTTTGAGATGTTTAAATTGAATACAGTTCTATGCAAGAGATACAAATTGTTTCCCCTCTGCCTTTTCAGAACTCCAGTAGAAGTTGATTGATTAAATCAACCATGTTTCAAGAACTATCTGGATTTCAAAGTGTACTCATCTAACTAGCCCTTGTGTTCTAGGATATCAAAGGCCTGATTTATCATAATTACCCACTGAAATGCATATTATGTTTTCTCAACATGTTTATTGTTAAAGATATTTCTTACACTATCAATCCAGCACATTTTGTTCTGAAAGCATTTTTCATTTTAGTAATCAGTCTAGCTTATCTGTACTAACCTTCTAAGATTATGCAAAGTCACTATTTTTATATTGATTGCTCTTCTTAGTTTCAGGCTTTAAATACCTGCCAGGGTTTTACAAACTTAAATTATTTTGTCTTAGATAAAATAGAAGATAGGTGCAGAGGTTCTTGAACATTTTTGTGCCATGGAGCGTGCTGGCAGTCTGGGAAAGCCTACAATCCCCTTCATAGAACAATGTTTCTACATGCATAAAAGAAAATGCATAGGATATGCAAAAACCAATTATATTACAACACAATTATTAGGATATTAAAAAAATTCTGCAACTGCTATGGAAAGCAGTTTGGCAGTTTCTAAAAAAGCTAAACATACAATTATTGAATGAGATACAGAAATTCTACACTTAGGTATATATCCAAGGGAACTGAAATCAGAGACTCAAAGATACTTGTATGCCAGTGTTCACTGCAGCATTTTTCACAATAGCCAAAAGGTGGAAACAACCCAAATGTCCATCAATAGATGAGTGGATAGACAAAATATGATATGTACATACAACGGAATATTATTCAGCGTAAAACAAAGTGATGATACATGTTAAAACATGGATAAACCTTTAAGACAATATGCTAAGTGAAATAAGCGAGACACAAATGGAAAAATATTGTATGATTCCACTTATGTGAAATATCTAGAAAGGTAAATTCATAGAGACATAAAGTGGATTAGAGGTTACCAGAGGCTGGAGAAAGGGGGAGTATTACTGTTTAATAAATAAAGGGTTTCTGTTTGGAGTGATGGAAGGTTGTGAAAACAGTAATGATAGTTGCATAACATTGTAAATATAATTGATGCCACTGAATTGTATACCTAAGAATGGTTAAAATTACAAAATTTATGTTATATATATTTTACCACAATGTAAAAAAATGTATAATATACTAAAAACCATTGAATTATAGACTTTAAATGGGCAAATTGTATGGTATATGAATTATATCTCAAGAAAACTGTTAAACAATTTTTAATAAAATTATTACCAAAATTTAAAGTAATAATGGCTGTGAAGAGTATTTTGACATCTCTGCAATACCTGTAATTTGATAATAAAGTATCTGTAATTTGATATTTCTAATAGTTGCGAAGTCACAAGTAATGCTAGTAGTATTTTTGTTACCAACATATATTTTATTGGAGGAATACTGTATTTTATGTGGAAGTTACTAAAAATTAACAGAAAATTTAAATTCAATTTCACCACTATATTCTATATACAGATCTCTTAAATTAAGATCTATAGATTTATTCTACTGAAAATAAACTACTTAAGGAAAAAATTGATTTGTCTTTTCTCTCTTTAATTTATCTGCATAAATAATTTTGCCAACTGAGAATCTAATGCTGGGCAGTGTTTATTAAATTAACATTTCATATTAAATCAAACTACTTTAAAAAAAAAGGAACTGGGAAATCTATTACAAGTCTTGCCTCAAATAATCGTTGAACTCCAACATTATATCAGTCGCTTAAAAAGACTAGAAAATCATTGTCTCAGGAAACTCATTTTTTTTTCTCCCAGTTCCTTGCCAACTGGCACACATTCTGCTTTGTTTTAATCAGAGGAAGTAGAGACCACATGCCATTTTCAATCCATCATAACTTTTTCAGTTGAGTAACTCAACTGGCTCTCCTAAGCAAGAATGCTTCCAGCTGTAATCCTGCCAGCACTACAAAATGTCTGCCCGGAGTAGGGCTTAGTGCCTTCCCCGATAATTAAAGAGGATGTCTAGCTCCTTGAAACTCATTGTGTGAATGAAACATTTTCCCTAGCTAGTCTCAAAGGGAATTCAATTTCCCTCTCTTTAGTAGGATTTTCTTAGCAGAGTTTTCTGATGTTCTTAGCTTTTTTTGAGTAAACATCATAACAAGGCATTCTGTTTCAGAGAATTTGTACTTATAAAAATAACAAATTCCACACCTTCTTCAGTGCATTTATTAGATATGACTATAGTCAGATATAATAAAAGTTGCTTATTATAACTTACAGAAATTACTTTTAAAATAAAATTGTTATCTTATGCAAACACTTTTTAGTAAATAGATGAAAGTGTTTTATATTTTCTAAACACTATTTAGCAGAATGAAAGATAAGGCATAAGTAATGTAAATAAAGTCACAGGTGGAGTATTACTACAGGGCTGGAAAGTGACTCAAGAACCGATGAACATGATGAGTATCCAGAGCTTATTCTACAAGCTGGGTCAAAGAAATAAAAAGCAAATGAAGAGAAGGTGGAAGCAGAGGTAGAAAGAAGAAAAAAGTAAAAGCAAAGAACTGGAACCTCAATGGCATCACTAACAATGATCTGAGGCCCTAAACCTTCCTCTGCTTTTGCCACACTGCATAACAATACATTCCTGTATTCACTTTCTCAAACAACTGCCAAAAAATAGAAGCAAAAGCAGAAACTTCTGTTTGCATGTCTATATCTAATAACACACCCAATGAATAAAACACTGTGTTCCTTGATCACTTGATTAGCGCATCCCTCACCCTTAATGTTGGCTTGTTTGGCTTCAATTCATGAAAGGGCTGAAATTTTATTGCCACTGACTTTCCAGTTTGGTGCTATTGCTAGGGCATGGGCCTCTGAAAACCTGACACGGTTAGATACCAGGTGTGCCTTTCATGTTTTACTATATGGTCTTCTAATGAGGCCAGGGTTTGATATCCACCCCATGCTTCATACATATATTTTGTTTCTCTGCCAATTTCTCATAAACACAGGCTGAAGAAAAGTGTGCAAGTGGACATAAGCATAGTCACTCCTACTTTTTTGTAAATTACTTTAGAAAAACCCGAATCATTCTCATACATGGAGACAACCCAGTATATCTGTGCCTTGATAGGGAATTGTAAGCAAATTGCTCAGAAGCTCAGCTTAGTTGAAACTCAATTAGAAAGCAATCTGTAGGTAGTTTTTCTATTAAAAATACTGTCTTCAGTTCAGCAGACACTGAAGAATGTCTGTCTTCTGTGACTCCAGACAATGAAGAGTGTATATAGTTAAGTCATTTACGTATTGAAACAGTGATTTTTGGTTTCTAAAAGTGGCAGTGGTTTCATTCAGTTGTTTATGCTACTTGCTTAGTGAGAGGCAAAAACTCAGAGGAGTGGCTTTATTTTCTCTAAAATAAAAATGAGTCTAAGACTGAGAGGCCTGTGAACCAGAAAAAATAACCACATTAGGAACTAGGGTGCGTTATGAATTCTCTCACACAGATCATAACTCTATTCTTAGCTGTGCTTTTAATTCTTAACTAATGAATTAATAATTAATTTCTTTAGAGAGAGGGTCTAGCTCTGTCACTCAGGCTGGAGTGCAGTGGCTTGGTCATGGCTGACTGCAGCCTTAGGCCCCTGAGTAGTAGCTTGGACTACAGGCGTGAACCGCCACGCCTGGCTATTGTTTAAAACAATTTTTTTTTTTTGGTAGAGACCGGGTCATCCTATGTTGCCCAGGCTGGTCTCGAACTCTTGGCGTCAAGTGATGCTCCCGCTTCAGCCTACTTTGGGATTATAGGCCTGAGCCACTATGCCCAGTCCCTAACTCTTCATTCAATTTTATATGAAGTTTTATGTAACACTAATACATGTATTCAACTGCTTTTTCAGTTCGGAAAAAAAAAAAAAACCACAAGTCACCTAAGGACTTGTCCTTTATGCATGTATTGTATACAAACATCAGCTTCCAGATGTTTGCCTATAGTTTTTGCTTTAAATTAAATGTCTTTTGCATTCTACAGAAGCATGTAATATATATATATTTTTAAATTTCAACTTTTATTTTAGACATAGCGGGTACATGTGCAGGTTTGTTACATGGGTATATTGCAGCCAGATAGTGAGCATAGTACCCAATAGGAAGTTTTTCAGCCCACGCCCTGCTCCCTTCCTCCCTTCTCAAGTAGTCCACTCTGTCTATTGTTACAAGAACTATGTAATTTTTAAACTAACAGTAGTTCCACATATTTAAAGATAATTTTGATATTGACTTAATTTCAAAGGGATTAGAATTTTGTGATCTTCCTGTCCTTCCCTGTGACTGCATAGAATGTAACCATTCACTCAATCTCATCAAATTGTTTCTTCATCTAAAAAATAGAGGATAATATCTATCTCCTGAGGAGATTCACTGAGAAATTAAGTACATCTAGCACAATACCTGGGACAAGATATGTGTTCAGTAAATGCCGAACTTGAATTTGAGAATGAAGAATTAAAAATATCCTGAAAAATGAAGTATTTTACTTTACTACCAATAGGAAAGATACATGCTAACTAGCCATTCTAAATGAGTGAAAATACTTTTCACTTCTGAAGAGTTGTTGTATATACATGCCTCATATATTAATATACACATATGTATTTATAATTATCTACTTACTAGGCACATGTGTATGTACATGGAATTTAAGACTTCATCCCGAGGTTGAAGTTATATTTTAAATTTATCTGTGAATTGATTATTTAATAACCTGTTAACATAAAGCAAACAAAAACAGCTTTGACTTTTCAAGCAATAAACTCTTTTCAAGCAAAACGACGTTTTTAAAATTGACGTATGTGGCAATCAGGATATTTAGCAACTGGAAAATGAAAGGCAAGAAATACACAATAATGTAATCTAAAAGACACAATCCCTGAGTATAGTAGGTATTGATTTACTAGTTGAGAATATTTCAAAAAATCATTCATAATATTTCTTTTTCTTTCCAAAATAGTTTTTGATTAGCCAGATTTTCTGAAGTGTGATTATTTTCTTATATCAGAGCTTTCTTAGGTTTTTGCATGATCACACCAACTTTCTATTTTTATACATGGAATCACATGATTAAAAAAATAAATTATAATGAAAAAATAAGCCTGTGTTTCATTTTTATGGAGAGAAACATGAATGCAAATGTTTTAATGCAAATACTAAAAGATAAAGAGACCAAAGCTATTTTTCTTTAAAGCTATTTGTTCTGGCTCATAAACGCCACAATATATTCATTTTCTATTTTCAAAAAGTCTCCCTCCAAATCATCCACAATGGTAATCAATATTACTTCAAAAATCACAATTAAATATTCAGCCTCTACAAATCACAAAATGAACTTGAAATTTAATAATTTTTCCATCATTTTGATTGTTTCTTCTTTTATTCAACTAATATGATTTGATCACCTATTATATGTCAGGCAGGCATTTCAATTCCAACATAGATTATGATTAGGAGTATATGATTTGATTGACTATATCAATTGAATTAACCAAATTATCTCCCTCTCCGCTTTAACTCGTATACACAGCCCAAGATATAATTCTAAACAGCATCCTCTTACAAAAAAGATGAATATTTAGGCCATAGATAAATAAAATGTAAATTTATCCATCTCTCATACTTCCAGCTCTTTATTTATGGGAGATGTAATTACAGCTACAGCTATGTGTACTAGTTACACACACATATACATATTTGCTTATATAAAAGCAATTTTTTTTCTCTCTGGAATAGGACTACAGATGGGGGCAGGAAAGAAAACTTTTGTTTTTTGACTTTTCTGTACTAAAATTCTCATTTTATTTGTGCATATATTATTTTTATTTTTTAAGAGTATGGTGAAAACCACAGGAATGTTTCAGAATAAAATAGAGAACTGAAATAATCATCTGGAAATCATCCCACTTTTGACTCAATATCTAAAAAACTTTCACCTCAAAACCCCATTTAATTTTCTATGTGGAAACTAGGTGCGAAGAATTCTAATTGTTAAAAATTAAAATTGATACATGAGAAATGCAGCTACTTTGTAAAAGTATGGGCAAGTCTACATCACACGAAATAAACGTGTGAGCAGGATCTAAAATTAGTAAGATTTAAAGCCATTTATTCCTACATTCTGAATGAGATTTTATAGTCAAGCACTGGGGATGGATGTACAATATTTTATAAAATGCTGAGACCACACCCAGCTCTATCATGTGACATAGAGTTGTCAAGGTTCCCCTCTCTCTCCCATTGTCACTGCAGAGTGATGTTTGGCATTCCACTGGCTAGCGAGCTAGAAATGTGTACTCAGAGCAGCAGTGTATCTTCAGGCAGTTCACTGTAACTATAGACTTGATTCTAACTTGATTCTAAATTGCAGACTTAATCCTTATAAGTTCAGCATAAATGACCTCGAAACCCCAAAGGTAGAGAGTCCAACATAGTTCAACCCCTCTAAAGCCAAAGAAGCAAGAATGCCAACAACTCAGTTTACTATTCAAGGAGTTTCTTGGAACATCGACCAGCAAGAGACTTTGTTTGGTTGTTTCTTTGCTCATACTTTTTTACTTCTAAGGATTAAAAGCTAATCTTGGAATAAACTGCTGTCATACTTTGGACCTCAACCACTTGTCTGCCTTGGCATCTTTGTATGAAAAAGCATATGTTTCAGCTGTTAGTCTGATGGACTTCCCTTTGTGGGTAACCTGACCTTTCTCTCTGGCTGCCCTTAACATTTTTTCCTTCATTTCAACTTTGGTGAATCTGACAATTATGCGTCTTGGAGTTGCTCTTCTCGAGGAGTATCTTTGTGGCGTTCTCTGTATTTCTTGAATTTGAATGTTGGCCTGTCTGGCTAGGTTGGGGAAGTTCTCCTGGATAATATCCTGCAGAGTGTTTTCCAACTTGGTTCCATTCTCCCCGTCACTTTCAGGTACACCAATCAGACATAAATTTGGTCTTTTCACATAGTCCCATATTTCTTGGAGGCTTTGTTCATTTCTTTTTATTCCTTTTTCTCTAAACTTCTCTTCTTGCTTCATTTCGTTCATTTGATCTTCAATCACTGATACCCTTTCTTCCAGTTGATCAAATCAGCTAATGAAGCTTGTGCATTCGTCACATGGTTCTCGTGCTATGGTTTTCAGCTCCATCAGGTCCTTTAAGGACTTCTCTGCATTGGTTATTCTAGTTAGCCATTTGTCTTATCTTTTTTCAAGGTTTTTAACTTCTTTGTGATGGGTTCGAACTTCCTCCTTTAGCTCGGAGAAGTTTGATCGTCTGAAGCCTTCTTCTCTCAACTCGTCAAAGTCATTCTCCATCCAGCTTTGTTCCACTGCTGGTGAGGAGCTGCATTCCTTTGGAGGAGGAGAGGCTGTCTGATTTTTAGAATTTTCAGTTTTTCTGTTCTGTTTTTTCCCCATCTTTGTGGTTTTATCTACCTTTGGTCTTTGATGATGGTAACGTACAGACGGGGTTTTGGTGTGGATGTCCTTCCTGTTTGTTAGTTTTCCTTCTAACAGTCAGGACCCTAAGCTGCAGGTCTGTTGGAGTTTGCTGGAGGTCCGCTCCAGACCCTGATTGCCTGGGTATCACGAGCAGAGGCTGCAGAGCAGCGAATATTGGTGAACAGCAAATGTTGCTGTCTGATTGTTCCTCTGGAAGTTTCGTCTCAGAGGGGTACCCGGCCGTGTGAGGTGTCAGTCTGCCCCTACTGGGGGGTGCCTCCCAGATAGGCTATTCGTGGGTCAGGGACCCACTTGAGGAGGCAGTCTGTCCGTTCTCAGATCTCAAACTCCATGCTAGGAGAACCACTACTCTCTTCAAAGCTGTCAGACAGGGACATTTAAGTCTGCAGAGGTTTCTGCTGCCTTTCGTTCAGCTATGCCCTGCCCCCAGAGGTAGAGTCTACAGAGGCAGGCAGGCCTCCTTGAGCTTTGGTGGGCTCCACCCAGTTCAAGCTTCCTGGCCGCTTTGTTTACCTACTCAAGCCTCAGCAATGGCAGTTGCCCCTCCCGCAGCCTCGCTGCCATCTTGCAGTTCTATCTCAGACTGCTGTGCTAGCAATGAGCGAGGCTCCATGGGTGTGGGACCCTCCGAGCCATGCGCGGGATATAATCTCCTGGTGTGCCATTTGCTAAGACCATTGGAAAAGTGCAGTATTAGGGTGGGAGTGACCCGATTTTCCAGGTGCCCTCTGTCACAGCTTTGCTTGGCTAGGAAAAGGAATTCCCTGACCCCTTGCACTTCCTGGGTGAGGCGATGCCTCGCCCTGCTTTGGCTTACGCTTGGTGTGCTGCACCCACTGTCCAGCACCCACTGTCCAACAAGCCCCAGTGAGATGAACCCGGTACCTCAGTTGGAAATGCAGAAATCACCCATCTTCTGCAGAAATCACCCATCTTCTGCAGAAACTCTACAAGCCGGAAGAGAGTGGGGGCCAATATTCAACATTCTTAAAGAAAAGAATTTTCATCCCAGAATTCCATATCCAGCCAAACTAAGCTTCATAAGTGGAGGAGAAATAAAATACTTTACAGACAAGCAACTGCTGAGAGATTTTGTCACCACCAGGCCTGCCCTACAAGAGCTCCTGAAGGAAGCGCTAAACATGGAAGGGAACAACCGGTACCAGCCACTGCAAAAACATGCCAAATTGTAAAGACCATTGATGCTAGAAAAAAACTGCATCAACTGACAAGCAAAATAACTGGCTGACATCGTAATGATAGGATCAAATTCACACATAACAATATTAACCTTAAATGTAAATGAGCTACAGGCTCCAATTAAAAGACACAGACTGGCAGATTGGATAAAGAGTCACGACCCATCAGTGTGCTGTTTTCAGCAAACCCATTTCATGTGCAGAGACACACATAGACTCAAAATAAAGGGATGGAGGAAGATCTACCAAGCAAATGGAAAACAAAAAAAAGCAGGGGTTGCAATCCTAGTCTCTGATAAAACACACTTTAAACCAACAAAGATCAAAAGAGAAAAAGAAGGCCACTACATAATGGTAAAGGGATCAATTCAACAAGAAGAGCTAACTGTCCTAAATATATATTCACCCAATACAGG
The DNA here is from genome assembly GCF_000001405.40 of Homo sapiens. Taxonomy (NCBI): domain Eukaryota; kingdom Metazoa; phylum Chordata; class Mammalia; order Primates; family Hominidae; genus Homo; species Homo sapiens. The sequence goes on from NC_000004.12 coordinate 143,674,873, forward strand.
AGCACCCAGATTCATAAAGCAAGTCCTGAGAGACATACAAAGAGACTTAGACTCCCACACAATAATAATGGGAGACTTTAACACCCCACTGAACATTAGACAGATCAACGAGAAAGAAAGTTAACAAGGATATCCAGGAATTGAACTCAGCTCTGCACCAAGTGGACCTAATAGACATCTACAGAACTCTCCACCCCAAATCAACAGAATATACTTTCTTCTCAGCACCACACCACACCTATTCCAAAATTGACCACATAGTTGGAAGTAAAGCACTCCTCAGCAAATATAAAAGAACAGAAATTATAACAAACAGTCTCTCAGACCACAGTGCAATCAAACTAGAACTCAGGATTAAGAAACTCACTCAAAACCGCTCAACTACATGGAAACTGAACAACCTGCTCCTGAATGACTACTGGGTACATAACGAAATGAAAGCAGAAATAAAGATGTTCTTTGAAACCAACGAGAACAAAGACACAACATACCAGAATCTCTGGGACACATTTAAAGCAGTGTGTAGAGGGAAATTTGTAGCACTAAATGCCCACAAGAGAAAGCAGGAAAGATCTAAAATTGACACCCTAACATCACAATTAAAAGAACTAGGGAAGCAAGAGCAAACACATTCAAAAGCTAGCAGAAGGCAAGAAATAACTAAGATCAGAGCAGAACTGAGGGAGATAGAGACACAAAAAACCCTTCAAAAAATCAATGGATCCAGGAGCTGGTTTTTTGAAAAGATCAACAAAATTGATAGACTGCTAGAAGGACTAATAAAGAAAGAAAGAGAGAAGAATCAAACAGATGCAATAAAAAATGATAAAGGGGATATCACCACTGATCCCACAGAAATACAAACTACCATCAGAGAATACTATAAACACCTCTATGCAAATAAACTAGAAAATCTAGAAGAAATGGATAAATTCCTCCACACGTACACCCTCCAAAGACTAAACCAGGAAGAAGTTGAATCTCTGAATAGACCAATAACAGGCTCTGAAACTGAGGCAATAATTAATAGCTTACCAACCAAAAAAAGTCCAGGACCAGATGGATTCACAGCCGAATTCTACCAGAGGTACAAGGAGGAGCTGGTACCATTCCTTCTGAAACTATTCCAATCAATAGAAAAAGAGTGAATCCTCCCTAACTCATTTTATGAAGCCAGCATTATCCTGATACCAAAGTCTGGCAGAGACACAACAAAGAAAGAGAATTTTAGACCAATATCCCTGATGAACATTGATGCAAAAATCCTCAATAAAATACTGGCAAACTGAATCCAGCAGCACATCAAAAAGCTTATCCACCATGATCAAGTGGGCTTCATCCCTGGGATGCAAGGCTGGTTCAACATATGCAAATCAATAAACTTGATCCAGCATATAAACAGAATCAAAGACAAAAACCACATGATTATCTCAATAGATGCAGAAAAGGCCTTTGACAAAATTCAACAACCCTTCATGCTAAAAACTCTCAGTAAATTAGGTATTGTTAGGACGTATCTCAAAATAATAAGAGCTATTCATGACAGACTCACAGCCAATATCATACTGAATGGGCAAAAACTGGAAGCATTCCCTTTGAAAACTGGCACAAGACAGGGATGCCCTCTCTCACCACTCCTATTCAACATAGTGTTGGAAGTTCTGGCCAGGGCAATCAGGCAGGAGAATGAAATAAAGGGTATTCAATTAGGAAGAGAGGAAGTCAAATTGTCCCTGTTTGCAGATGACATGATTGTATATCTAGAAAACCCCATTGTCTCAGCCCAAAATCTCCTTAAGCTGATAAGCAACTTCAGCAAAGTCTCAGGATACAAAATCAGTGTGCAAAAATCACAAGCATTCTTATACACCAATAAGAAACAAACAGACCGCCAAATCATGAGTGAACTCCTATTCACAATTGCTTCAAAGAGAATAAAATACCTAAGAATCCAACTTACAAGGGACGTGAAGGACCTCTTCAAGGAGAACTACAAACCACTGCTCAATGAAATAAAAGAGGATACAAACAAATGGAAGAACATTCCATGGTCATGAATAGGAAGAATTAATATCGTGAAAATGGCCATACTACCCAAGGTAATTTATAGATTCATTGCCATCCCCATCAAGCTACCAATGACTTTCTTCACTGAATTGGAAAAAACTACTTTAAAGTTCATATGGAACCAAAAAAGAGCCCGCATTGCCAAGTCAATCCTAAGCCAAAAGAACAAAGCTGGAGGCATCACGCTACCTGACTTCAGACTATACTACAAGGCTACAGTAGCCAAAACAGCATGGTACTGGTACCAAAACAGAGATATAGACCAATGGAACAGAACAGAGCCCTCAGAAATAATACCACACATCTACAACTATCTGATCTTTGACAAACCTGACAAAAACAGGAAATGGGGAAAGGATACCCTATTTAACAAATGGTGCTGGGAAAACTGGCTAGCCATATGTAGAAAGCTGAAACTGGATCCCTTCCTTGCACCTTATACAAAAATTAATTCAAGATGGATTAAAGACTTAAATGTTAAACCAAAAGCCATAAAAACCCTAGAAGAAAACCTAGGCAATACCATTCAGGACATAGGCATGGGCAAGGACTTCATGTCTGAAACACCAAAAGCAATGGCAACAGAAGCCAAAATTGACAAATGGGATCTAATTAAACTAAAGAGCTTCTGGACAGCAAAAGAAACTACCGTCAGAGTGAACAGGCAACCTACAGAATGGGAGAAAAATTTTGCAATCTACTCATCTGACAAAGGGCTAATATCCAGAATCTACAAAGAATTCAAACAAATTGACAAGAAAACAACAACCCCATCAAAAAGTGGGTGAAGGACATGAACAGACACTTCTCAAAAGAAGACATTTATGCAGCCAACAGACATATGAAAAAATGCTCATCATCACTGGCCATCAGAGAAATGCAAATCAAAACCACAGTGAGATATGATCTCACAGCAGTTAGAATGGCTATCATTAAAAAGTCAGGAAACAACAGGTGCTGGAGAGGATGTGGAGAAATAGGAACACTTTTCCACTGTTGGTGGGACTGTAAACTAGTTCAACCATTGTGGAAGTCAGTGTGGCGATTCCTCAGGGATCTAGAACTAGAAATCCCATATGACCCAGCCATCCCATTACTGGGTATATACCCAAAGGAATATAAATCATGCTGCTATAAAGACACATGCACACGTATGTTTACTGGGGCACTATTCACAATAGCAAAGACTTGGAACCAATGCCAATGTCCAACAATGATAGACTGGATTAAGAAAATGTGGCACATATACACCATGGAATACTATGCAGCCATAAAAACTGATGAGTTCGTGTCCTTTGTAGAGACATGGATAAAGCTGGAAACCATCATTCTCAGCAAACTATTGCAAGGACAAAAAAACCAAACACCGCATGTTCTCACTCATAGATGGGAATTGAACAATGAGAACACTTGGACACAGGAAGGGGAACATCACACACCGGGGCCTGTTGTTGGTTGGGGGGATGGGGGAGGGATAACATTAGGAGATATATCTAATGTAAATGATGAGTTAATGGGTGCAGCACATCAACATGACACATGTATACATATGTAACAAACCTGCACATTGTGCACATGTACCCTAGAACTGAAAGTATAATAAAATATATATATATATGTAAAAAGAAGAAAAAGCCTGTGTTTGAAGCAACTATGGAATTTAGGAAAATGCCAGAATGTTTTAGAGATTCAAATATCCAGGTTAAATCAATATTTCTGGTGCTAAGAAAAAGTATGCAAGTATGTACCACAGTCAGCCAAGATTAAAAGTTCAAAACAACATTGAAAATGAAAGAGAAAAATGCCTTTTATTAGATAACCTCTTAATTAAACTTCAATATAGTCATAAAATGAAATACATACTGTTTAAAAAGAATAAGGCAGCTTAGGTAAATCCATTTGTGCTAGTTTATTATATATATGATGAACTGTATTTCAAGTAATAAGAACATATTTTAAGTAGGTGCAAGTAAGGTTTAGATGCAAGCATAAAAAAACTCTTACATGTATAAAAAGGATGCACATATACATATTCTGCTCTGTGAATAATTTTCTTTTTTTAAGGATACATAACAAGTTCACTTTTGGAAAAGTAATTAGGTGTCAATGCACAGTTTAATTGTTGTTTAACCATGTATATGCATTTATTTTACTTTCTAAAAATGTTGATAGCAGTCTTCTGGTCTCCACCAGAAATTATAGGTCATTTAAAATTTCTCGGACTATTTAAAAAATACCACTAAATTCAGGTATTTATTTGCAGGATTTTAGACTTAACACTTTCACTTGGAGGTACAATTACCAATGCTAAAAAGAAGGTTACGAGTGTGCCCATTAATTTTCAAAATACTGTTCCTTACCATTCTCTCATTCGTTGAATTCTCTTCTAAGACTGATTCAATCTTGGATGGTGTGAAAAAGTGTTGCCTTTTAGAAAAGAGCAATTTGTAGTAAAAAATTGCCTACAGCAACAGTTGAACTCCAGGCCTGGCTGGACTGCTGGATAACTTATAAGATGATCAAAAGTAAATAGAAAATATTTTTCTCATCTTTATATAATCAGCGGTTTCAGCATAAAAGAAAAACAATAAAATTAAATCACACAAAGGGAAAATTATCTGGCATATCTCATATGGGAGAGTGGATGATGTCACTTTGCTCAGCACAGGATCTGCACATCCAGCCCTCTGCAGCAATTTCCTATATTTCACAGCTCTGAGCTAATTCTTCCCCAGATTGGCTTTACAGAACCTGGGAATGCTGTTGGTGAGCCTTATCTGCTCCATTGCCTCTCATTGCCTCTGGAACTATCTTGCTTATAGCTTGTCCAGGGCGAACAATTCATTTTTGTTCACCATGTATACAGGAATAAAAGAACCAAACAAGAAGGACTCATGAGGAAACAAGTTAGCAACAAATCCAATTGCTGATTCCTTCCTGCCTGAGATAAATCGCCCTGATTCTCTCGTTTGGATTTTTGAACCCATTACATTATTATAATGGGGACATTTCTGATGTATGTATAAGCTAGAATAATGTGGTTAGTCATATTAATCAATATTATTGAACGAAGTTGGTTGTGATGTATTCAAGCATTCTTTTTTTCTTAAATGGAAATTGCCACCTTCTAATAATAATAAAATGGTCATTGTAAAGCATTTACACAAGAAAATGTAAAAAAAAGCAAAAGGAAATATTAATAAAAACAATTTATTATCCATCATTGCCATTATAAACCTATCTTAACATCTTGCTGTATACATTTTAGACCTTCCCCTATATATATATATATGTATATATGGAATAGGGAATAATGCATATATATATATATGGAATATATATGCATATCTATCTATATATATCACAATGTAATCTCCTTTACATCTTTACACACTGTTTTCCACTTGTTTTTCTTCATTTAACAGTACATTCTGAACCTTTTCCAATATAAACAAATATGGGTTTATTATTGTATCATCTTCTAAGGCCCATAGACTTGTTTTACAGACTTACCACACTTATGCATTCCTCTGTATTATAAGGAGCTGTAGAAATATGTCGGGCATTTTGTCTCATCACTACATTTACATTGCTTCTTGAATTCTTTATCTGCTAATTTTTACCTCATCTGTATTTTATAACTGTCTTTGCCTTTGACACTTATACTTTTCTTACCACTGTTTTTATTTAAAATATAATTAGAGTTGTTTGAAAAATAAGAGCAAACAGACTTCAAGCATTTTTGAATCAGGCGTGAAAATTTTGGGCCATGGATCTCATAATTTGACTACCTAGAGACATTTCTAACTTGCTTTTGAATTATCATATGTATTCTAAAGAGTTTAATGTTCTAAGTAAGTGTGATATTACTTTAACTGCATGGAGAGATTAATTGAACTCTTGGTTGGTTCTATCACTGTCACTGTCCTGATAAATATTTTTTAAATCTCTTATTAATTTATTTTCATAATTTGCTTGAAAAGGACAGCCACCTAAACAGAAAATAGGAATTCATATGGACCACGAGGCAAGTCAAATTCCATCAGGTCAAATTTAAATATCAAAATGCATAATATTAATCACATGAACTTTAAACACCAAATCATTTGAGAGAAAATTGAACAATCTGTTTCTAGTCTTAATAGGATAGTTAAATATCTATAGTACATCACAAAATTAAAATAGTCTTTCTTGCACATAGCTAGCTGTTCAGTATGGCTTATTAGAAGGAATTGACTTGGTTCCTCTAAATTGTTCTTTGTATAGATGATTTTTATTCCTTAAGCCCATTTTGTCATCTTAAAATTTGTAGTAAGGAGCAAATGAAATAACTCCTATAAAACACTTTATTGATATATTAAGTGCTATACAAGTTTAGAGTAATATTATTATATGGTAAGTGGAAGAGACCCATTTAGTGTTATATATAGTAGAGATGTGAAAATTTTCAATATAAATCTATGATTCCATGAGTATAATGACCTAGGGAAGGAAGATTAATAAACTTGACAGTATGCTTAATTGGCACAGTTCAGAGCTTTAGAAATCTGAACTGTATCCCCTATTCTGCCAGTGGCTTTCATAGTAACCTTGAATATAATGAAATTTATCATTAATGTTAAAAAGTAGACTGATCTCTTATGGTGAAGTAGCCTTAGTCCGGATTACTCAAAAACTGCAGAAATTGATGAAACACATAAATCCACCACATTGTCAAAAATTTCCATTTAAATTGCCAGTTAAACTCTATACACCAGTATGGTTAGGTCCATGACTATGTGAGAGGAAAGAAGAGAAGAGAAGAAAACTTGTATTTATTGGGAAATTGATATATGTTAAGCATCATATTACATTTTTGGTATATGTTAGTTCATTTAACTATAGCAGAACAAAAAGAAAAAGGCAAAATTGATAGAGACAACAAGATGTGGATAGGTAAGATATTCACTGTGCATCAGCTCAGTAAGTAGCATCAAAGACTAAAACAGTGGATTGACTTACTTCCTCTCCTTCTTTTGTCTACTTGTTGGATGTCGCATAAATATAAAATCAGTTTATAAGTAGGCAGAGAAAAAGAGGTGAGAAACCAAGGGTTTAAGGCAGTATCCCACTAAAATAATTCACCAAAATAGTCTAAAATTGACCTCATATAAAGAAGAATAAGTTAATAAACTTCTTTTCAGCTAGAAGAAGAAAAATACAAAATTTGGTATCCTAGTGAGGCAAGAGAATAGGGTCTGGAGGCAGGGGACCTAAGGCTGTTTCACACCAACTTCCTAGAACTAAACTGAAAGGAAAATCCTAATTTTCCAGGCCTAAGTAACAAAAGGACCAGAGGCTACTCCCTTTGACCTTTTCTGCCCAGCAGACAGGAGATTGGCTGTCCGCAACAAATCATAATGAGTGCGGTTGAGTCCTGGTTTGTAACTTTGTAACTTCACTCCCCGCACTGAATGGCTGCTGTCTGCAACCAATCAGACTGATTGCGGGCTACCACTTCTGTTACATGAGGTGAGCATGAAGTGGCCAATGAGAAACTTCTAGCGGGTATTGGGACCCAAGAAGATTCTGTATCCGGGCCCTTGAGCCACTGCTTGGGTCTGCTCCCACACCGTGGAGTGTACTTTTCTTTTCAATAAATCCCTGCTTTTGTTCTTTTGTTGCATCATTCCTTATTTGCTTTGCTGGGGGTTTTGTCCAATTCTTAGTTCAAAATGCAAAGAACCTGGACAACTTGTAGTCACTACCCTTTACCATTAACATTAGCTGATAATTGTAAAGATAGTGTTTATTGAGTGTTTACTATGTGTCGGGCACTCTTCTAAGTGCCTTATGTGTGTTGATTCCTTTAATACTTGTGGTAGAGAACAATGGTTCAATGTTTCCCAAAAGACATCCACATCTTCATTCCTGGAATCTATGAATATGTTGCATGGCCAAAGGGTCTTTTCAGATGTGATTAAATGAAGGCTTTTGAGACAGGGAGACTATGCTGGATTATCTGGGTAGGCCCAGTGTATCACAAGGGTCCTTACAAGTGAAAGAGGGAGACAGGGGAGTGTCAGAGTGATGCAGCAGGAGAAAGATTCACCCACTTCCGGCTTTGAAGACGGAGGAATGGGCAGTCTATAGAAGCTGGAAAAGGCCAGGAAATGGATTCTACCCTAAAGTCGCACAAGAACATGCGGTCTTGAGGTTTTAAAAACTAGGCTGGAGAGAGGCGGATGATCATGGCAGACGGGATGCAGGATTAGATTGCAGCTCCGGACAGAGCGAGCAGGGGCTTGCATTGTGAATTTTAGCTCCAGATCTACTGCAAGAACAAACCAGCAATCCCAAGAGGACTCACAGACCCTCTGAAGGAAGCGGACTGTTCCTGCAGGACCTGGGAGAGTCCCCCCCAAACTGTGAGTGCCCCAACTATGGAAGTGGTAAAGGGAGACCCTCCTCTCCTAAACACACACCCCCATTGGAGAAGCTGAAGGTCTGTTTGCAGAAGTTTCCAACTTTACCTGCAGCTGAGTCAGTTTGGAGAGCTGAGCAAAATTCAGGGGTAGAAGAAGCAGCAGAAAGGCCCTGGGAGCTCGCTGGTTCCCCTAGCAGGCCATTCCTGCCTGGCATCACAGGGATCCAACGGGAGAGGAGCAGGGGGAGAACTACACAGGGACAAGGAAATCTCTAGGTGAACTTTGTAACAATTTGAACGGGGTGAGAAGCCTCCTGGCCAGAACCCGGGGAGGGAGCAAATCCAGTGAGCAGAACTCCACAGGCAGGGAAAGAACCAAGCCCCTTTCTTTCGCAGCTGGGAGGCAGATAGCCTGGGGCAGGTTTTCAAGCCTGTGTGGTTCTCCACCTGGAAATGGTCTGGGGCTGTTGTGGGGGGCATGGTGAAAGTGAGAACTGCCCTTCAGTTTGCGTGGGAGCTGGCTGAGGCCTGTGACTGCCGGCTTTCCCCCTCTTCCCTGACAACCTGTATGACTAGAGGCAGCCATAATCTTCCTAGGTGCACAACTCCAGTGACCTGGGAACCTCACTCCCATTCCCCACAGCAGCTGCTGCAAGACCCACCCAAGGAAAGTCTGAGCTTTGACACACCTAGCCCCTCCCTCACATGATGGGCCTTCCCTACCTACCCTGGTAGTGGAAGACAAAGGGCATATAATCTTGGGGGTTCTAGGACCCTGCCCACTGCTGGTTCCTCCCCATACTACCACAGCTGATGCTCTCTGGAAAGTGTGACCTCCTAGCAGGAGATCAACCAGCACAAAAACAGAGCATTAAACCACCAAAGCTAAGGACCCTCATGGAGTCCATTGCACCCCCCACCACTTCCAACGGAACAGGAACTGCTATCCATGGCTGAGAGACCCATAGATGGTTCACATGACAGGACTCTGTGCAGAAAACCCCCAGTACCAGCCTAGAGCCTGGTAGACTTGCTGGGTGGCTAGATCCAGAAGGGAGAACACAATCACTGTAGTTCGGCTCACAGAAGCCACATCCATAGTAAAAGGCAGAGAGTACTACATCAAGGGAACACCCTGTGGGACAAAAGAATCTGAACAGCAGCCTTCAGCCCTAGACCTTCCCTCTGACAGAGGCTACCCAAATGAGAAGGAACCAGAAAACCAACCCTGGTAATATGACAAAACAAAGCTCTTCAACACCCCCCAAAAATCACACTAGTTCATCAGCAATGGGTCCAAACCAAGAAGAAATCCCTGATTTACCTGAAAACGAATTCAAGAGGTTAGTTATTAAGCTAATCAGGGAGGGACCAGCGGAAGGCGAAGCCCAATGCAAGGAAATCCAAAAAATGATACAAGAAGTAAAGGGAGAAATATTCAGGGAAATAGATAGCTTAGAGAAAAAACCATCAAAAATTCATGAAACTTTGTATACACTTTTAGAAATGTGAAATGCTCTGGAAAGTCTCAGCAACAGAATTGAACAAGTAGAAGAAAGAAATTTCTAGCTCAAAGACAATGTCTTCAAATTAACCCAATCCAAGAAAGAAAAAAGAATAAGAAAATATGAACAAAGCCTCCAAGAAGTCTGGGATTATGTTAAATGAACAAACCTAAGAATAATCGGTGTTTCTTAGGAAGAAGAGAAATCCAAAAATTTAAAAAACATTTTTGGGGGAATAATCAAGGAAAACTTCCCCAGCCTCGCTAGAGACATAGACATCCAAATACCAGAAGCACAAAGAACACCTGAGAAAATCATTGCAAAAAGATCTTCACCTAGGCACATTGTCATCAGGTTATCCAAAGGTGAAGGAAATAATCTTAAGAGCTGTGAGACAGAAGCACCAGGTAACCTATAAAGAAAAACCTATCAGATTAACAGCAGATTTCTCAGCAGAAATCCTACAAGCTAGAAGGGATTGGGGGCCTATCTTCAGCCTCCTCAAACAAAGTAATTATCAGCCAAGAATTTTGTATCCAGCAAAAGTAAGCATCATATATGAAGGAAAGACACAGTCTTTTTCAGATGAACAAGTGCTGAGGGAATTTATCATTACCAAGCCACCACTACAGGAACTGCTAAAAGTACCTCTAAATCTTGAAACAAATCCTGGAAACACATCAAAACAGAACCTCTTTAAAGCATAAATCAGACAGGACCTATAAAACAAAAATACAAGTAAAAAAGCAAAAAACAAATAACCAAAAAAATCAAAGTACATAGGCAACAAAGTGCACGATGACTGCAATAGTACTTCACATTTCAATACTTACATTGAATGTCAATGATCTAAATGCTCCACTTAAAAGATACAGAACCAGCTTCATCCATGTCCAAACTAACACAAGAACAGAAAACCAAACACAGCATGTTCTCACTCATAAGTGGGAGTCGAACAATGAGAACACATGGACACAGCTGTGGGGGGCACATCACACAACAGGGCCTGTCAGGGGGTGGGGGCCTGGAGGAGGGATGGCATTAGGAGAAATACCTAATGTAGATGATGGGTTGATGGGTGCCCCAAACCATGGCATGTGTATACCCATGTAACAAATCTGCATGTTCTGCACATGTACCCCAGAACTTAAATTATATATATATATATGATACAGAACCGCAGAATGGATAAGAACTTACCAACCAACTATCTGCTGCATTCGGGAGACTCAGCTAGCACATAAAGACTCACATAACTTAGAGTAAAGGGGTGGAAAAGGACATTTCATGCAAACGGACACCAAAAGCGAGCAGGAGTAGCTAATTCTTATATGAGACAAAACAAATTTTAAAGCAACAGCCGTTAGAAGCGACAAAGAGAGACATTATATAGTGGTAAAAGGCCTTGTCCAACAGGAAAATATCACAATCTTTAACATATATGCACCTAACACTGGAGCTCCCAAATTTATAAAGCAATTACTAATAGACCTAAGGAATGAGGTAGACAGAAACACAATAATAGTGAAGGACTTCAATACTCCACTGATGGCAACAGACAGGTAATGAAGACAGAAAGTCAACAAAGAAACAATGGATTTAAACTATACCTTGGAACAAATGGACTTAACAGATATATACAGAACACTGTATCCAGCAATAGCAGAATACACATTCTATTCAACAGCACATGAAACTTTCTCCAAGATACATCATATGATAGGCCATAAAATGAGCCTGAATAAATTTAAGGAAATTGAAATTATATCAAGCACTCTTTCAGACCATAGTAGAATAAAACTGGAAATCAACTCCCAAAGGAACCTTCAAAACCATGCAAATACATGGAAATTAAATAACCTGCTCCTGAATGAGCATTGGGTCAAAAACAAAATCAAGATGGAAATTAAAAAATTCTTCGAACCGAACGACAATAATAACACGACCTATCAAAACCTCTGGGATACAGCAAAAGTGGTGCTAAGAGAAAAGTTCATAGCCCTAAACACCTACATCAAAAAGACTGAAAGCACAGACAATCTAAGGTCACACCTTATGGAACTGGAGAAACAAGAACAAACCAAACCCAAACCCAAACCCAGCAAAAGAAAGGCAATAACCAAGATCAGAGCAGAACTAAGTGAAACTGAAACAAACAAACAAAAAATACAAAAGTTAAATAAAACAAAAAATATATTTTTTTCAAAGATATTATCTTTGAAAAGATAAATAAAATTGATAGACCATTGGCAAGACTAATCAAGAAAAGTAGAGAGAAAATCCAAATAACCTCACTAAGAAACAAAACAGGAGATAGTACAACTGACAACACTGAAATACAAAAGAGCATTCAAGGCTGCTACGAACACCTTTACTCACGTAACTAGAAAACCTAGAAGAGATGGATAAATTTCTGGAAAAATACAAACCTCCTAGCTTAAATCAGGAAGAATTAGATGCCCTGAACAGACCAATAACAAGCAGTGAGATTGAAATGGTTAAAAAATTACCACCATCACCACTGACGACAATAACAAAAAATCCAGGACCAGATGGATTCACAACAGAATTCTACCAGACATTCAAAGAAGAATTGGTACCAATTATTTTGACACTATTCCACAAGATAGAGAAAAACGGAACCCTCCCTAATTCATTCTATGAAGCCAGCATCACCCTATTACCAAAACCAGGAAAGGATATAACCAAAAATGAAAATTACAGACCAATATCCTTGATGGACATAGATGCTAAAATTATTAATCAAATACTAGCTAACCAAATCCAACAATATATCAAAAAGATAATCTACCATGATCAAGTGGGTTTCATATCAGGGATGCAGGGATGGTTGAACATCCACAAGTCAATACATGTGATACACCACATAAACAGAATTAAAACAAAAAATCACATGATCATTTCCATAGATGCAGAAAGAGCATTTGACAAAATCCAGCATCCCTTTATTATTAAAACTCTCAGCAAAATTGGCACACAAGGGACATACCTTAATGTAATAAAAGCCATCTATGACAAACCCACAGCCAATATAATACTGAATGGGCAGAAGTTTGAATCATTCCCTTCGAGAACTGGAACAAGACAAGGATGCCCACTCTCACCACTCCTCTTCAACATAGTACTGGAAGTCCTAGCCAGAGCAATCAGAAAAGAGGAAGAAATAAAGGGCATCCAAATCAGTAAAGATGAAGTCAAACTGTCACTGTTTGCTGACGCTATGATCATTTACCTTGAAAACCCTAAGGACTCCTCCAGAAAGTGCCTAGAACTGATAAAAGAATTCAATAGAGTTTACGGATACAAGAGTAAAGTACACAAATCAGTAGCTCTTCTATACACCAACAGCTACCAAGTGGAGAATCAAATCAAGAACTCAACCCCTTTTAAAATAGCTGCAAAAAATAAATAAATAAAATAAAATACTTAGGAATATACCTAACCAAGGAGTCAAAAGACCTCTACAAGGAAAAGCACAAAACACTACTGAAAGAAATCATAGACAACACAAACAAATGGAAACACATCCCATGCTCATGGATGGGTAGAATCAATATTGTGAAAATGACCATACTGCCAAAAGCAATCTACAAATTCAATGCAATTCCCATCAAAATACCACCATAATTATTCACAGAATTAGGAAAAACAATTCTAAAACTCATACAGAACCAAAAAAGAGCCTGTATAGCCAAAGCAAGACTAAGCAAAAAGAACAAACCTGGAGGCATCACATTACCTGATTTCAAACTGTACTATAAGGCCATAGTCACTAATACGGCGTGGTACTGGTACAAAAATAGGCACATAGACCAATGGAACAGAACAGAGAACCCATAAATAGAGCCAACTACTTCCAGTCAACTGATCTTCGACAAGGCAAACAAAAAACATACAGTGGGGAAAGGACACCCTTTTCAACAAATGGTGCTGGGGTAATTTGCTAGCCACATGTAGGCAAATGAAACTGGATCCTCATCTCTCACCTTATACAAAAACCAACTCAAGATGGATTAAGGACTTAATCCTAAGACCTGAAACTATAAAAATTCTAGAAGATAATATTGGAAAAACCCTTCTAGACATTGGCTTAGCCAAGGATTTCATGATCAAGATCCCAAAAGGAAATGCAATAAAAGCAAAGATAAATAGCCGGGACCTAATTAAACGAAAGAGCTTTTGCATGGCAAAAGGAACGGTCAGCAGAGAAAACAGACAACCCACAGAGTGGGAGAAAATCTTCACAATGTATATATCTGACAAAGGACTAATATCCAGAATTTACGACGAACTCAAACAAATCAGTAAGAAAAAAACAAACAATCCCATCAAAAAGTGGGCTTAAGGACATGAATAGACAATTCTCAAAAGAAGATATACAAATGACCAACAAACATGAAAAAATGCCCAACATCACTAATAATCAGGGAAATGTAAATCAAGACCGCAATGAGATACCACCTCACTCCTGCAAGAATGGCAATAATCAAAAAAATAATTAAAAAAAGCAGTAGATTTTGGCATGGATGTGTTTGTTAATCAGGGATCACTTCTACACTGCCGGTGGGAATGTAGTACAGCCACTACAGAAAATAGTGTGGAGATTCCTTAAAGAGCTAGAAGTAGAACTACAATTTGATCCAGCAATCCCACTACTAGGTATTTACCCAGAGGAAAATAAGTCATTATTTGAAAAAGATACTTGCACACGCGTGTTTACAGCAGCACAATTCACAATTGCAAAATCGTGGAACCAACCAAAATGACCATCAATAAACGAGTGGATAAAGAAACTGTGATATATATATATATGATGGAATACTATGCAGCCATAAAAGGAATGAATTAACAGCATTTGCAGTGACCTGGATGAGATCGGAGACTATTATTCTAAATGAATTAACTCAGGAATGGAAAACCAAACATCATATATTCTCACTGATATGTGAGAGCTAAGATATGATGATGCAAAGGCATAAGAATGACACAATGGACTTTGGGAACTTGGGGGGAAGAGTGGGAGGGGGGCAAAAAATAGTATATACTGCTCGGGTGATGGGTACATGAACATCTCACAAATCACCACCAAAGAACTTACTCATGTAACCAAATACCACCTGTACCACCAAAAACTTATGGAAAAATTAAAAAAAAAAAAAAAAAAGAAATGCAGCCTTGTCAAAACCTTGATTCTATTCCAGTAAAGACCATTTTGGATTTCTGAACTCCAGAGCTGTAAGATGACAGATTTGCGTTGGTTCAAGCCACTAAGTTTGTGGTAATTTGTTACAGCAGCAATAGGAAACTAATAAAATCCTCATAATAATTCTAAGGAACACATGCCATCATTATCTTCAGCTCATAGATGAGCAAACTAAAGCACAGGCAGTTTCTCAAAGATGCAAGACTACAAGAGTTGAGCTGGGATTTGGACACAGACAGCCTGGGTCCAGAGCCTATTAATTAGAAACCTTCATGGTATCACTCTTGAGATTTTAGTAAAGTTGGAGCACTAGGGTCATTTTTGCCAGCATTTCCATTCTTAAGGCCCATGAGCTAAGCTGCAGCATACACCTAATGTCCAGTTCTGGAGGCAGGGCAGGGTCTTCTTTTAACAGTTTGAATACTGGTATGGGAAACAACAACATCAACAACAACAACAACATCTCCTTCAGCCCGATGGTGAAAGATCTATTTCTAGAAGGGTATAATACCTTCTGTTAGTGCTATGTGCTATTAGGAAAAAACAATTATTAATAGATCAAATGGAAATTTTCAACATTCCATTTGGGAAATCTTTTTAAGGTGAGGGCATTTTGAAAGAAAAAAGATTAAGTCAGCCACTGTAAAGCAATGGATTCATAATATTTCAAAATAACAGATAAAAAAATGTTTAAAGTGAGTCCTTTATCAGCTGTTCCAGGAATGCCATCAACAGCAGACATGGATCTTAGCTCCATGCATGGTACATGGAAGGCAACTGAAAAATTCACTCATTGGGCATGGCAGCACATGCCTGTAGTACCAGCTACTTGAGAGGTGGATGTGGGAGGACCAACTTGAGGCCTAGAGTTCGAGGTTGCAGTGCACTATGATTGCACCTGTGAATAGCCACTGCATTCCAGCCTGGGCAACATAGAGGAACCCTGTTTCTAGAAAAAATCTTTAAAGAAATGATTTTTTAAAATTCCAGTTTGTCCCTGGATCTAAGGGAAAAAAATCCACTGGATAAATGAATGTGCAAATGTTTAATTAGTTTATGTATATGTACTTTAAGATACAGCTATGAATGAATGTATCCTCAAATATTTTGGACTCTGTGTTTGATCATTCTTATCACTTTAATTCTCAAGGTGCTTCTTTATCAGGTTAAGAAGTGCAGTCTTGGCCCTGTTCTCTAACTTTTGTCCACGGCTTCAGCTTCCCAAAGCAGAGTGAGTGTATACTGCTCGGGTGATGGGTACATGAAAATCTCACAAATCACCACCAAAGAACTTACTCATGTAACCAAACACCACCTGTACCACCAAAAACTTATGGAAAAATTAAAAAAAAAAGAAAGTGCAGCCTTGTCAAAACCTTGATTCTATTCCAGTAAGGACCATTTTGGATTTCTGAACTCCAGAACTGTAAGATGACAGATTTGCGTTGGCAGTTAAGAGCCCTAGCTTTGGAATTGGCAAGACCTGGATTTGATTCCAGTTTACTTGCCTATTACTTGTATGACTTCAGGCAAGTTATTCAACCATGGTGTCTTCATTTTAAAATGGGCATCATAACATTTACTTTTTATTTTGTAGTGAGGATCAAAAGTCATAATGTCTTTAGGGACTGGCTAGCTCACAGAAAAAAGTTAAAACATGGTAGCTACATAATATTCACCTTACAGTGTCATCACAGACTGATTTTTGTTTGTAACGTTGTCCACAAAGCATAGTGTGAGAGTCAGAGGTGCATCTTTTTAGAGTGACATTCTTTTCAAAAACAGAAAGGAAAATATTCAATATAAAATATTTGTCTTACATTTATTTATGAACCTGTTTAAAGGTGTAAATTCATCTTTTTAGTAACTTATGGTTCTTGAGAACTTGGGAAAGGGAAGGAAGATTTGATTTTAAACTTTAAGGGAGAAAATGGATAGGAGGGATCAGTAGTTTCAACTGTAGTTAGTCTCATCAGAAGGGGAGAAAGTACCTAGTTAATGGGCACCTATCTTTAAATTAATTTTTTTTAAAAAGAACAAGAATCAGGTGAAAGCACCTACTTTTTATGAAGTGCTTTACATTTATGATCTTAGTCAATCCTCTTAGCAACTCTTTGACATAGGTATGAAGACCACCACTTTATACATGGGGGAATGAATGAAGAGGACAAGGTCACTTACTCAAGGTCACACGGGACAAGTTGGGATTCAAACCCAGTCAGTATACCATATGGCCTCTCATATAGGACTACTTTACAATAAATTCAGTTCCTGACTGATTACACATGATTTAGGCAGAAAATGCAGGTTACTTACTGGGAATGAGTAATGATTTGTATTGAAAGAGGTTACTGAGTGGCAAGCAGCACACAGAGATAATTTCTGCTATTATCCTGTCATACTGCAAAATGATTTTTCTTCTGACCACATAATCATTGAATCCCTAGGTGTGTAAAGAAAGTGGCTTCTGTTAACTAGATGCTGCCCATTATTCTACTTTGAAGTTAATAGTAGACAGACCAAGCTGCAGCATAAACAGGCAGTTTTTAAGTAAGCTTTCCTCTATGCCGGGAGAAATATATATATATCTACCCCATCCAGAAAGATTTCAAGTCTAAGATCAGGGAGCCATAAGATTCAGTTCTGCAGATAAAAATCCCAACAAAATCTGAAGATGTATTTTCTAATTTGTTTCAGAATGATAGAAACCACTAGCTAGATTCACAGAATCTCTTGAAGGTAAGATTCACTTGCCTATATGATGTCACACATGATCCAGATCAGATAAAATACTTCACATTTCACTCATCAAATTCCTCATTGCTTTTTCTTCCTAAAAAGTTATTTATCAAGAATCGTTTGGCACAGGACCATAAGTGAAACAAAAAGAATTAATTTGTTTGTATTATGACATTATTTATTGTGATTACTTGCTTACATGATGCCTATACTTGCCCAGAAATGATTTAATTTTTTTTCCAATTTTATGTTGATTTTAGTTAACCATGAATCCTTTTGAAGGGTTTATTATGACTTACCATTGTCTTCAACAGAGAAATAGAAGATGTCCTTTGATGCGTTGCTGCCCTCATTCAAGACATAGGATATCTTCATCTCATCAATGTCAGCTAAAAAAAAAGCAACCATCACACAAAGTCATATTGGCACAAATGAAAATGAGTATGTTAACAACTTCAAAGTTTTAATTAGGCATAGAAATACTCCAATTAATAAATTTTAAAATAGTGATTGAGTGAACATGAATCTTCTTAAAGCTACAATGTCAAAAACAAAACTTTAGTTTGAAATTTGGTCTCAATGAGGTACCATCTCACCCCAGTCAGACTGGTGATTATTAAAAAGCCAAAAAATAACAGATGCTGGGTGAGATTGTAGAGAAAAAGGAACACTATACATTGTTGGTAGGAGTGTAAATTAGTTCCACCATTGTGGAAAGCAATGTGGAGATTCCTCAGAGAGCTAAAAACAGAACTATCATTCAACCCAGCAGTCCCATTACTGGGTATACACCCTCAAAATATAAATCATTCTGTCATAAAGACACATGCATGCAAATGTTCATAGCAGCACTACTCACGATAGCAAAGACATTGAATCAACCTAAATGTCCATCAATGACATCTTGGATAAAGAAAATATATTACATATATACCATGGAATCCTATGCAGCCATTAAAAACTAGATCATGTCTTTTGTTGTTCTTCTTCTCGTTGTTGTTTTTTCAGGGACATGGATAGAGCTGGAGGCTATTATCCTTCACAAACTAATTCACGAACAGGAAACCAAATACTGCATATTCTCACTTATAAATGGGAATTTATAATAATTCTAAGGGGAGTTCTTAAATGATAAGAACTCATGAATACAATGAAAGGAACAATCAACAGTGGTGTTTTCTTGAGGGTGGAGGGTAGGAGGAAGGAGCAGAGCAGAAAAGATAACGACTGGGTACTGGGCTTAAATACCGGGGTGATGAAATAATCTGTACAACAGACCAGCATGACATGAGTTTAAGTATGTAAGAAACCTTCACATGTACCTCCAAACCTAAAATAAAAGTTAAGAAACCCTGACTTTGTCACAGTGCTACTATGTGCATATTCTCTGGGTGCTGAAGCCCAGCAAGGAGGGCAGTCTAGTTACGTCTGCTTTACAACATCCTGGCCCTCTATGGAGAGCCAGGTCTATTTGGTTTTGAATCTTCTGCACAAGTATAGAGCTTGACATAACTGTGGATACTCATGAACTACTTGTCAAAATGAATTTAAACAAGAATAATTACTGCATCCTAAGAAAAAAGAAAATGAGAATAAAATCATGATTTTTTTTCCTATTGGCTATTCTCTTGGGTAATAATTTGTTATGAAGGTCTATAATTATGTTTTTATATTGGTAATTATTAGTATTTTAAAAACAATTTGCTTTCAGGGGTGTTTGTTTATAGAATAATTCTTATAGAACCACATATGATTTTATTGTTTAAAGTTTATATAAGTTTAATATTTGAAAATGTTATCACTGTTGTGATTGCATTCTTTCTTTTTTTGTTGTTGTTATACTTTAAGTTCTGGGATACATGTGCATAACGTGCAGGTTTGTTACATAGGTATACACGTGCCATGGAGAACCACATATGATTTCATTTGCTTTAGAAGCAATTCTGAAAATGTAACCCAACTATTTTTTAAACATGTGTAAGTTTTCCTCTGAGTTTGCATCTAGGTTTACATGTATCATGTGTGGGAAATTTCATGCACAGAGCTATCTAAAAAAGTTATGACAACATAAAGAGCATTTAAAAGCCAGTGGGTATCACATCACCTGGGAAAGTAGAGGGACCTGCCTCTAGCTCATGATTAGTAGTGACACCAAATATAAAAGAAAAAATAATCTCAGGCAAACATAGTTCTGTGCTTTTATTAGACGTAGAAATTACGTTTGAATAGTATAATAAAAATGAACAATGTAGGAATTTATATCCAAAATCTAGATACCAAACATCTTCAAAAACCTGGACTTACTAATAACTATACAAATGATTTCTATATGTCATTCTTAAAATTCAAAATCAATCTGATATTATCAGAATTAATATAATGTTATCTTCTAATATTTCAGAAGCAGAAGCTGTCCTCCCGTGTTTAGCAGTTTTAAGGTATAACTACAACTTTATGAAATATCTGTGAGTTTCTGTTAAATGGGCATTCTGATGAAATTGATGAAAAAGGACTTGTTGCCTTTTTTGTTTTTGGAATAGTTTCACGCTTCACTGTATTTTATTAGAACAAGAATCTTACTGCAAATGGCTGAGATCAGGACAATTTTACACAAAGCTGAGAGATCTGATCCAATGAAGGAGAGGGACAGAATAGGCAGGGAAGAATACATACTAACCTTGTGTAAACACTCGAGTGCTCTGGTTTCCAAGGCCAGTTTTGATAATGAAGCCATGCTCTGGTCCTCTGGTCACTTTATACTTCAGAAGCCTGTGGGGACTGTCCTGATCTTCTGCCTTCAGAGACTTGCTGGTAATCAGGAAGCCCATGTGTCCAGTGTGAAGGCGCTTCAAGGCTGGGGCACCCCTGTTGGTAGTAATCTGGGGAAGCCTATTGTCTAATGATCTTATCTGGACCCTCATTACTTGAGGTTTGTGTGTCGCCAGGGCAGTGTCTGGTAGGACATAGAAATCAGTGTGAGTGCCGTCTGTCACAGTCAAGGAGAAACTATCTTCAGTGGTCTCACTGCCGTCATGCTTGTAGCTAATCAGGTTCTTGTTCAGGTCTTGCTTGGTGAAAGTGGTCACGGGACGGCTACCATTGTACAAAATCTTGCCATGCATGGGGACCTGGGTGATGGTAAAGAGAATAAGGTCATCTGGGGTATCACTGTCTTCCACTGTCAACTCAAGGAGAGTGATCAGTTGGCTATCCTCTTTCTGTAGTGTTAGTCTATGGATGGTCAAGATAGGTTTCTTATTATCCACATCAGTGATGAAGATCCTGAAGGTTCTGAACACAGGGTAGAGTTCGCCGATCACTTGAAATTCGAAGCTGTCCATCTTTTTCTCATCATTTGAAGTATGGACATAGGATATTTTGTTGCTAGCCAATTGAAGTTGAGTGAAAGAGGCAATGGGTTCCCCAGCATAGTCAGAACTTTCTAAGTGACCCAGGCTTGGAGCCCGTGTAATGCTAAAGTGATGTTCATCAGAGCTGTTGATGTCACTGTTGGTAAGCAGATTGTTGGTAAGGGTCACTCTGGCACCTTCTATCAAGGTGATCCTTTTGCTGATTACCTCAGGGAAGACGCTGTCTAAGTTGCCAATGGTGACATAGAAGTAGTGGTCTGTCAAAGTGTTAACCCCATCAGTAACATCAAACTTGATAATGTCAACAATCCCTTCTTGGCCTGTGTGGATATAGCAGATGAGGCCTCTGTTAATCTCATCCTGGGTAAAGTTCATTCCCAGAGTAAGATTGTTCCTCACTTCTCCTCTGGGTTTTCTCAGCCTCTGTAGAAGCCCTTGTTGAGGCCCAGAATGGAGGACAAAACTGAGGCTTTTATCATCTGAGTCAAGATCTGTGGCCTTGAGGATCCGATTTGTGATGATCTCAGAGTGTCCTTTCTCTACCTTCAGCCCATTGTTGACAGTCAGGTGAGGAGTTTCATCATCCACTAGGGTCACTACAATGGGTACCTTCCTGTGGGTTGTGTGCTTGCCGTCACTCAGCCAGACCTCAAAACTGTCCTCTTTTGTCTCTGAGTCATCATGCTCATACACAATGGTGGAGGCCTCCTGGATCTCCTTGAGGGTGAAGCTGTGGATGGGCTGGCTGCCTGTAGCCAGCTGCTGTATGATTCGTCCATGCCGAGGGAGGGCTGTGAGTTGAAAGTGGAGCTCATTTGGTGGCAGGTCAGCATCTGCTCCATTAAGCAGCTGGGTGTCTATGACCAGGCTCATCCCCTCTAGTACCTTAAACTCATGGGCAAAAAGTTTAGGCTGCTCATCATTGGTGGGTAGGATGATTATAGGGAAGAAGACATTTGGGGAGAAGTTGATGCCATCAGAGCAATAAAAGGTGAATTGGTCCTCTTGTGGCTCTACTCCCTTGTGAATACTCTGTACATAATTGATATGCCTCACTTGGATATCTCTGAGGGAGAAAGCACTGATAGGGCTACCAGACTGGGACATTTTTGAACCAGGAGCTGATGCAATCTTTTCCAGGTAGCCAGAGGCTGGCTGACTAGTCACTGTGCAGAGGAGTTCATCTTGATGAGTGTCCACATCTTCAACATGGAGATGTTGTAAGGTCAAGGAGTTCTTCTCACCTTCATAGACAATGAAGGACTCCCCGACGAAGACCTTGGGTCCCACATTGTCCACAGGCAGCACAGTTACTTGTACCTGTACTTTCTCTATTATGCTATTCCCCACTACCCATTGGTAAGAATCTTTGGAGAGGATGAGGCTGAAGGCATCGTGCTGCTTTTGAAAACCAACTTCACCTGCAGTGTGGGCATAGGCTACTCTCCCATTGATGAGATCCTCTTGGGTGAATCGTTCTGTGGGCAAACCATTTACCAGAATAGTGCCCAGTTTGGGGCTGTCCTTTACAATGAAAGACAGCATCAAGTCACCTACATCCTTCCTTTTGCCATGGATGACACCCATGGTAATTTCAGTGGCTTTATTCTCTAGTACGTCTATAGAAACATCCAATAATGAACTACTTCTGAGAGAGATCCTAGGACTTCTGTTAGCCACATTGGGATGCACAGAAATTGGGATGGTGATGGGTATATGGTGCACCCCATCACTTACTTCCAGATGGAAAGTGTCACTGGTAGTCGTCTGGTCTCTGCCATGCTGGTAAGAGACACTCCCGTTAATAACATCAGCTTGCATGAAAGATTCCCCTGGGACCATACATCTTTTAAAGTACTGCAAGTGTCCATGTTGGGGACCCCGGACTAATATGAAGACAATTTGGTCAATGTCTGTGTCTGGGTCTGTAACATGCAGCTCATTACTGCTGAGGTTAAAGCTGCCTCCCTCTAAGATAGCAAAGCCTCTGTTGGTGACTTCTGGGGGCTGGTTGTCCACAGGTTGCAGGAATAATGTGAATGTGCCTGGCACGCTATTGCCTGCAGCATCTTCCACCTGGTAAGTAAACTGCACAACCCGTGGTGCAATACCCAATTTCTGTGGAGGCTGGTAGGCAACTTTATGCTGATTTACCTGGGCTTGGGTAAAGTGCATGATGAGTGTGTCTGGTGAATCAGTGAGCACAATTTCTCCAGCCCGGACTTGGTGGTTGCCATCTGTGTCAGTCGGGAGTGTCAGTAGGGTGTACCATAGGTTCTGGTCATCAGAGTCCTGGTCAATGTATCGGAGGAAATTCTTCTGGAAGTGAGTGAGTTGGTATTCTTGTACAGTCATTTCTAGTGTAGTTCCTGGATACAGCTGTGGACTCAGTATATCCACTGGTTGGACCTTGATGGTGAAAATGTGCTGTTTGGAGAGATTGGGTGGGTCATGGTCATCCTGCACATGGAAAGCCAGCTGGACCATTACAGATTGAGGGCTGTGTGGTCCAAGATGGCGGTAGAAGAGTCTCCCTTCCATTATGTCTCTCTGTAGCCACTCAGTCACCACTTTCTCATAAAGCCCTTCCTTTTCCATGTAGTGCCAGTCTTCATCTTCAGTTGAGAGAGGTAGTTCAGCCTGCTGCAGCAACAGGTCCCCCAGGTAGTGGCCTGAGTGGGAGGAACCAGGGGCCAACTCCCACTGAGGCTCTTCCTCATTTCCTTTTAGGGGCTGGTTCTCCAGCACAAAGTGGATGGTTGAGTCCTCAGAGTCAATATCAGTAGCACTCAGTACAAAGGGAGAGATCTGGACCACCTGCCCTTCAGTGAGTGAGAGTCCTGTGTTAGTATTGACCATTGGTGGTTCATCATCCACAGGTAGGATGGTGAGGGGAAAGAGGAAGTCCACTTGGTGGTGCCCGTCCTCCATCCGGAAGATGATATTGTCACTGTAGGTGTTGCTGCCATCATGCTGATACACCACTCGCCCTGCTGCCAGGTCCGCTGGTGTGAAATACTTGCACCCAGCAGGTGCCCCAAACACCACCAGCTGCCCATGTCTCAAGCCCCTGACTGCAGCCATTTTCACCTCTTCCAGGTTATCTTTATCACTGATAGGAATGCTGTGGGTGCTGGACAAGGGCCTTGACTGACCTTCAAAAAGCACAAGTCCCCTGTTATGGCTAGCCACTGGGACCAGAGTATTCATGGATTTCACTGTCACCATGAAGGCAAAGGGGTCTGAGGCGGCGCCGTCTCCGTCCACCACCTCCAGCTCCAGCTGAAAGAGGCGCTCCCCATGGGAGTTCTCTGCAGGGGGCTGATAGGCAATCTTCAGCTCCCTCAGCTCCTGCTGGGTGAAGAAGGAGACTGGAAGCCCTAGAGGGTCGTCGGTGCTGACCACGTAGCCCTGTTGCCCCGGGTGCCCTGGTGGGTGAGTGGGGGCGTTCAGAATGTTGAACACCAGGTCACCAGGGTCTGACTCGACGTCCTCCGCGGCCAGTGCGTCAGGCGTCAGGGCTGTCAGCACCAGTGGATCCACCTCCATCATCATCGTGGCCATGAAGCTGGGCCTGGGCGGTGTGTTCTCGGCTCCGCCGCGGATCCTCACGAGCAGCTGGAAGTGCTCGCGGACCAGCACACCCGCGGACCCAGCGTCTTGGCCCTCAGGCCCCAGCAGCTCCACCATCATGGGCACGTAGTCACGGTTGGGCGAGGAGGTGGCTGTGTGCTGATAGCGCACCCCAGCACGGAGGAAAGCCTCACAGTCTACGCCCTTGCCCCTGGGGAGAGGGGCCCCCACCGCGTCCACCAAGCGCCCGTACTTGGGCAGGGGGCCGTCCTCGTGAGGAAGTGGGGTAAGCCGGCACCTGCGGGTGGCCGTGGCTCCAGACTTCAGGGAGGCGAAGTCCAGCACTCTCCTGTCTATGGCGCGGCTCCAGCTTCGCAGCTTCTCCACTACCAAAGGCCTGTTACGCGTCACCAGCTCCAGCTGGGAGAAGACCAAGTCCACCGCCAGCGTGAAGGGCAGCACCAGAGTGTGAGTCGGGGCGTCGTAGCGCAGCTGCAGCAGCACCCGGGCGCGTCCGGGGCTGTGGGAGCCGAAGTGAGTGTACTGGACTTGGCGGGGCCCGAAGGTGCAGGGGAAGCGGCGCGGGGAGAGCGCGCCCTTGAGCCGCGGCAGGGCGTCCAGTACCGTGACTTCGCACCGGTCCCCCGGCTGCACTCCAATCACCAGATCCCGGAGCGGGTCGAGCCAAAGGGAACGACCCAGGGGCACCCGGAGTCCAGGGTTGGCAATCAGCACGCTGGGGCCGTCGGGGCGAGTGCCGTCAAGCGCACCCCGGGCGGGCAGGTAAAGCGCCGGGTCGGGCTCGGTCCCAAGTGAGGATGCCCGTCCCTGCAGCGCGGGGCGACTCAAGAGCAGGCAGGCGAGCGCCACAAGGAGCTGCCGGGGCGTCCCAGTCGGGTGCCGAGAAGCCCCCGCCATGGCCACGGATGGCTCCTGGCGTTGGGATTCCCGGGGTGGGGTGCCCTGTGCAAAGAGGGATCTGCTGAGCGGCAGGTGCAGGCAGTGGAAGCAGTAGCTGCTGTCCAGTCGGTAGCCGACTTGCGGATCCAGCAAGAGCCAGCGGCTGCGCTTCGGCTGCTGCAGGTAACGGCAGCGGGGGAAGGGGCTCTGCCCACTTCCTGCTCAGCCCCGGTCGCAAGTCTCTCTCTGCTGGCTTCTGGGGACCCCAGATACGCGCCCAGCGCGGCGAGACTTAGCGAGGGTGCAGCGCTGTCCCCTCCGCTCCTGGGCGCTTCACCCAGCCTACCTTACACACCTTCTCGCCGGGAGCCGTGGCCGCCGCACTGCTGCCCGCGCTGCCAGACTCCGACCAGCTGTCTGGATACTCTCTTCCCCAGGTGCCACAAAGGGATTGTCCCTCAGGGTTGGGAGAGAGACGGTGACTGTACTCGGGTCAGTCCTGCGTCTGTGAGATTGAGCTCCTGTTGTCCATTCATCCAGGGATTGGTGTTTCTGAAAAGGGGGAGAGACACCATTCCTCTTCCTTACCGCTGACAGGAGTGTATCTTCTAGCCAAAAACTGAGTCTCACTTCGGACATAAAAGAAGCTGGTGGGAGCTATTTTGCAAATAGGATTTTCTAGCTGTCTGTCTGATGAAGCAGCTTATTCAGGATCTTGTAATTCGGTGCTTCCAAACAACCCTGACGTTTTTCTTCTGCTCAGGTTTTGAAAAAGAAAATCAGCACCCAAACTTACTTGAACAGCTTGTAATCTGGGTTTTTTTTTTTTTTTTTTTTTTTGTCATTGGGTCTCACATAACAAAATCAGGTGTGCGGCTCGGCTTCCTTTCGTTTTCTTAGAATGTGGTTTCCATATCTGATCAACAATGACTTGCCTGTTAGTTTATTAGACATGCTGTTTTCTAATTACTTTCTTCGTAGACAGTAGCCAGAGGGGAGGATGTCAAAGGAAACAGTAGCAGAATACTTGGATCAATTTCTGTGGCTCAATCATTTAACACCTGGAATCAGTCTCTTCATGGCTTTCAGATGAAGGTGACTATGGATGTAGTGTTAGGTACTTAACAGAATCCTATTAATTTTTTAAGTTTTAAAATAGCCAATTTAGTTACAGTGCAGAGTAATCTTTTTCTATAAATAAAGTAGTAGTAATAGTAACGTGCTTCCTTATAAAATTAATGTGAATGTGAGAGACTTTTTGATGACAGTAAAAATAGATGTCTACAAACTATATTGATAGAAATGGCTTCAAGGGGGAATAGAAATCTTTAAATGTTATCCCCATGTTATTCTTTTAGTTTTTTACCGTGTTACAAATGCCTGTTTTATTCACAGCAGCAACGGCATCAGCTGATTTTCAGGGCAAGAATAATCTGCTAGTGACTTGAAAGATTTAATTTTCTCTCTAAACATTTAATTTAATCATCCAGTGAAATGCTATGGGTCTATACAATTCACTTTAGTTGAATGTTAGTGTGCCCCATTAGCACACAGATTTGTTCATATAACAGAATTTTGAGATAATAAGTTTGAATCAATATGTGTTTAGCCTAATGATACAGTATTAGTTCAGTGTATCTGGAAAAATATTATTTAAAAATATATTTCTAATTGAAACACAGGTAAAGTTTCATTGTAAATGAGTCATTATATTATATTTTATAAAGCTGCTGCCTTGTCCAAAGGATGGGTTTTTAATGGTAGAACTTTTATTAGTTTGCATATATTAAAGTTACCAAATGAATATTCCTATAGGAGTGCAGTTTTGGTTCTTTTTCAAGCACACTCACTCACTTTGGGACAAGTACCTTTTTTTCTATGCTATTTTCACTGGAAGTAGAGATGGATGTGGGCAGCTGAGATAACAGAAAGCTGAACTACTATGTTTATATTTTTGTCCTCTGACCCTCCCTCTTCAGCATATATTCCCTTCACCTCTTTTTCACCATTAAATGTCTTAAAAGAGTTTTTTATTTCATTACTGTCTCCATTTCTTCACCTCTCACTCATTGTCTCTTTAGGGCACTCCCAGTCTGGTTTCCACCTTAGACACACCAAAAAAACTTTCACTAAGGTCATTAGTAACTTCCATCTGGCAAACTCCTATAACTATCTCTCATATTGTTAATGTTGCCACACCTTTCTGGTTTCTTTTCTACCTCCCAGTCTAAGTCTCATTTCTTCAGGAAGCATTTTTCAAATGCTCTTCAAACCATGTTGCAAAATCTCTGTAGTTATCTATTCATGTACAGGTCGATTAGTGTCTGTCTTCCCTGTTTGGCTTTAAGCTACAGGAGAGCAGGGAGTATGTAATGTTCACCATTGATACTTAGTGCTTATGCCAAGGACTGGCACATAGCAGGTATGTAATAAGTATTTGTTGATTGATTGATTGATTGAATGAATGAATAAATAGAAAAATGAAAGGGAATCAGAAGTAGTGATCGACATACTTTGCAGTTTAGGTGTCAGGCAGGAGAAACCAGTGCAAGCGTAGGATGACTTCTTTCGTCTTTCCTCAGAATATGCCAGTTCATTAGAGGTCAGTGGAAGCTCTGTTTAGAAAATTCAAATTTGATTTCTAGCCAAATATTTATATTACCCAAATTTTCTTTTCACAGGGTAATTTCACTATCCATATTGTACTTCATTCTCTCATTAATCCAAATTTATTCTTTAAACCTGAGCTGCATCAAGTCTGTCATTAAGTGGGAAGGATGCCCAAGGTTTTCATAAGCCCTACATTATGGGATCATTGTGAAAAACCCCTGAAAGCTGGTTATGTGTCATATTTCTAATTTATATATAGTAACAGATCCCACTTCATACAGCTATCATAAGAATTAAACAGATTACTACACATAAAATGCTTTGAATAGTGCCTGGCACACAGTAAGCACTCAATAAATGTAAGTAATTATTATAATTATAGATAAGAAACTGAGACTTACAGGAGTTAAGTAGAAAAATTTTACCTTGCGAGTTAATTCCACTATAACTAAAAGTATGTCCTGTAGGGAAGGACTTCTTAATACCCCCATCACTTCAGGACAACTTTCCGTCATGCTACACTTCATAAATAACTGGCTCTGCCCTGAGGTACATAGAATAAATGGCATTAAATAGGTCATAGAAGGGAGACTATGTGTCCAAATATCCTGAGTGTGCTTTGGCAGAGAGAGAGTCCATTTTTAGAAAAGTCACATCCAGCTTTCAGAAGTTACTGGGAACAAGCAGGAAAAGTTCTCACCTCATGAACCAGGAAGCGCTAGAACAGCAGTCCGCATTCCCCCAAACTAATGGAGCCAAGACCAGCTATCTAACCTTTTCTTTGTGGAAGTTATTTTTTCTCTACCAGCTGGAGAAACAAAAGATCTTAAACCCCACATGTCACACCATGAATGCCTTGAATCAGGTTGCCTGCAAATGTTTAGCATTGATGTACTTCAGTAAAGCCTAGAGGCTTTGCTCTAATTGGGTCACCAGTGGGCTCTTAGAAGAACATGCTCCAGGGAGACTACAAGTAAAACAAAACAAAACAAAACATGGAAAACAAAACATTAAAATGGCATCCAAACCATTTGTAACCTGTGGGGACTGCAGCTTCAAGAGAAGTTAACTAAACTAAGTCACACAGCCTGTCAGTGGCCAAGCCACCTTTGCTTCCATTACATATGGACTCCGTGGGGCGCCTGCATTTTCTGTGAGTCTCTCCCAACCTGAAGAATGCAGTAGCTGCAGCTCCACCTCAATAACTACATCTCAGGGCCATGTCTTTCTTTGCATAAATCTGGGCTAGGTTCTCCATGCCCTCCGGGATGGGCACCATTATTCTCTGTGCCTCTACACATGATAGGATGTTGGTAAAGGCAGGCTCCATACAGTGGAGCAAGGAGAAGATCATCATACCCAATGGGAATAACCAGTTAGCATATGTCAACAAGTGATGCTGCATTCATTAACTTTTAAAACATTCCCAACAAACTACTAGTCATCCTATTTCGCTTGCCTTCAGAAAGGTGGTTGAAAGTCAAGGTACAGGCTGGGCACGGTGGCTCATGCCTGTAATCCCAGCACTTTGAGAGGCTGAGGCAGGTGGATCACGAGGTCAGGAGATCGAGACCATCCTGGCTAAAATGGTGAAACCCCGTCTCTACTAAAAATACAAAAATTAGCCGGGCGTGGTGGCGGGCGCCTGTAGTCCCAGCTACTTGGGAGGCTGAGGCAGGAGAATGGCGTGAACCCCGGAGGCGGAGCTTGCAGTGAGCCGAGATTGTGCCACTGCACTCCAGCCTGGGCGACAGAGTGAGACTCCATCGCAAAAAATATATAAATAAATAAATGAATAAATAAATAAATAAAAAAGAAAGTCAAGTCCATTGGTAACGTCAGAGCCATTTGAGAACTGAGTGGTGTGAAAAAAGAGGGAAGAGGGAAATGAATGTTTTGCTTGTTCTTCTGAGACATCAACTAGCATCTAGAATAGAGCAGGTGTCCGGAGCTCTCTCATGCTAGAAAGAGCCATCCTTTAGGCTGTTGGCTACATGATCCCTGATTCTCAAAGTCCTGTTCAGGCTGTCACTACTCAGAGAAAACGATGGACAGCAAGGCATTCAGAAGAGGGCAGCATGTGCGAGGTAGGTGAAGAAGGCTCTATCTTGCTCTGGACCATCACAAAGAGCTGATTCAAACTCTCAATATTGGCAGAAAATAAGACCTTGGAAGAAGAAAAGGGGTTATTCAGCACTAAATTAAAACATGATAATTGATCATCTTCCTTTAAATCATACAACATATAAAAGAAGTAACTTTTATTTCAAAGAAAAGCACTAGGAACAGATGTAAAACAAGAATCAAAGCTAAAAGATAGGGTATTTTTCTAATGTACAATATATTCTTTGTTCTATTTATAGTATATATAAATACAATGCCTATTTAAATAGAGATTTCCTTTTAAATAGTTTCAAATTTTAGAAGAAAAATGATGATGAAGAAGAGTGATAGTACTTAATTGGCACTGGTTTTTTTGAGAACTTTTTGTTGAATCTAATCTCAAAATGACTTAAAGATAACATTACTTTGCACATTATTTGGGGTCTCCATTAATTCAATTTGAATGAGTTAATAAAAGTCTGGCTTTTAGGCATAGTCCTATTTATTAGTCTACAGGTTTTGTCTGATGAAGAATTATGTAATTTTACTAGATCAGCTTTTGTCTTTCTTAAAATACGATCCATTCCACATTATAATCATGACTTTAGCACTGAAGTCGAAAGCTCAGATAAATTCTGAAAATGACTTGTTAGTATATTTGTCAGTTAGATAAAATTACAATTACTTCTCAGTTATTTTTTTATTTTGCATGTCCTCTCAGAGCATTCCATTGTGATGTTTCCCCCTTTGATCAATAGTAAAAGTGCAGAATATGGGTAGGAAATACATGACTATTGAAATATGATTCTACCTTCATTAAATATGTTTTCTAAGAGATCATTAATGTCTTCAGCAATATTTTACTATATGATTTTGCATCATACAGTATGTTATTATCATACCTACAAAATATGACCAGTAGCTATTGAATAGATGTTCAAATATCATATAAATGTTATCATTTAAACATTAATATGTTTTTGGAAGATGTTAGTCAAAGGGTACAAAGTTTCAGTTATGCAGGTTTAATAAGTTCTAGAGATCTAATGTATAACATAGTGCCTATAGTTAACAATACTGTACTGTACAGTTGAAATTTGCTAAGATCTTAAATATTCTCACCACACACACACACACAAACTATGTGAGGTGATAAATAAGTTAATTAGTTTAATTGTGGCAATTATTTCACAATGACTTTGTATACCAAAGCATCATGTTATGCACTTTAAATGTAAAAAACGTTTATTTGTCAACTATATATCAGTAAAACTGGGAAAAACATTAACATGTTTTTATGTTAATTTTTATTATGGATTAAAGGGTACATGAGCAGGTTTGTTACGTGAGTATATTGTGTGATGCTGAGGCTTGGGATCCCAATGATCCTGTCACTCAGGCATTGAGCATAGTAAAACAAAGTAAAACCACCACTTTGAAGAACCAACAGGTGGTCTTCAGCCCACATCCTTCTCCCTCTCTCCCCGTCTAGTAGTCCCCAGTGTCTGTTGTTCCCGTCTTTACACTCATGTGTACTCAATGTTTAGCTTCCACTTGTAAGTGAGACCATGTGATATTTGATTTTCTGTTACTGTGTCAGTTTGCTTAGGATAATGGCCTCCAGCTGCATACATGTTGCTGCAAAGGACACAATTTCATTCTTTTTTGTGGCTGTATAGTATTCCATGGTGTATATGTACCACATTGATGGACACCTAGATCGATTCCAAGTCTTTGCTATTGTGAATAGCACTGCAATGAACACATGAGTGCAGGTGTCTTTCTGATAGGATAAACTATTTTCCTTGGGGTATATGCCCAGTAGTGGTATTGCTGGGTTGAATGGCAGTTCTGTTTTAAGTACTTTGAGAAATCTCCAAACTGCTTTCCACAGTAGCTGAATGAGTTTGCACTCCCACTGACAGTGTATAAGTGCTCTCTTTCCTCTGCGGTTTTGCCAGCATCTGTTATTTTTTGACTTTTTAATAATTGCCATTTGGACTGGTGTCAGATGGTATCTCATTGTGGTTTTGATCTGCATTTCTTTGATATCGTTGATGATTAGTTATGTGGAGCGTTTTTCATATGTTTATTGGCTGCATGCACGTCTTCTTTTGAGAAGTGTCTCTTCATATCCTTTGCCCATTTTTTCATTGAACTTTGATTTCTTTTTTTTGCTGTTGATTTAAGTTCCTTGTAGATTCTATATATTAGAACTGTGTTGGCCAGGCACGGTGGCTCATGCCTGTAATCCAAGCACTTTGGGAGGACAAGGTGGGCAGATTACCTGAGGTCAGGAGTTTGAGACCATCCTGGCCAACATGGTGAAACCCCGTCCTACTAAAAATACAAAAATTAGCGGGGTGTGGTGGAACGTTCCTGTAATCCCAGCTACTTGGTAGGCTGAGGCAGGAGAATTGCTTGAGCCCAGGAGACAGAGGTTGCAGTGAGCCAAGATTGTGCCACTGCACTCCAGCCTGGCTGATAGAGCAAGACTCTGTCAAAAAACAAACAAACAAACAAACAAACAAAAAAAACCGTGTCAGATGCGATGCATAGTTTGCAGATATTTTCTCCCATTCTTTTGGCTTTCTGTTTACTCCATTGGTAAGTTCTTTTGCTGTGTAGAAGCTCTTTAATTAGGTTCTACTTGTCAATTTTTTTTTTGTTGCAATTGTTTTTGGGAACTTAGTCATAAATTCTTTGCCAAAGCCTATATTGAGAAGGGTATTTCCTAGGTTTTCTTCTAGGATTTTTGTAGTTGGAAGTGTTACATTTAAATCCCATCTTGAGTTAATTTTTATATGTGGTGAGAGGTAGGGTCCAGTTTCTTCTGCATATGGCTAGCCAACTATCCCAGTACCATTTATTGAATAGGGAGTCATTTCCTCATTGCTTATTTTTGTTGATTTTGTCAAAGATCAGATATTTGTAGGTGTGCAGGTTTAATTCTAGGTTTTCTATTCCATTCAACTTGTCTATGTTTTTTTTTTGTTGTTGTTGTTGTTTTTTAAAACCAGTGCCATGCTGTTTTGGCTGCTGTAGCCTTAGAGTGTAGTTTGAAGTCAGGCAATGTGATAGCTCCAGTTTTGTTATTTTTGTTTAGGATACTTTGGTTATTTGGACTCTTTTTTGGTTCCAAATGAATTTTAGAAAAATTTTTTCTAATTCTGTAAAATACTCTGTGTTAATATTAAATGGTGTGGTATTAGTTTTCTAGGACTGCCGTAATAAGGCGCTACAGGTTTAGGAGTGGCTTAAACCACAAAAATCTATTGTCTCACAGTTCTGGAGGCTGGAAGTCCAGAATGAAGATATTGAGAGGTGGCTCCTCCTGAGGACTGTTGGGGAAAGAATCTCTTCCAGGTCTTTCTTTTTGAGTTTTAGATAGTGGCCTCTTTCTATGTCTCTTCACATTGTCTTTCCTCTATCTGTGTCTGTGTGTCTAAATTTCACCTTTTCCTAAGAACCCCAGTAATACTGGATTAGGGCCCACTTTACTGACCTCATTTGAACTTGATAATCTCTGTAAAGACCCTATCTGTAAATAAGGTCTCATTCTCAAGTACTTGGGGTTAGAACTTCAACATATGAATTTTAGGAGATGTAATTTAACTCATAGAGCTCTCACACTGGCCCTCTAAAAGTCGTGCCCTCTTCACATGAAAAATAGATTCACCTTATCCCAACATCTCCCAAAGTTTTAAACCATTCTGGCATCAACTCTAAGTCCCAAATATCATCCAGATATCATCTTAATCAATTATGGATGAGATATGGAGAATGACTCACCCAGGAAAAAAATCCTCTGCAGCTGTGAACCTGTGAAACTAGACAAGTTATCTGCTTCCGAAATACAACAGTAGGACAGGCATAGGGTAGACATTTCCACTCTGAAAGGGTGAAATCAGATGGAAAAATGAGGTTATGGGTCCTAGGCAAGTCTGAAACCTGGCAGAGCAAATTCCATTAGATTTGGAGGTTTGAGAATCCTCTTTGGCTGGATGCTCTGTCTACTCCGTTCTCCAGGCCCACCTGAGTGGCAGCTCTGCCCCTCAGCCCTGCTTGGATATGTGGTAATATTCTTAACTAGTTATAGCTACAAAGAATGTTACCGTGATAGGAAAATTTTTGCCAGGCAAGTCTTAGGGAGGGAAAAAAACATCTACCTGAATTCTACCTGATTAATAAGGGGCTGTTTTGTTCAACTTTAGCGTCAAGGCAGTGCTTAATGCAATAGGTGGTTAGGTAGGAAATGAACTTTGGAAACTTTTATATGTGAGAGCAAATTGTCACTTTATTATTAGATTCTTTCCAGCAATAATGATAATAAAAACTATCAATGATATGCCATATAGTCACATCTATTTTCATAATAATTTATTTATATAGACCCAAATTATTAAGCGATACCAAACTGACCTATGGAAAATACTGAGGTTATAGCTATATGTATTTTCCTCAGATAGGATTAAAAACTGTAATTTTCTGATTTAAACTAATCCAGGGATGTGGTGGAAAGCCTGTCATATAAATGTCACTTCAGTAATTGACCTATTATTTTTGAAATGCTATCCAGGGTAACTGCAAGGATATTTTAATTATTATGTTTAGAATGTTTTAAAAACAGTGTGACAGTCAATTTTAAGTGTCAAGTTGTCTGCACCATGGGGTGCCCAGGTTAAACATTATTGCTGGGTGTGTCTCTGAGGGTGTTTCTGGATGGTATCAGGTTGGCATTTGAATCAGTGGACTCAGTAAAGTAGATTGCCCTACCCAATGCGCTGGGTGCTTAATCATCTAATTCGTTAAAAGCTTGAATAGAACAAAAAGACAGAGGAAGAAGGAATTAACCCCTTTCCCTTCCTGCCTGATTGCTTGAGCTGGGACATCAGTCTTTTCCCATGCTTGGTGCTCTTGGTTTCAGGCCTTCAGGCTTGGACTGAATTTCAGTGTTAGTTTCCCTGGGTCTCCAACTTGCATACAGCAGATCGTTGGACTTTTCAGTTCCATAATTGCATGAGCCAATTCCTTATAATAAATCTTTATATATATATATATATATATATATATATATATGTATCTTATTGGCTCTGTTTCTTCAGAGGACTGATTAATACAACTAGAGAATCTATTTATTTATTTTTGACTTTCAAGGACATTTTAAATACATTCAATAAACTTGTACAAAGTTTATTAAATCTTTTCTATTAACAGTTTCAAAGGGCTGAAGTGGTGGCTCACATCTGTAATCCCAGCACTTTACAGCACATCTGTAATCCCAGTGCTCAAGCGATTCTTGAGCCTAGGAGTTTGAGACCAGCCTGGGCAACATAGCAAGACCCCTTCTTAAAAAAAATAAAAAAAAACTAGCCAGGCATGGTGGTGCATGCCATAGTCCCAGCTACTTGGGTGGCTGAAGTGGGAGGATCGCTTAACCCATGAGGTCAAGGCTGCAGTGAGCCATGGCTGTGCCACTGCACTCCAGCCTGGACAACAGAGTGAGACCTTGTCTCAACAAAAAAGAAAAGTTCCAAAGGAAAGGGACTTAATCATTTGTTAAAAACTAATTTATAAATGGCATATTAAAGACATTTTTAAAAGAAAATTCTAATAGTAGCAGGATGGTCACATGAGATTAAATTTTCATCTGCATATGTGTGTGCATTCTCTCTTCTCAGCAACAAAGAGGCTTCTAATTGGTAAAGGCAGACTAACTTAGAATAGTAATCAGGGCTTCTTGGAGTCACGGCAGGTAGTACAACCTTTCATTCTTTTCCCCCTCCCCTAAAAGATAGGTGTGAGCACTTTGGAGTCACTTCCAAAAATTGGCTTAGAAAAGAAATACATTTTTGAGTCATTAAAGCCAAGTTGCATTAAGAATTTGGAGGGTTGACAAGATTAATGGTTGTAATAAGACTCTGTATGGAGAATTTGAAGGGGCTCTAAATTCAATTACTTACAGGATTAGACAAGTAACGTATATTAATTAAACCATAGGGTGTCAGAAAAAAAAGGAAGGGACTACATCTCTGTCTCTACTAGTAATCAAGAAGTACATACTTTACAGTCAAGCATTGTTCTCATATATGAAAGACATGACATTGTTTCACAAAGTATCTTTTGCCTTCTAAGATATAAGATTTTGGGGGAAGATAGTTCATCTTTTGGCACTAAAGGAATATTTAGACCACTGGGGTATATAGCATGGCATGGGCTAGGAAGAAAGGATCTTTGTACATGTTCAATTTCATTTTAAATATAAATCATAAGAAGTGACTCCATAGTAGGGATGATAAAGAAGCCACGCAGGCACTCAGTTATTGCCCCTGGTGGACTGTGATGTAGCAAGCAGGGATATTGAAGCCATGAGGGGGCTCCACAGGGGGTTCGCTGTGGATTGATCTTAGTTAGATTTTGTATGCAGGCCATCTGTTTGGATCAACATCCACTTAGTGCCTCATTTTTCTATTTCAGAGGATGTGTGGGGAAAATTAGGATGTTTTAGGGGAATGAAAAGAGAAGGGAAAGGGAAACAGAGATGGAGAAGACAACAAAACGGAAGTGAAGGGTCATAGGGAGAGAAATGCTGAAGGCACTGGGACCAACCACCTGGGGTCAGAGTTGAGTGAAATGACATATGGGAGTGCCTGGCATCCTGGCCTCCCAGCATCTGCTGTTTCCCTGCTCATTGCTCTCATTTGGGGTTAAGAATTGGCTTTACATTTCTGTGTCTTCCTAGGACCCAACACATAGTAGATGTCCCGTAGGTGGTTTTCTTTTAAGTGAACCATTCCAAAGTTTATGTTTAGCTGTCATATCTCACATAATAATTTGGTATTTTGAATAAAGATCTTTCTAGGCTTGGCTTTAGTTTCTGTGTAGTATGTAGAGGAATATAGTTGTGCTTTGAAGATTGTGTCTATCTTTCACTTCAGGACTGCTTGAAAGACAAGTCTTGTAACCAGATGTAAATAGGCAGGATATGAAGTTTATGAAGCTTTTGGCCCCATCTGTTTCCTATATTTGAACATGTACACCCTTCATAATCTAGAGATTAAAATTCACGTTTTTAAGTTAAAAAACTTGTATCTTTGAGTTATAAGAAATACATTTAAAGTAATCCAAACCCACACTGCATTTTAAGAAGTCTAGATTGCTTTTGTGTCAGTTGCAAAATGGGAAATGTTAATAACAAAACAGCGGCAGTGGGAGTGGAGTGATCACCCCAGTTGCTTTCCTTTTTGGTTATTGTCATTGAATGGGTTTATATTTAGTAATGTAACGTGTTTACTATTCATTTACAGTGATTGTAAAAGCAAGTTTTGAATAGATGCTTTAAGCATATGTGTAAATTCTGTGAGTTTTGTTATTGCACACATTATCATGAGAAATATTTTTATTGGCGTATTTGTTATCCAGACATTTATGGTGTTCAGTATCATTACTTTAACTTGTATGCCTTATAACATCAGACACTCTAAATTAAGATGCAGTTGGTAATTCCATAGTTCTTTGAATTTGTGAACTAAGTTTGCAAACTGTGGTCTTTATGAGAAAGAATTCAATATTTTCAAACTTGGAAGAACTAGAGAATGTCCTTTTCAATATAAAGACCAATGGGAGCATTAATAAAAATGATGAACAATTGAAATAATAATTCTAACTAAATAATTTGTTTTTGGAATACAAAATTTTTTTCTGGTCTTAAAATAGCTAAATCCGTGAGTAGTGCTCATTGGGTAACAGTTTAACCACTACTTCTTTGTACTTGTGATACAATCTAAGGCATGTCAGGTATATCTCATGTTTGGCATAATGATAGGTCCTTGAATTCTGAGATTTGTAGTGTTGTTGCCAGGGTGACGTCTTATCCCCCTGGTTGTTTAGCATGGCCAGACAGCACTCTTACATATTGAATCTTTTTGGTGCTGCAGTTTCAGGCAAAGCACAATTTAATAGGTGCGGGCAATATATATATATATATATATATATATATATATGAATACACATACACTATATATAATACATATATATGCACATATGTGTGTGTACACACATAGATACTATTTAAACTGTGACATAAAAACAACAGACATATTGAGTTGAATTCTGTACGTTAACACATTGGAGATGATCAATGCTATAATTTGTGCTGCCAGCTTAATTCATTTTTGCACAGCTATCGGAAAATCCTGCCATCTTTGTTTAGTTGGAATTTTCCTGAAATTACAAGGCAAGCTTATAAAAACCAGTTATTTATAATGTGTATCTGTTTGAATCAGACTTTCTATATACTGTGCAATCAAAGGAGAATAAAGAAAGAATCTGGATCCTAAGCTGATGAAATATGGTGAAATGTGTATGCTAAGCAAGTGAAGTTGTTGTAGTTGCCTGCAGTAAGTAAGGCCTGGTGCCTCTGATTATGATTTTGGAGTCCAAATAGGAGGTACTGGAGGAATCCTGGCCTTGTGGTGTCTCGGAGACCTGGACTCTGCTTATTAGTTACGTTTCCTTAGGCAAGAGCCACAACTCGTGTACATGACCCTTCTGAATCTCGGCTCTCCTGCCTGCAATATGTACTTAATAATACCTGTCTCTCCATCATGAGGTGTGAATAAAGCAATGGGTGTGAAAGCCCATTGCTATATGTGAAATCCTCTGTAATGTAAATAACTACCACAAACAGAACAGGTTCTTGGCTGCAGATCTGGTGCCCTATTTTCTGCATTCCTTCCCAGAAGTGTTGTTCTACATCCTTCCCATGTTCCCTATAGCAAACTCACTTTTATCCTCTAGGACTATCCTCTGTCCCCTGGCTTGACCTGGCTATTGGGAATTTCTTTGTTACTTTTGGTGCTCTTCCCCCGACCCCTACCCGCTTCACCTGCAGGCATCATCTGTGGTGGGTTTTTAATGTTGAGCTGTGGATTTTTGGCATGAGATGTGTTATTTTCCTGAAATGAGGGGTCTGGTAAAGGGCTGTGAATTAGATGTTGCCCTTGCTGTGTGCCTTGTTTGCTCTGCCATAGAAAACAAAAGATCCAGTTTCTACATTAGCATTTCAATGTTAAATGCAAGGAGAATTGGTCTCAGGGTCACCAATGTCTGGGACTGAAATTTTACCCAGCTCCAGAAAGTCTGCTGGCAATAACCCATTCTTTCTGATTTTTAAATGCAGAAACACTTCTTTTTTAGGCACTTCAAACATTTCTGTTTTCATTGGAGCTAAAGGATTTTAGTGCATCCAAATGTAATGTCACTGATAACAATGGAGAAGATAATGCTGTCTTTGCCTCAGTTTCTATGTTTTAAAAAATAAAAACGAGTTAAAATTTTCACTGTATGTTGAGAGACTTGTATTTACTGTTTAAAAGGAATAAAAATTAAGTTTTCTAGAACTTGAAGCAAGTAGGAGAAATTATATTTTGAGTGTTTGCTGGAGAAGAAATTGTATCATAATTATCTCCTCAGTGTGCTATTGCAAAAAAAAAATCTAAATCTTTGGGAATGGATAGAAAGACCATGTTTGATCTTTCTGCCACAGAACATAGAACTATGGAATAAAATTAAGATATCTGTAGTTGGGAGTAGACCCTTTGTATGGTATTTGATCATTTGTGTTACATTTGTAATATGATCTCTGATGGATCTGTGAAACACCATTTGATGTTGATTTATAATAAGAGTAGAACAGTTTCACTACGGTTATACCAGTTAATTTGGCAAAACGTCACAAGCCAAATGTGCTGGAGGAAATATCTGCCTTTCAATATTTTGTGCACTCTATTTTGTGTATTAGTTCAATTTGGCTACTGGAGGAAAGGGGATTTATGGTCTCTATTTTTAAAGCATTTTTCCTTGTTTTTAATCCGCTTTACTTTGCCAAAAACATGTAATTTTATTTTTCTGCTCAACTATGTTCGACTTCCTAGCATTATTCACTTTGGAAATGCCACAAAGATACTATCAGTTCTGTCTTTTACGATTTCAGGAGATTGAGTTTCTTTTTCTCTTCTAAAACACTTTGCAACACTAATAATGATTTAATTAATTATTTGGAGATCTTTAATGATCTATTTTCTGCAGAAGTGTAAGCTTTATGACAGCAGGATCCTGGTGTGCACTGTGTACACAGGGTTTCTGGTGGATTGTACAGTGTCTGGCACATGGAGAGTGGGCAACAGAATTTTATTCATTGGCTGAAATAGGGGATAAAACTCTGGCTTCAACACTTCACTGAGATAACTAATACATAAATCTCACTTTGTGTAAAGAGCTGGCAAGTA
Organism: Homo sapiens; assembly: GCF_000001405.40. Taxonomy (NCBI): domain Eukaryota; kingdom Metazoa; phylum Chordata; class Mammalia; order Primates; family Hominidae; genus Homo; species Homo sapiens. The sequence continues at coordinate 143,715,660 of NC_000004.12, forward strand.
TGCTTAAATAAGTTTATTCATCATGAGATAAAAATGATTGAGGTAATAGAATATTCATATTGATGTGTATATTGTTACAAGATAAAGCTATTAAGCACACAGCAAATCAGACCGAACAGTAGTCAATATTTTAGGAATCTTGTTATTTCATGGCCTAAGCTTTTGGAAATCCACATAAGGTAATCAAAATGCAGTCATAAGTAGAATTTGAATCTCCAAAGTCTCAACGTCATAGAAAAAGGTAATTTGTGGAAATAAAGATAATTTATCAAATTGATTTAATCTGACCAAAAAACTATGTTTATTAATAGCTATGTAAGCCATTGTCTTCTCTCTATACAGCAAAATCTTAATATTAAAATTGAGTTTAGTTTAAGGCAATTTTGCTTTGACCTTCTCCCTGAGTTTAAGGTATTCTGATTATGAGAAATGACTACAGAAAGACTTGGTGTGGCACCTTGGTAATTTGTGGAGTTAATGGCTCATTTTTAAATTAAAATTTTGTGGGGAGGAGACAGAAAGTACTAAATTTTGGAGCAGATATATTTATTATGCTTCATTTCCATTTGAAGTTAAGATTTCAGAGAACTGACTCTCTGAATATGACTCATCATATTCTAAAGTTACACCTCATAGGGTATGGAAAGTCTTTATTTCCTCTGAATATTAGTGGAGTGATTCCTTTGCAGGTGGTTCACTCTCCAAGGACCACACGACCTGTAGACAGACTGTGAAATAGTCACTTTGTTTCCCTATGACACTCTGGGACCATTCCCTCCTGGAGGTTTTTACTTTGAGATTTTCCATTATTCCTGTATATTGAACAATCACACCTAAATCTAAACCTTTCTTTCTTTTTTTTTATTATACTTTAAGTTTTAGGGTACATGTGCACAATGTGCCTGTTAGTTACATATGTATATATGTGCCATGCTGGTGTGCTGCACCCGTTAACTCGTCATTTAGCATTAGGTATATCTCCTAATGCTATCCCTCCCCCCTCCCCCCACCCCACAACAGTCCCCAGAGTGTGATGTTCCCTTTCCTGTGTCCATGTGTTCTCATTGTTCAGTTCCCATCTATGAGTGAGAACATGCGGTGTTTGGTTTTTTGTTCTTGCGATAGTTTACTGAGAATGATGATTTCCAGCTTTATCCATGTCCCTACAATGGACATGAACTCATCATTTTTTATGGCTGCATAGTATTCCATGGTGTATATGTGTCACATTTTCTTAATCCAGTCTATCATTGTTGGACATTTAGGTTGGTTCCAAGTCTTTGCTATTGTGAATAGTGCCTCAATAAACATATGTGTGCATGTGTCTTTATAGCAGCATGATTTATAGCCCTTTGGGTATATACCCAGTAATGGGATGGCTGGGTCAAATGGTATTTCTAGTTCTAGATCCCTGAGGAATCGCCACACTGACTTCCACAATGGTTGAACTAGTTTACAGTCCCACCAACAGTGTAAAAGTATTCCTATTTCTCCACATCCTCTCCAGCACCTGTTGTTTCCTGACTTTTTAATGATTGCCATTCTAACTGGTGTGAGACGGTATCTCATTGTGGTTTTGATTTGCATTTCTCTGATGGCCAGTGATGATGAGCATTTTTTCATGTGTCTTTTGGCTGCATAAATGTCTTCTTTTGAGAAGTGTCTGTTCATATCCTTTGCCCACTTTTTGATGGGGTTGTTTGTTTTTTTCTTGTAAATTTGTTTGAGTTCATTGTAGATTCTGGATATTAGCCCTTTGTCAGATGAGTAGGTTGCAAAAATTTTCTCCCATTTTGTAGGTTGCCTGTTCACTCTGATGGTAGTTTCTTTTTCTGTGCAGAGGCTCTTTAGTTTAATTAGATCCCATTTGTCAATTTTGGCTTTTGTTGCCATTGCTTTTGGTGTTTTAGACATGAAGTCCTTGCCCATGCCTATGTCCTGAATGGTATTGCCTAGGTTTTCTTCTAGGGTTTTTATGGTTTTAGGTCTAACGTTTAAGTCTTTAATCCATCTTGAATTAATTTTTGTATAAGGTGTAAGGAAGGGATCCAGTTTCACCTGTCTACATATGGCTAGCCAGTTTTCCCAGCTCCATTTATTAAATAGGGAATCCTTTCCCCATTGCTTGTTTTTCTCAGGTTTGTCAAAGATCAGATAGTTGTAGATATGCGGCGTTATTTCTGAGGGCTCTGTTCTGTTCCATTGATCTATATCTCTGTTTTGGTACCAGGACCATGCTGTTTTGGTTACTGTAGCCTTGTAGTATAGTTTGAAGTCAGGTAGGAGACCGCTAGCAAGACTAACAAAGAAAGAAAGAGAGAAGAATCAAATACACGCAATAAAAAATGATAAAGGGGATATCACCACCGATCCCACAGAAATACAAACTACCATCAGAGAATACTACAAACACCTCTACGCAAATAAACTAGAAAATCTAGAAGAAATGGATAAATTCCTCGACACATATACTCTCCCAAGACTAAACCAGGAAGAAGTTGAATCTCTGAATAGACCAATAACAGGATCTGAAATTGTGGCAATAATCAACAGCTTAACAACCAAAAAGAGTCCAGGACCAGATGGATTCACAGCCGAATTCTACCAGAGGTACAAGGAGGAACTGGTACATTCCTTCTGAAACTATTCCAATCAATAGAAAAAGAGGGAATCCTCCCTAACTCATTTTTTGAGGCCAGCATCATCCTGATACCAAAGCCTGGCAGAGACACAACCAAAAAAGAGAATTTTAGATCAATATCCTTGATGAACATCGATGCAAAAATCCTCAATAAAATACTGGCAAACAGAATCCAGCAGCACATCAAAAAGCTTATCCACCATGATCAAGTGGGCTTCATCCCTGGGATGCAAGGCTGGTTCAATATACGCAAATCAATAAACGTGATCCAGCATATAAACAGAATCAAAGACAAAAACCACATGATTATCTCAATAGATGCAGAAAAGGCCTTTGACAAAATTCAACAACGCTTCATGCTAAAAACTCTCAATAAATTAGATATTGATGGGACATATCTCAAAATAATAAGAGCTGTCTATGACAAACCCACAGCCAATATCATACTGAATGGGCAAAAACTGGAAGCATTCCCTTTGAAAACTGGCACAAGACAGGGATGCCCTCTCTCACCACTCCTATTCAACATAGTGTTGGAAGTTCTGGCCAGGGCAATTAGGCAGGAGAAGGAAATAAAGGGTATTCAATTAGGAAAAGAGGAAGTCAGATTGTCCCTGTTTGCAGCAGACATGATTGTATATCTAGAAAACCCCATTGTCTCAGCCCAGAATCTGCTTAAGCTGATAAGCAACTTCAGCAAAGTCTCAGGATACAAAATCAATGTACAAAAATCACAAGCATTCTTATACAACAATAACAGACAAACAGAGAGCCAAATCATGAGTGAACTCCCATTCACAATTGCTTCAAAGAGAATAAAATACGTAGGAATCCAACTTACAAGGGATGTGAAGGATCTCTTCAAGGAGAACTACAAACCACTGCTCAATGAAATAAAAGAGGATACAAACAAATGGAAGAACATTCCATGCTCATGGGTAGGAAGAATCAATATCGTGAAAATGGCCATACTGCCCAAGGTAATTTATAGATTCAATGCCATCCCCATCAAGCTACCAATGACTTTCTTCACAGAATTGGAAAAAACTACTTTAAAGTTCATATGGAACCAAAAAAGAGCCCGCATCGCCAAGTCAATCCTAAGCCAAAAGAACAAAGCTGGAGGCATCACGCTAAACCTTTCTTTCTTATAAAAATATCTCTCACTTACTTTTTGTCATGAAAACTTTCAAGCATGCAGAAATGTAGAGAGAACAGTATAATGAACACTGATATCTGCAACACTTGGATATCACAATTATTAATGTTTTGCCATATTTGCTGAAGTATTCTGAGGAAACCATATAATATCACCTCACTTTATGTTCACATATCACAGCCTGCATTTCCCGAAGTAAAGACTCCTTCTTTCACAATTACACCACCACCACCACCACTGCACCAAAACCCCCAACAAACAAAAAAACAGTAAACAAAACCAAAAACCCTATAATGCCATTGAATGCAGTCTTTATTTATATTTTTCCAATTTTTTCAAAATGTCTTTTGTAACTGTTTTGTTTGGAATCCAATCAAGAACTAATCATTGTGTTTGATTGTTATGCCTTTTAAGTCTCTTATAAACTCTGGTCTAGGATCTGAATTTTAGAAAAGGGGAATTGAGGAGGTTGAACTGGGACCTTTGATAAGTCTGCTAAGCCCAAGTAGGATCCCAATAAGGAAGTGTTGGGACCGTGAGACCTGGGATAGGAGCATCAGGGTAGATGTGGGGGAGAAAAGATTCCCCCAAATCCTCTGGGCCTGCAGAAGCCACCTGCATCTTTTGCTAGAGGATAGCAACCAAGTCTCAACTGAGGTAGCTGTCTCATAAGATAATATTTGTCCTTCTCAAGATTCGTCCTCCTACCTATCCTCCTGACTTCCAGACCAGTAACTAGAGTCAAGTATCAGCATGGCTCTCCTAGGAAAGTGACTGCAATGCCAAGGGAGAAAGGAATGACCCACAGAAGATCTGTGACCTGACTGACATATACTGGAAAACACTGAAGAACATGCCTGAAAATAGATCTTGAGGGTGCTGGACTGGGGCATGGAGACATAATGTAAGGCTGAACAGGGATCAATTTATTAATGCAGGCCACTGTCCAATAATTTAGGATGGAATGCTCTGGCAAGGGCATCTAGAGACATTCATATACTGCTAGGATGGTTCCTAAACTTGGAAGAAAAGACAGCCCATGTTAGGTGAAGTGGAGCTGCCATAATTCCCTTGGCTAAGAATTGAGAGAGGGCAAAAAAAGGCTTATAGAAATAGAAATGTTTGACTGAATCTTTTCTATAAGACCTGAGAATCTATCAGATGACTACATTCTTCAGAGTGGTCCAGAAGACACTCTCTTCACTAAGATGTTAAGAAATTTTCTGGTAACATTTAGATCCCTGGCATCATTTAGAAACTCAGAAATAGTTGTCCTTTGTAGGTTATGGCTGTTAGTAGGATTTTCTGTTATGGAATTTGAATGTTTTTTAGTGTATCAAAAATGATAGGATTTCAGAGAAGAAGAGGGCAAATGATAACACTGAATCATCAGAGGCAAAATGGAACTAAGTGTTGGATGGCTTGAGTCAGAATGGGAGCCCGGGAGCTCTGACCTGTAGAAATACATGTTAATTGCTAATAGAGCATAATATCCTAGGGGCATTTGGAAAAGGTATTATTTACTATATATAATCAAAGATAACAGAATGGATGAATGTAAGCAAAATGTCAGCTACCCTAGTGGGTTTTAATAAATGAGCCAGTTATCAGACATGAAGTTCATTGAATGAGTGGCTGCATCCCCTGGAAGAAGGATGCTACAATATCACAGCAAATATGTAGAAGAGCAGTTCCCCTAGTATTTCCCCCAAAGGGATCTATGGTCTCTTTTCCAGCAACTGTGCACCAACTGGGCACTAGATGTTCTGAGAGTTGCTGGATTAGGGTCAGATCAGGGTCTGAGCTCACACTGCTACCAAGGGACCTAAGACACTAATATGACTCCCTTTTCGAATAGAGGAATGTAGAGTTCAGCTGATCAATTGGACATGGAATGGACATGTTTGGCAGCTGGAAGAACTCTAATTTTGATTCATTGACTCATAAAATAAAGGTTATCATTATAGTAAAAGACTGAGTGAAAGCTGCTAAAACTGACTTCCCTTTGCCCCACAGCCTTGAAACTGCCAAGACAGGAAAACAGTCCACCAAATGGTGGAAGTGTGAATCACCTCACCATCATTCACAGTGTCCCCTTTGGAGGAATTTTTGCTTTCTGTTTCAATAGCTTTAGGTTGTATGGATGGAGAGATTTGGTTCCCAGAGAGGAGAGTCAATAAGAATCCTACCAAGCCTAAAGTTCCAGTTATTATTTAGTCATTTTGGTCACTTCGTGCTGACAATTTATTTCACTCATCATGAGAGGTATAACTGCTGTTACAATAATTGCTTGGCATTTTGCAATTTGTGGGATCCACAGGGGCATCTCTTGGTACTCTTATACTTAAATTTAATTGTGAATGGACAATTAGGCAACCACTACCTGATGAGACTATGAGAACCATCAACCCCACAAAGATGAAGGCCAAAGTCACCCCATCAGAAGAACAACTGATGACAGCAGAAGTCTACCCAATGATGAGGAAATGTAGAGTTGGTGGTGTCTTAGTCCATTTTGTGCTGCCATAACAAAATACCTGAGACTGAGTAATTTATAAAGAACAGAGATTTATTTCTTACAGTTCTAGAGGCTGAGAAGTTCAAGGCCAAAGAGTCCATATCTGGTGAGGGACTTCACGCTGCATCATCCCATGGTGGAAGGTGCAAGAGCAAACAAGTGAGTCAGAGTGCCAGAGAGAGAGAGAGAGAGAGAGAGAGAGAGAGAGTGAGACAAAGAATGGGAGGGAGATGAACTCATTCTTTTACCAGGAACCTACTCCCATGATAACTAACCCACTCCCGAGATGAGGGCAGAGCCCTCATGACCTCATCATATTTGAAAAGTTACACCTCTCCACACTGTTGCATTGCGAATTATGTTTCCAACACATGAACTTTGAGGGGCCCATTCAAAGCAGGTAGTATAATTAATTTTTGCCTCAAAGCCAATCATAGCAGTGTGGACTGTAGTTTGTTCTAGTAATCTTTCTCTTCTAATTTTTCTCAAAAGAAATTATGTCTTTTTGTGAACAATGCAATTGGGTAAACTGAAATAGAGTGCATTTGAGAAGTTCATGGAGTGGACCATAGCAAATAAAGTCCATTCTCTGTTCAGATGCTTTGGATAGCTGTTTTACCATTTCTGTGCATATTTCAGGTTTAGCATACTCCTCTCTTGCTCCCCAGAAGACTGACTTGAGCTATGTAGTCCACTTTATTTCATATCCTTCAGACAGCCAGAAATGCCTCGAAATGTGTCACCCACCAACCCTTCACTGGCAGTCATTAGTGAATGACTGATAGGTATAGGAGTATTAAGTCTCAGCTCTCTTACCTGAGAGCTCTGAGACACAAGTCAGATTCTAGAGAAAGGTTTCTTGACCTTGGCACTATTGACATTTTGGACTTGATAGTTTCCTCTTGTGAGGGGCTATACATTGTAGCATGGTTAGTAGCATTTCTAACCTCTACCCCGTAGATGCTGATAGCACCTTCACAATTGTGACAATCAAACAATATCTCCAGGCATTGCCCAATGTTCCCTGGGGGTCAAGATCACCCCTGTTGAGAAACACTTCTCTAGAGTTTTCTGACAGATCAGGCTGAAGCTACTTTCTGTAGGACTTTGCTGACTTTACACCTTTGGTTGGCTTTTTCACTTTTCTTTCTTCCAACTCTCCTACTGGCTTTCTCTGAAAACATGTCCTTAATGAATCACTTGCACAAGAATCCTCATTTTAGGGACTACTTCCAAAGCACTCAACCCAAAACAGCATTTATACTTAAATGGTCCAGATTTAGCTATATAAATGAAATGACAAAACCATAAACTGTTTTTGTAAAAAATTATAAAAATGTGTAATTGTGACCCTGTTGTAGGCAAGGTTTTCTTAGACAAGATGCAAAAATAATTATCTGCAAAAGAAGTGACTGACAAATTTTAGCAAAGTGATATTAAGAACCTCTGTGAATATAAGAAGCCATTGTAGGGCAGGGCACGGTGGCTCCTGCCTGTAGTCCCAGCACTTTGGGAAGCTGAGGCAGGAGAATTGCTTGAGGCCACGAATTGAAGACCAGCCTGGTCAACATAGTGAGACCCCGTTTCTACAAAAAAATTAAAAAATTAGCCAGGCATGGTGGTGTGCTCCTGTAGTCCCAGCTACTCGGTAAGCTGAGGTGGGAAGATTGCTTGAGCCCAGGGGTTCCGGGCTGCAGTGAGCTATGAGTGTGCCACTGCACTCCAGTCTGGGAAACTGAGTGAGACTATCACACACAAACAAAAAAAAAGAAAGAAAGAAAATAAGCCATTATAAAGAGAGGGAGAAAAGACAAGCCACAGAATGTATGAAGATATATATAAAACATATATAGCCAATCTATGTTGTATGTTCATAAATATATATTGTACATATACTTAGAGTATATAAGGAATGTTTATAAATTGACAAGGACAAGACAGATATTCCAATAGAAAAATGGGCAAAGGACTCAAGTAGGCACTTTATGAGAATCTAATTTCAAATAGTCAATGGTCATACAAAAAGATGTTCAGTATCACTAATCATAAGGAAATGGAAAATTCATATGTATTTTGATACATTAAGCACCAACCAGATTAACAATTTAAAGAGTCTGACAACTTTTTAAAAAATAAGTGTTGGTGAGGGTGTGAAGCAATACAAATTCTTAGACACTGCAAGTGGGAGTATAAATTGGTAAAATCACTTGGCATAATCTGCTAGAACACACATATTCTGCCATCTTCCAATTTCTTTACTAGTTACGTGTACTCGAGAAATCCATACACAAATGCACCAGAATACTTAAATGAATATGTTCATTGTAGTATTCTATTAACAAGTCAAGCTGGAAATGACCCGATGTCCTCAACAGTACAAATGAATAAGTTAATTACAAAAATGTGCCTATATATAACAAACATAAGGAAAAAACAAAAGAATATCACTTATAAAAGAATACATATAAAATGATTTTATTTATATACATAGTATAGTTTTAAAATAGACAAAATCAAACTATATTGTTTATGAAAAGTATATTGGTGGTAAACTACTAAAGAAAAATAAAAAAAATTTCATAAAAGTCAGCAGAGTGAAAGAAGAAATATCAAAAGAAGAAAGGAAGAAAAGAAGAAGGGAAGGGGATTTGATCAAGGATGGGCACATGGGGCTTCTGGGCTGGACACTTTCTATTTTTTGACATAGTGGTTCATTTTATAATTATTTTAAAAATCTTAACTTTCATGTGCATTTTTCTCACAATAAAGGGTTTAAAAGAAATCTAATATTTTACTCTTTGTCCACAGTTTTTTACATGACCGACTTTCTCATCTCCTTTCCCTTGTGTCTGATTTCAACTTCACCTCAGTCCTTTGATTCCTTTAGCTTTTTTTTCAAAGCCACCAACCTTGTCCTGACTACTTCCTTCCCCATAGAGACCCCCTGATACATCACATTTGTCATTTGTGTTAGCACTTTGAGCTCCTTTGGTCCTTTGCCTTCTGCATTTGCTCAGCAAGCTGCCAAGCAGGGATTGCTCGGTCACGTCCTTCCCACAGGCACTAGACTGTAAGTGATATGGGGGTGAGTACCCATTGAAACAGATTCATAAATGAAATTATTCATGTTATGTAGTCTAAATTAAGCTGTCATTCTCTTTGGAATCAATTTCATGGGCCCAGTTTGCTTTCTCTTCCAATCTCTTTTTTTTTTTTATTATTATACTTTAAGTTTTAGGGTACATGTGCACATTGTGCAGGTTAGTTACATATGTATACATGTGCCATGCTGGTGCGCTGCACCCACTAACTCGTCATCTAGCATTAGGTATATCTCCCAATGCTATCCCTCCCCCCTCCCCCCACCCCACCACAGTCCCCAGAGTGTGATATTCCCTTTCCTGTGTCCATGTGATCTCATTGTTCAATTCCCACCTATGAGTGAGAATATGCGGTGTTTGGTTTTTTGTTCTTGCGATAGTTTACTGAGAATGATGATTCCCAATTTCATCCATGGGCCCAGTTTGCTTTCTCTTCCAATCTCTTCCAATCTCTTAAGTGACCGTGACTTTATCACTTACCTTAAGTTCCTTGTCAGGCTTTTGCTGAGTTTCATATTCTTTTTATAAATGTCCCACTGGACATCTTTGACTGAAAATCCCATGAAAACCTCAAATTCAACATATCCATGCTGAAGTCATCATCTCCCTCTGCCTTGGAGAATTTGCTCCCTCCATTATGTTCCCTGGAGTACACACTCCCTAGGAATCTCAGCTAGATGCCCAGGACTCTCTAGGAGTCCCTCTTCCTTAATACCACCAATTCTTTATCATGTCTGTCTACATATTCAGTAGACTATATCTCATATTTCTTCTTCTTCTCTTGCTTCTCTGGCACTGCCTTAATCCAATCGACCATGATGTCTCAATTAGATAATTGAAGAACAGTCTATACAAACTTCCTCTCTTCAGTCTCAGACTGTCCAGCCCAGCCACTGCATGGAAATTACTCATGCAATTATGTGGCTTAATATCCTTTAGGAGCCCCCCAAACTTACAAAGAAAACCCAGCTTGGTAGACTCAGTATATGTTTCCAGAATCAGAACATGGCATCCTGACTATCTCTTCGGTAGTACTGTCTTCCATTTACTGATTGGTTTAGCCAACTGACATTCTTGCTATTATTACATTGTGCCTACATGCCCTCACACATTCTTTCTCTGTTTCATAGTGAGTGTATGTTCATCCTTCAAACCTTAGCTAAAGCCCTTTTCTCATCTATGAATTCTCCTCATCTCACCTTGTCTTATTTAACCATTCCGTTTTCTACCCTACTGTGGATTGCACATTAATCTACTGAAGCATTTATCACATCATGCAGTATGTATATATGCCTATCTCACATCAGGCACAGGCATGGGTTTTAAAGCTTTATATATTTGGAATTACCATAAAACTGGTCACTTTAACAATGGTTTCATGAACAGTGCTTTACTTTTAAATTTTAAGGGTAAGGAAACTTGCTTTGAGATGAGTGCTGAGTGGGAATACGAAAGGGATTAGGTTTCGGGAATACACAGTAAAATGATCACAACATTTTTATAAAAATGTTAAAAAATTTTTTAACACCCCCTAAAATAAAAACAAGCCTTCCCATTGGCTTTTTCATGGCTGTCATTGAAATGAATGGAGGATACAGAGCATTTGTGCTGCAACAGTGAATGAAAGGTCTAGATCCCAAGAGACAGATAAAAATCTACAGCGTTTCAAAAAAGTTCCTTTATTTTTGTGTCCAATTTGTAGAAGAAATTGCTAGGTGATTACTCAACTCATTCTCTTCCCCTGGGCATTTTGGCCATTTTAGCCCACTTCTCTGCCATCAGATATGACCACATGACTCAGTTCCACCAATAGCTTGTGAATGGAAGTGATATGCACTACACCATGGCTAAGTTAACAGATCCTGTCAAAACAATCTTTCATGCTCTCTTCCACTTCTAGATGGTAGGAATATAACTGACTCTTGTGGCAACCTTGGAAACCTGGTATTGAAGAAAAGACCACAAAATGGAAAGAAATCTATGTCCCTGACACTGCATGGAGAAAAGCTACCTGACCAAAAATATACAAATTGGACTCTTTTGTGAGCAATAAATAAACTTTTATTGTGTTAAGCACTGAATGATGGGGTTAGATTGTTAAATCAATTAAGTGTCACTCTAATGTATACAGAAAAATATTTCTTTTCTCAAATATTTGTGGGCCAGTTTCTTTCGTTTGAATTATTTTGTATGTCAGGTAGAATTGGACCACATCTTCCAGCTCTACTGTCTTCACAGGAAAAACAAAAAGAGTTTCATCTACAGTCAAGCTCTTCTGTGGACACAATATTTCACTTTTTTGCTTTGCCATCCAATATAGTTTGTCCTTGTTTGAATGGTTTGGACAGATGCACCTACTTGTCCACTCTCCTGACCTTGGGAAAGGGAAGAACAGAGTCCAGGGAAAGCCGCTTTTTAGTGAAAGAGATGATGCAGAAGTTGCACACAGCACTGCCTCTCATATTTTATTGACTTGAACCTGGTTACATGGAAACAGAAGTAGGAAAGGTTGCTAAATTGTAGACCTGTGACTGTCTCCAATTACTAAAAGGAAGAAAGAGAAAATGGATACTGGAGGACAAGGAGTAACTCTTAGGACTACATAAGTAACTATATGCACACTTATTCTCACTCATAGGATACCTTCACCCTCTCTCCCAGGAGACAATCCAGAGTCTCATTAAGTTTCTGCATCCAGTTTAGAGTCCAGGAATTATAAGTGATGAGCCGTCCATTGTATCAGCTTCCAATGTGCTTCTTTGTAGTCTAGTGATCTAAAAGCTAATACATAAGTCATTTATAACCAAATTCCCATATAATCATCTATTACTGTGTAACAAATTAGTAAGCAGAAAGCTGAGACTTGAGACTCTTTGGGAAGTGAGCCCTCCTCCCTTGTCTTCATCCCCACATTTAGTGTCATCAACTCCTATTTGACTAAATCCTCTAAATCTCTCTTCATTCTTTAAATTTATCCACTTATTAGGTTGGTTCAAAAGCAATCACAGTTTTTATCATTGCTTTAATGTAAAAAGCAAACTTTCTTTTTTTCTTTTTATAAAAAGTAAACTGCAATTGTTTTTGCAGCAACCTAACATTTCCATTCCTGTGGCTACAACCTTGGCTCTGGCCACCATCACGTCTGAAGTAATCTTTGCAGTCACCCTGACTGTCCTCCTCTCCTTCAAGCTTGCCCTCGTCTAGTCTGTTCTCCACACTATGGCTGTAGTGGTTTTATTACATCAAGCATGCTTCCTGATGATACTGCTCTGCTTAAATATTTTCAATGTTTGTTTTGGCCGTCTTTTTGTCTTCATTCCTTACCACATAATTCAGAGCTCTCTGGGACCTGGATCCAGTGCAGATCTCCAGACTCATCTCTGTCCACTCTCAGGGACACTGGGCCATTAGCCATCTTGAACTTAGTCACTTACTTAAGGAGGCCTTGCTTCTCTTGCCTTTAGGCCTTTCCACAGCCTGTGTCCTCCATCTGAAGTATTTCTCCTTTCTCTCCTTTCCTAGCAAACTCTTACCCATGCTTTACATTTCAGCTTAAATATAAATTCTCTGGGAATTTTGCCTGAATCTTGGATTAGGTGTGGTCTCCAGCGCTCTATGCTCCCACAATGCCCTATATTAATTTCTTAGAAATGTTACAGGAAAGTACGACAAACTGGGTGGCTTAAAACAACCAAACTTTTTATTGTCTCACAGTTCTTAAGGCTAGAAGTGAAAAATCAAGGTGTCAGCATGACCATGCTCCCTGAGACTCAGGTAGAATCCTTCCTTCATAGTTTCTGGTGGTGCCTGCCAACTCTTGATGTTCCTTGACTTGCAGCTGCCATCACTCCAATCTCTGCATCTGTCAGCACGTGGCATTCTCTGTGTGTCTCTGTCTTCATGTGGCATTTTCCTCTTACAAGATCATCAGTCTTATTAGATTAGGGCCTATGCTAATGACCTTAGCTAAACTTTATTATATCTGCAAACACACTATTTTCAAATAAGTTTACATTCACAGTTACCTAGGGTTAGGACTTCAATATATCTTTCTGAGGGATACAATTAACCCAGAATCTTCTCCCCTAATTTCCTTTTCACAATACTCATTCCCTGTATTGTAATTATTCAATGTTCACCTTCCCTGATAGAGCATGCTTTCTTTTTTCACTGGATCCCCATTGTTTACGTGAATGGAGCACTTGTTGAAAGACCAGCTATGAGCTGGGAGAAAAAGTAGTGGGCTAAAGACTGGAGAAGCAGGCCAACCAAGAAATCAATGCTGTGAGGTTCTAAGCCTAAATAAACAGCAGGCTAGAATCACAGAATTACAGCTAGGGTTAGGCACAGAGTGGGTAGAGAAGTGGGGGAGGTGAAGTAGGGTCAACTCAAGAACACATTTTATAAGAAAATAATTCCAATTTGTTCCCTCTCTTCTGCATGAAGTTTTCCAGTCTTCTGGGAAGGAGACAGAGCTATAAAGTTTTGAACTTTTCTCCAGAGTTGCTGAAATGCTTTTTCACATCCTCACTTTTTTCTTAGTCTAAGGGATGTGATTATGTTCCCACAATGTGGATCCCTCAAAAGAAATTTTATGATCCGCAGGAAAGAAAACAGGACACAGAGAGCATACGAAATATTTATGGACATATTGTTATATTTTTCAAACTTTTCTTTATCCCCTCTTCCTGCATAGAGAATTTTGTATATATGATTCAATGGCTGACTATCCATTCCCTTGGCTCTCTGCTTCCCAGCCCACATACAGTGTAGCCCTCAATTCACTACCACTTTATGCAAATCACAATCAAGGTTTCACAGTATATGATATGAAAACCTTTCAACTTAGTAATTTTAAAAACCCTTATTAAGGTATTGATAAAAGTTGATGTTAGTGACTAAAATCAGTGAAAATATTCTACGTGCTTAGTTTATGCATATTTCCTTTTACTTTCATATTAGGGGTGTATTAGTTCCTTCTCATGCTACTGAAAAAGACATTCCCAAGACTGGGTAATTTATAAAGAAAAAGAGGTTTAATGGACTCATGGTTCCACATGGGTAGGGAAACCTGACAATCATAACAGAAGGTGAAAAGCATATCTTGCTTGGTGGCAAACAAGAGAGAAAATGAGAGCCAAGCAAAAAGGGAAACCCTTATAAAACCATCAGATCTCGTGAGACTTATTCACTACCATAAGAACAGTATAGGGGAAACTGCTCCCATGATTCAATTATCTCCCACCAGGTCCCTCCCACAACATGTGGGAATTATGGGCGCTATGCTTGAAGATGAGATTTGGGTGGGAACACAGCCAAACCATATCAAGGGGTAAGAAGAGTCTTGGTGAAAGTCCAGCTTTTTATTAGTTGTAACAGATTCTTTTTGATTACTTAATTTCAATAAGGATATTTTTAAGTCTAGTTGTGGAATATATGGGAGATGGAAGATGTGATCTGAAGAAAAACTTCGAGATCTACTGGTTTGCTTAATTAAGATCTACTGGTCTAACATTCTGTGAGATAATTCTAATACATGCTTACATACATACATTTATATTTTAATTATTTGTCATTTATTTTAAAGTTCTATAAAAATGATTTTAGAGTGTGGTTCTCAAGCAGGGGTAATGTTTGCTCTAGGGAGACATTTTACAGTGTTCAGAGGCATTTTTGGTTGTCATATGGGAGGTGGGGGATAGTGCAACAGACACCTAGTGGGTAAGGGCCAGGGATGTTGTTAAATATCCTGCAATGCACAGTACAGTTCCTGTGACAAGTAATTACCCAGTTCAAAATGTCAGTAGTGCTGAGGTTGGGAAACCCTGGTTTAGAGAAGAAACATTTAGCTGATGGAAAAAAAATTTGATTCATTTTTCTCAATTTCTCCTTTTTTTCTTTTTAATTCTGTCCTATTCCATAATCTCACTACCAAAAGTCTTAAGTACTAATTCATGTCATGGAAAAGTAAACAGAAAGAGAAGATGAGTTCTCTTCTTAATGCTAAATAATTTTCGAGCAGGAAATTAGGCAGTAATACACCCTTCTCAAAGCAGCTAAGCCAACTATTAGAGAGCCCTGGTATCCTAATTGAATCAATGTGATGGGAACGAGAAATATTCTGTCTGTAAGCTTTTGTTGAAGATGAGGCTGTTCACTGGCTGCTATCATTTAAAAAAGACAGAAGGAGTAAGGACCCTTCTTAGGGGTCCTCTGAGCCCCCCCTAAACATAAAATGAAGAAAAATCTTGAGTCTTTTCAAGAAAAGTTTCAGGTACCTAACTAGCCTTAAAAAATAAACAACTTAATAAGCAAGAAGGTAATAATAATTTAAAGCAATGGCCACCCAAATCAGTTAGAGCCACAAGATGTTTATTTCCCCATAAAAACTAAAGATAACATATTGACCTATGTCCCTGAGTTGTTTTTAAGAAGCCTGGACCCCTACCAGATGAAAAATGCTGACTTGCTATCACATAAACCTTTGATAAGGAAAGCTGAGGACTAAACTCTAATCAGCGTTCTGTGTCCTAAATCTCTTCTGGAGGATATTGCAAAGAGTCATGCCCACAGGTCAAACTTTAACATTCATTTCTGCTGACTCCAAGATGTCAGACAAAGTCTTTCTTGCTTTACCAACTGCAAATCAAAAAATCTCTGAATCCACCTATGGTCTGCAAGCCCCTGCTTTAAGATATCTCACCTTTTGGGGCCAAGCCAATGTATAGCCTCTATATACTGATTTATAACTTTGCCTGTAATCTCTGCCTCCCTGCCTTTAAAAACCCTTTGATATAAGCTCTCAGGAGTTTGGGTGTTAAGCATTAGCTTCCCAGTTCTCCTTGTTTGGCACCCTACAATAAACACCTCACTTTGCTCTTGCTGCAAATTCTGATGTCAGTGTTTGGCTTTGCTGTGCTGGATAGGTGGACTCAAGTTCAGTTTGATAACAAAACAAGTCTATTTCTAATATTTACCCAGAAACAAAAAGAATCTACCTATGGAGAGAAGTCTCATTCCCTGCTCCCCTCCACCTCCACCAACAATCCAGAAGTAAAGGACCTTCTGAGATAAAGTCATGGGTTTGGATTCCTAACAGCCAGGGTATAATTATGGTAATGTGATGCTTCTGGCATTTATAGAACAGAAGTATATGGCAGCATTTACACCTGACATTTAAAACTATACAAATCTGAGAATAGATATTAGGGTGATTGTTTTAGAGTTTTCAAATTATTGTCTATATTTAGATTTTGAAAAAAGGCATTATAATTAATACCTCTGTCAAAATGACAAGTTCTGTTTTGCAAAAAATAAATCTGAGAATAAGACTAATAGTGATATTCAAAGAATACGTTATTATAAATGTTTAAGGATGATTGTACTTAACTTCCACATGGTTTACTCTCTCACTTTATTCACCCCTCATCTTATCAGAAAGGCCTTTCAGGTCCACTTGCTCTAAAATAGCAATTCTTGGTCCTACTGCATCACTTTCTCCTTTCCTCACTTTATTTTATTACAGAACACTTATAATCACCTGAAAAAGTATGTATTTATTCACTTAGTTTATCTGTTGTCTTTCTTTGCCATTTCATCCTCTCTATGATGTAAACTACAAGATAACAGAAATTTTTGATTTTTAAAGCTGAATTCAGCAAGCACCTGTATGGTACCTACTATTTGCCAGGTACAATTCTAAGGACTTGTAGGTCTCTGAAAAGATTAACTTATTTAAGCTTCATATAACTCTGAGAAGTAGGTTATGCTGATATTCTCATTTTTCAAATGAGGAAACCAAGGAACAGAAAACTTAAGTAATTTGCCCCAAGTTACCCAGCTAGATAGTGGCAGAGTCAGGATTAGAATCAGACCTTCTCATTTCAGTGTCTTTGCTCCTAATCATTATATTACTGTTGTGTCTGCAGCTCCTAGAACAGTGTCTGTTTCAGACCAGGCTTCATAAGTATTTTTAAAAAATACAAGTATGGGTAGAAGTGTAGGTTCGTTATATAGTTAAATTGTGAGTCATGGGGATTTGGTGTTCAGATTATTTCATCACCTGGGTAATAAACATAGTAACTAACATAAGTAGTGTTTCAATCTTCACCTTCCTCCCATTCTCCACCCTCAAGTGGGCCCTGGTTTCTGTTTTCTTCTGTGTTCATGTGTACTCAATGTTTAGCTCCCACTTATAAATGAGAACATGTGGTATTTGGTTTTCTGTTCCTGTGTTGGGTTGTTTAGGATAATGGCTTCTAGCCCCATCCATGTTGGTGCAAAGGACATGATCTTGTTTTTTTATGGCTGTGTAGTATTCCATGTAGTATATGTACCACATTTTCTTTATCCAGTATACTGTTAATGAGCATTTAGATTGATTTCTTGTCTTTGCTATTGCAAATAGTGCTGTGGTGAACATATGTGTACACCTATCATTATGGTAGAATGATTTCTATTTCTTTGTGTATGTAGCCAATAAAGGGATTGCTGGGTCAAATGGTAGTTCTTTTCTAAATTATTTGAGACATTGCCAAACTGCTTTCCACAATGGCTGAACTAATTCACATTCCCACTAGTAGTGTATAAGTGTTCTTTTTTTCTCTGCAATCTTACCAGCATCTGTTATTGCATTAGTCTGTTTTTGCACTACTATAAAGAAATACCTGAGACAGGGTAATTCGTAAAGAAAAGAGATTTAATTGGCTCATGGTCCTGCAGGCTGTACAGGAAGCATAGGTGAGGAGGTCTCAGGAAACTTAAAATCATGGCAGAAGGCGAAAGGGACTATGAAGAAAGAAGAAATCTGCCCCCATGATCCAATCACCTTCCACCAGGCCCCACCTCCAAGATTGGGGACTACAATTTGACCTAAGAGTTGGGTGGGGACACAGACCCAAACCATATCATTCTGCCCCTGGCCCCTCCTAAATCTCACGTCCTTCTCATATTTCAAATTACAGTCATACCTTCCCAACAGTCCCCCAAAGTCTTAACTCATTCCAGCATTAACTCAGAAGTCCATAGTCCAAATTCCAAAGTTTCATCTGAGACAAGGGTAGACCCTTCCACTTCTGAGCCTGTAAAATAAAAAAGTGGTTAGTATAAAGTAAAAGTATAGGCATTGGGTAAATACTCCCTCTCCAAAAGGAAGAAATTGGCCAAAAGACAGAGTCTATAGACCCCGTGCAAGTCCAAAACCCAGCAGGGAAGGCATTAAATTAAAAAAAAAAATTCAATAGGGTTTTGTGGAACAGGTGGTGCATTGTTACATGGGTAAGTTCTTCTGTGGTGATTTCTGAGATTTTGATGCACCCATCAGCCAAGCAGTGTACACTACACCCAATGTGTAGTCCTTTATCCCTCTGCCCTATCCCACTCTTCCCCCAGAGTCCCCAAAGCCCACTCTATCATTCTTATGCCTTTGCATCCTCATAGTTTAGCTCTCACTTACAAGTGAGAACATGCTATGTTAGGTTTTCCATTCCTCAGTTTCTTCCCTTAGAATAGTGGTCTCCAACTCCATCCACAATGCTGTGAATGTCATTATTTTGTTCCTTTTTATGGCTGAGTAGTATTCCATGGTATTTTCTAGATATATACCATTTTCTTTATTCATTCATTGATTGATGAGCATTTGAGCTGTTTCCATATTTTTGCAATTGCGAATTGTGCTGCTATAAACATGCATGTGCAAGTATCTTTTTCATATAATGACTTCTTTTCCTTTGGATAGATACCCAGTAGTGAGATTGCTGGATCAAATGGTAGTTCTACTTTAGTTCTTTAAGGAATGTTCAAACTGTTTTCCACAGTGGTTGTACTAGTTTACATTCCCAGCGTCAGTGTAAAAGTGGTCCTTTTTCACCACATGCATGCCAACATCTATTATATTTTGATTTTTTGATTGTGGCCATTCTTATAGGAGTAAGGTGGTATCACATTGTGGTTTTGATTTGCATTTCCCTGATAATTATTGATTGAGCATTTTTTCATATGTTTGTTGCCCATTTGTGTATATTCTTTTAAGAATTGTCTATTCATATCCTTAGCTCACTTTTTGATGCGATTATTTGTTTTTTTCTTGCTAATTTTTTTGAGTTCCTTGTACATTCTGGATGTTAGTCTTTTGTTGGAGTCATAGTTTGCAAAATTTTTCTCTCATTCTGTGGGTTGTCTGTGTACTCTGCTGACAGTTCCTTTTGCTGTGCAAAAGCTCTTTGATTTAAGTAAGTCCCATCTATTTATCTTTGTTTTTGTTGCATTTCCTTTTGGGTTCTTGGTCATGAAGTCCTTGCTTAAGACAATGCCTAGCAGGGTTTTTTTTTATGTTATCTTCTCAAATTTTTATGGTTTCAAGTCTTAGATTTAAGTCTTTGATACACCTTGAGATGATATTTGTATGAGGTAAAAGATGAGGATCCAGTTTCATTCTTCTACATGTGGCTTGCCAATTATCCCAGCACCATTTGTTGAATGGGGTGTCATTTCCCCACTTTATGTTTTTGTTTGCTTTGTCAAAGACCAATTGACTATAAGTATTTGGGTTTATTTCTGGGTTCTCTATTCTGTTCCATTGATCTATGTGCCTATTTTTATACCAGTACCATGCAGTTTTGGTAACAATAGCCTTATAGTTAGTGTGAAGTCGGGTAATGTCATGTCTCCAGATTTGTTTTTTGCTTAGTCTTGCTTTGGCTATGCAGGCTCTTTTTTGGTTTAATATAAATTTAGGATTTTTTTTCTAGTTCTGTGAAGAATGATGGTGGTATTTTGATGGGAATTGTATTGAATGTGTAGATTGCTTTTAGCAGTATAGTCATTTTTGCGACATTGACCCTACCAATCCAGGAGCAAGGGATGTGTTTCTATTTGTTTGTGTCATCCATGATTTCTTTCAGCTGCGTTTCGTAGTTTTCCTTGTAGAGCTCTTTCACCTCCTTGGTTAGATATATTCCTAAGTATTTTATTTTTATTTTTTGCAGCTATTGTGGAAGGAGTTGAGTTCTTAATTTGATTTTCAGCTTGGTCGCTGTTGGTGTATAGCAGCACTACTGATTTGTGTACATTGATTTTGTATCCTGAAACTTTACTGAAGTTTCAGTTTCATTTATCATCAGATCTATGAGCTTTTTGGACGAGTCTTTAGGGTTTTCTAGGTATACAATCATATCATCAGTGAACAGCAACAGTTTTGTATACAACACTGTGGGGGGTAAGGGGAGGGACAGCGTTAGGAGAAATACCTAATGTAGATGACGGGTTGATGGGTGTGGCAAACCACCATGGCACGTGTATGCCTATGTAACAAACCTGCACGTTCTGCACATGTATCCCAGAACTTAAAGTATAATAATAATAATAATAAAAGGTTAACCCACTTCCACATCAACATTTGTTAATTTAACAAATATTTATTGAGTGCTGTGTGTCTGAAATACATCCATGAGAAAAGATAAAATCTAAACACCAACTAAAATGAAGATCCCTGTTTGCACAATAGTTCAATTTTAGCAGTAAATGTTTTATCATTCATTCTTCAGTGGTAAAGCTAGGGTAGTTTGTTTTTGAATACTGGTAAGTAGTCATAATCCCTGAACATTATAGACTGCAGAGTTCAACAGTAACTTTGAGAAAACATAATAATTGAGTCTGGCTCCCTGGTGAAAGGAAAAATATTACAGAGAATAAGTTTTTAAAGAATAAATATAATACATGAAAAAAATTATAAGTGAGAACTAGCTTTATTAGTCCATGTTTATTGCGTTCTCATATAAGGGATATGACATGGTTTGGCTTTGTCCCCACCCAAATCCTATCTAGAATTGTAATCTCCATAATCCCCATATGCCAAGGGAGGGACCTGGGGAGAGGTGATTGGATCTTGGGGCAGTTTCCCTGATGCTGTTTTGGTGATAGTGAGTGAATTCTCATGAGATCTGGTTGTTTGAGAAGTGTGGGGCTCTTCCCCTTTCGTGCACTCTCTTGCTCTTTCTTGTCACCTTGTGAAGAAAGTACTTGCCTTTCCTTCCCCTTCTGTCATGATTGTGAGTTTCCTGAGGCCTCCCCAGCCATGCAGAACTGTGAGTCAATTAAACCTCCTTTGTTTATAAATTACCCAGTCTGGAGTAGTATCTTTATAGCAGTGTGAAAATGTACTAATGCAGGACAGATATAATCAAGAAGGATGAGTGCTATGACTGAGGGATGATCACTATATTGCAGAGAACCATAAGAGAACTCCAAGTTCTGCCTAGGGGCATGAGAAAAGGCTGTAAAATATTTGCCCATGGAGGAGAAGCAGCTCATTCCAACAAGAAAGAACAGCTTTTTCAAAGGCACACACAAATTTCAAAAATTAGTCAATTCAATGCAAACATTTAATGATGATATAAATTAATATTTTTTCTACCATCAATTAGTGGCCAAATGCTTGCTGTGCTTATAAATGTATAACAGATTTTTGTGAGTGTGTTTTGATTTTGTCCCCATTGTATCAAGTTGAAGACTCTGTATGCACACTGAGGGCTCAATCAATAAAAACTGAGAGCTGCTGGCTGCTCAGGGTGCTTGGGGCTGCAACCCCTGGAGAGCATGCATTTTCTCTGAGCTTCTCTAGGAAAATTTTCTCCACAACAAGGACCAATTAGTAACAATCTTGTCTACCCCACAAGGCATTTCTGAAGATCCAATAGGACAATTTGATGTATATATGTATTTGTTAATATGGTACCTTTTGAGATATTTATAGTAGGTATAAAGTTGGTTTATAGTAATAACTCAAGGAAATATAATAATAAACTATAAATACAAAATTGGGGCAAATAAAAAGAAAATAAGAATCTGAATCATGAAAGACAATATTGTTGTTGAGTCGGACCTGAAATTTGATGAGACGTATTAAGGCAGCCAAAAGAAAGAGTGACACGTAATTGATGATTCTTACTTTAAAAGAATCATGCACCACAGTTCCGCAGGGAACGCAGGGCTTTTCCTAAAAGGAAAAAAATCAAAGGACATGTCCTTCTTTTGAAATTTTGGGGATACAGTGATAGATGTAGTGAATGATCTCCTCAACAATTATTTTTGATAATGGTATCAAGATTAATATCGATTCTGTTAGGGCTAAGCTATTGCTCCAAGTATGTAATATGACTGCTGATTCAATCTGATCCCAGGTAGAATTCAGAGTATGGGTAGGAGTGACTAGATTATGTTGTCTTTAAGTGATCTTCAATAATGTCATTTTCTCTTAGCCAGTGATTTGATACATTTTCCATAGCGATGAGGTAGTATTTTCTGATCAGGCTCTGTAGCTTTAAAAAATTGTAAACTATCTCAAGTATAAAAATATATATGTAGAGATTAGCATGCACCTATGTACCTACCACATAGAATTAACAATGATAACATTTGCTTTAGAGGAAAAAAATTATAGATAAATTAGAAGGCCCTTTTGGTTTGGTGCCCAGCCCTTTTTCTGCTTCCTCTTTTCATGAAGTTGGTTCATATCCCTTATTTACACATTTTTGAAACATTTAACATATCTGTATGTATTCATGAGCAATGGCATCATTTTGTTTTCTTAGCAATCATGTAAGTGACAGAACTCTGTATATATAATTTCAAAATTTTGTTTATTTCCACTAAGCATTTTTTCTTATCTTCTAAAAATTAATTTTATGTATTATTGTAAGTAGATGCTATATGCATATGATACCAAGAATACAAAAGGATATTTCATGAAATGCATGTCTTTTAAGAATATCGGTCCTCAAGCTACACATTCCACTTTCCCAGAGGCAAAACCATTATTTCTTGTGAACTCTCCAGATATATACTACATATGTACTTTGATGTAGTTTAAATTTCAAGTTTTCTTTCTTGTCTTTTCAGAGTTGGGGTCTTGCTCTGTCGCTCAGGCTGGAGTGCAGTGGCATGATCATGGGTCACTGCAGCCTTGAACTCCTGGGCTTAAGGGATCTTCTCATCTCAGTCTCCTAAATAGCTGGGACTACAGGCTCAGGCCACCATGCCTGGTAAGTTAAAACAAGTTTTTTTTAGAGACAGGGTCTCACTATGTTGCTGAAGCTGGTCCCCAATTCCTGGCCTCGAGCCATTCTCCTGCCTCATTTTCCTCAGTTGCTAGGATTATAGGCGTGAGCCACTGCACCTGGCTCTAATTTTTCTTATTATGAGTGAAATTAAACATCTTTTTATATGTTTAATAGTCATTTGTAATTCTCTTTCTATGAACTGTGTTTTTAATATATTTTGACCACTTATCCGATGGATTTTCCCCTTTGGTTTTTAAGAGCTCTTAGAAGGCCTATATAAAAATTTGTTTTCTAAGCTTATTTTCCTGGTTTGTTATTTCTGTTTGTCTTTTTTTTCCTATGTAGAAATTATTAATTTTTATTCCACTGGAATGAGGGATCCTTTTCTTTTATAGCTTATGGCTTTTTAGTGGCATACTTGGAAAGGCCTTCCCTGTGCTGAGGTTAAAAAATTTTTTTCATTGTTTCTCATGTTTTTACAGTTCTGTATTTCATTCATGTAAATCTTTCAGCAGTCTGGCATTTATGTTGGTGATGAAGTAGATGAAGTTGGTGATGAAGTAGAAATCTAAGTTTATATATATATATATATATATATATATATATATATATTTTTTTTTTTTTTTAGATTACCACTCAGTTGTCTGAACATCTGTTGAATGTTTTAGGAGGCACTGATTTTGAAGGCACTTTTATCATATCCTAAACTTCCCTATGCTGATGGATCTATTCTAGATCATTCATTTTATTTCATTGTTCTGTCTATGCCTGCATTCCATCTTATTTCACTGTATTGCTTTAATTATAGCACCTTAATAACCTATTTTAATATTTGGAAGTGTTATAATACATTTCAATATTTGGTTTTTCTTACTTGTTTATTTTTTAGATGAGCATTGTAATCACCTTGTCCACTTTCTGAAAGAATCATGTCGGTATTTCTTACTGAGATCATGTTAAATTTTTTAAGTAATTTAATTAATTAATTATTAGAATAATTTCAACATCTATTTTAGATTCAAGGTGTACACATGCCAGTTTGTTACATGGGTATATTGCATGATGCTGAGATTTGGAATACGAATGAGCCCGTCACCCAGAGAGTGGGCAGAGTACCCAACAGTTAGTGTCTCAACCCTTGCCCAGCTCTCTCCCTGCCCGCTCTAGTCGTCCCCAGTGTTTATTGTTCCCGTCTTTGTGTCCATGAATACCCAATGTTTAGCTCCCAATTATAAGTGAGAACAAGATCATGCTAAATTTATAGGTAAATTTAGGGAGTCTTGATATCATTATATGATATTAGGCCTTCCTATAGAAGAACTTCATTTGGCTGTACACTAGTTCTTATTTCTATTTGTTCCCTTTTCTTCTTTTTTGTCACATTATAAAGTTTCCTTCATGTATATTTTGTATTTTTTATGATCAGTGTTTTTACATTTTTTGTTGTTATTGTGCTGTTGTTACTGAATACAGGGTATTTTAATGTATTATGTTTTTAACTGGTGATTGCTTATGTACACATAGGCAATTGATTTCTGTACCTTAATTTCTCCTCCACTGCTCTGTCACATTGTCTTAATATTTAGAATAGTTTCCTTAGGTGAATCTCTTGGATTTTCTAGGTGCCCAATCATATTATCTATAAAAATAATAATTTTATCTGTTTTTTCCCCAGTTTTTATGCTGATTATGTATTTCCCTAGTTTATTGCTTTTTTTACTATTTGTGATAGTGGTATTTTTGTCTTATTCTTAATTTTAATTGTATATTTTAAAATGTTTTTTCATTGAGCAAGATGCTGGCCAATATAATTATGTTTAGGAAGTATTTGTTCTTATTTAAAAATCTGTATTTTTGTTTTTAAACATGAATGAATGAATGTTGAATTTAAGAAGTCCCTTTTCAGCATCTGTTGAGATTAATAATATGTTTTTAAATGATACTATGATGAATTATAAGATTTTCTTATAAGTGAATCATTCTTGAATTCCTGATAAACTATACTTGCTAATATTTTATTCATAACCTTGTTTCAGTAGTCATGTGAATGTAGTTTATAATTTTATTATATGGTTATGTTGGTTTTTAGTATCAATATTCTAGTTTTATAAGAATAAGAGTTATCTTTTTCTATGCTCTGAAACAGTTAAAGAACATTGGGATTTTTAGTTTTTAAACATTTGGTAAAACTCCACAGTAAAATTACCTAATTATGTTGCTTTATTTGGGAGAGTGGTTGTTATTTGACAATTTTCTCTATTTTTAATGGTAATTCATCTGTTTAGGTTTTTATCTTTCTGGATTTAGACTTGGCAATTTATATTTTCCCAGAAAATGAGTCATGCATGCAGGTTTTCAGATTTATTTTTTTTTAATTTAGAAAACTATCCTCCATTGGTTTTGCAATTTTCTTTATATCTGTGGTTTTTGATGTCTTTGTCATTTTAACTTTGTGTCTTTATGTGCTCCCTTTTCTTGCTTAGATTATCTAAGAGTTTATGTATTTTATTAACTCCCTCCTTCCCCAGAACTCAGTTCTTACATATATTCATTAGCTCTATCTTCATCTCTCTTTTCTCATTCACTAATTTTTCCTTTGATTTTTTAAATTTGTTTTGTATTATGTTCATTTTATTCTTTTTCTAATGTTTTGAGTTTAATATTTAATCCATTTATTTTTATTCTTTGTTTATTAATATATGTATTTAAGTTTACAAATTTTTCTAGCTTCCTCTGTGGCAGGGATAATAATAACTAACATTTATTAGGTGCTCATCATGTCTTAGGGGATGCTCTAAAAGTTTTCAACAGCACTACGAGGTGGCTGTGATTATTATTACTGTGGTAACAATAATAATCTGTGAAAAAACTTAAGCCTTGAGGTTGCAAACAATAACAACAATGACAACAACAAAACAATAAAACAAAGAACTTTCTTTCCTAAGGCCAGGCAGTCAATAAAGGTCTCTAGGAAGACAGAAATCAGAAAGTGTACCAGGATTTTGTTAGATTTTCTGATCTCTGACTCTGATTTGGCAGTAGCCAAGCTTAGTTTTTATATACAAGCAAAAAACCAATAGTATCTCTCTCTGCTGGCTTGTGAAGAGCAGAATTTGCCTTTGTTTAATACCAGGAGTTGTTTAATAGGCAAGGATAAGTATGCAAGAAAAGTTTAGAGACAGTAAGATGGCAAATAGAAGGAGAATAGAAGGAGGGGTTGTTTATAAGTTCTGTGTGTGCCTCACCATTGATAGCTGTGTCACCAGTGTAGAGAGGAAGGTAAGGACAACCAAGATGAACATCACACCGATGTTCCTTATTGCACTCTGCACAACTGTACTTTCCTGTATCATCTTATATCTGTCGTACACCATTGGGATTTCCTCTGAGGATTCTTCAATAGCCTCTAAAAAGTCAAGAATCAGTACTTGGACAAGTAGTCAAGAAGGATCAATGTGCTGGTTTCAGTAACACTAATCATAGAAAGAACACATATTTCTGTAGATTTATATCTGTATTACTAGTATATCCTCTTTTTAAATCCACATAATAACACCTTTGTAGATGATCTACACACATCTCCTTCTTTGTAGGACATCTGAGTTCACCACACTGGCCACAGCTGACTGGAACAGGTATGGACATCTAACTCAAAGTAGGACAATAAATTTTTCTTTCCTAGAAATTGGAGCACAGGGACTTCCATGAATTTTTGTTGGATTTGCAACTAGAGAGGCTATTTAAAGTGGCCTGGGGGTAATCATGTGCATACTAAAGTAGAGAAAATTAGGTTTGGGAAATAGAAAGAGACAGACAAGGGGAGGGAGAGAAATTTAGCATATACAGAGGGTCAGTAGAAATGGAAGGTTCTGTGACTCCAAAAGAGATAAAGTGAATGACGTCATTTATTGACTGATCCTACTTCTTTGTGAGACCTAGTTTTATCTCCTACCACTGAGTTCCAGGAGACATTCTCGTATTCTATCTTTTGCTTAAACTCAGTCCAAGGAATTCTGTTTCTGGCAACCAAACAATCCCTGACTAAGAAAATAATGTTAACATCAAACAATTTGAAAGTAGAAAAATACACTGTAATGCCGAGGTTATATACATATACAAACATATATATATGGAAGGACCAAAACAACAAATTAAAATCTTTCCTACATTTCATGGTATTCCCTGAAATATGTTTATTCATGACCAGAATGGAAAAAGATGATAATGTATGCTAATTTAAATGGTGAATTTTATATAATCCTAAAACTATAGTGCTTAAAAGGCGAGCAGATGATTATCAGTTTATCTTAATTTCCCTACCTATTCCTTGGAGGGCTATGCCACTATTATACACCATAACACTTGGATGGGAAATATTATTAGAGATGAAAAATTTTAAATTTAATATAGATTTGGTATTTTATTCTCTTATCTTTTTAAGATTTTCTAGCAGCAGTTATTTCTCAAGTATTAGAATCTCCATGTAGATGAGAAGTTGAAACTTTTAAGATAATTTTGTGAATAGGCTGCATTCAACAAATATTTATTGAATGTCTATTTTTAGCCAAGCACATAGTCCTAAACCCGTCTGGTGTTTAATAGGTTAGGCCACAGGAAGTTGTTTCTAGGTGAATGGAAAGCTCAGGAGGAAGCGAAGCCTGGGAAAACAAGCATGAATTGCTCATCTATTAGGAGCAAATTCAGGTCAGACACTATCTGGGTTGAGACAATCTTTTCACGTCTTATTCAGCTATTGAGGTAAATCTCTGACATTGAACTCCATGGGACCCAGGAAAACTAAGACTTTCATGAGCCCTGGAGATGAACTGCAATTTGCAGGAAGAGGAAATGGAAGCATTGGTTCAGAAAAACCCAAAAGCCAACTATGGCTTCTCTTATTGAGAAGTCAGCTGGAAATGTACCTCGCTTAAATAGAGCCAAAATGCAGATTACAAAATACAGCATCATGACCAGTAAAATAGAAGAACCATGGGATTCAGGTATGGTTAAGATATATGTAAATGGGCTATTTAAAGTCCAAAAAAAGTTGTGGAGTGCAATTTATCGAGATCTTTAATGCAGGATATCTTATCTCCTATAGGATATAATTATTGCTCTGTTTTGGTTGTAATCATGTGAGTGAGAACTGGGAATAGGTATCAGAAGGCCACTTTGTTTTCTTCTTTTTTGTTTTAGACAGAGTCTTGCTCTGTCACCCAGACTGGAGAGCAGTGGCGTGATTTTGGCTCACTGCAACCTCTGCCTCCAGGGTTCAAGCGATTCTCCTGCCTCAGCCTCCCGAGTAGCTGGGATTGCAGGTGTGTGCCACCATGCCCGGCTAAAGTGGCCAGTTCTTCTTCTTCTTCTCCTTCTCCTTCTCCTTCTTTTAAATTTCAATAGGTTTTTGGGGAACAGGTGGCATTTGTTTGGTTACCTGAATAAATTCTTAAGAGGTAATTTTTGAGATATTGGTGCATTCATCACCAGAGTTGTGTACACTGTACCCAATACCTACAGAGTCCATTGTATCATTCTTTTTTTTTTTTTCTTTTTTTGAGATGGGGTCTTGCTCTGTCGCCAGGCTGGAGTGCAATGGCATGATCTCAGCTCACTGCAACCTCCCCCTCCCATGTTCAAGCGATTCTCCTGTCTCAGCCTCCTGAGTAGCTGGGACTACAGGCGTGTGCCACCACGCCCAGGTAATTTTTGTGTTTTTAGTAGAGCCAGGGTTTCACCGTGTCAGTCAGGATGGTCTCGATGTCTTGACCTTGTGATCCGCCCGCCTTGGCCTCCCAAACTGCTGGGATTACAGGCGTGAGCCACCGAGCCTGGCCCATCATATCATTCTTATAAGAAGGCCACTTCTTGGTTTGTACTTTCAAAACTCCAGAGGAAAATACTTTATTATAAATATTGTTCAAGATCATAAATATTCTTGAGAGTTAGCATCTGATTCAGTTTCTGCATAAGCAATTATAGTCTAGATCCATCTATTTCATATCCATTAATTTTCCTTACTTGCTCATTTTATTTTAAAATTCAAGGCTAATTAACAATGTGTGACCATTCATATGTGAATAATTGATCATATGTGAATATGATGTGAATTTCAATATAATAGCCACCTAATAATATGGTTTGATATACTGGAACAGAGAAAAATTAACCAGCTCATACAGTGGATCTTGGTCACCTTCAGTGGTCTAATAATAATTTCCATTTATTCAGCTTTAGACTTTTAAAAACAATTATATATTTTATAGAATAACAGGGATAAATGAAATTAAATACTCTTCATTGTTCAGATTACATTCAATGAACATGGACAGATTGAACATAAGGTCAAAATGGTGAAAAGAGCAGAGGCAAGTTGGTAGCAAAAAAGAGAAAGTTTTTTAAACAGTATCTTAAAAGGATAGTTGGGAAAATTAAATTAAAGAAAATTGAGTGTTGGCAGTGGCAGTACTTTTATTTATAACTGGTTCTGATTCATTAACTCTTGTTACCAATCTGTAATAGAATAAGTACAGAAATTGAGGTTATGCAGTTAGAAATGTTTAAAACAATTTGACATTATCTTGGTGCTTTTATTATATTTATTAAGAGCATCTCTTCCAAACATATTGGGAGAGAAAACTGGTTCTTCACTACAGATAGTTTGAGATGTGTGTACTGAACTAGGTAATCTTCAATATTCTTTCAACACTGAGTGGTAAGAGAACATAATTAGGAACCATATTTGTGTATACCTTTCACCTAGAATAGAACTGAAAAAGATGTGTAATTTATCTTTTCTCATTTTCCTTCTTAAAAGTGTATCTTTAAATATACATACTCTGATAGCCCAGCTTTGCCATTCAGGCACAGACTATTCAATCTAATAATAAGATAAAATTGGTATTTCTATGCAGATACTGGTTATTTTTGCTGACTTTTGCAAATTAGCTTTTTTTATTTTGCCCTGCAACTTCATGTATTACTTCTAGTAGTTTTTAAAATATTTTCTATAATTATTATGTAAGCAATCATATAATCTGAAAATAGAGACAGTTTTACTTCTTCCTTTCTTATTTTTATGAACTTACATATTTTTCTTGCCTTCTTGAAAAGATTAGGACAAATAGTACAATGATAAATGGCAAAAGAGTGAACAGTCTTGCCCTGTTTCTATCTTAGAGAAAAATTATTCAATAGTTAATCATTAAGTATGATTTGATGTTAGCTGTGGGTTTTCTGTAGATGATCTTTTTCAGATTAAGGAAGACTTTCCATTCCTAATCTTCTGAAATTAAAAAAAAGCATGAATGGATATTGAATTTTGAATTTTGTGAAATTCATATTTTTTAATCTATTGAAATGATCATTCATTTTTCAAGTCTGTTTGGTAAATTACCTTGATTTTTTTCCCAGTTAAGATACAAATTTATTGTTACAATCAGTTTTTATTTATTTAATATAAATCTTATAAAAGATATATTCCTTCATTTAATTAATGCTAAAAGGCCTACTTAACAAAAATAAAGTATATCTTTCATATATGTGTGTGTATGTGTATATATATTTTTTTAATTAATTAATTATTATTATTATTATTTGAGACAGAGTCTCACTCTGTCACCCAGGCTGGAGTGCAATGGCATGATACTAGCTCACTGCATCCTCAGACTGCTTGAGCAATCCTCCCACCTCAGCCTCCAGAGTAGCTGGGACTACACACACAAGCCACTGCACCTAGCTGATTTTTTTTTCATTTTTTGTACAGATGGGGCCTCGCTATGTTGCCTAGGCTGGAGTTCAAGCAATTCTCCTACCTCAGCCTCCCAAAGTATTGGGATTACAGGCATAAGCCACCATGCCAACTTCATCATTTATATTTAATATAAATAGCTTTATTAGAAATTTAGGAGCATATAGCAAAAATATACACTTAATTAAGCAGTTACAGGAATTAGGCTGTTTTTAATTTTTTTTACTGGCAATTTTATTTTATCTACAGGACACATTTTACTTAAGTTAATATTAAAACATTTAAAAATTAAATTTTAGACATGAAAATATGCAACAAAAACAGGAAGTGTTTTCATTATAAAGCAGGTTATTAGTAAATTCTCAGAGTTTCTGAGACATATCAGAACTCCTGTATCGAAAGTTGCATTCATTCAGGAGGTATTAATACATTTTCAGTGCTGAGAGTATTTACAGTACTTACAATATACTGAAAACAGCATTGTACTACTAGGGTTCACATCTGATAAACCTGAGTTTAAACTTCATGCCACAAGTTTCCAATTCAAGGTACAGCTAATGCAATAACATTTTCTCATGTCATTTTTTCTTCTGAAGCTGAATAAAGAAATAATCATTTAAGCACATGGAATAATGCCATGTTCTCCCTTATAGTAATAATATATTTTAAACCTCAGATACTTCATATTATGGAAATTGACCATGATATACAAAGGCGCCTAAATACAGCAGAACCAAAAAGTTTTCTTTTTGTAGATTCCATTAATTCATAATTATTTTAGTATAGATACATACTGGAAACTACTTCAGATTGTTGGACGATAGAAAGCTCACTGTGTCATTACCTACATTTAAGCAGCAGCACATCACAACCCAAACAATGGCAAGTATATATTCTTGTCTCCTCCCACTTCTTGGAGGGTCTTTTCCAGCTTACAGAAGCTAGCTTGTAAGGCTACAATAATGTTTCAGCCTATCATTGAAAGTTTCTGTATTAGGAGTTTTGAAATATTACTAACAGAACATTTATAAATCAGTCAGTTTTTTTCTTACTCTCTACTGAGTAGTTCAAATGCAATAGATAAGTGTTTTAAACTGTTTGATAGGCTTCATTTTTTTAAAGAGCAGTTTTAGATTGATAGCAAAATTGAGAAAAAGGTACAGAGATTTTCCATGTACCTCTCAGGAAGTACATGGTCTCTGCCATTATCAATATCCCGCACCAGAATGGTACATTTTTTACAACTGGTGAACCAACATTGATGCATGATTATTACCCAAAGACCATAGTTTACATTATTTTTTATATTTTTACTTTTTTATTTTTTGAGATGGAGTCTTGCTCTGTTGCCAGGCTTGAGTGCAGTGGCTCAATCTCGGCTCACTGCAACCTCCTGCCTTCTGGGTTCAAGCGATTCCCCCGCCTCAGCCCTCCGAGTAGCTGGGACTACAGGTGCATACCACCACGCCGGGCTAACTTTTTGTATTTTAGTAGAGATGGGGTTTCACCATGTTGGCCAGGATGGTCTCGATCTCCTGACTTCATGATCCGCCCGCCTCGGCCTCCCAAAGTGCTGGGATTACAGGTGTGAGCCACTGCGCCCGGCCTATTATT
Organism: Homo sapiens; assembly: GCF_000001405.40. NCBI lineage: Eukaryota > Metazoa > Chordata > Mammalia > Primates > Hominidae > Homo > Homo sapiens. The sequence continues at coordinate 143,748,497 of NC_000004.12, forward strand.
TAATTTTTAAAGCATCTTATCAGTGTTTTGTTACGGTGACTAATGGTATTCATAGTACCATTAATGGTAAGATGTAAACAAGAAATGCCTACATTTAGGGGTTAAAATAATATTTTAGAGAGCATTTTTCCCCATAACTAGGAAAGCTGTAGAATTCACACTAAACACAGATATAATGAGATTGTATGTTAATGTATGTAATTACAATAATATTTTATAACATCAGTAATACAGTAAGTAAATTGAGTATAGGAATGAAGAGACAGAAGATTTCAGACAGAAGCCTATCACTGACTTGAATTTTGGATATCTCAAACACAAAAGGATATTTTCTACAAGCAGTATCGTTATATTTTCCCATCCAAATAGCTCAAATCTCTAACGTCTTTCAAAGTATTATCCAGAAAGAAAAGTTTCCAGTGTAAAAAAACTGTTCAGAAAAATCTAATTCATTCTGTCATATATGTGTGTAAAACTTCGAGTAATTTAAACCTAAGTAATTTCTTTCATAGCAACACATTTACAGACTGAGCTTCAAAGACAGGGAAAAATTTATTTAAAATAATGTTAAAATAATGGATATACTTTTCTGTCCAAAGACATCAAATCCAAGACATAACACTGTAATCACAGAAGTGGTATGTAACAGAAAGAAAAGAAAAGAAAAGAAAAAGGTGGTTCAACATAAGTAATGTCTTCTTTCAAAAAAAGAAATGAAAACAAGACAGACTGCGTTAACATGTCCCCAGTCAAAAGATATGCTGAGATCTAACAGATGAAAGAAGAACCAGAGAAACTCCATTTTGAAGTAAAGGTAGAGCTGTGTTAAATTTGCTTAACCACATACTTATCATTCTTTTTGCTCTGTGCATAATAATTACTGGTGCTTGCCTTCTTTTCTGTAAAGTAACGCAAGTGGATACCAATAACAAAACTTTCCTCTCAGCATAAAACATTGGTAACTTTCTCTATCAATTTAATGACTGATTAATATTAAAAGCTTAAGCCTAAATCACTTTGAAATGCAGTATAAAATGCAATATATAATAGCAATTTATGGCAAAAAATCAAGTTACCACATGCATTCTTATTTATATTACAAAGTAAGGAATTCATGAAATGGTACAGAAGGCTTGTATGTAGTCTAAAAAGGAAATGTTTTTATAATTTTAAAGGTGGATGTTTTAAACTTTTAATTGAGCATGTTTAAGGAAATTTTCCTTTAAACCTGGAAGATTTATTTACATATTTTTGTGAAGTTAACATGGAGTTAAGATAAATATTTTAGTTCAGTAAAAATGGAAATAGCTGTAATTAAAAGATTACTTATATCTTTTCTACCCTTTACAATCCCATAATTAACAACTTTATTTAGAGAAGCCAACTGAAATATGCTTTAGTTGAACTAAAAGGTATTATTTATCATATCTGATATGGTTTAGATCTGTGTCCTCATCCAAATCTTATGTTGAATTATAATCCACAATGTTGGAGGTGGGGCCTGGTTGAAGGTGATTGAATAATTGGGGGCAGTTTCTCATGTATGGTTTAGCACCATCTCCTTGGGGCTGTTCTTGTGATGGTTAGTGAGTTCTCATGAGATCTGGTTGTTTAAAAGTAAGTAGCACCTTCCCTCTCTCTCTCTCGTTCCTGCTGAGGCCTGCTTCCCCTTTGCCTTGATTGTAAATTTGCCATGATTGTAAATTTCCTGAGGTCTCCCCAGGAACAGAAGCTGCCATGTCTCCTGTATAGCCTGCAGAACTGTGAGCCCATTAAACCTCTTTTTTTTTAAATAAATTACCCAGTGTCTATTTCTTTATATATATATATATATATATATAATATATATATATATATATAATATATATATATATTTTATTATACTTTAAGTTCTATATGTGCCATGTTGGTGTGCTGCACTCATTAACTTGTCATTTACATTAGGTATATCTCCCCAGTCTCTATTTCTTTACAGCAATGTGATGGACTAATACAATATCTCTTGTATACATGGGGTTTAGAGTCACATTGAGATGTATAAATTTCTGAGTTATTTTTGTAGAAAAAGGCTCATAGCTCTGAAAATACGAAAGGGTCATGCTTCAATTTGCAATCATTAAATTATATTTCTTACTTTGCTTTAGCTAAGGATTATTACTCAAAGAATGGAGTTCTATTAATACAACAGTGTACTTACTTGCCAAAATTTAGCCTCACAAAAACTTATGGCCAATTAAATTAGTAAAGAAAAACCATATTAGCAAATGGGATGTTAAATATTAAATAAGTGCTGATATTAACATGAAAACTGAAAAACCTTATTTCCAGTTCCTCTATCATTCCACTGTGCAACCAGAACTGTTTGCTATCTCCAGTTCAAATCCAAAGAGCTAGATTATTTCCTAACAGACAAATTTCTATAAGAGGAGAGAATTCAAAACAATACACAAGATCGTATGCAAGATACAATTTGCACTAATTTACAAAATTTTATTTACGCAGTTTTATTTACATTCCAGAAAGATCTAGTTGATGAGTTTTGTGCTCATATTGATCTCAGATGATCATATGAACAGTTTGATTCACTGTAACATCTCTTTGACTTCTAGAAAATGGTAGTAGCATGGTATTAGGAGGGAAAAATTAATCAAATATCACTGGCCAGGAAAGACTGTACAAATAAGTAAGAAAAAAAGAAAAAATGTGTTAAATTTTGCTTGTTGACGCTTCCAGGCCACTATGATCTATTGACTAACATATTGACTGACATTGAATATACACAAATACCATTTTTAATTTTTTAATTTTTTTGAGGCAGGGTCTCACTCTGTTGCCCAGGCTGGAGTGCAATGGTGTGATCACAGCTCACTGCAGCCTAGACTTCCCAGGTGCAAGCAATCCTCCTACCTCAGCCTCCTGAGTAGCTGGGATTACTGATGTATGCTACCATTTGTGGCTGTTTTTTATTTTTTGTAGAGATGAAATCTCATTCTGTTGCCTAGGCTGGTCTCAAACTCCTGGTCTCAAGTGATCCTCCTGCCTTAGCCTCCCAAAGTGTTGGGATTATAATTGTGAGCCACTGTGGCTGGCCAAATACCACTGTAATAAGCATTTTATATTTATAGATTGGTCTTACTACAAGTTGAGTTACCAGGTAAGGCACTCATGTTTCTTAGCTTAACATAAAAAGACAACAGGCATCTCAACAAGTCACAAGACAAATGTTACAGGGATGGTTTAAATATACTGTTTGGAGGGTAGGGCCAAGACGGCCAACTAGAAGCAGCAGTGATTGGAGGCTCCCACTGAAAAGAACCGTAACAGCATATGAATCCTGCACCAGCAATGGAGGTATCCAGGTTCTGTCATCAGAACTGACTAGGTGGCTGGTGTGACACATGGAGAGGAAGGAAGAGCAGTGTGGTGTGGTGGCCCACCTGAGAGCCACACAAGGCAGGGGAGCCCCCACCCACTAGCCAAGGGAAGCAGTGAGTGAGCGTGCTACCCAGCCAGGAAAACTGTGCTTTTTCCATGGAACTGTCAACCCACGGATCAAAAGATCCCACTCATGAGCCCATGCCACCAGGGCCTAGGGTCCCAACCATGGAGCCACAGAGATTCTCAACAACCACTAAGCTAGAATCTGCTTAAGCCTGCCAAGCTGCGGGTGGGGAGGGGTGACCAGCATCCAAGCTGTGGCTGCCTACTGTCTAAACCATTTGAGTTCTTTGGGGGAGGGGCGACAGCCAACACTGTGACTGATAGCTACCTAACACACTAAGCTCCCAGGGTAGGGGAAGGGCAGCAGCCCTCTCTGCAGCTCCAGACCATGCTTGCTTTTCACCAGCTGAAGCCAAGGAGGCTGGACGGCTTGGACCCAATAGGTATCCCCCATAGCCCTACACACCGCTGTGGCACACTGCAGCCAGAGTGTCTCTTCAGGCCTGACCTTGACTTACCCTCCTCTCTGGGCTGGGCCTCCCTGCAGGAACTCCAACCCCATCCAGGGGCTCAGGGGCAGAACTCTGATCTCCCTGGGCCTGAGCCCCTAGGGGAAAGGGTGGCCACAGTCTCTGCAGACCAGCAAACTTAATCTTTCTTCCTGCTAGTTCTGAGGAATCCAGGGAACCCAGATGAGTAAGTTTCCCCCAGTGAAGCACACCCCTACCACCAAGGGACAGTCAAAGTGCTTCACTAAATGGGTCCTGCTCCTTGTGCCACCCAACTGGGTGAGACCCTCCAACAGGGGTTGTCAGACACCCTGTACAGGAGCATTTCTACTGGCATCATGCTAGTGCCCCTCAAGGTCAGAGATTCCAGAGGAAGGAGAAGGCACCCATCTTTGCTGTTCTCCAGCTTCTTCAAGTGACATCTCCAGGCACGGGAGTGAACCAGATGAATAGGGCCTGAAGAGAACCCCCAGCCAACAGCAGCAGCCCTACTTCTAGGAGAGGGACCTGACCATTGCAAGAAAAACAAACAGAAAGAAACAGTAGCATCAACAACAACAAAAAAATCCCCACAAAAACCTCATCCATGAGTGAGCATCCTCAAAGATTGATACTAGACAATCTCATGAAGATGAGAAAGAATCAATGAAAAAATTCTGAAAACCCAAAAAGCCAGAGTGCCTCTTGTCCTCCAAATGATCACAATGCCTCTTTAGCAAGGGAACAGAGCTGGACAGAGGATGAGATAGATGAATTAATAGAAGTAGGCTTCAGAAGGTGGGTAATAACAAACTCCGTTGAGCTAAAGGAGCATGTTCTAACCCAGTGCAAAGTTTGATAAAAGGTTACAGGAGCTGCTAACTAGAGTAACCAGTTTAGAGAGGAACATAAATGACCTGATGGAGCTGAAAAACACAGCATGAGAACTTTGTGAAGCATGCACAAGTATCAATAGCTGGGAATCAGTAAAGCGGAAGAAAGGATATCAGAGTTTGAAGGCCATCTTGCTGAAATGAGGCATGCCGACAAGATTAGAGAAAAAGGAATAAAAAGGAATTAACAAAACTGCCAAAAAATATGGAACTGAAAATAAAACAAAAAATAAAGAGACTGAACCTATGATTGATTGGAGTACCTGAAAGAGACAGGGAGAATGGAACCAAGTTGGAAACACACTTCAGGATATTATCCAGGAGAACTTCCCCAACCTAGCAAGACAGGACAACATTAAAATTCAGGAAATACAGAGAACACCACTGAGATACTCCACGAGAAGATCAACCCTAAGGCACATAATCATCAGATTCTCCAAGGTCAAAATGAAGGAAAAAATGCCCAGAGAGAAAGGACAGGTTACCTACAAAGGGAAGCCCATCAGACTAACAGCAGACCTCTCAGCAGAAATCCTACAAGCCAGAAGAGCGTGAGGGCCAATATTCAACATTCTTAAAGAAAAGAATTTTCAACCCAGAATTTCATAACCAGCCAAACTAAGCTTCATAAGTGAAGGAGAAATAGGATCCTTTCCAGACAAGCAAATGCTGAGGGATTGTGTCACCACCAGGCCTGTCTTTTGAGAGCTCCTGAAGGAAGCACTAAGAATGGAAAGGAAAAACCAGTACCAGCCACTGCAAAAACAAACCAAAATATAAAGACCAATGAGACTACAAAGAAACTGCATCAACTGGTGTGCAAAATAACCAGCTAGTATCATGATGACAGGATCAAATTTACATGTAACAATATTAACCATAAATGTAAATGGACTAAATGCCCCAATTAAAAGACACAGACTGGCAAATGGGATAAAGAGTCAAGACACATCAGTGTGCTGTATTATGGAGACCCATCTCACATGCGAAGACACACATAGGCTCAAAACAAAGGGATGGAGAAAAATTTACCAAGTAAATGGAAAGAAAAAAGAAAAGCAGGGGTTGCAATCCTATTCTCTGATAAAACAGACTTTAAACTGACAAAGATAAAAACAGACAAAGAAGGGCATAACATAATGGTAAAGGGATCAATGCAACAAGAAAACTTAACTATCCTAAATATATACGCACCCAAAAACAGGAGCACCTGGATTCCTAAAACAAGCTCTTAGAGACCTACAAAGAGATTTAGACTCCCACACAATCATAGCGGGAGACTTTAACACCCCACTGTCAATATTAGACAGATCAAGACAGAAAATTAACAAGGATATTCAGGACTTGAATTCAGCTCTGAATCAGGTGGATCTAATAGACATCTACAGAACTGTGCATCCCAAATCAACAGAATATACATTCTTCTCAGTGCCACAACGTATTTATTCTAAAATCGACCACATAATTGGAAGTAAAACACTCCTCAGCAAATGCAAATGAACTGAAATAATAACAAACAGTCTCTCAGACCACAGTGGAAAGCAATTAAAACTCAGGATTAAAAACTCACTCAAAACCACACAATTACATGGAAAATGAACAACCTGCCCCTGAATGACTCCTGGGTAAATAATGAAATTAAGGCAGAAATCAAGAAGTTCTCTGAAACCAATAAGAACAAAGAGACAATGTACCAGAATCTCTGGAATGCAGCTAAAGCAATGTTAAGGGGGAAATGTATAGCACTAAATGCCCACATCAGAAAGCTAGAAAGACCTCACATCCATACCCTAACATTGCAATTAAAAGAGCTAGAGAAGCCAGAGCAAACAAATCCAAAAGCTATCAGAAGACAAGAAATAACTAAGATCAGAGCAGAACTGAAGGAGATAGAGACATGAAAAACCCTTCAAAAAATCAATAAATCCAGGAGCTGGTTTTTTGAAAAAACTAACAAAATAGATGGCCCGCTAGCTAGACTAATAAAGAAGAAAAGAGAGAAGAATCAAATAGACACAATAAAAAAATGATAAAGGGCATATCACCACTGGCCCCACAGAAATACAAACTCAGAGAATACTATAAACACCTCTACACAAATAAACTAGAAAACCTAGAAGAAATGGATAAATTTCTGGGCACATACACCCTCCCAAGACTAAACCAGGAAGAAGTCAAATCCCTGAATAGACCAATAACAAGTTCTGAAATTGAGGCAGTAATTAATAGCCTACCAACCAAAAAAAGTCCAGGACCAGACGGATTCACAGCCGAATTCTACCAGAGGTAGAGACAGGAGTTGGTACCATTCCTTCTGAAACTATGCCAAGCAAACTGAAAAGGAGGGACTGCTTTCTAATTCATTTTATGAGGTCAGGATCATCCTGATACCAAAACCTGGCAGAGACACAACAACAACAAAAAATTTCAGGCCAATATCCTTGATGAACATCGATGTGAAAATCCTCAATAAAATACTGACAAATCGAATCCAGCAGCACATCAAAAAGCTTATCCACCAAAATCAAGTCAGCTTCATCCCTGCGATGAAAGGCTGGTTCAACATATGCAAATCAATAAATGTAATCCATCATGTAAACAGAACCAACGACAAAAACCACATGATCATCTCAATAGATGCAGAAAAGGCCTTCGACAAAATTCAGCACCCCTTCACGTTAAAAACTCTCAATAAACTAGGTATTGATGGAACATATCTCAAAATAATAAGAGCTATTTATGACAAAACCACAGCCAATATCATACTGCAGGGGCAAAAGTCAGAAGCATTCCCTTTGAAAACCAGCACAAGACAAAGATCCCCTCTCTCACCACTCCTATTGAACATAGTATTGGAAGTTCTAGCCAGGACAATCAGGCAAGAGAAAGAAATAAAGGCTATTCAAATAGGAAGGGAGGAAGTCAATTGTCTCTGTTTGCAGATGACATAATTGTGTATTTAGAAAATGCCATAGTCTCAGCCCAAATCTCCTTAAACTGATAAGCAACTTCAGCAGTCTCAGGATACAAAATCAATGTGCAAAAATCACAAGCATTCCTATACATCAACAATAGAAAGCAGAGAGCCAAATCATGAATGAACACCCATTCACAATTGCTTCAAAGAGAATAAAATACCTAGGAATATGGCTAACAGGAGATGTGAAGGGCCTCTTCAAGAAGAACTACAAACCACTGCTCAAGGAAATAAAAGAGAACACAAACAAATGGAAAAACATTCTTTCCTCATGGACAGGAAGAATCAATATCATGAAAATGGCCATACTGCCCAAAGTAATTTATAGATTCAATGCTATTCCCATCTAACTAACTTTGACATTAGAAAAAACTACTTCAAATTTCACGTGGAACCAAAGAGTCTGTATAGCCAAGACAATCCTAAGCATAAAGAGCAAAGCTCGAGGCATTATGCTATCTGACTTCAAATTATGCTACAAGGCTACAGTAACCAAACAGCATGATAGTGGTACCAAAACAGACATATAGACCAATGGAACAGAATAGAGACCTCAGAAATAACACCACACATCTACAACTATCCCATCTTCGACAAACCAGACAAAAACAAGCAATGGGAAAAGGATTCCGTATTTAATAAATGGTGCTGGGAAAACTGGCTAGCCATGTGCAGAAAACTGAAACTGGACCCCTTCCTTACACCTTATACAAAAATTACCTCAAGATGGATTAAATACTTAAATGTAAACCCTAAAACCATAAAACCCTAGAAGAAAACCTAGGCAATACCATTCAGGACATAGACTGGTCAAAGACTTCACGATGAAAATGCCAAAAGCAATTGCAACAAAAGCCAAAATTGACAAATGGGATCTAATTAAACTAAAAAGCTTCTGCACAGTAAAAGAAACTCAGAGTGAGCAGGCAACCTACAGAATGGCAGAAAATTTTTGCAAACCACCCATCTGATAAAGGTCTAATATACAGAATCTACAAGGAACTTAAACAAATTTATGAGAAAAAACCAAACAACCCCATCAAAAAGTGGGCAAAGTATATGACCACACACTTCTAAAAAGAAGACATTTATGTGGCCAACAAACATGAAAACAAGCTCAACATCACTGATCACTAGAGAAATGCAAATCAAAACCACAGTGAGGTACCATGTCTCGCCAGTCAGAATGGTGATTACTAAAAAGTCAAGAAGCGATAGATGTTGGTGAGGCTGTGGAGAAATAGGAATGCTTTTACACTGTTGGTGGGAATGTAAATTAGTTCAACCATTGTGGAAGTCAGTGTGGTGATTACTCAAGGATCTAGAACCAGAAATACCATTTGATCCAGCAATTCCATTATTGAGTATATAATCAAAGGAATATAAATCATTCTACTATAAAGACACATGCACACATATGTTTATTGCAGCACTATTTACAATAGCAAAGACATGGAACCAACCCAAATATCCATCAGTGATAGACTAGATAGGGAAAATGTGGTACATATGCACTGTAGAATACTATGCAGCCATAAAAAGAATGAGACCATGTCCTTTGCAAAGACATGGATGAAGTCAGAAGCCATCATCCTCAGCAAACTAACACAGGAACAGGAAACCAAATACCACATGTTCTCACTCATAAGTGGGAGTTGAACAATGAGAACGCATGGATGCAGGGAGGGGAATATCATACACTGGGGCCTGTCGGGGTCGGGGGGCTAGGAGAGGGATAGCATTAGGAGAAATACCTAATGTAGATGACAGGTTGATGGATGCGGCAAACCACCATGGAACACCTATACCTATGTAACAAACCTACACGTTCTACACTTGTATCCTGGAACTTAAAGTAAAATTAAAAAAAATACAGTTGAGATTTATCTTCCTTTATAATTCCTTAAATGGTCAACATAAAGAGAAGCAATTTTGAACCCTTTTATTAACCTGTGCCATAATCTCTAAACCCTTATAGGAAGTAACAGCTCATCCAAAATCTCACCAGAGAGTGGGGGCAATGTGTTAAACATCTGACTTTGTTCCTAACACCCATTGCATAGTCATAGGGCTAGAGTGGGTACCCTTATTCCCCACTGCATTCACTTTAATGGAAGTGAATTTGGAAATGCTTGTATTTAATAGTGTCACAGCTAGCAGCTATGCACAGTGCACCAGCAATGGCTCAGCATATCCCTGTACAAAATGGTTTGATGCAACGTGAAGTGAGGTAGAAAAATGAACTTTGCTCCTCCGTAGTTCTTTAAGATATATATTGTTGTATTTTAAGAGGCTGGTAAACAAAAAATTAAGAGTATTACAAGTTCTTCATGGTTCTATGAAAGTGTTTCAACCATAGATGAAAACTCCGCCAAAAACATATTTTCAAGTTCACTCTAACATTGTAAAGAGCTATTAATTGTTTAATTAGTTCCACTCACTGAATTAACTAGGCAAAATTCTATTGATCCTATGTAATATGGTTTATAAAAACAAAAGCAAACATTTATAACATTGAGGGGTAGAAAACAAATCTTGGTTTAACACCAATATAAATACAAAAAATCCCTTAAAAGATTCTATGTATGTAACTAGAATTTACCATTTAAAATGGCCTTTAGTTGTTTCTACTTCTATTATTAGTTTTAAACATCTTAAAATAAGTTAAGTATTTTAAAGCAGCTGATTGAGAGTATAAGTTATTTAGAATAATACATCAAGCTCTCCAGAAGATTTTTCAGAGAAAAAATTTGTGGTTACAACTATGCAGATCCATTAAGCCAACTTTGTATCTAGGCACTTACATGACCAAAGTGTAAAGCTTGTCACACTAATTTTCAAACTAAAGCTAATTATAACTGCTAAACTTGAAACAGCAATTTTTGAAACTTGATGCCTACTTATCTACCCAAAGGGCTAACTTCCTTCCACAAGATTGCCTCCTTTTCATCCTGAAACATAATATAAAAATACACTTGAACAAAAACAAAACAACAGAAGCCCCCTACCGTAAGCATTTCTGTTTAATCCATACTTTGTTATAGCAGACTGTCAGGGTACTAGATCAATGCCCTAAAAGTTCCTTATTAATCTTTTTCACAGCCTCAACATATTACTCGGAACTTACATGTATCAAGTAATCATTGTTACTTTAAATACGTGGAACAACAACAACAACAAAACCCATGCAACCAAAAATGCAAGAAATACAATTGGAGAGGTTAAGAATAATATATCTAAATGGTAGTAAATGTCCCCAAGTGTGATAACCTTGGTATATTTGTTTAAAAAATTAGCAATAGTCCTACTAGCTACTATGTTATAGCAAGCAAAAAAAGAACACTTCAATAAAAAAAGGAAGAATTTGATCCAGTAAAATTGTAAAAACAGAAACTATTCATGTAAATATGAATACATTACTATATGAAAACATTCAATATAGATTTTGGTAATATTTAATATCATATACATTCCAGGATATATAATATTTATACTTCCAGATTATTCAGGGAGAAGAGAATTTAATTTTAAGATATATTCTCCCCAAAGAAATGCTTTTCAGTATTTAATTCAAAAAGATGTGCAATCAACAGAGAAGGTAAATGTTTTTCACCTTCCTGAACACATATTTTTATATGAACATTCTAAGTTATTTATAGCAGTGACTGGCATTTCAAGAGTAAGTGATTCATTTTACGTACAGTGCCTCAAGATTAAAATGTTCACACTGAACACCTAGAATGTTTATGAAAATTAATCTTATTAAAGTAGAACACAGATGAAACAGATGAATGCAGCTATGGAATCATGTTTAATTTAAAAAACTCACACATAGCACAGATTACATTATCAAAGGAAGGACTAAACTGACATTTTTATAGCTCTTGGCAGATTTAACAAATTTCTGTTTTGCCACATACCGATAGAAGTAGGCATATTTCTTGACATCATTAAATCTGTTTTAAAAATAGAGACATAATTTGTAAAGCGAGATAACCAGTTAAATAACAGAATTATAACAAATACTGGCTTTTCAGTATTTTTTTCTAGAATTCTTATGATATGCAAGGATTGCTCAGCTATTTAACAATAATTAAATCTCTTTACTCAAGCACTCTTAATGCAGCGATCTCAGGCTTTATTTTGAAGTATTGGTTAAAATGAACTATTGCACACCCAAGGAAATAAAACTTAGTGGAGTATTTGGCTTGAATGAAAGCTCACAATTCCAAAAGAAACTAGAGGCCAATGCAAACTGACAGGCTTGAATAAAGAATATGGCTACCTTCTTTTTAGTAAATTTAATTCCAAAGTCCTTATACTTTTTGTAGACTTCAAGATAAGAATGCAGCCATGGGCCCTGTAGTTCTTTGCCTGGATAGAGACTATACATAAAGCACACCTACAAATTTATTAAAATGACTTCTAATATCATGTGCTAGGTAGTTGTATCTAGAATGTTCACAATCATTGAACTGTATGTCACTTTGTTTCTCATTGCTGATTGCATTTGTGCAAAATAGGCCATTATGGCAAAGCATGACTGATGAGCCCATGTTGGAGAGAATCTCCTTCAAATAAGTCATCACCTACTGATGAATCTGAGAGCCTGGAATATCTCTTAGGAACATTTTATTAATGTCTTTGTATGCAAATTCTGTGGGAATGAGAGAGAAGTATTTTCCCATATATAGTCATAGATTAGACTTAGGAATCATGAGGATTAATTTTATGCATTAACTTGACTGGGCTAAGGAATGGCTACATAGCTGATACAATATTTTTTTCTGGGTGTGTCTGTGAGGGTGTTTCCATAAAATATTAGCATTTAAATCAGTAGACTGAGTAAAGAAGATTGCCTCCACCCATGCAGGTGGGCATCATCCATTTCATTGAGGGTCTACATAGAACAGAATGGTGGAGGGAGGATGAATTTTCTCTGTTTGAGTTGACAGATTCATCTTCTACCATGCTTGGACATCAGTGCTCCTGGTTCCTGGGCCTTTGAACTTGGATGAGGACTTACTTAGACCATTGTCTCCCTTGGTTCTCAAGCCTCTGGGTTGTGCTGGAACTACACTGCTGGCTTTCCTGGGATTTTAACTTGCAGACAGCAGATTGTGGGACTTTTCAGCCTGCATAACTGCATGAACAAATCCTCATAACAAAGCTCTTTCTAAACTTCTATATGTATCCTATTTGTTCTGTTTCTCTGGAGAACTCTGACTAATAAAGGAATCCAGTCATTGTGTGCATAAATAGCCAAAATGTTAATAAGCTGAACAGCTCTTAGCTTGAAAATGACTGAGTTGCCAGCATGCTTTGGATCCAGTGCTTCTCCCTGTATACATTTACTGTGTGGTCCATAAATAGAGGTCCAGTAGAACTGTGATAGAAGGTACAGTAGAGTCTATGGCACTCTGAAACCCTTTACTTCCGTTATCTCTTCAATTAGCAACTCAGTCTTACTGCTATAAATTCTCAAGGTCTACATCCTCCTTTATATCACCCATACAATGGCCAATAAGTTTATTTGTGATTCCTTCTATCAAGAGCTTCAGAGTTACTTCCTGGAAGGTCCCAATATTGCCACAGGTGTTGTAGAAGGCTCAGGGCCCCCTCCTGGCAGTGCTGCTCCTCTTGATCCTAAACCGTAGCATTCAACTTGGACACCTCATTGAGGTCCATTTGATGTAACTGGCCATGGCCAAGGCAACAGTGGAGACTGCCATAACAATGATGAGATGGCAACCATAAGAACAGTGGCACTGGCAGCCTGGTGGAGCCATCCTTCCTGTGACTTCTTGACAAGCTGTATATAACAGATGCCTTCTATTCAGTTATTTACAGTTTATTACCTCACTTTAGTGGACTCTGAACTACTGCTACAAAGCGGATTACTGATCAGTTTCTTCCTTCTGTACAAGATCAGTAGATATTTTTTTTTTTGTCCTCAAATTCTGGGCTTTGGGGTTATGGCTCTTGTTTCACTGATGATAAAATATTCTTTGTTTTTCATCATTTAGGTTGCTTATTGATTCTATGGATAAGAGAGGAATTTTTAAAAACTATTATGTCTTCACTCAGAGGAAAACTCAGGTAATGTTTTCTCAATAAAAAGCAATGGCTCTTAAATTGTGGCTGCACGTTAGAATTACTTTAGGGAACTTTAACAATTCCAGGGATGAGATGACATGTCAGACTTTTAACCCACAATCTCGGGGGCTGCCTCCAGGCATTAGTCATTTTGAAAACTTCCCAGGTGATTCTAATATACAAACACTAATTCCTTCCCAGGTGTTTTATTTATTTATTTTTTTTGTGTGTGTGTTTTACAAATATGGATAAATTTACACAGATATCCATATAAATTTACCTTTGAAGAGCAAATTAAATTATTTTTGGTGTCAGCAAATTTTAATTAAAGCTTATTATTGTAAAAATGTTTTCTTTTCAGTTGAGCTAATATCAGATTAAGATATATATAATTATTTTCACAGTGATGTTGTTTTAGGAACTAATCATTATTGCTAGAAACGAATTATAAAATCATATAATATAGAGAATAAGACTATAAAAAGTGCAGAGGAAAATAAGACCTCAAACTTAATCCATTGAGTTTAAGGCTACCATAACAAAGTACCACAGAATGGGTGGTCTCAACAACAGAAATTAATTTTCTTACATTTCTGGAGGCTAAAAGTTGAAGATCAAAGTGTCAGCTGAATTGGCTTCCTCCAGTGCCCCTCTCCTTGGTTTATAGATGGCTTCTTCTCCCTGTGTCTTCATAAGATTTTCCTTCTGTACCTACCTGTGTCCTAAACTCCTCTTCTTACCAGGATACAAGCCATATTGGATTACAGTCCATCCTAATGACCTCATTTAAAAATAATTACCTCTTTAAATGTCTGTATCCAAATACAATCACCTTCTAAGATACTAATGGTTAGGACTTCAGTATATGAATTTTGGAGGAACACAACTCAGTCTATAACATACATTAAATAGCAAAATTTGAGAATTTTATGGCTATGTCAGAATGTTAGAATTGCAAAATTAAAATACATAAAATATAATTAAGTCTGAAACCTTACCAAAAACTTCCATGTGTAATGTATTTCACTATTATTTTCCATAGCAAAGGTAGTTAAATACTCAGAAATTCTGGAAAATACAAAGAAGTGGAAAAGAGAGTGGAAAAAATATTGTTTTCCATCACTCACTTTAAATATTTTTTACATGCTGGTGCTTGTCCTTCTAGTCTTTTCCTTATTTAAGTTAAAAAAGATATTTGAAAAAAATATATGTAACTATGCATTATGCTTTTTAAATTCTTTACTCGGCAATATAACTTAAACGTTTTATCTTTTACACATTTTGTAAAAATATTTTTAACAGGTTAAAAACACTATGTCTAATGAACAGAAACAGCGTTTACTGAATTATTCTGCTCACTGTTGGGCATCTGGATTAACAGTTAGTGTTCCACCAGGAAATAGATTGCACAATCAAAGTGGGTAGTTTAGGAGATTTTTGAAAAATAAGCTTTATTTTTTAGAACAGTTTTAGATTTATAGAAACATTGAGAAGATAGTACAGTTTCCATATACCTTATCACCCAGTTTCCCTTTTGGTTAACATGGTATATGTTATTCATATGGTACATTTGTTACAATTAATGAACCAAATGATGCATTGCTATCGATTAAAGCCCATCATTTGTTCAGATTTCCTTAGCTCTTAACTTATATCCTTTTCTATTCCAGGATCCCAGCCGGGATACCATATTACATTGAGTAGTCATATCTCCTTAGGCTCCTCTTAGCTGTGATACTTTCACAGATGTTCTTTATTTTTTATGACCTTGACAGTTTTGAAGTGCACTGGTCAAGTATTTTGTAGAATGCTACCCTAATGAAATTTTTCAGATTTTTGTTTTCATGATTTGACTGAAGTTATGGGTTTTTGGGAGGAAGACCACAGGTAAAGTTTCATTTTCATTACATTCTATCCAGGGTACATATATCAGCATGATTTATCTTTGTTAATATTGACCTTGATCATCTGGCTAAGGTAGTGTTTGTCAGGTTTCTCACTGTAAAGTTACTCTATTTTCACTCTTTTCCATACTGTACCCATTGGGAAAAGAGCCATCATATATGGTTGACAGTTGAAGAGTGGGGATTCATGCCCCTTCTCCTTGAGTGATGAGTATCTATATAAATTATCTGGAATTCTTCTGCAGGAGATACCTGTATCTTATTCCTTACTTATTCATTTAATCACTTTTTATATAAATATGAATCATAAATATATATATTATACTTTGGGTTATAACCTGCTACAATTTGAAGATTTCCACCCCAAATAACATGTTGAAACGTAATACCCATTAAGTGATGGTATTAAGAGGCAGGGCATTTTGGGAAGTGATTAGGTTATGGTAACTACTCCTTTATAAATGGATTAGTTCCTTATATAAGTGCTGGAGGAAACTAGGCTTTTTTTGTCCTTCCACCTTTCACAATGTGAGGACACAGTGTTCATCCCCTCTGGAAGATGTAGCAAGAAGTCAAAAGCTGTTACCAGACACTGAACCTGGCAGCACCTTGATCTTGAACTTCCCCACCTCTGTAACTGTGGGAAACAAATTTCTACTGTTTATCAATGACCTAGTCTGTGGTATTTTGTTGTAGCAGCAAAAATGGACTAAGACATAATCTGATTGTCTTAGTTCATTTAAGTTGCTATAAAGGAATATCTAAGGCTGGGTAATTTATAAAGAAAAGAGGATTACTTGCCTCACTGTTCTACAGGCTGTACGAGAAACATGGCACCAGCATCAGCTTCTGATGAGGGCCTCAGAGAGCTTCCAATGGTGGCAGAAGGGGAAAGGGAATAGGCATTACATGGCAAGAGAGGAAGGAAGGACGGAGGTGGGTTGGGGGAGGTCCTAAACTCTCTTAAACAATCAGCTCCTATATTAACTAATAGAGTGAGAACTCTCCTAATTACCATGACAGCACCAAACCATTCATGAGGGAATCTGGGGCCATGACCCAAACGTCTTTCCTCCCCACCTCAACCACTGGGGATTGAGTTTCAACATGAGATTTGGGGAGGACAAATATCCAAACTATATCACCAATGCCGCTTTAGTTTTTTACTCAAATTTTTCCAATTTTGGTCACTGGAAGCTCTTTCAGTTGGCTGCTATGTAGCACATTCCCATCAAAGTAGGTTTTTAATTTTATTTTTTAAAGAAACTCTTCTTTCTGGCACTACAGGATGCTCTAGCTCATCTTGTATGTTTTCTGCCGCAGTTCTAGAATCGGTCATTTCTCCAAGAAGCTCTGGTTCCTTTTAGTGGAGAATAGTATTAGAAACCAAGATCTGGGTACTCTTTGTTACTGGGAGGTTGTTGTTTCATGACTTACCTGAGAGAGCAAGAAAATATGTGTGTCTACTAACATATATATATGCATAGATCTAGAAATTATTTTTCATTTTTAAATTTTCTTTTTATTTTTAAAAATAATTTCAACTTTTAGTTTCAGAGGGTTCATGTGCAGGTTTGTTACATGGGTATATTGTGTGATGCTCTGGTTTTGGGGGCACAATTGATTTTGTCACTCAGCTAGTGAGCATAGTATGCAAGAGGTAGTTTTTCAACCCCTGATAACCTCCTTCCTTTCCTCTAGTAGTCCCCAGTGTCTGTTGTTCCAGTCATTACGTCCATGAGTATCCAACGTTTAGCTTTCATTTATTAAGGGAGAGCACGTGATGTTTGGTTTTTTGTTCCTGTGTTAATTCTCTGAGGATAATGGACTCCAGCTCCATTTATGTTGCTGCAAAGGACCTGATTTTATTCTTTTTTTATGGCTGCATAGTCTCCCATGGAGAAAAGGGAATACTTATACACTATTGATGTGAATGTAAACTAGTTTAGCTGTATGGAGGGAGCTACCTATCCGGAAAACAGGAGATTTCTAAAAGAACTTAAAACAGAACTACCATTCGACCCAGCAATCCCATTACTGGGTATATATACAAAAGAAAATAAATTGTTCTACCAGAAAGATACACGCGCTCATATGTTTATTACAGCACTATTTACAATAGCAAAGACATGGAATCAACCTAGGTGCCCATAAACAGTGGATTAGATAAAATGTGTTTCACCAGTGCAACCCTCCTCCACACCAAACCCCGGCAACCATGTATATTTTTACTCTCTCTGTAGCTGTGTTATCCTAGAATGTTATATAATCATATAATTGGAATCATACAGTGTGTAGCCTTTTCAGACTGTCTTCTCTACTTAGCAATGTGTATTAAAATTCTTCCTCTTTTTGTGGTTTGAAAGCATGCTTTCTTCCCTTTCTTTCCGTTTCCCCTCCCCTCCCCTTTTCTTTCCCCTTCCTCTTCCCCTTCCCCTTCCCTTTCCCCTTCCCTTCCCTTCCCTTCCCTTTTTTGCTGAATAATATTCCGTTGCATGAATATAACATATTGTGTTTATCCATTCATCTGTTGAAGGACATCTTGATTACTTCCAGTTTTTGGTAAATATAAATAAGGCTGCTGTAAACATTAATGGGCAGGTTTTTCTGTAGACATAAATTTTTAGATTAGTTGAGTAAATCCTGGGAACATTATTGCTGTATCATATTGTATAAGTATTCTCAGTTTTGTGCAAAACTGCCAACCTGTCTTCCAAAATGGCTATACTGTTTTGTATCCCACTGGCAATGATAAAAGTTTGTCTTCCTTCGTATGCTCACCATACAGACTTTTAGAGGCATTATTTATAATGATATGAGCAGGGTTTAAGGAAACAAGCAAGAAGCAGTATAATATCCTGGACTTAGCAATAGTACATGTGAAGGGAAATAATACTGGAGAGAGTAGCTGTATAGAGTGAGCTACCTATCTGGAGTGAAGGTTTTGGGTAAAGGGACACAGAAAACCAACCAACTCTTGTAGATCCAAAGGGGAGAGATTCAGAACAATAAACACCTCAGCCTTATTTGTCTCCCATGTATTGATTGTTCCTCTTCCCATGCCTCCCATTGACTTGACACAACTAGAAGCCAGAGCAGAAGGGATTCATGGCTATAATCTAAGCAGGTCAGCCTCCTGCTGCACTGAGCAGAGTGGGAAAAGGTGAGCACTATCTCGTGGGTCAAATGAAATTTCACCAAAAGCATATTTGAGTTTGTGCAAAGTTTTTGAAAAAATTTTATTTTGAACATTTTAGATTATTTCCTCCTTGGATATACTTCAATAGTGGGATTATTAGACCAAAGAAAATGAAAAATTTGAAAGCTGCTCACTTCTACATGCCACATAATTAATATCTAAAATTTCCTATCATGGACTAAAATCTTATTATTTGTCTGTTTCATTATTATTGTTGATATATATAAGACATAATTAATTTTGTACATTTACATGGATATTAAGTTCTTCTGTCATTGGTGGTTGCTATTATTGTCACATAGAAATTTTAATTGAATTGGGGAATAAGACATGTTGCAAGGGGTCAGGCACATATTAGAAACAAAGATTAATATATTTTTTCTTTCAAAAATGTGTAAACTACACATCTCTACCTATCTATTCAAGCAGATTTTTTCTAAAGATAATAGATAAAATCTGTGTTCAGAAACATAGTAAATAGTCCCAGTTTAAATACATGCTAATTATCATTTCAAACATGTGTTTAAATTGTTTAGCTGTGTCTTTAACACTTGCTGGTTCCTTATCAGAAGCACATTGTTTATGAAAACTAAGAGTTTGTAGACTGTTTTTGTCTCTATTCAATATAGTTTTTTTCCCCAATAGTGACTTCCCTAGTGTTACTGTGGGCTTCTATTTCCTCTAACCTTTCTTGACTACACATGTGCTCCAATCAGGAAACTCCGACAATTCCCAGCGTTGCTGAAGGAAGTGGTTGAGGAGGCAACACAATTTTAAAATTTTTCATTCTCTTTCATTTTTTTTTAATCCCACTGAAATGCCTTGCCAAAGTCACCATGACTCATTTTTTGCTATGGCACTTGTGACTTTTGATTTAATTACTTGACCTTTCAGCAGTATTTGGCACTAACCATTACCCTGTTCCGAAAGCACTGTCATTCCTTGGCATTCAAGAAACTGTACTCTCATTGTTTCTCAGGTCTCTGGAGCCAGACTGTCTGGGCTGTACTGTTGTCTCTGTCGCTACTAGTTGCATGACTTTGTGTAAATAACTTAACATCTTTGGGATCCAGTTTTCTTATAGTTGAAATCGGGATAAAAATAGTACCTATTTTACAAAGTAGGGTAAGGATTGAATGAGTGAATGTACGTAAAATGATCCAAACAATGTTTGGGATCTCAGCACCATTAAAGTAATAGCCGGTGGTGTGCTGATAAACTCACATTCAGAAAATTAAAAGTCCTGGTTTGTAGTGTTTGCCAGTTTCCTTGGTGTAAATACTCTCATCATTCTTTTTTTTTTATATTCTTAATAAATGTATTTTATATTATTATTACTATTTTTTATCAATTTCAACTTTTATTTTAGATCAGGGGTACATGTGCAGGTTTTGTTACATGGGTATATTGTGTGATCTTGGGATTTGGAGTACAGTTGATCCTGTCAGCCAGATAGTGCACATGGTACACAATAGGTAGTTTTCTAACCTTTGCCCTTCCCCCACCACAAGAAGTTCCTGGTGTCTATTGTTTCCATCTTTATGTACCCAATGCTTAGTTCCCACTTATAAGTGGTATTTGGTTTTCTGTTCCTGCATTAATTGACTTAGGATAATGGTCTCTAGCTGCCACCATGTTGCTGCAAAGGACGTTCTTTCATTCTTTTTTATGGTGGTGTAGTATTTTGTGGTGTGTATGTACCACATTTTTTAAATAGTATCCACCATTGATGGGCACCTAGGCTGATTCCATGTCTTTGTTATTGTGAATAGTGCCACAATGAATATATAAGTGCATATGTTATTTTTGGTAGAATGATTTATTTTCCTTTGGATATATGTCCAGTAATGGGATTGCTGGGTCAAATAGTAGTTCTGTAAGTTCTTTGAGAAATCTCCAAAGTGTTTTCTAAAGTGGCTGAACTGGTTGACATTTCCTTACCAGCATCTGTTATTTTTTGACTTCTTAATAATAGTGATTCTGGCCGGCATGAGATGGTATCTCAATGTGGTTTTGATTTGGATTTCCCTGATTATTAGTGATGTTGGGTACATCTTTTTTGGTCACTGGTACGTCTTCTTTTGAGAAGTGCCGGTTCATGTCTTCTGCCCACTTTTTAATGGGGTTATTTGTTGTTTTGCTTGTAGAATTGTGTAAGTTCCTTATAGATCCTAGATATTAGACCTTTGTTGGATGCATAGGTTTTGAATGTTTTCTCCCAACCCTATAGGTTGTCTGTTTACTCTGTTGATAGTTTCTTTTGCTGTGAAAAAGCTCTTTAGTTAGGTCTCACTTGTCAATCTTGTTTTTATTGCAATGCTCTTGAGGACTTAGTTATAATTTTTTTCCCCAAAACTGAGGTCCACAAAAACCTAGGTATTTCCTAGGTTTTCTTCTCGAATTCTTACAGTTTGAGGTCTTACATTTAAATCTTTAATCCATTTTGAGTTGATTTTTGTATATGGGAAATTGTAGGAGTCCAGTTTAATTCTGCTGCATATGGCTAGCCAGCTAGTCCAACAGCATTTATTGAATAGGGTATACTTTCCCCATTGTTTATTTGTGTTCACTTTGTCAAAGACCAGTTGGTTGTAGGTATGTGGGTTTATTTATGGGTCCTCTGTTCTGTTAATCTATATGTTTATTTTTGTACCAGTAGTGTGTTCTTTTAGTTACTATAGCCTTGTAGCATAATTTGAAGTCAGGTAATGTGATGCCTATGGCTTTGCTGTTTTTTTTTTTATTATTGCTTGGGCTATTTGGGCTGTTTTTTGTTTCATGTGAACTTTAAGATTGTTTTTTCTAGTTCTGTGAAGAATGGCATTTGTACTTTGATAAGAATTGCATCGAATCTGTAGATTGCTTTAGACAGTATAGTAATTTTAACTATATTGATTATTCCATCCCATAAGCATGGGATGTTTTTCATTTGTTTGTGTCATCTATAATATCTTTCATCAGTGCTTTATACTTCTTTTTGTAGAGATCTTTCACCTTGTTAGTTAAATGTATTCCTAGAATTTTTTTTTCAGTGTGGCTATTGTAAATGAGATTGAGTTATTGATTTGGTTTTCAGCTTGAACATCATTGGTGTACAGAAATGCTACTGATTTGTGTACATTTATTTTGTATCCTGAAAGTTTACTGAAGTTGTTCATTAAGTCTAAGAGTCTTTAGAGGAATCTTTAGGATTTTCCAGATATGTGATCATTTCATCAGTGAACAGAGATACGCTGACTTCCTATTTTCCAGTTTGAATGCCTATCATTTCTTTCTCTTGCCTGATGGCTCTGGCTAGGACTTCCAGTACTATGTTGAGTATGAGTGGTGAGAGTGGACATCCTTGTCTTGCTCCAGTGCTTAAGGAGAATGCTTTCAACTTTTCCTCATTTGGTATGGTGTTGGCTGTGGGTTTGTCACATATGGCTCTTATTATTCTGAAGTGTATTCCTTTGATGCATAGTTTGTTGAGGGTTTTTATCTTTAAGGGATGTGGGCTTTTACCCAATGCTTTTTCTGCAACTATTGAGATGATCATATGATTTTTGTTTTTGATTTTGTTTATGTGATGAATCACATTTATTGATTGGCAAATGTTGACCCATCCTTGCATCCCAAAAATAAAGCCCACTTGATAGTGATGAATTATCTTTTTAATATGCTGTTAGATTCAGTTTGCTAATTTTCTTTTTTTTTGAGGACTTTTGCTTCTATATTCATCAGAAATATTGGCCTATAGTTTTCTTTTTTGTTATGTCCTTTCTTGATTTTGGATCAGGGTGATACTCATTTCATAGAATTGAGGAGGAATTCCATGAATTGAGTATTCTATGATACTAAGTAACTAACTAACTAGCTATTCTTTGGAGTAGTTTCAGTAAGATTGGTACCAGCTCTTCTTTGCACATCTCATAACATTTGGCTGTGAATCCATCAGATACTGGGCTTTTATTTGTTGGAAAATTTTTTATGACTGATTAAATCTCATTACTTGTTACTCATCTGTTCAGCATTTCTATTTTTTCCTGGTTCAATTTTGGGAGGTTGCATGTTTTCAGGAATTTATCCATTTCCTCTAGTTTTCTAGTTTGTGTGCATAGAGATGTTTATAGTAATCTCTGATAGTATTTTGTTTTTCTGTGGTATTGGTTGTAATAACACTTATTTCTGATTGTCCTTATTTGAATCTTTTTTTCTTGGTTAAACTTGCTAGTGGTCTATTCATTTTGTTTATCCTTTCAAAGAACCAACTTTTCATTTCATTGATCCTTGGTATTGTTCATTTGGTCTCAATCTCATTTAGTTCTGCTCGGATTTTTATTATTTCTTTTCTTCTGCTGGCTTTTGGGTTTGATTTGTTCTTGCTTTTCTAGTTCCTTGAAATGTGACACTAGACTACTAATTTGATATATTTATATCTTTTTGATGTAGACATTTAATAGTATAAACTTTCCTCTTAGCACTACCTTTGCTGTATCCCAGAGGTTTGGATATGTTGTGTCTGTATTTTCATTAAAAATTGTTTGATTTCTATGTTACTTTCATTTTTTACTAAAAAGTCAGGAGCAAGTTGTTTAGTTTCATGTACTTGTGTATTTTTGAGAGTTTCTCATGGTATTGATTAATAATTTTATTCCACTGTGGTCCAAGAATATATTTAATATAATTTTGATTTTTAAAAATTTATTGAGACTTGCTTTGTGGCAAGGCATATAGTGAATCTTAGAGAGTGTTCTATGCACAGATGAGAAAAATGTATATTCTGTGGTTTTGGGCATAAAATGTTTGTTAAATATCTATGTTTCATTTGGTCTGGAGTCCAGTTTATGTCTAGTGCTTCTTTGTTGACTCTGCCTCAATGATCTATCTAGTGTGGTCAGTGGGATTTTGAAGTCCCCCACTAGTGCTGAATTGCTGTCAATCTCTTTTCTTAGGTGTAGTAGTATTTGTTTTATCAATCTGGGTGCTCCCGTGTTGGGTGCATATTTATTTTATTTAGAATAGTTAAAACTTCTTGTAGTATTGACCTCATCATCATTATATAATGCCCCTCTTTGTCTTTTTTTTTTTTTTAACTGTTGTTGGTTTAAAGTCTGTTTTATCTGATGTAAAAATGGCTACTTCTGCTAACTTTTGTTTTCTATTTGTGTGGTATATCTTTTTCTACCCCTTTACTTTGAGTCTGCAGGTGTCTTTAGCTATTTAATTGGTCTCTTGTAGGCAGCAGGTGGTTGTGTCTTGTTTTGTAATCCAATTTGCCAGTCTATATCTTTTAAATGGAGGATTTAGGCCATTACATTCAAGGTTAATATTGATATGTGAAGTTTTGTCCTGCCAGAGATTTGTCAGCTAGTTGCCTTTGAGTCTCAATTATGTATGTAATTGTTTTATAAGATCCATGAGATTTCTAGCAAGTGTTTGGAAAACACTTACTAGAAATAACCAGTGTGTTATATGATGATGAGTATCCTTTTATTATCATGTTTAGAGTGCTTTTGAGCATTTCTTGTAGGACTGGTCTAGTGGTGCCAAATTCCCTTAGCATTTGTTTGTCTGGGAAAGGCTTTATTTCTCCTTCATTTATTAAGCTTAGTTTGGCAGTATATAAAATTCTTGGCTGGCATTTTTATTTCTGTAAGAAGGCAGAAAATAGGCTTCTAATGTCTTCTGGCTTGTAGGGTTTCTGCTGAGAAGTCCACTGTTAGTCTGATAGGATTGCCTTTATAGGTGATTTGATAGTTCTCTCTAGCTGCCTTTAAGACTTTTTCTTTCACACTGGCCTTTGATTGTCTGATGACTATATGCCTTGGTTATAATTGTTTTATATAACATCTTCAAGGTCTTCCCTAAATTTCTTGTATCTGCATGTATACATCTGTAGCAAGATTGGAGAAAATTTCCTCAATTATTCCCTCAAATATGTTTTTCAAACTTCTTACTTTTTCTTCTCCCTTGCTTCACATAATCCATATATCTCAAACAATTTGTTCAGTATTTTAAATTCTTTTTTTGTCTAAGTGGGTTAATTTGAAAATTTCCAGGTTTTCTGGTTAGTTTTTTAAAAATACATCTATCTCATCTGTCATCTCTTGAATTGTTTTTCTGTGTGTGTGTGTGTGTGTGTGTGTGTCGATTTCCAACTTTCTCTGTGTTCTCATTGAGCTTCCTTATAACACACATCTTGAATTCTCTATCTGTCATTTCAAAGTTTTTATTTTGGTTAGAATCTATGCTAGAGAGCTATTGTGGTCTTTGGAGAATGTCACAACATTCTGTTTCTTCATGGTGCTGGAATTCTTGTGGTGGTTCCTTCTCATTTGTAGAAGCTGTCACTTCTTACCTGGGAATTTACTTTTATTTGCGTGGGATTTTTTTTCTTCCACTAGAGTGTGATTTTTGCATATATTGGTGGGGTCCTTTGGTTTCACTTCTATATGCTTTTAGAGGACCAAAGCACTGTATGAATTCTTTGCTTATATATCACATTAGTGTAGTGGTTTTCTAAAATGCTAGATTGTAGTAGTGGCGTGCTGTACATATGGTCAGGCTTACTGTCTCCTACAGAGATGAGGAGATGGAGATCTCAGAAGTTACCTCATTCCCCCGTGCTGTGCACTTCTACCAGCAGTAATTATATTGGGTTGTGCAGTTCACCATACAGGCCAGCAGGTGGTGCTTACAGGTAAGAGTTGGCTGAGCACTGTACAATGATGTCAGCAGAAGTTGTGATTGGACATGCAGTTTGACCTCCCATCCATATGTGGTGCTTGCAGGTGAGAGGCGGCTGTGGTGATGGCAGTGGAAATTTTACTTGGCCTTTGTTGATCAGGGGAACTACCAGGGTGTGCCTGGTGATGGGGAGCATGGAGCTCTCAAGTGTCCCATTCCACACTCTGACCAACGGGGGTGCAGGGGGGAAAGCTGGGTGGGGCTGGGTTGGGCGAACCTACCTCCAGGCTCTCCAGGCTAACTAGGGTGGGACCAAGCACAACCTTGGTGGGAGCTGAGGGGCAGCTCTCAGGCCACTGGAACAACCCAGGGAGGGGCAGAGGTGTTTCTCCTGTGCCAAAGAACCCACCAAGAGAAAAAGCGGCAGCCAGGGTTTTTTTCCTGGCTGTTCAAAGTATGAAGGTTTACTTGATATTTTGGTTCCTCTCAGTGAAGAGGCACATGTCAGCTGCATCTGATCAATCATCTTCATTTCTCGTGAGTTTGTGAATCCTATGCAGAGCAACAGCAGCAGAAGTTTGGCACCGTTGTGCTCATATCTCCATAAACAGCCTCATTTCCACTTTTTGGCTGTTATTATTAATACACCTATAAACTTTTATGTGGACATAGTTTGCATTTCTCTTGAGTGTATATCCAGAAGTGAAATTGCTAGGTGCATATGGTAACTCTACATTTAACTTTTCAAAAAACTGCAAATTGATTTCCAAAGAGGTTGCAAGATTTTACATTCTCACTTGCAGTGCGTAAGGGTTCCAATGTCTTCAATGCTTGTTATTACATCCTTTTGATTATGACCATCCTCGTGTATATGAAATGATATGTTTGTCATTTTCATTTGTATTTTCATGATGGCTAATGATGTCGAACATTTTTTTCATATGCTTATTGGCCATTTGTATTTCACCTTTAGAGAAATGTCTATATCTTTGTACATTTCCTGATTGGATACTTTTCTTTTTTATTGAGTTGCAATTTCATTCACTTTTTATGACTCCAATTATATTTTTATTCTTATGACTCTGAAAAAATACCTTAAGTCTAGATTTCTAGTCTGAACTTCATAGATGCTCCGTAGCCACCACAAGTTCAATATGATCCTCCAAACCTGCTTGTCTTTCTTAGTTATTATCTCATCGAAATGCCCCACCATTCACTCTGAGACCTGAGTGTCATCTGTTTCACCTCTTTTCCCCTCTAAATCCAGCCAGCTACAACAACATTGTTTCTACCTCTTACAAAACTTCTAAAATTTCTATCTCTATGGTCAAGTTTGTTCAGACCACAATAAAATTTTTTTTCTGTTTATCTGTCTTTTGTTTTATAAGCTAATTACTTGCACTTCAGAGTGCATATTTTAAAATATAAATCTAATCATGTTATTTTCATGATTAAAACCTTTTAATGGTTTCCTCTTGCTTTTAGGATAATATTCAAATTACTTAACATAAATACTATATAGGAGATAACTTCCTTATAATTATAGTTATTAAAAATGTACTTGACCAGCTTAAACTGTAGAGTTCCTTGTCACAAGAAACAGTCATACAAAGGTTGAAAATTGATCATCTCTCAAGGGTAATGTGAACAGGATTTATGCTTTGGATGGACAGTAGAAACTGATCTCTACTAAGGCTTCTTACCATTATAAACTGCTATGATTCTAATACATGTATATTGTACATGCTAATAACCAAAAGGTTTGATTTATTGGGAAGCCTCATATCAATATGAATAAATATAAAGATACAGTTTTGCAGTTGTAAAGAAAAAGTTGTAAATACACTGTTGTATCCAAAACACTATTAGTCTTATAGGAAACTACTGAGTACACTATGAATTTGTCTTTGAATTTAAAATAAAAGCGTATAGTAAATTATAGAAATGGTCAAAATTATAATTCTGGGGAGTCAGAAAAAATGTCAGCCTAGAATAAGTAAAAATAAAGCCTAGTTTTTTGACCAAAATATTCTTATCTTCACATTTTTGAGTCACTGATGTTTTTAGAATTTGATGAAAATTATGGAATCTTTGTGTTGAAAAATATGCTTAGTGCTCCAAATTTTCACAGTGTTCATAACCCCACTTAGGTCCATCCATGAACCCACAATAAAGGATCCTAGATCTCCAGAGTGCTGAGATGGGGTTTGATTCAAAATGCTGTAAATAGGTGACAGTGAGGTTTTTGGTGGTTAGCTTCACCATTATCAAGAGGATTTTTAAAAATTAAAATATAGATAATATATAGAGAAAAGAACTTCAATAAAAATATAATCAATGCTCTTGTAAATCTGTACTTATTTCAGAAAGATGCATGACAAAGAATAAGAAGGTAGTCCAGAATTAGGAGTTCCTATATAGCTCAATATCTAAATGATAATCATTTGTGTTACGGGGAGGATTTAAAATGAGTTAATAGATGTACAAAATTCTATTTACGTTTTTCTCAGGAAATATATGAACAAAAATTGATCTGGAGAATTTCCTTTCATGCCTTGAAGATTGATCTCGAATTTTTAGAGAAATATAACATAGTTTATTTAATTTGTTTCTTGAATATTGTTTTAAAATACAATTGATCACTATTACAATGTGAAGATACACTATTATGGAACTTTTCATATATTTTCAAAATTGAACAACAGGCTGATTTGCTTTCAAAGGGCTGAAATATATAGGTCATGATATGCTCTGGCAGACTTAGCTTCATGGATAAAAGATGTTATTGCGCACCAGCAAAGCATCATTTATTAGCCTTGCTCCAATCAGTCTAAATTATATTCTCAAGTACTGCCAACTGCTTTGAATTTGATGTCACCAGAGCACATCATTAATTTATCAAACTGTTTTGTCTGAAGGCAATGAAAGACTGCCATGTTATTCTCCTGGGCTGAAAGAAAAATAGGAGGAGTCAGAAATAAACAAATGTCTTTTTTGCTCACATTAATTCGGATATTTAAATGAGAATGAATACTAAAGGAATGTCGAAAAGATACATTAAATTGCAGAGACAAACTCTATTGAACTTAGGATATATTTGGTGCATTTTGCCGCATAATCCTTAAAGACCAATTGCCAACTTAAAGATTGTTAACCTCATTGCTACGTTCTAAATATTTAAGGGTCCCCAAATTTTTATCAATGCTAATTGCCAATGTGATGTCATTAAAAACTGGGGCTGTTGGGAGGTGATTAGGTCATGAGGGGGAAGCCTTCAATGGTGGGATGAGTGCCTTTATAAAAGAGGACAGAGAGATCCCTAGCCTCTTCCATAATGTAAGGACACGGAAAGAAGACACTATCTATGAACCAAGAAACAGGTCGTCATCAGACACCGAATCTGCTGGCACCATGATCTTGAATTTCCCAGCTTCCAGAACTGTGAACAGCAAATTTCTAGGCAGTTGTTTCTAGGCTACGCAGTCTCTGGTATTTTGTTATAACAGCTCAAACAGACTAAAATACTCATTTTTTTTTTCCGCATGAAGAATTAACATTTTAGTGATTTGCAATGACAGGGGAGATTTTCTAAAATTATAAGAAATTTTCAGCCTGTTGGGAAAAGGGTTTGTGGAATGCCTGTATAAACTGGCCATGAAAATATGGGACAATAAGTTGTGGAAAGCCACAAGAGGCCTCTGAGGAGGAAAGCCTCCTAATTTCCATCACGTTCCCATGCTCAGAGGGAGACCCGCTCTCTTATGGGTAAACACCGTATTCAAGGAGAAAGACACTCCTTTGAAACACTGGAATGGGGACAGACGTGCAGGCTCCTATTTAAGCCAGCTCCCACTAGCTACTCTCCGATATATTAAAGAGATGCTGTTTGAGCACAAAGGAGATTCATTTAAACCGCTATTGCTACAGATTATGCCTATGACATACTGCCTCCTTTTCACTGTTTCACCCTGAACATCTGCTTCTTAGATGTAAGTGATTGTGCTCAATAAATAGTGTGGAGACCAGAGCTCGGGGCCTTTTGCAGTCTCCAAAAGTGCAACTGGCCCCCTGGCTCCCCACCTTTCCTCTTAACTTGTCTCCCCTCAATCCTTTGTCACCACCAGACTTTGGGTACCCTACGGGTGGTGTTGAGGCTGGTTCCCAACATCAACCTATAGATAGAATTCAATATTTATGTATATAGTAATTGTTTTACTTCAGCAAACTACTAAAACACATACTTTCTGCAAATGCTTATTTAACTCTTAACATTTTAATTTTTAGAACTTATGCTTGAATAAAACATAACATATTTAAATGTATATACACATTTAGATGTTCTTCTGTGCTTCAGTTAAGTATTTAATATTTATAATTTTAAAATATTTTACATTATAAACAAAATATTTTTCATGATATTAATACTTATTTAGAATATGGATAAGCAAAAGTAAAAATCATCTGTAATCCCACTTCGGAGAATACTTAAAATTTTGAATGTTGAATGTTATTTAAGATTTTTAAGTTTCTATGCAATTTTATCAACTAAAATAATGATAATTATGCATGACTCTTTTATATTTTTCTTTCCATTGTACGTTGGTTAGAATTTATAGAATAATGTTAAACAGTAATGATGATTGTGGCATGGTATTTTGCTTTAATATTGCTGCTTTTAACATTTTACCAGTAAACACAATGTCAATGATTGAAGTAATGTAGACACTCTTTAACAAGTTAATGTGTTTTCTTTTCTAATTTATTGAGATAATTTTTGAAGCAGAAGATATTGGTACCTATTATGTGTATTTTCTACTTTATTAAATCATATATGAATAGATTTTATGTTTTATATTATTGGTATTTAACTTGTCAAACAATACATACATGTATTATATATATAACATATATATTATATATAATACATTATATATAATCCATATATATTATATATAATACATTATATATAATCCATATATATGTGTGAATAAATACCGATACAGAAATAATTTCAGGACTTAAAAAAACAACTGTCTCCCACAACAGCTTTTTCCCTCCTTGAGTTCTCTTCTTTAGGGCTATCTACTTCCGGCTAGTTTAGTTCAAATTCCAAATGGTATTTATTTCCATTCAATATTTTCTTTTCCATATTCCACCTTTTAACTTTCTTAGATATCTCTTTTAGTGATCAGAAGTTTTAAAAATTTGATAAAGTTTAATTTATTGTGGTTTTTCTTTTATAGTGAGTGCCTGTCGTGTACTATCTAAGAAACCTTTGCCTACCTGCAAGGTGATAAAGATATTTCCTACTGTTCTAAAAGTTTAATAGCCATAGCTTTCTTATTCAGGCCTACTGTTCCTTTCAAATTTTTGAGTATGTGTGAGGTAAAGGTCATTGTTTGTTGTTTTCCCTTAATGAATATCTATTTGCTTTGGCACAATTTATTGAAAAGATTTTGCTTTCCTCACTGAACTGCATCACACTCGTGTAGAAAGTCAAGTGACCATATATATGTTGGTTTAGTTCTGGACTTTTATTGTTCTGTTAATCTATTTATCTATGCTTATACTACTGCCACTCTGTATTAATTAACGTAAGTTAATATTAAGTCAGGTAGTATAAGCCCACCAACTTTGTTCATCAAGATCGTTTTGACTATTTTTTCATCTATTCATATCCATATAAATTTACAAATCAAATTTTCAAATTTTACTGAAATTTTCACTGGGATTGTGATGACTTTAGTGAGCAATGTTTGCTGATGGAGAATTGAAATCTTAAAAAGATTGAACCGTTGCATCTTTGAATATGGTATAGCTTTCCATTTACTTTGGTTTTAAAACATTTTTCTACACTCTATTTTGTAGAGGTCTTCCACAATTTTTATTTAATTTCATCCTGAGTGTTATGGAGCAAATTGTGTCTCTCCTAAATTAATATGATGACTCTCTAACCATTTGTCGTATGGCTTTATTTGATGAAAAGTTAACCATAACTTGCATTTTTTCCCCTAGAGTGTAACATTTTTTTCCTCACTCTGACTTAACAATTTTCTATTTATTTTTGCTTTTTTAGCAGTATGTCTGTGATGTGCATACATACAGTTTTCTCTGTGTTTATTCTGCTTGGAGTTTTCTGAGTCTCCTGAATTTTTGGACTGATGTATTTCATCGATTTTGGAAAAAAATTAGCCATTTTCTCTTCAAATATTTAGTTGGTCCCATTTTTTCTATTATCTCCTTTTGGTACTCCAATTGCACATATATGTTCAACAATTTGAAATTGTCTCAAAGGTCTGCTGAGTTTTTTAAAATTGTTTTTCCTGTCTGTGTTTTAGACAGATAATTTTTATTTATCTGTCTTCAAGTTTAAATATCTTTTCTTATTCTGTGCTGGTCTGCTTTTAGGTGATTCCAATAAATTTAAGATATTTTATTTTTTACTTTTTGGATTTCCATTTGGTTTGTTTATAGGATTTCCATTGCTTTGGCTTAATTCCCCCATCTAGTCATTTTTGTATATCCTTTCCACTAACTTTTCTTTTTGAGATGGAGTCTTGCTCTGTTGCCCAGGCTGGAGTGCAGTGGCGCGATCTTGGCTCACTGCAACCTCCGCCTCCCGGGTTCAAGCAATTCTCCTGACTCAGCCTCCTGAGTAGCTGGGATTACAGGCACACATCCCAATGCCTGGCTAATTCTTTTTTTGTATTTTTAGTAGAGATGGGGTTTCACCATGTTGGCCAGGCTGGTCTTGAACTCCTGACGTCAAGTGATCCGCCCACCTCGGCCTCCCAAAGTGTTGGGATTACAGGTGTGAGCCACCATGCCCGGCCTCTACTAAATTTTTAACATTTAAAAATATTTATTTTACAGTCCTTGCCTGTTAATTACAACACCTGGGTCATCTATGGGTTTTCTGCTGTTGGCATTTTTACAATTATTATGAGACACATTGAGAATAATGCATTGTAGAAGTGTTCTCTTAAGTTACAATTTTCTAAATAGTGTTGAATTCGTTCTTGAAGGCAATTAAATTACCAAAACACAAATGTTACCTTTGATAAAATTATAAAAACAGGGCATATGGCACCATGTTTTGAGTAGAGGAATTTGCAGATTAGCATTCACCCAGATGTGAAGAAGCTGGGAACCCTGTCATACAAGAAATGACAAAGAAAGCTTATTCTGGAAGGAAGGATGCTTACTCTGGAGCAGAGAAACCAGTAGGAGGCATGACAAGCTGGGCCTCTCCAATAATTTCAATAATCTACTCTTCATAGAAATGTCTGAGTACTTTTTAAAGACAAACTTCCCAGTACTGTTTGCTTGTCTTACAATAAAAAATCTGGCTTAAAATAAATGACAATTTTCAGTCTTTTCACACTTGGCATTTAAGCTTAAGCTCCAAAATAGTTCATTAAATAATGAATCTGCTTGGCAGGGTCATCTTGTTCTTATTTATTGACATCTTTGCAGAAGGTAGGCTCAGAGAAGATGCAATAAAATGATTTACTATACGCTATATTTTGCTGTTCATATGTCTGCATCACATCTAACAATGATATATAATATACTTTGGGGTGAAGGGTTAGAGATCAGATTCCTGGACTTTGGTTCGACCACATAATTCAGTAAATCTGGAAGTACTAACAGCCAGGTCATGTGCCACTTGCCTGATATTTATGACACAGAGACAACAAAGAAATTCTATTTTAGAATTCATAGAATTAAACTGAGAAATTTTAAGGAGTCACAGCTTTGGAAAAAATACATTAAAAATGAGTAACAACATAAATGTGATTTGAAGGATCAATATTCAATATTTTGGCTATCATGGAATAAAAAAAGATATTTGGATTTAGGACAGAAGAACCTATGTGTGTAGAACATCTTTAGGGTGTTTCCTGAAATTAAACATGTTTCTTTACACTGTGGTATATGAGTGAAGATGCCATTGCTTGGATTTCCTGAAAGTTTAGGAGGCATCTACTTGCATGGATGTAGATGGAGAAAAGATAAGGTGTGTTGGAGTATACTGAATTGCAATACAAAATAGCTGATAGAGGTGCTGGGTCAAGGTTCAGCTTTTTATATTGGTAAATTATTTGGTAGTACCTATAAAATTTTATACAGGTTTACCTACATTTAATTTATTTTCAAATATGCAGCCAATGTTATCTTTCTTACCTCTTTATTCTCTTTTATATACAGACAGATTAAGATATTATCTAGTCTCAGTCTTAAAATAAATTTAATAAGTTGATTCTTTGGTGTTTGCATAGAGCACCATGTCTCAGAGTCTCAGCTTTTCACAAAATTCAGGGAAATTTCTCTCCTGGATAGAAAGGTCAGGAAGTTAGCATCAACTACCAAATTTGCAAGCTTGCTGACAGCTGGCTATAATTCAAATGGACACCCCATTTAAAAGGGCAGAAAAATCAACAAATATGTATTCTGTAACAGTCAAAGCACAGTGCCCTAATATCTAATTATATTCACAAAGAGCAAAGCATTTTATTCTGTGACTCACCAGTTCCCTATCAGTTTTCTATAATCTCACTCTCCTTGTCCAATTGACTATCTGCCCAGTATCACTCTGGGATGATGAACCATTATGTTATTCTTGGGTGACCTAGAGTTTTCTAACCCCAGCATATTCTGTGGTCCAGCAAAATTGACATCATTTACGATCTTGTAAAAAATGCAGAACCTCAGGCCACAGCAGGACCAACTGAATCAGAATTTTCATTATTGAAAGATCCCCTGGTGGTAATTCACATGCCCATTAAAGACTGAGAAGCACTGTCTTAGTGTCTATTCTTAGGCAATCTCCCAGGTGATCATAGCAAGTAGGCCACGGTCACTCTACTAATTTTCTGTCTAATCTGGATTTCAAAGGTGAAACGGAATGAAAGAATCAAGCATTTATTCAAACAACAAACAAGTTCCAATCACTTATTCTGTGATAAGCACCATGTCAGGGGGTGGAAAGATAGAGACAGGGATATATGTAATCCCCATCTAAGAAGTCAGAATTTTAGTGGAAGATACAGTGAACTAGAGGTTACTCCACAAATCTTCTATCCTTCTGGAGTCATGATGTCCTTTAATGATTAAACTAAATAATGAGGCTCTACCTTATACTACTATACATAGTTCAATGCCTTCCTTACTATTTCTAAGGATTGCTGGGGATATAGTTTGAATGTTTTGTCTCCTCCAAATCTCTTGTTGAAATGTGACCTCCAATGTTGGAGGTAGGACTAGTGGGAGGTGTTTGGGTCATGGGGGCAGATCCCACATGAATGCCTTAGTGCTGCCCTCACAGTGAGGAGTGAGTTCTCATTCTGAGTCTGGGCACGATGTGGTTGTTTAAAAGAGTGTGGCACATCCCCCACCCCTCTTGCTCCCTCTTGCCATGTGATATGCCAGCCCCCCTTTGCCTTCCACCGTGATTGGAAGCTCCCTGAGGGCTTCACCAGAAGGAGATGCTGGCATCATGCTTCCTGTATAACCTACAAAACTGTGTGCCAGAATAAATCTCTGTTTTAAATAAATTATCTGATGTCAGGTATTCCTTTATAGTGATATAAAATGGACTAACACAGAAAATTTTTACTGAGAAATGGGACATTGCTATAAAAATACCTGAAAATG
This sequence comes from Homo sapiens, assembly GCF_000001405.40. Lineage (NCBI taxonomy): Eukaryota > Metazoa > Chordata > Mammalia > Primates > Hominidae > Homo > Homo sapiens. The sequence goes on from NC_000004.12 coordinate 143,783,821, forward strand.
TGGAAGCAGCTTTGGAACTGGATAAAGGGCAGAGATTGGAAGAGTTTGGAGCGTTCAGAAGTTGATAGCAAGATGAAAGAAAGTTTGGAATTTCTTAGAGACTAATTAAATGCTTGAGACCAAAATGCTGGTAGAAATATGGGATGCCAAGGTGGGTGGATCACTTAAGATCAGGAGTTTGAGACCAGCCTCACCAACATGGAGAAACCTCATCTCTACTAAAAATACAAAAATTAGCTGGGCATGGTGGTGGGTGCCTGTAATCCTAGCTACTCAGGAAGCTGAGGCAGGAGAATCACTTGAACCAGGGAGGTGGAGGTTGCAGTAAGCTGAGATTGCACCATTGCACTCCAGCCTAGGGGACAGAGCAAGACCCCATCTCAAAAAAAAAAAAAAAGAAAAAAAAGAAAGAAAGAAATATGGAGAGGGAAGTCCAGGCTGACAAGGTCTCAGATAGAAATGAAGTTATTGAGAACTGGAGAAAAGATCACTTGTCAAGCCTTAGCAAAGAGCTTGGCTGCATTGTGTCAAAGACCTGGGAACTTCTGGAAGGTTGAACTTACTTAGGAGTGATGACATAGGGTATCTGGTGGAAGAAATGTCTAAGTAGAAAAGCTTTTAAGATATAGTCTGGCTGCTTCTAACAGCCTATGATCATATATAGGAACAAAGGAATGACTTAAAGTTGGAATTTATAATTAAAAGGGAAACAGAGAGTAAAATGCCCAGGAAATGTCATAACCTGGACATGTGGTAGAGGAGAAAAGAGCATTTTTAGGGGAAGAATCCAAGTGGCTTAAGGAGCAACCACTTGCTAGAGAGGTTTACATGACTAAAAGGGAGCCAGGTGCTAATATCCAAGACAATGGAAAAAAAGGTTGCAAAGGCATTTAAGAAATCTTTGAGACAGCCACTCCCATCACAGGCCCAGAGGCCTAGGATGAAAGAATGGTTTTTGGGGTCCAACCCCAGAGCCTGCTGCTCTGGCAGCCTTGAGACACTGCTCCCTGCAACCCACCTGCTCTGGTTCCAGCCTTGGTCAAAGGGCCTCAGGTACAGTTGGAGCTGCTGCTCTGGAGTGTGTAAGCTACCTTGGTCGATTCCACATGGTGTTAAGTCTGCAAATGCACCGAATGCAAGCATGAAGTAGGCTTGGCAGCTTCCCCTTAGGTTTTAGAGGGTGTATCAGAAAGCCTGAAAAAGCCACAGACACTCAATTACAACCTTTGAAAGCAGCCAGCTGGGGGCTGCACCTTGCAAAGCAAAGGGACAGAGCTGCCCAAGACCTTGGGAGCCCACTCCTTGCATCATCGTGTCCTAGATGTGGGACACAGAGTCAAAACAGATTGCTCTGGAGCTTTAAGATTTAATGACTACCCTTCTGGATTTTAGACTTCTGTGGGGCCTGTTGCCTCTTTCTTTTGGCCTATTTCTACCTTTTGGAATGGGAACATTTATCCAATCTTTATACCACCACTGTATTTTGGAGGTAAATATCTTGTTTTTAATCTTACAGACTCATAGATGGAAGGAAACTGCCTTAAGTCTCAGCTCAGATTTTGGACTTTGACTTTTGATTAAGTTGATGCTTGAAAGAGTTAAGAATCTGGGGGACTACTGGGAAAGGATAACTGTATTTTGCAATGTGAGAACATGAGATTTAGGGGGCTGGATGTGACACGATATGATTTGGATATTTTGTCTCCTCCAAATCTCATGTTGAAATATGACTTGCAATGTTGTAGAAGGGTCTAGTGGGAAGTGTTTGCATCATGGGGGAAGGTCCATCATGAATGGTTTGGTGCTGTCCTTGTGGTAGTGAGTGTGTTCTCATTCTGAGTTCACATGAGATCTAGTTTTTTTTTTTAATGTTATTATTATTATACTTTAAGTTTTAGGGTACATGTGCACAACGTGCAGGTTTGTTACATATGCATACATGTGCCATGTTGGTGTGCTGCACCCATTAACTCGTCATTTAGCATTAGGTATATCTCCTAATGCTATCCCTCCCACCGCCCCCCACCCCACAACAGTCCCCGGTGTGTGATGTTCCCCTTCCTGTGTCCATGTGTTCTCATTGTTCAATTCCCATCTATGAGTGAGAACATGCGGTGTTTGATTTTTTGTCCTTGCAATAGTTTGCTGAGAATGATGGTTTCCAGTTTCATCCATGTCCCTACAAAGGACATGAACTCATCATTTTTTATGGCTGCATAGTATTCCATGGTGTATATGTGCCACATTTTCTTAATCCAGTCTATCATTGTTGGACATTTAGGTTGGTTCCAAGTCTTTGCTATTGTGAATAGTGCCGCAATAAACATACATGTGCATGTGTCTTTATAGCAACATGATTTATAATCCTTTGGGTATATACCCAGTAATGGGATGGCTGGGTCAAATGGTATTTCTAGTTCTAGATCCCTGAGGAATTGCCACACTGACTTCCACAATGGTTGAACTAGTTTACAGTCCCACCAACAATGTAAAAGTGTTCCTATTTCTCCACATCCTCTCCAGCACCTGTTGTTTCCTGACTTTTTAATGATTGCCATTCTAACTGGTATGAGATGGTATCTCATTGTGGTTTTGATTTGCATTTCTCTGATGGCCAGTGATGATGAGCATTTTTTCATGTGTTTTTTGGCTGCATAAATGTCTTCTTTTGAGAAGTGTCTGTTCATATCCTTCGCCCACTTTTTGATGGGGTTGTTTGTTTTTTCTTGTAAATTTGTTTGAGTTCATTGTAGATTCTGGATATTAGCCCTTTGTCAGATGAGTAGGTTGCAAAAATTTTCTCCCATTCTGTAGGTTGCCTGTTCAATCTGATGGCAGTGTCTTTTGCTGTGCAGAAGCTCTTTAGTTTAATTAGATCCCATTTGTCAATTTTGTCTTTTGTTGCCGTTGCTTTTGGTGTTTTAGACATGAAGTCCTTGCCCATGCCTATGTCCTGAATGGTATTGCCTAGGTTTTCTTCTAGAGTTTTTATGGTTTTAGGTCTAACATTTAAGTCTTTAATCCATCTTGAATTAATTTTTGTATAAGGTGTAAGGAAGGGATCCAGTTTCAGCTTTCTACATATGGCTTGCCAGTTTTCCCAGCACCATATATTAAATAGGGAATCCTTTCCCCATGTGTTTAAAAGAATGTGATGCTTCCTCCCCACCCACTTGCTCCCTCTTGCTATGTGATACACCAGCTCTCCCTTTGCCTTCTACCATTATTGGGAAGCTTTGTGAGGCTCTCAACAGAAGCAGATGTCAGCACCATGTTCCCAGTACAGCCTGTAGAAACATAAGTCAAACTAAACCTCTTTTCTTTATAAATTACCCAGCCTCAGGTATTCCTTTATAGTAATGCAAAATGGACTAACATACTGGGGGAGCCACATTATCTTCTTCCAAAACCTGTTTCAAGACCTCTCCTCAATCACCTCTTTTATCAGAACCCTGGCCCAGGGTGTGCACTGCCCACCACTTTGCCCTACATAGAATTCATGGACAGAACCTCTTCTCATTCCTTCCCAGGGACAGCTAACACAAGACTATCATATATGAAATAATTTTACTAAGGGTTTAGAGACAAGAGAGAGGAATTCCAGCAGAGAGGAGAAAACAACACTGTCTGAAGCCTGCAAGCCATCTTCATAGGGAATCCCCTCTCGGTCAGCTTTCTTCTGGGTCCTGGCCTGTCACTGTATTGCTACGATTCATTCCTCAGAATTGAATTCCTTCTCCTTTTTTTCTTACTTCCTCAGGACTCCATCCTCCTGGCTTTTCCTGTATTCTTCCTCAGTTGTTGAGGAAAAGCAGAATATTCCTTAGTTTTTCCTTTTAAACCCAAATTTCTGATTCAGAAAGGTACTCTCCTACTTTATTAAGCAGAGTAATACATCTCTTTATTGACTATGTTTTATAACAAAAGTCTTTTTTAATGAAAAATCAGTTGTCTCTGTACTCCAGATGAATTCTACAGCCCCAACAAATAGTTTTTAAAATATAATATTTTTTAACCTACTCAGATAATTGCCTCTCAGTGTAACAAATACTATAGTGGAGGTAAGTGCAAAGTGAAAGCTGTTAAAGCTGGATTATAGGGTCTGAGTCCAGGCTGTAAACAGCTGGAGATGAGCCCCCAGCAAAGAGTTTCTGGATAATGTAATATGAATTTTGAAGGATAAGTAAGAGTCAACAAATAAAAAGAGAAGGGAATAGTGGAAGGAATAAATATGGTGACTAAATGTGGAATATGCTGGCTTTGAAAGACTATGGAATATTCAAGTGGAGTAAATGTCCAAATATCTATGATAATTGAAATCACGGGAAAGAGTAAGTTTAGCAAGAGTGAGAGGAAATAGGGCTAAAATGTGCACTGGAGAACTGAACAAAGCATAGGAAGAAGAGTGGCCATAACGGGTCCAGGGAAGGAATGGTGTTGGAGAAATGAGAAATACCAGAGAAGGGAAGTGTTCCTAAAATCACAGAAGGACAAAGAAAGAGGATTTTAAGAATGGAAAAACGGTCTTCAATACTGCAGAGGGACCAAGTAAGAATGATTAAGATCATCCACAGGGTTTAACACCAGCGATGTCATCCAGGCTCTTACATGATGAAGCTCTCCTAAGATGGGTCAGAGCTCTGCAACCAGGTGCTCAAACTGAGATTTTTCTTCTCTTGAGACTCAGATTTCTGCTTACAATGTCGTATACTCAGACTTTCATTCTGAAGTTCCATACCTGGTCATGGAAGAGCAATACATTTCTCTTTGAAGTTTCTTTCTTGAGCAATAGGACATCTATAGCCCTGACTCCTGTTGCCTTTGTTATCTCACAACAATACGAGTGTCTCTCCACCTAGTAACTCCTTCCTACTAGTCTAGTCCTCAGTTGTTTTCCCCTTTACCTTTATTAGGAACTTAATGGGAATAGGCAAGTCATAAATGAAAATAAGTGTCCATTCCAGATCTATTAAAAATATAAGTCAAGTCACAATAGTTATTTGCTCAGAATCCTCTAATAGTTCCCCATTGTACTAAGAAAATCAGCCAGGGGCCTACACGATCAGTCCTTCCTATCTCTTTGACCTCGTCTCCTTGAACTCTCCCCTTTAGTAATTCTGTCTTTTGGGCTGCTACTTCAACAAGTCAGACCTCAGGACCTTTTCACTTTGATGCATGCTTCTGGAATACTCTTTTGCTATACAATTTTTTGGCTTATGTCTCTTTTAAGATCTTTACTCAAATGTCACCCTTTAAAGATAGCTCCCTTGACTAACCTAAATTCCAAGCAGTCTATAACAATCTTTTTCTTACTTCCCAGCTTTAATTTTTTCTGTAGTACTTATGACCATTTAACATACTATATACTCTTTATCTCACTAGATGTAAGCTCCAGGAGAGAAGGATTTTTGATTATCTTTTTATTTCTGGATCTTCAGAATCTATAATAATTCCTGGCAGAAAATAGACTCCAAAGAAATATTTGTTGAATAAATGAACGAATGAATAATAAGCTGGTCACTCCTCTCCACCTGTTTGGTCATCCCTGCAGGTCTCCCCACCTGCTAATAACCCCTCTCCACCTAACTAGGGGCCCCTGTGGCCCTGGGGACCTACAGTCGTCCTAAGACCATCTGACTAGTAGGGGATGGGAGAGTGGTAGTGGGGCATGAAATGTGGGATGTAGGAGAGAACACAGAGGAAGATTTCAAAGTGAGAAGAGTTGGGGAGAGCTCAGTCAGTTTCTATTGGCTGCAAAATTGGAGATTAAAGCAAGTAAACAAATATTTATTCATAGGTGTAAGCATTTGTTTTAAGAAGGGCAATTTGAAGGGTACCGAGGGCTCCGGTCCAGTAGAGTTGATACTGCAACTTTTCCCTCAGTTCCTTTGGCTCTGCTTTTACCCTTCACTTATCCTATTTTTCCTTCAAATTTCAAACTTTTCTTTAAAAAAGGCTACTTCCCTGTGTTGCCACTTTCTGCTGTCAGCTTGGTTGTTGAAGTAGAACATGCAGACAAACCACAGGAAGCTTATCTTTTGTGCAAGTCAGAAGCTGAGATGAGTTTCTTTTTTTATTATTATACTTTACATTCTGGGATACATGAGCAGAACATGCAGGTTTGTTACATAGGTATACACATGCCATGGTGGTTTGTTGCACCCATCAACCCATCATCTGCATTAGATATTTCTCCTAATGCTATCCCTCCCCTAGACCCCCATCCCCGACAGGCCCCGTTGTATGATGTTCCCCTCCCTGTGTCCATGTGTTCTCATTCTTCAACTCCCATTTATGAGTGAGAACATGCGGTGTTTGATTTTCTGTTCCTGTGTTAGTTTGCTAAGAATGATGGTTTCCAGCTTCTTTCATGTCCCTGCAAAGGACATGAACTGAAATGAGTTTATCTATCTATTCTTCACATATGAGAGATCAGCAGGACATGCTTCCTTTCTGGGATTGAATGCAGTGGTTTGAGTAAGAGTTTTTTGAATTTTGTTACAAGGGCAAGTGTTTCTAAAACAACATTTTGACCCAATTGAGCTGTGTTTTTTGAATCCCTTCTGTGGAGTCTCTCTCTCTCTCTTTTTTGTTTTTCTCTGAAAGCAGATATTGACTTTAGACAAAGACTCAGTCTTCCCGAATACATGCCAAAAAGGTGATCTGGCTGTTAAAACAAAACTGACAATTCTTCAGGCAGATATTTCAAGGCTAAGTGTTTTTCCCAAGGCTGAGTATTTGATTTAAAACAACAAAAGAAGCTGGCAGTTACAGGCTGGACTTGAAACATTCTCAGTATCAGTGATGCAGTGCATTGCGCGCCCTTGGGTTTTCTTCCCAAGGCATCTAAGAAGCAGCCAGATTTCCAGCTTGTGTGAACCAAATGGCAGCCTAAGGAAGTGACAGCACTTACCCTCTTTTGCATCAGGAGTGGCAGTGAGTAAAATGAAGTGAGCCCCAAACTTCCTCTTAATGAGAAAAAGTGTTACTTTATCAACCAAGTTGCTCTACCAGGATACACTTAATTTCCTATTTTTCCTTTAAGAAAGGTGAAAAAAAAAACAAAGTCGATATATTGCTAGATACATGAGCTTTGCTTTAAATTAAAACCCACTTCCTTCCCAGAACCATCAGAGATGAAATCTGAGTTTATGCTCCCCCAACAAATTGGAGGACACATTTATTTCAGAATTCAACAGAAGATAGGGAAAGACTAATAGGAAGAAAAAAAAACAAGAAAGACTATTATAAATAATTTTACAGCAGAACAGGAGATTTATGTCTTTTTCCGTTGTACACAAGGTTGTTTCATAATCTCTTGTGAGAGATTAAAAACTACTGAGCATACTAAGACACTTCTCTGTATTTATAACCCATTCTGAAATTGTGATTTAGAACCTTGGGCCCTAATTAGTTAAGTGATATTGATAGCAGATGTGATACTTATGGAAAAATTTAACCTTGGGTGAAAGGCTCTCTCTCTCTCTCTTTCTGTGTCGCGTGTGTGTGTGTGTGTGTGTGTGCATGCGCGTGTATGTTGACCAAATAATTATAATATTTTACTACCTAGACTCTTATTCAATTATGCAAGGTGTCATGCTTTCACATACATGGCTTACTGAAGGCAAGCCTCACAATAAGCCTATGGGGACGCGGGTGTTATTTTTTCTCTTTTGAAGAGAAGAGAGCTGAGTTTCTGAGAGGCTGAGAGTCACACAACTAGTAGGATAGCACAAGGTCACCTGAATGCAATGACCTTTTCACTGCCCCATAAGATTTCACCCACCCATCCATCCACTCAGCATTAAATCAGAACTTCCTACATGTTATGAGTTTTTAAAAACGGTGACAAAATATGCATAACAAAATTAACCATCTTAACCATTTTTATATGTATAGTTCAGTACTGTTAAGTATACTTACATCATTATGCAAGCAATCTCCAGAACTTTTTCATCTTCCTAAAATAAAACTCTATAGCCATTAAACAACTTCCCATTTCTCCCTCCCCAAGCCCCTGGCAACCACCCTTTTACTTTCTGTTTCTGTGAATCTGACTCTTGTAGATACCTCATAGAGTGGAATCATACAGAATTTGTCTGTGACTGACTTATTTCATTTCACATAATGACTTCAAGATTCATCCATGTTGTAGCGTTTGTTAGAATTTCTTTCCTTTATAAAGAAGAATTTACAACATTTTGTTTATTCATTCTTCCATTAATGGACAGGTGGGTTGCTTCCACTTTTTGGCTATTGTGAATAATGCTATAATGAACATGGATGTGCAATACCTTCTTGAAACCCTGCTTTTAATTCTTTTGGATATATACCAGAAGTGGAAAAGCTGGATTGCATGGTAATTCTATACTTAATCTTTAAGAAACTGCCATACTGTTCCACAGTGGCTGCATCATTATATGTTCCCACTAGCAGGACACAAGGGTTTGAATTTCCTTACATCTTTGCCAATATTTATTTTCTGGTTTGTGTGTAGTTTTTATTTTTATATATATATATATTTTTTCTGCTAGTATCTGTTCTTATTTGAATGTGTCCCTTCCAAAATTAAGGTTAAAACTTAATCCCCAGTGTGATGATATTAAGAGGTGGGGCCTTTTGGAAAGTGATTAAGTCATGAGGGCTTCACCTTCATGAATGGATTAGTGCCTTATAAAGGGTAGGAGAAAACTGCTTAGACCCTGTTGTCCTTCCTCCTTCTGCCATGTGAGGACACAATGTTCATCCCCTCTGGAAGATGCAGCACCAAGGGGTCATCTTAACAGCATAGAGAATGAGCACTCACCAGACACTGAGTATCAGTGCTTTGATGTTGGAATTTCCAGCCTCCAGAACTGTAAGAAATAAATATGTGTTCTTCATGAATTATCCTATTTGTGGTATTTTGTTATAGCAGTACTAATGGATTAATACAGTAGACATCCTCCCCGCCTTGTGTTTTTTTTTTTTTTTTTTTTTTTTTTTTGAGACGGAGTCTCGCTCTGTCTCCCTGGCTAGAGTGCAGTGGCACTATCTCTAGCTCACTGTAACCTCTGCCTCTCAGGTTCCAGCAATTCTCCTGCCTCAGCCTCCTGAGTAGCTGGGATTACACACAGATGCCACCACACCCCGCCAATTTTTGTATTATTGGTAGAGACGGGGGTTCCACCATTTTGGCCAGGCTGGTCTTGAACTCCTGACCTCAAGTGATCCGCCCGCCTCAGCCTCCCAAAGTGCTGGGATTACAGGCGTGAGCCACCGTGCCTGGCCCAGTAGCCACCCTAATGTAGTTTGGATTTGCATTTCCTAATGACTAGTGATGTTGAGCATCTTTTCATGTTTCTTGGCTACCTGTATTTCATTTTTGGAGAAGGTTTATGCAAGTTTTTTGACCATCTTTTGACTGAATGTGTTGCTGAGTTTTAGGAATTCTTTATATATTCTGATATTAACCCCTTAGCAGACATGATTAGTAAATATCTTCTCCAATTGGACATGGGTATTTATATATTTCATATAGTTTTTATGATAACCCTGCAAAGTGCCCACTTTATAGGGGAAATAATTGAGGTAGAAATCATTTCATGAACTTGTCTAGGGTTTCTCAGTCAGTGCCAGGTGTCATATTGTCACTGTGGATTTCTGGTTCCAAAGCAAGTGTTCTTTCTACTACATCCTGCTATCTGAACACATTTCTTAAAATATTTCTATCTTTTAAAAATAAAAGCAAAAAGAAAAAAGGAGAAAAACAATACAAGAAAAATAAACCAAAAAACTTGATGAAGTTTTAGACAAACACAATTATAAGTAAAGGTACATTAAGCCATGTTTATAGTAGGACTGTTACATGATGAGTATAAGGTAGCTTTCACCTTTATTGTGCTACATTTAATGGTTCATAAGATCCTCTTTCAGTGTGCTTCCCAATAATGTAGTCATTACTGCAAGTTAACATTTTCCTTGACTAAGAGGCAGAGGACTTCTTATGCACTGGAGGACCTGTGAACTGTTTGGTGGAGAGGAGGTTATCTCATATTTCCAGGTCACACAGTAAAAAAAAAGCGGGATGATTGAAATTCTATGGAGCATGCTTTATCTGATTCTTCAGAGTAAAATAAATGCTATTGAATGACACAAAATCAGTTTTATATTCATTTAAAAGATGCTAAATAACGAAAGACCAAGTCTAATTACTTAGTTACCTAAAGTTCCATATTTTTAACTTCATTTACTCCTGTAAAGACAAGTATTTGCATAGAAAAATTTCTCTACAGAAAATGCCAGTTTCCTGAAGGAGGAAAGTGATTCCTGAAAGCATTAAAAAGGTGAATAGAGATGAGAAGGATTTTTTCTACTTTAAGTAGAAAAGTACTGTCCTACTGTGAGGACAGTAGGCCATAGAACTACATGGCATCTCCAAGAGACCTCAAGTTTCTTTTTGGGCTCCACAGCCTTTTCTTAGAGATCAAATCCCGCTCTTAAAGTTTTTTCTGAGACCCCAAGGAACCCCATCTCCTTGGGCCCAGAGTAGATAGGGTGAGTATACTTAACAATAATTTATTTTGTATGTTTCAAAATAAATAATTATAAAAGTAGATTTGGAATGTTCTCAGCACAAAGAAATGATCATAAATGTTTGAGGTGATGAAAATCCTAATTAGCAAGATTTGATCCTTACACATGGCATGCTTGATCAAAATATCACATGTATCCCATAAATATGTACAACTGTCATGTACCTATGAAGATTAAAAACAAAAACAAGGAATTGACTGTATTAGTTTTTTTTGTTGTTGCTATAACAAATTACCATGAACTTAGTGGAATGAAACAAGAATTTATCTTAAATTTCTGGAGGTCAGAAGTCCAAAATGGGTCTCACTGGGCAAAAATAAAAGTGTTGTTATGGCTGGGTTATTTCTGGAGACTCCAGGGGAGGTTCTGTTTCTTGCCTTTTCCATATTCTATAGGTCACTCACATTTCTTGGCTTATGGCCTCTTTCTCCATCTTCACAGTCAGCAACATCAGACTGAGTCTTTTCATGCTGTCATCTCTATGATTCTCTCCTTTGGCCTCCCTCTTCTACATTAGGGACCCTGTGGTTACACTGGGCCCACCTAGATAATCCAGGATAATCCCCCCTTCTCAAGGTCAGCTGATTAGCAACCTCAATTTCGTCTTCAGCCTTACTTCCCCTCTGCCATGTAACAACATATTCACAGGTTCTGGGGGTTGGGATGCAGACCTCTTGGGGTGGGGCATTACTCTGCCTATCATACTGACTGAATGAACGAAATGGAAAAAATAAGCTTTGCCTAATCATCTATGTTTTTTTGAATCAAACAATGATTTTGAATTTGCTAATGTATAAAGACCTAAAACTTCAAAATAAACCAACGTACTGGAAGATTGTATCCATCACTTAAAAAAGTTGATTAAATACGTCATGACTTTAAAAATAATGAATTATAATGATAATGGAAGACCAAAAATGATTGATTTCATAGACTACTTAGATTTATATTCTGTAGAATTAGAACCAAGCACTTTTACCAGAAGAAAGCAAACCAGTTATGCAAAGGCTTGAAACCATTGTTTTTATTTTATAACTGGCCTGCTGATCATCATAAAATAATTAATATGGACTGAGGGAATGCCCCAAATCTCAGACATGTTATTTCCTATCAACTTTGGATAGACACCCTCTGCTGGAGCAAGCCAAATGAATTACAGTGTTTCATCATTATTCTGCTGGGAATCATGCTTAAAAATCTATGCTAAAAGTTCATTTAAAAAAATTTCTGTGACATACAACAATGAACTCTGTTCTTTCTATCAATAACCTCATTGACTGACACTTTCATAACCAATATAAGCACTTAATTGATTATCCACCCCCATCCACCTAGAATCCATTTCACCCCACAAAGTAATCCAGTTTTTATACCTTTTTCTCATCAAAGAAATAAAACTACAGAAACACAAACACAAACTGACTCCAATTTGAAGGGCATGTACAGTTACATACTGAGATTTCAAAAGAGTTACTAATAGCATCTAGAATTTGACATTCTCTCATGTCAAAATGCACTTTGGACCAGTTTTCCCAAATCACACCCACGAGACATTTTTGCATCCTGATGACATTTTACATCTACATGACAAAAATGACCAAATCAGGAAAAGTAATAATCTCATTTGGAATTTATAATCTCACATTTCTTCTTCATTATAATCTCAGTCATGAGAGTTCTTATTTGTCAAGTTTCCTTTTGAGATAGCACTATTGTGGATGGCTTCCAAGTTTTAAGGCACAGTTGAAAGCCATGCCCCTGAAAATAGATTTCTAATTCACATCATACTGCTGTATTTGTGGACACTTGTCATGTCATGTTCATGCAAGTATACATCAGAAAGCTGTCAATTCTGGCAGCAATTTCTTATTTTCCACATTACTCTTTTTAGTCTAAATTAGAGCTTCACGTGCCTCATCTTACTTCAATATTGAGAACCTATCCCCATTTTACAGGTGATGAAAGTGAGGCTAAGCAAAGTGAATATACCTAAAGTCATACTGCTAGAAATGGCAGAGTGGGGATTCTCACAGGCTCTGAGGCATGCGTCCAAGCTACACCCACCACATGTGCTGCATCCTAGTGCATCTCTCAGGGAGGCTGGGACCAGGGGAAGTGAGGAGATAAGGTGATAGTTTTCCCAGGACCCTTGGCCTCTACTTGCTCTTTAAATCCTTCTTTAGAGGGTCACAATCCACACCTGGGAAAATGGTCTGAAGAATAAGTATTCATCTAGTAAGATTTATGCCCTGAAGTCTTCTCTGTATTTTATTAGTAGGAGAGCAAATAGGAGGCCTCTGATTAAGAGTTGGTCACACACAGTGCTCACTCTGTCACAATATGGTGGAGTCCCCCTCTCTGAAACATCTAAGCACTGACCTTGACTAAATGCAAACAATTGTTCAACATTCTGTTATTTATATGTTTTTAAAACTTTAATTGTGTTAAAAAACTATAAAATTTGCCTCATTAACCATTCTTAAGTGTACAGTAATCCCCATTTCTTCCTTCTCCCACCCCCCCGACAACAACCATTCTACTTTCTATTTCTATGAAGGGGACTATTTTAGATCCCTCATATAAGTGGAATCATACAAATTCATTTCTTTTGTGATGGACTTACTTCACTTAGCACAAGATCCTCAAGGTTCATTCATATTGTAGCCTGAATGGTATCTCATATATACCAGCTTTTATCCATTTATCTATTGATGGGCACTTGGGTTGTTTCCGCCTCTTGGTTTTTGTGAATAATGCTGTTATGAACATGGGTGTACAATATCTTGTTGACACTCATATATCTAATAAGTAGTTAATACCCAGATTAGATAAAAAACTCCAGTAACTCACAACAGCAAAAAAAAAAAAAAAGCAAATAAATAATGGGAAAAGAAATTGAATAGAGATTTCTCCAAAGATGATATACCTATGGCCAAAAGTATATAAGAAGATGCTCAATATTGTTAATCATTAAGAAAATGCTGAGCAAAACCACAATGAGATATCACCTCACACCCATTAGAATTTCTATTAACATAAAAAAATCAGAAAATAACATGTGTGCTTATATATTTTAACATTCATTAATTTTTCATTGGTTTGATACACTAAAATAAAGCATTCTATGAATTTATAATGCCATGCAAATAAAAATGTGCTCCAGTTATTGTTTGATGACCTCTGGTCATGGCTTCTCATTCACTGGGCAAGAGGAAGCCCAGAACCAATAACGGAAGCTCAACATAGTTCTGCAGCAGCTTCACAAATTCTGTACTCAGCATGCTTGTCTTATTACTTTTCTGGTCTTTAGGTTGGAACAAGAAAGTAGTCTTACCCCTGGATTCTTTATGTCCTTGAAAGAGTTATTGACATATATTGTTTTCCTTTTTGGATTAGCATCAGAGTTCATAGAATCTTCTAGGCTTGTAGGATTTGTTGCTTAGTTTATAATAAACAAAGGTCTACCTAGCTCATATTGTTCTTTTGTGAAAAGTAGAAAAAAATGGCCTATTTGGAAATCTCACCCTCATGGGCCATGTCTTAGTAAGCAGAATGTGGGACTGACCTCAGCATCCCCATACCCATTCACTCAGATGCCCTTTTGCAATGGCCCAGGAGAGTAATTTTAGACATTAATTCCTCTTAGAAGATTTAAACAATGTAGTAGTTTGTAACATCACATAATTAGATCTCAAAACAAGCCTTCTGTGTTAGTCCGTTCTCACATTGCTATAAAGATCTACCTGAGACTGGGTAATTTATGAAGAAAAGAGGTTTAATTGACTCACAGTTCCACAGGCTGTACAGGAAGCATGGCTGAGAGGCCTCAGGAAACTTACGTTCATGGCAGAAGGTGAAGGGGAAGCAAATACATCTTACCATAGTGGAGCAGGAGAGAGAGAGAGTGAAGGGGAAAGTGCTACACACTTTTAAGCAACCAGATCTCATGGGAACTCACTCACCATCATGAGAACAGCATGTGGAAAATCCACTCCCGTGATCCAATCACATCCCACCAGATCCCTCCCCCAAAACTGGGAACTACAAATTGGCTTGAGATTTGGGTAAGGACACAGAACAAAACTATATAATTCTGTTCCTGGCCCCACCTAAATCTCATGTTCTTCTCACATTTCAAAACAAAAGCAGCATGACTTCTCAACAGTCCCCCAAGTCTTAGCTCATTTGAGTGTTAACTCAAAAGATCAAGTCCAAAGGGTTATCTTAGACAAGGCAAATCCCTTCTCCCTATGTGCTTGTAAAATAAAAACAAGTTAGTTACTTCCAAGATACAATGGGAGTACAGGCATTGGGTAAATGCTCCCATTCCAAAAGGGAGAAATTGGAGAAAACAAAGGGGCTACAGGCCCCACACAAGTCCCAAACCCAGCAGGGCAGTCATAAATCTTAAAGCTCCAAAATAATCTCCTTTAACTCCATGTCTCACATCAAGGGCACACTCATGCAAGGGGTAGACTCCCAAAGCCTTGGGAAGCTCTGCCTTTATGGCTCTGCAGGGTACAGCCCCTGTGGCTGCTTTCACAGGCTGATGTTGACTGCCTGTAGCTTTTCCAGGAGCATGGTGTAAGCTGTCAATGGACCTACTATTCTGGGGTCTGGAGGATGGTGGCCTTCTTCTTATAGCTGCACTAGGGAGTGCCCCACTGGGGACTCTGTGTGGTGGCTCCAACCCCACATTTCTCCTCTGCACTACCCTAGTAGAGGTTCTCCATGAGGAGAAGTCTGCCTGCAACAGGCATTTTAATACATCCTCTGAAATCTAGACTGAGGCTCCCAAACCTCAACTCTTCCCTTCTGTGCACCTGCAGGTTCAACACCATGTGGAATCTGCCAAGGCTTGAGGCTTGCACCCTCTGAAGCAATGGCCCAAACTGTACCTTGGCCCCTTTTAGCCACAGCTGGAGCTGGAGTGACTGGGATGCAGGGTTCCATAACCTGAGGCTGCACAGAGCAGCAGGACCCTGAGCCCTGCCCACAAAAGCATTTTTCCCTCCTAGGCCTCCAGGCCTGTGATGGGAGGGGCTGCTGTGAAAGTCTCTGAACTGTCCTGGAGTAATTTTCCCCATTGTCTTGGCAATTAACATTCAGCTCCTCTTTATTTATGCAAATTTCTGAAGTCAGCTTGAATTTCTCCCCAGAATGGGTTTTTCTTTTCTACTACATATTCAGGCTACACATTTTTCAAACTTTTACCCTTTGCTTCCCTTTTAAACATTTGCTTATGCAATTGAGTGTAAGTTTTTAAAAGCAGCCAGGCACATCTTGAATGCTCTGCTGCTTGGAAATTTCTTCCACCAGATACACTAAATCATCTTTCTCAAATTCAAAGTTCCACAGATTTCTAGAGCAGGAACACAATACCACAAGTCTTTTTGCTAAAGCATAGCAAGATTGACCTTTACTCCAGTTCCCAATAAGTTCCTAATCTCCATCTGAGACTACCTGAGCCTGGACTTCACTGTCCATATCACTATCAGCATTTTGGTCACAACCATTCTACAAGTCTCTAGGAAGTTCCAAACTTTTTTCACCTTCCTGTCTTCTTCTGATCCTTCCAATCTGTTCCAGCCTCTTCCCATTACCCAGTTCCAAAGTCATTTCCACAGTTTCAGGTATCTTTATAGCAATGCCTCACTTCTCTGGTAACAATTACTGTTATTAGTTTATTCTCACACTGCTATAAAGAACTACCTGAGACTGAGTAATTCCACAGGCTGTATAGGAAGCACAGCTGGGAGGCCTCAGGAAACTTAAAATCATGGTAGAAGACAAAGGGGAAGCAAGCACATCTTACCATGGCAGAGCAGGAGAGAGAGAGTGATGGGGAAAGTGCCACATATTTTTAAAAAAACAGATCTTGTGAGAGCTCATTCACTATCACAAGAACAGCAAGGAGAAAATCCACCCCCATGCTCCCATCACCTTCCACCAGGTCCCTCCACCATCATGGGGAATTACAATTTGACATGAGATTTGGGTGGGAGACATAGAGCCAAAGCATATTACCTTCTTTTATGACTTGATTTTTGTAAGTTTTTTACCCCTCATTTTCTTTTATGACTAGACTCCCTATGTGACTAATCTGAGCTACTTTTGTGCTGTGATGCCAGGAGGTGAATTTCTCAAAAGAAGCTGGCATCTCTGATTCAAAGAGCAGCATGAGTGAGGAGGATTCCCAAAGGGCTAACTACATAGCATAGCATTTTAACTAATGGGGACAACTGTTCATTTGCTATGGCCAGATTACAATCTTTAGCAATCCTCTACTTGTTCAGAAAGCTTTTTTTTCCTCTGTATTTAATTTTTGTGTGTATCTGAGATCTTTCTATTATTTATTCCTGTGTCCTTGGAGGACATGATATAGACTCCTTCCATGCTCAGAGAATTAAATATTTGAAAGAACAAGTTAATGAACACATTCTTACATTGTGCTGAAGATGTCACATGAAATGTAGGCCAAATAGATCTTGTTGACCATCTGACTCAATTTTATAAATGAAAGAAGTGTAGCCCTTAATATGAATGGATGGAACTAAATCTTTATGCTTTGGTTATTTTTAATCAACATTTTATTCTAAAAGTCCATTTCAGACCATATGTAAATGGATTAAAGAAATTAAAATTCAAGACCTTGACTTCTTTTGAATAAGTTGTCAAATATATTATATCACTCAAGTATTGGGTGTATTTGAAATTAATTTGAAGATTCTAGGTCACTCACTAAGAAAAAATAAAAGAGTAACTTAAAATAGAAACTTTGAATCAGAAAAATTTATTTTATTTTTCTCTTCATATTTGCTATTTTAATCATTATTAAGATTTTACTTATATCTAAAGATTTCTTTGTTTACAGTAATAATATCACATTAAGGAATATAGACCAAATAATAAAGCACATTCTTTAAATAACTCTATTGATTGCTACAACATACACTTTCAGTCTTTAAAGTATTGTTTCATGCTATGAAATCACTTAATAGCTTCAGAGAATAAGATAAAGAAGTGCAGTTGTTTCTCTAAGGTAATTCAAGGTTGACTCTATAAAACAAGCATTGTAGGTATAACAAATCTGTTTCTTTGAAGCAAGAGATGGTGTTAATGTTAAGACAGTCTGGGAAACAGACAGACTCCTAGTTAGAATGGTAATTATGAATTCTTAATGTCACCTAAGACCCATAAGATCTCACAATCCCAAACAAAAAATAAATATCATTTCTAATGTGTATTTTCTTCTCTTTATGCTAATTATCTTTTTACCCAGTCAACAGTCTTACTTCATCATATATCAAATATAATTTTCCCATATTATTGATTGCAGACTACAAGTCAGATATTATTGTGAGGCTTTGGTTTTTACATCTTTGATAGAAGATATAATTTAACCTCAGTTTTACCTACTGGCTGTTGCCTGTCAACGTATTGCTTAAAGAACATCTAACTTACAAGGGATGTGAAGGACCTCTTCAAGGAGACCTACAAACCACTGCTCAATGAAGTAAAAGAGGACACAAACAAATGGAAGAACATTCCATGCTCATGGATAGAAAGAATCAATATTGTGAAAATGGCCATACTGCCCAAGGTAATTTATAGATTCAATGCCATCCCCATCAAGCTACCAATGACTTTCTTCACAGAATTTGAAAAAACTACTTTAAAGTTCATATAGAACCAAAAAGGAGACCACATTGCCAAGCCAATCCTAAGCCAAAAGAACAAAGCTGGAGGCGTCATGCTACCTGACTTCAAACTATACTACAAGGCTACAGTAACCAAAACAGCATGGTACTGGTACCAAAACAGAGATATAGACCAATAGAACAAAACAGAGCCATCAGAAATAATACCACACATCTACAAGTATCTGATCTTTGACAAACCTGACAGAAACAAGAAATTGGGAAAGGATTCCCTATTTAACAAAAGGTGCTGGGAAAACTGGCTAGCCATATGTAGAAAGCTGAAACTGGATCCCTTCCTTACACCTTATACAAAAACTAATTCAAGATTGATTAAAGACTTAAATGTTAGACCTGAAACCATAAAATCCCTAGAAGAAAACCTAGGCAATACCATTGAGGACATAGGCATGTGCAAGGACTTCATGTCTAAAACACCAAAAGCAATGGCAACAAAAGACAAAATTGACAAATGGGATCTAATCAAACTAAAGAGCTTCTGCAAAGCAAAAGACACTACCATCAGAGTGAACAGGTAACCTACAGAATGGGAGAAAATTTTTGCAATCTACTCATCTGACAAAGGGCTAATATCCAGTATCTACAATGAACTCAAACAAATTTACAAGAAAAAAACAAACAGCCCCATCAAAAATGGGCAAAGGATATGAACAAACACTTCTCAAAAGAAGACATTTATGCAGCCAACAGACACATGAAAAAATGCTCATCATCACTGGCCATCAGAGAAATGCAAATCAAAACCACAATGAGATACCATCTCACACCAGTTAGAATGGCGATCATTAAAAAGTCAGGAAACAACAGGTGCTGGAGAGGATGTGGAGAAATAGGAACACTTTTCCACTGTTGGTGGGACTGTAAACTAGTTCAACCATTGTGGAAGACAGTGTGGCAATTTCTCAGGGATCTAGAACTAGAAATATCATTTGACCCAGCCATCCCATTACTGGGTATATACCCAAAGGAATATAAATCATGCTGCTTTAAAGACACATGCACACATATGTTTATTGCAGCTCTACTTACAATAGCAAAGACTTGGAACCAACCCAAATGTCCATCAATGATAGACTTGCTTAAGAAAATGTGGCACATATACACCATGGAATACTATGCAGCCATAAAAAATGATGAGTTCATGTCCTTTGTAGGGACATGGATGAATCTGGAAACCATCATTCTCAGCAAACTATTGCAAGGACAAAAAACCAAACACCGCATGTTCTCACTCATAGGTGGGAATTGAACAATGAGAACACTTGGACACAGGAAGGTGAACATTACACACCAGGGTCTGCTGTTGGGTGGGGGGTGTGGGGAGGGATAGCATTAGGAGATATACCTAGTGTAAATGTTGAGTTAATGAGTGCAGCACACCAACATGGCACATGTACACATACCTAACAAACCTGCACGTTGTGCACATGTAACCTAGTACTTTCAGTATAATAAATAAATAAATAAATAAATAAATAAATAAGTAAATAAAAGAATAACACAGAAAAAAAGAACATTTAGAAGTACAGACTGGGTGATTATTGATCATACTCAGCAAACCACTCGCCTGAGGTACACCTAAATCAATCTTCACACTTTCCTGCTTAAATTGACTAACAACTCCACAAAAAATAGACTTATTTACAAAGGAAATGAGATCTGTTGCTCTAAAGTTTTAGATTAACCTTGAGATAGCTGTGCCATTTTGTGTTAGAGCACAATTATTTTATAAAGATCATGAAATGGCTACAATATGTGCTCTGAGAACTAAGCATTCGGAGAAGGTACTGTGTGTTGAATTGTGTAGGAGATATATGCTTCTAAAATCTCATAATGAAATAATATATTCATTGTAGGCATGACTTTTTCATAATTGATGTGGGTAGAGATGAGATTAATAAAAGAATAAAGCCTCCTAGAAATTTAACAGAGCTTGAATAATATTTAAAACATTAAATTATTTTGATTTACAGCAGATCCATAAATTCTAACCTTTTGGAATGGTATTTTTTAACGCCGCATATCTACAACTATCTGATCTTTGACAAACCTGAGAAAAACAAGCAATGGGGAAAGGATTCCCTATTTAATAAATGGTGCTGGGAAAACTGGCTAGCCATATGTAGAAAGCTGAAACTGGATCCCTTCCTTACACCTTATACAAAAATCAATTCAAGATGGATTAAAGACTTAAACGTTAGACCTAAACCCATAAAAATCCTAGAAGAAAACCTAGCCATTACCATTCAGGACATAGGCATGGGCAAGGACTTCATGTCTAAAACACCAAAAGCAATGGCAACAAAAGACAAAATTGACAAATGGGATCTAATTAAACTAAAGAGCTTCTGCACAGCAAAAGAAACTACCATCAGAGTGAACAGGCAACCTACAAAATGGGAGAAAATTTTTGCATCCTACTCATCTGACAAAGGGCTAATATCCAGAATCTACAATGAGCTCAAACAAATTTACAAGAAAAAAACAAATAACCCCATCAAAAAGTGGGCGAAGGACATGAACAGACACTTCTGAAAAGAAGACATTTATGCAGCCAAAAGACACATGAAAAAATGCTCACCATCACTGGCCATCAGAGAAATGCAAATCAAAACCACAATGAGATACCATCTCACACCAGTTAGAATGACGATCATTAAAAAGTCAGGAAACAACAGGTGCTGGAGAGGATGTGGAGAAATAGGAACACTTTTCCACTGTTGGTGGGACTGTAAACTAGTTCAACCATTGTGGAAGACAGTGTGGCGATTCCTCAGGTATCTAGAACTAGAAATACCATTTGACCCAGCCATCCCATTACTGGGTATGTACCCAAAGGACTATAAATCATGCTGCTATAAAGACACATGCACACGTATGTTTATTGTGGCTTTATTCACAATAGGAAAGACTTGGAACCAACCCAAATGTCCAACAATGATAGACTGGATTAAGAAAATGTGGCACATATACACCATGGAATACTATGCAGCCATAAAAAATGATGAGTTCATGTCCTTTGTAGGGACATGGATGAAATTGGAAATCATCATTCTCAGCAAACTATCGCAAGAACAAAAAACCAAACACCGCATATTCTCACTCATAAGTGGGAATTGAACAATAAGAACACATGGACACAGGAAAGGGAACATCACACTCTGGGGACTGTTGTGGGGTTGGGGGATGGGGGAGGGATGGCATTGGGAGAGATACCTAATGCTAGATGACGAGTTAGTGGGTGCAGCGCACCAACAAGGCACATGTATACATATGTAACTAACCTGCACAATGTGCACATGTACCTTAAAACTTAAAGTATAATAAAAAAAAAGCTGAAAGAAACCATATAGTCTATTTTCCTTACTTTACAAATGAGAAAAGTAAAGGTCAGAAAAATAAAATAATCAACAACCAAGTAAGAATTGAAACTTGGGACTCTGGCAGTGGAAATACTTATATTTCAACCACAAAATTCAAAAAAGCAACTTGATACTGATATTGCTGTGAGGTCCTTTCTGAAATCCCTCAAATATTCCATGCTTTAGTCACTCCACCAGAACAATCTGATCATAAATACTTCAGTCTCTGAGTTCTGTTGTCCAGTGATCTATACAAAACATTCATGATGAGGCAGGGGATACTAGTGCATTTGGACTTTTGAAGGATATTCAAATGCAAGAGAAAAGGAAGCCAAAGGGGTGGGCAGCAGATGACAAAATGAGAGAGGGACTAGGAAAGTAGGTGTTGGAGAAATTATGTGGAGAAAACCCAAGGACATGGGGTTGAATAGGGGATTGAGGTTAATTTGAGGGCCTGAATCAATTATGGGATTCAATGTGAGTTACCTTGTTAATTGGGTAAGTGTGGGACCAATCAAATGGCACTGGAGTGAAGAGTAAAATGAGCGCACTTATCTAGAACCTCTTTAAAATCATCAATGTCAGTTAATGCAATATTTGTGGTTTGAAGCTGAGCTGAGTCAACTCTTGTATAGTTTGGCTATTGATATGGCTTTTCTTTAAAAGCACAAGTTCAGGAACATAAACATCATTTATTCCCAATTAAAACTGTATAGTTATTGTAAACTGTTGTAATTATTGTTTGTGTTGAGTTAAAGAGTATTTTGTAGCATCAATAATGGCAAAAAAATGGCAAAAAAATGAATATAATAATTGTCAATTAATATGTAAATTACTCTAAGCAGCAAAAAGGTTTAATTGCCATTTTATTAAATTTTACTTACTCTTATAGAATGAGGTAAGCTGTTTGATTGTCTAAAAGTTCACTTTATTAACAGAATGAAAATTTTAAGAGAATGTTTATAAGTTGAAAAATTCAGGTTGAAAGAAAAAGGGAAAGAAAAATTCTAGCTATTTATCTTGAACTTTTTATTAGTGACCCTGTAGCCCTTTTTCCACAATCACTCTGACCATTGCAACACTTACTTTCCTAAAGTTTTCGAAGTATTTTGTGTGGACAACCTCTAGAGAATTCGAAACAAAATGGTAATGTAACAAAGGGCACACTAATTGGCAGTGTCATGAGGAGTCATTGAGAATAAATTCCAAAGTGTGAGAATTGTGGTCTCTCAGGGAAATTGTTTTTAATTCTTCAAACATTTACTTTATTGAACTACAGGAGACAAATAGGTGCAACAACCAATATAGCTGTGTCCTTAAAATATAAAATAGTGTGGATATTACATACAGAAGAGAGAAAAATCTTCCTAAGTAGATCCCCATTAATTATAATAAGATATATTCAATATATAAATTGAATACTTACTATACTTTATGCTCAGTATTTTTTATGCATTATCACCTTCAATCTTCCAGCTCTATGAAATATGTATCATTTTCCTTATTTTACAGAAGGAAACTTAAGCTTAGGGATGTTAAGCAATTCTTCCAAGGCCACATGAGCTGGGTTTCATGTGTAAACATAGTAATAAACTCTTATTACCAAGATAATATCTGTGGTTATCATGAACTTCAATAGATGTGACATCTAGGCAACTTGAAATAATTGGAGGAGAATTATGTGACAGGTGCTGTCACAGAGAAGCCTTAGATTCAATGGCAAATTTGGGGGCACAATCTTCAAAGGATAAAGAGGTGAATATGGGCCATTGTATAAATGTTGCCATCTTTACTAATAGAGCTTCTCTGAAGTTCTTGGGGGAAAAAAAGACCCCAGAAGGGATTACTGTCCCTAGAGTACTGCTTCTTGCAAGATTTATGTAAAGTTGAAGGCTCTTTTGAGGGAAGACGACAGGGAGAAGTCAAAGAGCTTTCTCTCATTCATGTCAGGGAGACATCCATGCTGCTACTCTCTCAACTTTACTCCATTTTAATAGTGGAAGGAATGAAATTTGTTATACACTTCTGACACAGAATTGACTTACGTTGCCAAAAAATTCTGGTTGACTATGGTAATCATGTTCAATGGATCAACTGAAAAGACCATACATCATTATGTGTTTTAGCTCTAGAGGACTCCTGTGAGTGAGGGTACATTTAAATAATATGCCACAAAAACCTAGTAAAGTAGAAAACTAACAGATTTTTGTGTATAAGCGTAAGGGAAATACATTTACTATGCTGTTAGTTGATTTTGTCATATCTGATTTTGCAATTGCTAAACAAATAATAGAAAATGAATATTACAATCTGTTTAATTTAAAAATGAATGAAAAGTAGATATAAAATAAAGCTGTGAGAAGACATGGTTATTTTTGTCTTCGTGTTTTTTTTTCCACCAAGAATTCATCCATGTTTCCTCTAGGAAATAATTTAGAATTTATGTAGATTTCTCACTCAAACTTAAAAAAAATCCTTAAAGGCTTAGAAAATTTATGCATAGTGTCTTTCCAAAATTTTTTTTTGAAAAAATTTACTTTTGCTATTATTTAATAAGCTTCATCCACATCAAAATTCATATTGAGGCTTGATCCCCAGTGTAATAGTGTTGAGAGGTGGTGGGATCCTTAGGAGGTGTTTGGGTCATAAGGGATATGCCATTATGAAGAGATTAATCCCATCTCTTTTGAGTGAGCGTAGGTCTGGAATAGCAACCCGAGAGTGAGTTGTTATAAATCAAGGTCATCCTTCATGTTTTGTCTTCATTGCATGTGCCTGCTTGCTGTTCTTGCATGTGTTCCTGTCGTGTGATGCCATCACTATGTTGTGATGCAGCATGAGGCCCTCACCAGATACAGCCACCTGATCTTGGACTTCACAGCCTCCAGAAATGTGAGCTAAATAAATCTCTATTCTTTATAAATTACTCAGTCTCAGGTATTCTCTTGTAGCCACAGAAAATGGACTAACATAACTTCTTTAATATTGGCTCGTTTTTTCAAAAAAGTATATATTTCTGTAGCACATTTTTTAAAAAGAATATAATTGAATGCAAAATGCAAATGAATGTAATTACCATTACTGACCATTATCACAATGGGCAGCATCTTCTTATCATCACTAGAGCAGCGGTCCCCAAGCTTTTTGGCATGAGGGACTGGTTTTGTGGAAGACAATTCTTCCATGGACCGGGGCAGGAGGAAGACGATTTGGGGGTGAAACTGTTCTACCTCAGATCATCATCAGATCATCAATTTCTTTTTCTTTCTTTCTTTCTTTCTTTTTTTTTTTTTTTTTTTTTGATACAGAGTCTCGCTCTGTCGCCCAGACTAGAGTGCAGTGGCGCAATCTCGGCTCACTGTAAGCTCTGCCTCCTGGGTTCATGCCATTCTCCTGCCTCAGCCTCCTGAGTAGCTGGGACTACAGGTGCCCGCCACCATGCCCGGCTAATTCTTTTTTTTTTTTTTTCTCTTTAAAAACCACTTTTAATTAAAGACTCGATAGAGTAAGCAGAAATTATTTACATTTTTAATAGAAATTTAGTCATACAATGAAAATGCACTCGAACATTTGTTGATACAAAGACAAGATTTATACTAAGAAGTAGTCAAAAATACCAATTTTATTTATTGATTTATTGGAAAAATAATGTATATCTTGGAGACTGGAGCAGGCTAAGTGACTTGAAAGCTGCAAGAGAGAAAAAAAGGTAGCACATTTAAGCTTTAAATCTTTTAGACAAAAATATCTAGATAGTATGGTTCTGTTTAGAAACTCAAAGATTTATATGCTATATCTTGAAGCAACTAAAGGACATGGTGAACATTTTTCATATGTCACAAAGTGTTTTATATTTTTGCTTTAAGGGACAAATTAGCAATATTTGGAGACTTCACAATAACTTTGTGGGGAGAGCTAGGGCATTTGTAATGAGAAAAATATAGTTTTGCCATGTATGAAAAAGTAAGTTATAGGCCAGTAAAATGTTTCAGTATCTTGTATACCTAGAAGGACTGCTGTGACAATTGTGCCTGTATAGATCTCATTTATCCTTAAAACCTTCTAGTTTTAAATTGGTACAGACAGTGTCCTTAGTCAAGTAGTACGGTTGGAATATATTTAAATTTTTGTTTATATATTCTGTTTTTGGCCCACTGCAGAATCTAACAGACAGGTTTTTATAGTTTTCTTTTTTTTTTCAAGGCCAGTATTAAGTAAAATGTAGCAGGTGATCTGATTTTGTATAATTGATAAATATTTAGAATGTTAGGTTTTTAGTTAGGAAAAGACCTTATTGATCATCTGCATTTCACCTGCTTTTGCAGATAAAGGACTTGAGACACAGGAAAATTAAATATTCTAGTTCCACTAGAAGTGAGCTATCTGACTGTCAATATGTGTATTTCCAATAATCTCTGCTGCACCTTATCTTACAATATCTGTGCTAAAATGTAAATGTAACCAGGTAGAGAATTACCATTGACTCACTGTTGATGTGGTTTCAGTAATTCAGCAAACCAGAATCCTGAGTCAAGTATCATGTAGTAGGTAAGAGAAGAGAGAGGGAAGGAAATCTAGGCATGGGATGTTCAGTCTGTTACTGTAAGAATTGCTCTGGTCTTGGAGACAAAGGGCCTGGGATTCAGTTTTGACAATGCCACTTATTAACTGTGATTTTAGAGCAAAACCCTAAATTCTCCAACCTTCAGTTTCTTTATATATGAAATGGGAATAAACATTGTTGCGGTACTTACTTCTAGGTTAACTGTGAGAATCAAGGCCACTGTGAGAGTCAGTTTCTAGTTTACCAACATTTATTTGCTGTTACTATGTGCTAGGCAATATTGTAGCCTTCAACAATACAAAGACAATGGAAACTTTTATAACATATTACAAAAGCCTAAAAACTAAGAAGTAATATTTAGCAGGAAGTCTGATTGATATCGTTCATAAATATTTAGAATATTTTTTTTTAATTTGGAAAAGACCTTAGTGTTCAAGAGAGACTTTTGTCTCCTTAGTCTTCAAAGAGATTACAACTTGGAGAGATGATCCTTTAGGCAAAAAGCCTTATGATATAGTTGATTGAGATTGTCATTATAATAACAGCAGTTTTACAAGCTGTTAACTAATCTAGGATTGAAGAGAGGAAAGGAATGTCAGCAGTACATCAAAAAGGAAGAATATAATTTTCTTAGAAGTAGAGGAATGAGTGTTTTTTCATTTTTATTATTTTGCTTTAAGCCAGCTGCATTATGTGATACCATCTTGTTTGCCCTTCTGCTAGAGACCAAACCACCCCTACCACTGTTTTAGTAAACAAGAGATTGAATAACCTTAGTTCAGTCAAGGATCTCACCTTTTCTTGCCCT
Organism: Homo sapiens; assembly: GCF_000001405.40. NCBI lineage: Eukaryota > Metazoa > Chordata > Mammalia > Primates > Hominidae > Homo > Homo sapiens. The sequence goes on from NC_000004.12 coordinate 143,810,851, forward strand.
AAAGAGTTATTTGGCTTCATTGAGATTTTGACTGTCAGTTTTAAGATTCATAAATTTCTAGCAGTCTGTGTGGATTATTCTAGTGTTACTATTTAAGGAAATGATGACCCTCTAGTGACAGGTTTTCTGATTGTAAGCTATTTGCCATTTATAATCCTGCTATATGTTTTTGCACTTATATTTGTGGTGTTTTATGCATTCTAAGATGTCTATTTTTTCATATTTGAACATACCTGAAACTGGGATGCTTCTTTGAATTGATGGACTCAAAATCCATGTTGGGTAGGTGGTGGTTTTGATGGAGTTGTTATCTGTGCATGTGTGAATGTGGTCATAATGTCAAAGTTTAATTGAGTTATATGCACTTCAGGTATTCTGATGATTCCCAAATCCTATGATTTAGGCTTAGAAGGATAAGTAATATATACTCATCTATCTACATGAGAGGCATGGGGCAGAACAGTGGAATATATGATACAGATATCCAAAAAATGAAATCTAATTGATAAAAAAGCATTATGTCTTAGTTTAATTGGCAGCCTTTTTGCTTCTAGGGATATATAAATAGTAAACTTATATCATATAATGATGGTGCTTTGGATTCATTCATATTTGGATTCAAAATATTGATGCTGCAGTATTTTATTTTGAGTAATTTGAATGGGATGGCTTATGACTTAATGGAAATTTTAGGAAAGCCTGTTTATGGAAGGTGGATCAAAAGTCATACTTTTAATGATAGATTCTGTCAAGGGATACTTTTAAAGAAAGGTTAAAATCATGTCTTTTATTCAAATGTAAAAAGAATGGGTATCAAAGACTTTATTAAGCTCATTAATTAATGAGGGGATCAGTAAGATGTTACAAATAATTCAAAGGAGAATTTTAAGAGCACACATATATGGGCAATCAAGGATGCTGAAATGAATGTGAAACAGACGCAAAACTGGTTAATAGCCACAGGCCAATTATCCATTTCATTTCACTGGACACAATTTATTTGCATTTTTATGGAAAAGAATTGTTTGTATTATTCTGTGCCTTACAACTACATGGTTGTAAAGTAGCAGAAAGACAATGTGAGGCTCATATTCTGACTGACTCAGATAATCTGGAAGGGTATACTAGATAGGACATCCACTAATATTTTGCATATTTCAGTGTTTCACAATTTTCCTGACAAATCTTAAAGGTTAGAAGTTTTCCTGATAGACTTTGTATCAAATTTTAATTTCATGGGAAGGGATCATGTTTGTAGATCCCTTAATTTTAAAGCTTTTTTTTAAGTTTCTCTTTACCCAAAAATATAATCTGGATTAAATTCAATTTACTGACCCAAAGATATAAATGAGAAATTCAAAACCATTAACACTCTAACACAGCTAGATGGAATGATGAATGATTAAGGGAGAAACCATAAGAAAACATCAGGTAATCATCTTTCTAGCATGGTCTGAATGAAATCCTGCCCGGCTAATTCTTTGTATTTTTAGTAGAGATGGGGTTTCACCGTGTTGGCCAGGATGGTCTCGATCTCCTGACCTTGTGATCCGACCTCCTCGGCCTCCCAAAGTGCTGGGATTACAGGTGTGAGCCACCGTGCCTGCCTAGATCATCATTCTTCTAAGGAGCATGAAACCTAGATCCCTCGCATGGACATTTCACAATAGGGTTCACACTCCTATGAGAATCTGATGCCACCGCTGATCAGACAGGAGATGGAGCTCGGGCGGTAATGCTCACTCGCCTGCCACTCACTTCCTGCTGTGTAGCCCAGTTTCTAACAAGCCACAGATAATACCTTGAGGTTTAAGCTCTGTAGATTAGCTTTGACCCTGCTTGTACATTATATAAATATATAAATGGAATCTTATAGTACATATTCTTTTGTGTCTGGCTTCTTTCACTCAATACTGTGGAGAGATTCATCCATGTGGAATGTTGCTACACATGTTTATTTCATGGCTACATAGTGTTACATTGAATAAATATACTAGAATATATTTGTTCTACTGTTGATAGACACTTGAATTTTCTCTAATTTGAGGCTATTAAGAATAACAGTGCCATAAGCACTTTGTAAATGTCTTTCAGTTCACATTTGTACACACTTCTGTCAGGCGCAGATCTACAAATGGAATTGCTGGGTGATATGATATGCAAACATACAGCTTTAGTAGATACTGGCAAACAGTTTTCCAAAGGGATTATACCAATTTACACTCCCATTAGCAGTGACTTCGAGTTCCAGTTGCTCTGTCCATATCCTTTACAATACTTGACATATGAGTCGTTTTGTATTTTGACCATTTTGTTTGATATGCAGTGGTATTTCGTTTTAGCTTTAATTCGTGTCTCCCTGAAAGTTAGCAAGACTAAATTTGCCTATCTTAAAATCAAGTTTTCTGTCGTATTGAAAAAATTGATTTTTCTAAGTTCTTGATATACTCTCAATGTGAATTCTTTCTTTGTTATATTTATTGCAAATAATACCTCTGAGACTTGCCTTTCACTTTCTTAATTTGTCTTGTGATAAACAGGAATTCTTAATTTTAACGTGGTCTAATTTCTCAATTTCTTAGTCTTTTCTTTTATGGCTAGTGCTTTTTGTGCTCTGCTTAAGAAACTTTTGCCTACCCAAAAGTCATAAAAATACTAACATTATTTTTTTAGAAACTCTATTTTTTCTTTCATACTAATCTTCAATTCACCTAAAATGGTATTTAGTATGAAGGAAGGGTTAATATTTTTCACTATGGATATTCTACTGACTCAGCATAATTTCTTTTTTCTTTTCTTTTCTTTTTCTTTTTTTTTTTTTTTTATTAGAGACAGAATCTCACTCTGTCACTCAGGCTGGAGTGCATTGGCACTATCTTGGCTCATTGCAACCTCTGCCTCCTGGGTTCAAGTAATTCTCATGCCTCAGCCACCCAACATAGGTGGGATTACAGGCGTGTGCCACCGAGCCAGTCTAATGTTCATAATTTTAGTAGAGATAGGGGTTTTGCCATGTTTGTCAGGCTGGTCTTGAACTCCTGGCCTCAAGTGATCAGCCAACCTTGGCCTCCCAAAGTGCTGGGATTGCAGGCGCGAGCCACTGTGCCTGGCCTGACTCAGCATAATTTATTTTAAAAAACAGTTTTCCCTTGTTTACAGTAGCAACATGGTAATAAATCAAGCATCTATATATGTGTGGGTCTTTTTCAGAATTGTTTTTAACTACATTGGTCTACTTGTCCATGTTTACTCCAGTTCCACAGTTTTAATTATGGTACCTTTATAATTTATATTGATATCTTGTAGTATAGGTCCTCTGACTTCGTCTTTTCTTCATCAATATTGTCTGGGTTTTTTTTGTGGCTCTTTGCAATTTCAAGTACATTTTATAATGAACTTGTTAAATTATATGAAACATTCTACTGGTATTATACCTGGTATTGTGAGAAACAAACCTACCTGTCCAAACCCAAAGAATGGACTCAGAGACCTGGAGAACAGCGAAAGTGAAACTTTTAATGATGCTCTTGCAAGAATTGGGTGTCTGATGTGCAGGCACACACAGCACAGTTTTAACAAGCAATTTAACTCCTAGTGTGCAGGTCCCTCTCCCGGTTTTTCATAGGCTGAATACTAGGGGGTCACAATCTTCCTGGACGTCACCTATTGATTGTTGGGCAGGGGCTTTAGGTGTTTTGTTTGTTTTTAGGGTTGTTTTGCGGCATTTTGTTGCAGCCCACAATGCATTGCAATCCTAGTTAGCTCAGGGGCTCTTCAAGTATTTACTTATGAGCTAAGTAGCTGGGCAGGCTAATAAAAACAGACAAAACGAACTATTTTGCAGGCTAGTAAACTTTTATCTTAGACTAAACTTCTTTGGTTCTGGTGAAGGCAAGGAAACAGGGTTGTGGAGGCGGAGTGGGGGAGGGGGAGGCCAACAAGCAGGCATGGGCTATCCAAGCAGGGGCCTAGTATGTTCTGTTTCTTCTGTAGTTTGCTAACGTAAGTCTATTTAAGGCACTTCGTCTTGGAAATGGACCATGGGCCATTGTATACATTATTTCCTTCAGTATTGGAGATACTCTTTATAGAATAATTTAAAAATAATATACATGTTTATGGTATTGAATGTCTTCCTTTTATTTAGGTCTTTTGAAATTTTTTTAAATAATGTTTCATATTTTTTGTGTAGAGTTTTGCACATTTGTTAATTTATTTCTAGATATTTGGTCTTTTGATATAATTGTTAATGATATAATTTTTAAAATATCATTTTTAATCACTTATTGGTATATAAACAGAGATTTTTCATATTGACCTTGAACTCTGTGATTTTTCTAAATTCATTTAATCACAATAATTTTCCTATGGATTATCTTGCAGCTTGGATATAATACAATCTATAAGTAATGACAGTTTTTCTTTCTAATCTTTATATGTATTATTTTTCTTGCATTATTATACATGCTAGGATCTTTTTCCTACCAATGTTAAATAAAACTGTTGTTAATAAGGGGAACCTGTCTCCTTTGCAATGTCAGATAAAAAGTTTTCAATATTTCTCCATTAAATATGATATTTATCATAGGTTTTTGAAAATGCTTTTTAAAGGTATGTGATATCATTTGGATTTGTGTCCTTACCCAAATCTCATGTCAAACAGGAGAAGGGGCCTGATGGGAGATGATTGGAGCATGGGGGTGGATTTCCTCCTTGCTGTTCTCATGATAGTGAGTGAGTTCTCACAAGATCTGATGGCTTAAAAGAGTGTGGCCCTTCCCCCTTCTCTCTCACTACTGGTCTGCCATGACAAGACATGCTTACTTTCCCTTTGCCTTCTGCCATGATTGTAAGTTTCCTGAGGCTTCCCACCCATGCTTCCTGTTAAGCCTGCAGAACTGTGAGCCAATTAAGCCTCCTTTCTTCATATATTACCCCTTCTAAGATAGTTCTTTATAGTAGTGTGAGAATGCAGTAATATACAGTATGAAAATGAATATTTATTTAGATTAAGAAATATGTACCACAAATTATTGGAAACTTAGAGATTTTTCATTTCTTCTGAGGCAACTTTACACAATTTTCCAGACATGTTAACATATAAATGTTTCTTGGTTGCAACCCACTTTGCTCTCTCTCCAGAATTCTCTACAATCCCCAGCAATTCCTAACACTTATAGGGGCCTGTGAAAATGAAGGCTTTGAAAACTGGGCCTTATAAACTTCATAATTTCATCTGAGAATTTTTTTTTTACAATTTGGCTGTAGTTTTCCTTCTCTTGATGTTAATTCTGAAAACTTTCTCAAGATTATCTTGTAAATACTCTATCATATTAAAGAAATTTCTTTCTATTGCTAGTTAGGAAGTTTTTATCATAAATGGGCATTGGATTTTATCAAAAAATTCAACATCTGTTTGTTGCTGCATCTATTGAGATAGTGACAGGATAATTTCTCCTTTATTATTGTACTGAGTTATCATGATTGAAATTCAAGGGTCTGTTCCTAAATAAAACCTACTTAGTTGTGATATGTTATTCTTTTTAGAAATCACCAGATTAGGTTGCTGATATTGCTTCAGAATGTTTGAGTTAGAAGTTTCCTTTTTTATAATATACTCATCAGGGTGTCTTGGATTCACAACATGAGATGAAAAGTGTTCTCTCTTCTATTCTACACAATAGATTGTGTAAGTGGTGTTATTTATTTCTTAAATGTTTAGAGAAATTCATTAATAAATACATATGGGTCTGAATTTTCTTTGTGGCAAGGTTTTAATTTCAGATTCAAAATTATTGTTAGTATAGAATTATTCCAATTATTTTCTACTGTATCAATTTTGATAAAATGTGTTTTAATGTAAGTTTTCAAATTTGTTAGCACAAAATTGTTCTTAAAATTCTCTTAATCTGTCTAATAAATGTTGACTTTATGGTGACATTCCTTTTTAGTCTTTCTGTTGGTAATCAGTAACTTCACTGTTTTTATTCTTTATTAGTTTTTACAAAGGTTATACATTTATTTGCCTTTTCAAGGAACAACTTTGGATTTTACTTACCTTCATTGCATTTTTTGTCCTGACTCAATTTCTGTTTGAATCTTTGTTACTCTTTCTTTCTAACTTATTGGGGTCTAATCTACTATTATTTTTCTATCTTCTTTAGGTGAATACTTCAATCACTGATTTTTAGCCCTTCTGTTTTCTAGAATAGATGTATTGAAGATGATCATTTTTTCTTAAAGCACATCCATAGCTGCATTTTATAAGTTTTGATATGTAATATTTTATTATCATCCAGCTCAGTGTGTATTCTAACTTCATTGGGATTTCGCCCTTTAGCTATGGGACTTTTTAGGAGAGTATTGCTTAATTTTTCAATATTTGATAGTTTTTTGTTTACATTCTATTATTGATTTCTAACTCATTTCCAGTGACCACACGCTGTATAAGTTCAATCCTTCAAAATTTGTCAATGTGTGTTTTTTTCTTTGTTCTTACCTGTTATTTTCCTCTTCTTTCTTAAAAATTAATTTTTCTTTTTTTCTTCTTCACCATTCTTTTACTGCTAATTTTTTTAGGTGTTACTCTAGAGATTATACATGAATTCCTGGCTTATTTAATTCTAATAAAAATTAGTAATTTTTCCACTTTTTGGACAATCTAAGGTTTTAAAATGATTTCACTTTACTTTTCTACTTCTCCCATTTTCTTCTATTGTCATTTATTTTAGTGCTATTTGTATATTATTCTATAAACTCCTCAATATATGATTGTTATTTTACATGTTTAATATTCATTTAGTTTTTTTCATTGCTATTTATGTATTTATTTATTCTTTGTTCTTTCTGTGCTTTCACTTGAAATTATTTTTTTTGACTTCAAGGGCTCCCTTTAGAATTTGTTTTGCTGCAGCCCTACTGGTAACATTTTCTTTTCGTTTTGTGCTTGTATAAAAATGTTTTTATTTAACATTTATTTGGGGGAATATTTTTGTTAGATACAAAATTCTAGGCTGCAGTTATTTTCTTTTAATGTTTTGAAGATGCTTGTTGTCATCTGGCTTCCAATATTTCAATTGTGAAATTAACTGTCAGACTGATGATTATTCCTTTTAAAAGTATTATGTGTGTTTTTTTTTCTATCTGCAAAGATTTTCCTCTTTGTCTTTTTAGATAGCTTTCTTTTTATGTGGTTAGGCGGTTGTTTTGAATTTTTCCCAGTTGGGCACAGTAGTATTTTGTGAACTGTGACTTTTATCACTTGGAAATTCTTCAGCTACTTCTTCTTCAGATATTACCTCTGTTCTAGTCTCTTGTTACCTCTTCTCTGGAACTCCAGTTACATATATTTTAGACCTTTCAGACCATATTCCATAAATGGCCTTAGTCCTATCTTTTGATGTCTGATTGCAGTTTTTCTAATTTTCAGTTCTAGAATTTCCACTTGATTCTGTTCTGAAATTTCCAGTCCTTTTTTGAAATTATTCATACTACCAGCAAATTTCTTGACCATATTAACTGTAGTAATTTAAAAATCCATATCGAAAACTTTCAACATCTGGATCTCCTGTTGGCTTCTTTCTTTTCTTTTTTCTTTTTCTTTTTTTGACAGAGTCTTGCTCTGTCAGCCAAGCTGGAGTGCAGAGGCACAACCTCAGCTCACTGGAACCTCCGCCTCCCGGGTTGAAGCAATTCTCATGCCTCAACTTCCCAAGTAGCTGGGATTACAGGCACCCACCACTATGCCCGGCTAATTTTTGTATTTTTAGTAGAGATGGGGTTTCACCATTTTGGCCGGGCAGATCTCAAACTCTTGACCTCAAGTGATCCACCCACCTTGTGGTGCTGGGATTACAGGCGTGAGCCACCGTGTCCTGTCTCCTGTTGGCTCGTTTCTTTTACTTGATTTTTTTCCTCTTGGCTTTTGATCATTTATTTTGCTTCTTAATATGACTGATAATTTTTTATTGAAATCAGGATATGGTATGTGAAAATTTTCAGAGATAATTCCAGACTCTAGATGGTGTTACTGCTAGCGGGTTTATTTTCTTTCTGGTTGAAAGTTAGGGTAGAGGCAGATCAGCTAGTCTAATCTCAGTGGGCTTGAATCTTCATGACCGTCCTTTGTTTCTGGTTCCCTATTACTCCTGAAATGAATCCCATCCAGGGTTCCAACTGAAATGCTGGGATATTTTGTCTGCTTCTTATTGGGTCTTAAGCTTCCATGTTATTCCTTATCCCCGTGAAACTCTTAGAATATCTGCTCAGCTCCTTCATCTTTAGGCTGCTGTTTAGGAGTTGACAAATGCCTCAAGGAAAAGTGGCACCGAATACTGAGCTGACCTCTCTGCACACCCTTCTTTCTGCTATCTTGGCTTCTCAGTCTTGCTGCCTTGCTAGTTTTCTGATGCCTTTCAGCAGATGTTTTTACTGGATTATCCTGTTTTGCAGTTGTTTTCATGGAATGGTTGGTCTCCACAGAGCTATTCTAGGTAATGGGAAAACATGCCAGCCATTTTCTTATCCTGCTTTATTGAATTTCTTATTTAATTCTTCAGATTGAAAATGATGTTCCTGATTTTTCTGAGTACCAGAAACATCTGAGAAAGAAAAATATAAATGTTGGAAAGAATATGTTTTGAATCTTTATTATGTAGAGTAATATGCTAAGAGCATTTCATATTTAAATATTTTAAAATATATTTTATATTTAAAATTATCTTTAATATAAAATTATCATATTTGTGAAATAGACAACTTCATAGAGCATGCTCTTCATGGGGTGAAAGTCACCCCATCAAGAAAGAAATACTTTTCTTGAAACTGTGTTTTCACTGTTGACGTTTTTATCTACCAGACAGACTCAAGAATTCTTTGTTAATTTCCATGAGGGACAAAAGAGGATGTTTAAATATTAGGAAACAAAAAGATGGTTCTTATCAGAATCCATCCTTTTACCCTAAGCAAGAAAGTCTAGTTTTGTGTTATTTGAAAAATTTTAGAAGATACAATTTTTTATTAACTCATGAAAATCATTTTCTGACCCATGAGGTATAGTTGCTTTGCTCCATTTCTGTATGATATTTAATCTGAATACTAAAATAGAAATCATTAATACTTTACTACAACTCCAATGTATTAAACATAGTTATTTTTATCAATATAAAAATGAGTCATATCATAGTCATGCAGATTTTTATATGTATGATTTGTTCTTTACATTTTCTTTACCTAAAATTCAAAACTCTCTCTATGAAGAATATTTTTCTGTATTCCAGTTGGTGGATATTTCTTTAAGCTTATTTAATTGGATAAGGGTTAAGGGTGTGATGTTTAAATTACACAACCATCTTGGTTTAAAGTCATGAGGCTTTTTGTGGGTTTATTTTACAATACCGTACTTTCAAAACTAACAAATCAAGACTTACAGCAGCAATAGGAGGCAAACACTTTTCATTTCTTTCACCAGGTTGCTGAAATATGGCCCAGTTCCAGCTACTGATCATGCATATTCCCGAGACAACTTCATAGAGCATGCTCTTCACTGGGTGAAAATCACCCCATTAAGAAAGAAAGAATTTTCTTGGTATTTTCTTGAAGCCATTGACTATGAAAGCACAGCCCTTCCAGTTTTTTAGAAGTTTTAATCATACATCAAGCTCTTATTAGTAACAAAGAAAACAAAGAAGAAACCTAGCTCTCATTTTCAGGAAGGATGCTTTCAGATGGTCAACATAAAACCACCAAGGGAGGGGCCGCAATGCCAGTACCCTGTGTTAAACCTGCAGCAGCAGGAAAGGCTGTCAGGTGAGCAGTTAGAGGCAAGGAGATGTTGGGCACTGTATGGTGGGTGACAACCTCGAGACAACTCACCTTACTGTGCTTATTTTATCTCTCCACATCTTGTATAAGTGACACAAGCATTTGAGTCCGGGGCCCTCTGCTTTTTTATTATGCACAGACTCACTCAGGGAGTGGGAGCTAAGGAAAGGTTGGAATTAATCAGATACTTCCCCAGACTTTCCTACACCTCTTGCCCAACAGAAGTAGGCAAAGCTAACTCAGACCATGCGGACTGAGTTTCTTGTTCCATCAGACTTTTAGGTACAAGGTCAAGGTTGGGGGCTAAGCGTGTACAGTGATTGATCTGGGAGACTTAAGGAAAAGTTTTTCTGGAAATGGTTAATGGGAAACAAGGAGGAATGTCTTGTGTGATAGCAAAGTGGAAGCAGCCAACCAAGGAAGACTTCAACAAGTTCAGAAAAATCTTGCCTCTGTCCGGGCATGGTGGCTCACACCTGTAATCCCAGTACTTTGGGAGGCCTAGGTGGGCGGATCACCTGAGGTCAGGAGTTCGAGACATGGCAAAACCGTGTCTGTACTAAAAATACAAAACAAACAAACAAACAAACAAACAAAAACTAGCTGGGCGTGGTGGCAGGCGCCTATAATCCCAGCTACTCAGGAGGCTGAGGCAGGAGAATCGCTTGAACCCAGGAGGCGGAGGTTGCAGTGAGCTGAGATCACACCACTAAACTCCAGGTTGGGTGACAGAGCGAAACTCCATCTCAAAAAAAAAAAAACTTTCCTCTCTAGGAAAAGACGTGGGAATTCTATGAGCTTCCTACCTCCTGCTGGGCCATAAATGCGATGGTTGGAGCCATCAACCTCTTAACAGGACCTAGAATAGAATTGCTGAATTCTTTGGTCCCCAATTCCGAGAGTGCCTGAGTCTGACCTTGGTGACAGAAAGAGTCTAATAAAATATGAAACATTAACTATAGGGAAAAATAGATTAGATGTACATTGTGTGGTGTCAGCTTGGGCTGAAGTTGTGCTTGTACCAGGATACAGACATACCTGCAAGAGGTGAGCCACTGTCCTCATGAAAGAATGAGAAGTCTCCTAGGAACGGGTTGATCCTAAAGGAAGCTGAAGGCATGTACTCTGCCTAAGAGCAAGGCCTCAGCTGAAAGAAGGGAATATAATAGTTTGAGTACAACGTGTAGAGAGTCCCCCAACCTTGTCCTTGGGTGAATCTGTACACAGTGCTCAAAAGCTGATCTGCCAGCCACAGTCACCATCAGCTAGCTGTTTGTCACAGTCTTTTGCTCCCATCCTTCTTTTTTTGAGACAGAGTCTCGTTCTGTCACCCAGGCTGGAATGCAGTGGCGTGATCTTGGCTCACTGCAACCTCCACCTCCTGGGTTCAAGCGATTCTCCTGCCTCAGCCCCCTGAGTAGCTGGGATTACAGGTGCTTCCCACTGCACCCGGGTAATACTTGTATTTTTAGTAGAGATGGGGTTTTGCCATGTTGGCCAGGCTGGTCTCAGACTCCTGGCCTCAAGTGAGCCTCCAGCCTCAGCCTCCCAAAGTGTTGAGATTACATGCATGAGTCACTGCACCCAGCTGCATCCTTCTTGTTGATGGTCTTTCTATGAAACCTCATGATGCCTCATTATTGCTGCTGCATTCTCTACTCACCTTAGAATGACAATATCAAAGCTACAGATATTATTACCTGATGCTCCCCAAACCAGCAGCTTTCAAGGTGGCCATAAGACACTTGTTTCATCTTCTCTTGTGGATTTCATATTTTATCACTTAAGAACCTAGCAAGGCTTCTATCCAGAGTCTCATATAGTCCTTCCACATGACCCCAATAGCATCTTCTCTGTTTCCACTTCCTGCATTTCAGGTCCTTTTTAAGTACCTGCATCCTCTTCTATCCAAAAGCAAAGTCCTTATGCAAATCTGCTTATGCGAATTTTCTTGTTTTAAACTGCTGTCTCTCCAGTTTGTTAAATGTAACCAAAGACAAGCCTGAAGGCCAACAGTATCCTGTATCACTAGCAGATAATATTGCCCACTTTGACACTGGAGATTCTGTAGCATAAACATTTGTCGGTATAGTAATTCTTAATCTTCTTAACTAGATTCTTGTGAAACTCATCATAATAGTATGCTACAAGTGTATCTATTGCCGCTAAAATCTGCAGGATCTGTATTAAGATACATTGCTGTTATTAGTTGTGCTTCATTTTGAAAGAGTCCAATATACTGATTAGGATAAAAGCTAACATTTTGCCATGGTGAAAATCTACACCAATTACATAAAATTAAAATGTTTTGTGATACTTGAAGTAACTTTGTAGTGATAGAATAAAAATACATTGGTTTTCTTTTATGATAAAACAAGAATAAATCCTCTTACCTAAAACTGTTTCCGAGAGAAAAAGAAGCACTTTTTAGTCAGAAATAGATGGTTTAAATCCCCTCATCATAATTATGTATTTGCAACTGAAAGCCTAAAATATTTGATGAAAAATAGCCTGATACCATTGCAAACAAAAAACCCAGGCACCCAGAAAGACTGGAGTCTGCCATAAATCCAGATGCTCTAACAAGTAGCTCAGAGACCTTAATTAACCTCTCTGAGACTTCTATTTCTCCTATGTCGAGGAGCATAAACATGTAAACGCAGTTTGCGAAGATCAAGTTGAGGTAATGCTTATTATATTTCTGTTACTTGGTAGGACCAAAAAAAGGTAGATATAATTTTTCTAAGTTTTGAATTAAAATTGTATGACAAGTGTTTCAAAGCATGTAGCATTACCCTAGTCCTCTTTATTGGTTTTGTACACGTTACATTTTAGTAAATTTAAAGAGGTATAAATTTTACTAGAATCATTTCCAGAAACTGGCTTACAATTTTATTGGGGGAGTTTTTGTATCAAAATACTAAAGGCTTGGTTCAGTTGAAAAGCCAACAGGCTCTTATCACTTTAGTTTTGGTAAGTGAGAGAAGGGAAGAGAAATATTTCCGATACTATATCATGACAGGTAAGTGATCATTCTGTCTTATTATTATTTGCATAGAAATGTTCTTGAAAGCCCATGAAATGGAGACTGGGCAATTTGGCTGCCTCAGCTAATGCAGAAGGGTCCCCTACCTGCTGAAAACAGTTGGAAATGCTAAACAAAATAGTAAACCATGACACTAAAAATGACTATAGAGAAACTTGATGAAAAGAAGAGAAATCTTTGGATGCCAAAGAAAGAGCTCAAATCAGGATGGGCTCTGGGAGAGACGTTTTGTCAGAAAACTTCCACATCTCAGGACAAACTGCATTCCTGAAGAACAATGGAAATCCACTGAAAATGAACTCATAATAAAACATTATAAACCAGACAGGGAAAAGAGCATCATGAAGAATCAGAAAACACAACATTTTCTCTTAAAAAAGCCTTCTGAAGACTGCAGACAATAAAGCAATCTGAAAGCGGCTATAAGTATGTTGAAAAACAAACAAAATAATAGGAAAAGGAACATTAGGAAAAAAATGTTTATGTGGTTATGCTTCATTCTTCAGAAATTTCCCTCATCCACCCCCAGATTTCTAAGTCCTATGGGTTAACAGATACCGTTGTCCCTTTGAAGACACCTGTATTAGTTTGCCAGGATTCCGTAATAAAGCACCACAGATTGGGGTGCCAGAAGTCCCAGCTCAAAGGGTTTGCAGAGTTGGTTCCTTTGAGAGCTGTGAGGGAGAATCTGTTTCATGTCTGTGCCCTAACTTCTGGTAGTTTGCTAGAAATCTTTGGTGTTCCTTGGCTTCTATGGTATCATCCTGATGCCTGCCTTCATCTTCCCAAGGTATTCTCCCTGAGTGTGTCAAAATTTCTTTTTTTTATGAAGATACCAGTCCTGTTGGATTTGAGGCCCACCCTACTCCTGTATAATCTCATTTTAACTTGTTACATCTGCAATGATCCTGTTTGCAATTAAGGTCACATTCTGAGATACTTGGGAGTTAGGATTTCAACACATGAATTTTTGGGAAACGAGGCATAATTCAATCCATCGCAACACCCAAATATAAATTGACTATTTTTAGAATTTTTCAGTCTTATTAGAATGGTAGAAACACAGAAATCTTCCAACGTCCTCATTCTATGCCAAAATAGAACACTTCAAGTAAATAAGAAAGGCATTTTGGATAACCTTTAGGCTTTCAGGCTATGTACCAAAAAGACACCATTAAGAGACAAGACATGCCCCACGGTAAGATAAGAAGATAGGAAGCTTCTCTACTGCAAACTCCTAGGACTTACCACATTGCTTTCAAAAAACTTCTTAAAGTCTCTAAGTATTTTCTTGTGTAATGTTATAGATCTGAGCACATAATATTTAGAATAAGTAATATATTTAATGTCTTCAAAATAATGAAAATAAATATTTTAAATGTTCTAAAGTTTTCTTTGGGGTCTTGAGATTTAGCCAATGACCAAATAAAAATATTAATAATGATTTTGTATATTTCGTATAATGCTATCAACCTGCCATCAGCACTGTATAGCACTTTTCCCCAGGGGTTGTTGTGATTGTTTGTCACTATTTCATCGTTAGTAATAGTACTAATAGAATTTTTCTGAAAGAGTTAATGTGGGGGTCAAATAAGGTAACAAATATAAAGCACTTACTAGAGTGCCTGGGACAGAGTAACTGCTCAATAAATGTTAACTGTTATTATTAGAGTATAGAAGGTGCTGCATTTTTAAAAAGCTTCGTGAAGTGTTTTCCCTTTTTGGTGATATAATTCAGGGGTGCTCCTATGCCATTTTTTCTTCAAGAAAGAGAAGGGTTGGTGCCACCCAAAAAAGAGCTCATGGTGTAGTAAAGAAGTTAGAAATGTAAACATAATCAAGTCACTTAGATAGTTAGTCTAGGAAGTATGGGGCCACTTCATTTTTAAGAGAAAAGGTTAGACTATAATAATGTATCTGGATACATCGGCTCTAAAGGAGAAGGAAAACGAAGTTGGAGAAGGTTCCTCTGATGGTCTGCCTTTTCTGTATGAAGTATGGGGCAAGATCATTGGTGGGAAATTAAAGATGGGAGTGGAGTAGAGTATTTGAGAGGGGTAAAGTGTTGGAACTACTCCACCCAAGAATACAAATGTGAGCTGAATGGAGTCAGTACTGAGTCCAACTGAACACAAGGTCTAGTTGAAGCCATCATTTTGTAGCTGAAGCCAGTAAAAACTGTTGTTTTATTTTACTCTCCTTTATCATTTCTATTCTATTTAAATGTTATCCTATTTTATTTTATTTTATTTGACGTAATTGGTTGAGGCATAGCTGATCATTGTATGGGCACAAGCTAAGAAGTGACTGATGGCATCCACCCAGGCCAGGATTGAGGCAGAGAGAGGAGAAGAGGGTGAGGGAGCTGATGATGTGAGTGAAGTCACCCACTAACCAGGCAGGAGGGAAGGAATTGACAGCAGGATGTGCTGATACAGGAAAAACAGGTATCTCCATGGTGGAAGAACAGATATGGCAGCAGAAAGGGGATGAGAGAAATAGGAGGAAAGGTGTTGCTAAGAAAGTGCTAAGAAGTTGGACCTGGTGCAGTTCCAGGTGGTTGATCTGGGGTTTGGGGTGCAGGGAATGGAATGCTTCCATACAGCCAGGGGACAGGATAAGGAGATAAAGAGATGAAGGTGAAGGCAAACTGTCAATTTCTCAGTCTCATAGTCCTTGGCTGTGCTCCTGTGTTAGCTGCGATTTCAAAATAGATCACTTCCTTTCCTTACTTTACTCTGTCTCCTCTCCATCTCCTACTTGGCATCTTGTGTCTTTTTAAGGTCATGTTAAGAGTTCACTTTCCCAATCAGGAGAAGCACAGAAACATAAATCAATGTACTTAATGCATGTTTCTTTCTTTCTCAAAGACTTGCCTAAATAAAACCTTACAATTTATTTTAGTTAACAAATTAAATGTTGACTTTTAAAAACATAGTATTTGTGCTTTTTAACCCTCAAAGAACTTTACACTTATTAAGGTCATTACTCTTTTTAACACTCCTAGAGTCTTTGAGTTGAACATACATGTTCAAAAGATTAACACAGAGGGTGAGGATGTTTGGCTATCAGATGCAGTTTTTAGCTGTAATATCTGGCCTTTGAGATAGTATTGCTCTGGCCATGTCTGAAAGCCAGGAAATAATTATTTCTCTTCCACTTTCTGTCAATGGGGAGCTATTATTACCCCCTTCAGTGTGAACTCATTTAGGACTACACAAATAAAAATTATTAATAATGGTTAATTATCAGATTAGAATTTCAAAGGGGAAAAATAATAGTAGTTTCCTCTGAAATTCACAAGCCAACTAAAGCCATTCCAAGCTTCCTGAGGCCCCTTCTCTCCTCTGTTTCTTATTTCCTTTCATCCTTCCCTCTTCTTCTCTTTGGATTTCTCTCTTCTTATTTATTTCTCTGTACACAGGGTATTTTTACTCCCCTCAAGTTCTCTTCATTGGTGCCACTCTTCTTACATACCTGGCTCTTTTTTCTTCACCTTCTGATTTTCCACCTTTTCTTTTTCCTGCTTTCCCTTTTCTTACTTTACCATTTCCTTTTTTTTAAATTTCTGAACCAGTTGGGAACAAGATTTTTTTTCTAACTAATTTCTCCCTTCCTTCCTTCCTTCCTTCCTTCCTTCCTTCCTTCCTTCCTTCCTTCCTTCTTTCCTTCCTTTCTTCTTTCTCTCTCTCTCTTTTCCTTCTTTTTCTTTCTTTTTTTCTGCTTTTTCTGGGGCTCACTCTGTTGCCCAGGTTGGAGAGCATTGGCATGATCATGGCTCGCTGCAGCCTCAACCATCCAGGCTCAAGCAATCCTTCTACGTCTAGCTCCTGAGCAGCTGGGACTACAGATGTGCTCCACCACAGCTGGCTAATTTTGTTTGTTTATTTATTTATTTATTTGTTTACTTATTTGTTTATTTATTGAGACAAGGTCTCACTATGTTGCCCAGGCTTGTCTCCAACTCCTGGACTCAAGTGACCCTCCTGCCTTCACCTCCAAAAGTGCTAGGGTTACAGGTGTGAGTCACCGCGCCCAGCCTATCATTTCCTTCTACAACATCGACACCCCCTTGTCCTGTCCTCTGGTCACATGGTGGCACTGCATTCCTGACCCAGCCCTGGGATCAACCCCTCTATGCTCACTTTTACTTTTTATTACTATAGCAACAACAAGGGCTATTATTATTAATTAAAATTTATTGAACACATACCATGTGTCAGGCAAGTAGATTACTTTCTGTTTAGAAAATGCCATCACAAAGGGGACAGCACATGCAAAAGACAATGATCTGAATCTGCAAGTGGGGAAAAAACTAAAATGGATTTTCAGTTGTTTGAAATAAAATTCCTTGCCATCGGCATTTGCTCAATATTGATAAAGGGAAGATTCAGGTCCCTTTGTAAGAGAGAGAGGGAAAAAACAGAGACATCGATCGAATCCATACTGTGAAACTATGCAGTAGGTATTGACCCATCATTGCTCTCAAACAGTGGAAAAAGACTGAGATGAATTTGCTTTGTGGAGTAGCCAATCACTCAGGTGGCTGAGTCACAAACAAGATTTAATATCTGATTGCTGCACAAAAATGTCTACAAAGAAGCTCCTGTGGAAGATATTTTTCCTCACCCATTCAAGGTTGCAGAGGTAGTTCTCTTTGTGATTTGTGAGTGGTGTAGGAGTGTGAAGAGTATAAATTAGAGAAGAATATAAGGAAGTTTGCTGTGTGTTTAGCAGGAACTGCAACCTAAGAGAATCAAGATCCTGCAGCCGAGAAGAGAACTGGGATCCAAAAGGTCACATTAAAACAGGTTAAGTGTTTGCAAATCCCAATTACAATAGGTGCCGTTAGCTATTAAATCTTATTGATCGGCCAGGCGCAGTGGTTCATGCCTATAATCCCAGCATTTTGAGAGACTAAGGCAAGCAGATTGCCTGATGTTAGGAGTTTGAGACCAGTCTGACCAACGTGGTGAAACCCCGTCTCTACTAAAAATACAAAAAATTAGGCGTAGTGGCGTGCGCCTATAATCTCAGCTACTCAGGAGGCTGAGGCAGGGGAATTGCTTGAACCAGGGAGACAAAGGTTGCAGTGAGCCAAGATTGCGCCACTGTACTCCAGCCTGGGTGACAGAGCGAGACTCTGTCTCGAAACAAAAACAAAAACAAAACAAAAACCTTACTGATCAAATAGCTAAGAAATAAAGAATTTCCTCCATTCTTTGCTGAGGTGGGAAGAAACAGCTGCTGGAATGAGTTTGCAGATGGGGAGAAAAGTGGTTCTTAAAAACTCAGGAACTATGGTGTACCCTTTCGTGTGCCGATTAAAATGAAAACATGAATCCCGGTCTTCCCTGGCCAATGGGAACACTACAGGTGGGGAGAAAGAACCTCCTCTCTTTATGTTTCTGTAAATCATCCTGCCTTACTTTGAACCCCTGTGCCTTCAAAAAGGGAGGACTTTGAGCCCCTGTGCCTTCAGAAAGGGAGGAAACTGTCCTTAAAAGAGCTCTGCTATCTCCCTGGAATTTATGTCATGACTATGACATAAAAAATTTGCCCAGTGCTAAAAATTCAGGACATGGCATCTGGTGATTGAGTCACTTACCCACACAGGTTAGCAGTAAGACACTCATTCTGTATTTTAGCACAGCCCTGGAGCTCCGGTGGCTTTGTGACGCCATGGCGTGGTCTCAATTTCTGAGCTGCACACAGAGCCACTTCTCCTCCCGGGATCTTGCCACTTCCTTGTTTGCACTGCACAGAAAGCACACAGCAGCTACTCACCTTCTCATTTCCTGCAGGTTTGGAGAATCCTTGTGGTGGGGCTTTTAGTTGTCTCCTTGTTTCTTACAAGTATTTTGTTGACACCACATTATCTTCCTTCTCTGGAACTGGTGTATTCAGGATTCCCAAGCCCAGGAAACTTAGTGCTGCTTTTTTTTCCCTTATGGTTACTACTCAGAAGCAAGAGGCAAGAGGCAAGAAATGCATGATTGAGTACCTGCTTGATTTAGGAGGGGAGAGGAAAAGAAACAGGTTGAATTTTAAAAATGTTATTGAGTTGGCTGGGCACAGTGGCTCACATCTGTAATCCAAGCACTTTGGGAGGCTGAGGAGGGTGGGTCACCTTAAAATCAGGAGTTCGAGACCAGCCTGGCCAACATGGTGAAACCCTGTATCTACTTAAAATATAAAAAATTAGCTCAGCGTGGTGGTTGGTGCCTGTAATCCCAGCTACTTGGGAGGCTGAGGCAGGAGAATCACTTGAACCCAGGAGGCAGAGGTTGCAGTGAGCCGAGATCACACCATTGCACACCAGCCTGGGCAATAAGAGTGAAACTTCGTCTCAAAGAAAAATGTTATTGAGTCACAGTTGTGTCAGAGTTCTCAAAATGCAGAAGCCAGCTTTCTAATGCTGTGGCCTCTGTCCAGGACAGATATATACCATGCAGATGAGAGAGGACCCAGTGTAGTTCTTAAAAATTTCAGTGCATGAGACCGAACACGCAACCACCACTTCTCACCATTTCACTCTCTGGCCAATTTGTTGGTTTTGTTGCTGTTGTGACTTCTTGTTAGTGATACAGGCATTTGCCCATACACACCATTTTAAGAATTCCTGGCACAAAGAGATGCTTAAGAAATATTACGTGATGTTTGATATAGTTTGGCTGTGTCCCCACCCAAATCTCATCTTGAATTATAGTTCTGATAATCCCCATGTGTCATGGGAGGGACCCAGTGGGAGGTAATTGAATCATGGGGGTGGTTTTCCCTGTGTTGTTCTTGTGATGGTGAGTGAGTTATCATGAGAGCTGATGGTTTTATAAGCCTCTGGCATTACCCCTGCTGGCTCTCATTCTCTCTCTTGCTGCCCTGTGAAGAGGTGCCTTCTGCCATGACTGTAAGTTTCCTGAGGCCTCCCCAGCCACATGCAATTGTGGGTCAGTTAAACCTCTTTTTAAATAAATTACTCAGTCTTGGATATTTCTTCATAGCAGCATGAGAACAGACTAATACAGTAAATTGGTACCAGGAGTGGGGTGCTACTATAAGGATACCCCAAAATGTGGATGCAAATTTGGAACTGGGTAACAGGCAGAGGTTGGAACAGTTTGGAGGACTCAGGAGAAGACAAGAAAATGTCAGAAAGTTTGGAAATTTCTAGGGATTGGAGGGCTCAGAAGACAGGAAGATGTGGGAAAGTTTGGAACTTCCTAGAGACTTGTTGAATGGCTTTGACTAAAATGCTGATAGTGATTTGGACAATGAAGTCCAGGCTGAGGTGGCCTCAGATGGAGATGAGGAACTCGTTGGGAACTGGAGCAAAGGTGACTTTTGTTATGCTTTAGCAAAGAGACTTGCAGCACTGTGCCTCTGCTTGAGATCTGTGTATCTTTGAACTTGAGAGAGATGATTTAGAATATCTGGCAGAAAAAATTTCTAAGTGGCAAAGCATTCAAGAGGAAGCAGAGCATAAAAGTTTGAAAAATTTGCAGCCTGACAATGCGATAGAAAAGAAAAACCCATTTTCTGGAGAGAAATTCAAGCTGGCTACAGAAATTGGCATAAGTAATGAGAAGCCAAATGTTAATCACCAAGACAATGGGGAAAATGTCTCCAGGGCATGTCAGAGACTTTCACAGCAGCCCCTCCTATCACAGGCCCAGAGACCTAGAAGGGAAAAATGGTTTCATGGTCTGGGCCCAGGGCTCCCCTGCTCTGTGCAGCCTCAGGTCATTGTACCCTGCATCCCAGCCCCTCTAGCTCCAGCCATGGCTAAAAGCGCCAAGGTACAGTTCGGGTTATTGCTTCAGAGGGTGCAAGCCATAAGTCTTGGCAACTTCCACATGGTGTTGAGCCTGTGGGTGCACAGAAGTCAAGAACTGGGGTTTGGGAACTTCTGCCTAGATTTCAGAGGATGTGTGGAAATGCCTGATTGTCCAGGCAGAAGTTTGCTGCAGGGGCAGAGGCCTCATTGAGAACCTCTGGTAGGGCAGTGTAGAAGGGAAATATGTAGTGGGTGCCCCCACATAGAGTTCCCACTGGGGCACTGCCTAGTGGAGCTGTAAGAAGTGGGCCACCGTCCTCCAGACCCCAGAATGGTAGATCCACAACGACAGCTTCCACTGTGCACCTGGAAAAATCGCAGACACTCAATGCCAGCCTGTGAAAGAAGCCAGGTTGGGGGATGTTCCCTGCAAAGCCACAGGTGTGGAGCTTCCCAAGGCCACGGGAGCCCACCTCTTGCAACAGCATGACCTGGATGTGGGACATGGAATCAAAATAATCATTTTGGAACTTTAATATTTAATGACTGCCTTGCTGGATTTCAGACTTGTATGGGTCTGTAGCCCCTTCGTTTTAACCACATTTTCCCCATTTGGAACAGGTGTATTCACCCAATGCTTATAATTGTATCTAGGAAGTAACTAACTTACTTTTGATTTTACAGGCTCATAGGTGGAAGAAACTGGTCTTGTCTCAGATGAGCCTTTGGACTTGGACTTTTGGGTTAATGCTAGAATGAGTTAAGTCTTTGGGGACAGTTGGAAGGGCATGATTTTGTTTTGAAATGTGAGGACATGAAATTTGGGAAGGGTCAGGAATGTAATGATGTGGTTTGCCTTTGTCCTCACCCAAATTTCATCTTGATTTATAGTTCCCATAATCCCTACATGTCACAGGAGGGACTAGGTGGGAGGTAATTGAATCATGGGGGCAGTCTCCCCCATGCTGTTCTCATGATGGTGAGTGAGTTCTCATGATATCTGATGGTTTTATGTGTCTGGCATTTCCCCTGCTGACTCTCATTCTCTCTCTTGCCACCCTCTGAAGAGATGCCTTCTGCCATGATTATAAGTTTCCTGAGGCCTCCCCAGCCATGCAGAACTGTGAGTTAATTAAACTTCTTTTCTTTATAAATTACTAGACTTGTGTATTTCTTCATGGCAGTGTGAGAACGAAGTAATACAATGTTAATTGTTAATACTTTATTTTTCTGACTTTTAATTTAAAATTTTTAAATGCTATTTTATTATTATTTTTTGGCCACTGGATTCCCATTCCACTTGAATAGAATAACAAATAGTAGAAATTAAAGTTAAAAAGTATGTTGAATATTGAATAGAAATTTAATTTTGGAAATATTCATGTCTACAGTTAAATAAGAAGTGGAAGACAGTAAAAAATGAAACAAATGCAGTCTCTGTCCTTGGTGGGACTGAAGCAGTTCCTGAAAGAAAACTTTTAGTGGTGCCTGTCAGCACAGAACTA
Organism: Homo sapiens; assembly: GCF_000001405.40. Lineage (NCBI taxonomy): Eukaryota > Metazoa > Chordata > Mammalia > Primates > Hominidae > Homo > Homo sapiens. The sequence goes on from NC_000004.12 coordinate 143,832,998, forward strand.
CAGCTTATGAAAGTCCATGGACATCAAAATTATGCAAAGCTTGGTGGAATTTTTGTGTGCAGGTTTTCCTAGAGAGAACAGAAACTATGAAATACAGTCGTAAGGCAGAAAATGAGAGCAAGAGTGATTATGTCAGGCAGCTTGCTCTGGCAGAGAGTTAAAGCCGGATGCTCTTTCTACCATGGCTTGTTTGGCTCCCAAGAACTGTGGCTTCTACTGCTTTCTCCCTCTTCCTTCTCCTGCATCTATTCAGGATACCTAATGCGGTCAAGAGGAACAAGGCAGAAATGAACATTTTCAAATCCTGTGTGGGTATAAACTCTATTCAAAACATATTATATTTTAAATACCATTCAGTTGTAAATAATCATAAGAGCACACCTACAATGAAACCATAGATGACTTGAAAGCACCGCAGCAGCCAGCTCTGAGCTGCAAGGAGAATAGTTGTATAAAATGATTCATTAGCAAAAAGAAATCCCTGCAGGACCCTAGATATAATCCAACACAGGGAAAAATGTGGTTTGGAGACTGATATTTTACAACTTCTTCAGGTTCTCAATATTGAAAACAAATGATACAATCAAAAGACATTCTTTCAGATTGCTATGTGCAGTCTCTTCCAGAGGGCTTGCGAGAGATACTTAACTTACCTTCTGCTCTGAGAGGGAAAGCTGTCTTGTGTGGGTGGCCAAGAAAGGTTATTTGGTGGTATTATATTTCAGGACTTCTACCAGAGTGATTCACTTATAACTGGCTGGCATAATTATTATAGAGTTTCAGTGATCTTTACGCTGTGTTAACTACAGAATATTGTAATTGCTGTTAGAATGAACATGAAATGAACCGTACAATTTCAAAACATACTTAGCTACTTTTAGAAGTGGTGCAAATGAGAGTTATTATGCTTTGAAGATTGCAGGGAGACTGACTAAGAGAACTAACAGAGTGGAGAACAGATTAATGGCTGCATTTCTTCATGCTATGTGACCATTAGTGAACTTTCCTTTCTGATATTACCTAATGTCAACATTCCATTGGAGTTCACACATTGCTAGGTGTTTTAGAAAAGACATTGAAGGTGATTTGTTGATATTTCTCCCCCAGATATACTGGGAAGAGGCTTTCTTCTTTAGAGATCTGAATTTCTGAAGTGAAGTCCCTAGAAGGAATTTCTGAAGTGAAGCCCCTAGAAGGCTCACCATTCTATTACAGTGGCTCTTTTGCTGCACGCTTCCCAGATTTCTCCATCCTCCTGCACTTCTGCTTCTGAAATTTTTCCTCTGATGGAGTTGCCATATCAGTACAGAAGCTGGCATGGTATAGCATGTGTACCACAGAGAGCACCAGAGCGGTTTATCTTTGGCATGCAGTCTGGGTATCATCTTGTAATCATCCCGTGGGCTTCAGAAACCTCAACTTGACAGAGACTTGGCCACAGACCTTCTTCCTTTAGATGCTTGGAGGATCCTCAAGAGAAGAATCAGATTCCCAACCTCACACTTACGAATTTCAAGATGGTGCTTGGTAACATCTTTTCTATGTGGTGGCCAGAATGTTGAAAAGTTTGATAAATCTTTACATTCATTCAGTCCCTCTGCACTTGTAAAGAGGAAGAGGCTTGAGTAGCAGCAGAAAAATGATATGGCCATCCACCATTGCCATGTTTATGTTGTGTTTATTTTCCTTTTCCCACTTTTCCCTCTGGGGAGAAATATGAGCGACTTATTACCTAATTCATTCCTGGAAGAGAGTTCTAGTCCTGGAAGCTTGTTTCATACTGTAAAAATAACAAAACTGATCATTCAAAATAATGGAATTAATACCACATAAGTTACTTTGCAGTATTCTTTTTGAATTTATTTTTTCCACATGTCGTTTTCCTCCTTTCTCCTGGCTCTGGGTGTCATAAAGTCTGGGTGGTAGAGGTAAGCGAATCTGCATAGGCATTCTTTATTTCACCAGAGACTTTAGACTTGAGTTTAAAATTAGAACCTACTAAAAAATGTTATTGTGTAGTTAGGGTGAAAGGGTATCTTTGAAGGGCTTTGAGTGATAAATGCCTTGATATTGGCATTTTCTGAGTGTCAGGGTTGCCCACTGACTCATATGAGAAATTGATGTGGGCAGTGGTTGTATCATTGAGGGTTTTTTTTTTTTTTTTTTTTTTTTTTTTTTTGTAGCCAGGGAGTCCTTGTTTGCTCTAGTTAAGATAGTCAGAACTGGCTGGGTATGGTGGCTTACGCCTGTAATCCCAGCACTTTGGGAGGCCAAGGTGGGCAGATCACGAGGTCAGGAGATCGAGACCATCCTGGCTAACACGGCAAAACCCCGTCTCTACTAAAAATACAAAAAGTTAGCCGGGCGTGGTGGCGGGCACCTGTAGTCTCAGCTACTCGGGAGGCTGAGGCAGGAGAATGGCGTGAACCTGGGAGGCGGAGCTTGCAGTGAGCCGAGATCGCACCACTGCACTCCAGCCTTGGCGACAGAGCCAGACTCCGTCTCAAAAAAAAAAAAAAAAAAAAAAAAAAAAAAAAGGTAGTCAGAACTGATGGCTTGGGTAATTGGGAGGTGGATGTGGTTGGATAAAAGGTGTGAAACAGAAATTATGTTATTATAAATAAGTCACCAGTTACCAGTATTTTGATGTATTAAATCTTATAAAAAGAAAATTAGTGGTATTGAGTATTTTTAATTTTAGAAAATTAATCAGAATCATAGTGTAAGAGGATTGGAAGGACTTTAGATTTCATATAATTGAATTATTAGAGACTTGAACAGTTTCTATAGTACTCTGATCAGACAAATTGTCCAGTTTATGGCGTTTGTTTGTTTCTTTGTTTGTTTTGAGATAGAGTCTCGCTCTGTCTCCCAGGCTGGAGTGCAGTGGTGCGATCTCAGCTCACTGCAACCTCTGCCTCCCAGGTTCAAGGCTGCCTCAGCCTCCTGAGTAGCTGGTGTTACAGGTGCCTGCCACCACGCCCAGCTTTTTTTTTAATTTTTAGTAGAGACGGGGTTTCGCCATGTTGGCCAGGCTAGTCTTGAATTCCTGACCTCAAGTGATCCACTCACTTCAGCCTCTCAAAATTTTGGGATTACAGGCATGAGCCACCATGCCCAGTCATCCAGTCTATTTTGAATATCTTTAGTGATGGGAAATTCATCTCTGCATAGTCTTATTTAATTCTGAGTATTAAATTTTTTTAATTGTGATAGTCAAAAGTTGATTCTCTAGCATATATGTATGCTAGCTCCATTTCTTGGGTCCTTGCAGAGCAAATCTAACTACAGTCCTACCATTAATTCCAGATTGCTCTATGCATCTGAGACTTTTAACTTTCACACAGAATGTCTCCAGATTTATATGAAAGGGTTATATGGTTCTTTGCAATTCTGGTTTATTTGTCGTTTGCCCAGATGTTGGTGTGGAACAAAATGGCACCTCCAGTGCCTACATGCTAGATCTTGAATTTTATGATGACAACCTAAGATCAGGAAGGACTGTGGATGAGGAACCATTGATGGGTTTTTTGCAGAGTAGTGCCATTGAGAGACTTTTATTTTAAATAATCTTTGTGGACTTATGGGGATGGAGTAAAAGAGGATATTTTGGAGGCCAAAAACAAGTCAAAAGCTGTTTCAGTAGGAGGACTTGGATCAGAGCAGGAACAATGGGCATGGAGAAAAGAGACTGGATTTTAGAAATAGTAGAGGATTGAATGTGGCTGGTGATGGAGAAAGAGGAATCAGAATGACACCAAAGTTTCTAGCTTAGATATTGGGCTATGAAAGACGGTGCCATGAACTAAGAAAGAAAATCCTGAAGAAAGAGCCAGTTTTAAGATAAAGATAAAATCTTTCAAACCGTGATTTCATTTAGCCTGTATTCCTCCATCTGCTCTACAAGAATATGATAAGAAAGCTTATGCCAGGATCTATTATTCATAGATGCAGTATGTGGCCGTGTTCCCCTGATCTACTAATCTAGTGATTCTATTGGAAAAAGAAAATGAATTTTATTTGACATGACTAGGTATTGGCTGGGCTTTGCATACCTCTTCTGTACTTCTTTGATCAATATTAATCAACTTAATAAGCACTTGCAGTTGGCAATGCTTTATATGCTCATTGTCTAGTGACAATGAATTATAGTATGAAGATTTTACAAATGTTTTTCTTTTGTTCCGGTTTGTTTTTTTCTGGTATGAATCCATTTATTATTATTGTTATTAATTTTTTTAAATTGACACATAATAATTGTAGATATCTATGGAGTACGTAGCGATGTTGCCATACATGTAATGCATAGTGATCAGGTCAAGGTAGTTAGCCTGTCCATCATCTCAAACGTTTATCATTTCTTTTTTTGAGAACATTCAATATCCTTCTGGCTATTTGAAACTATATATTATGTTATTGTTAACTCTGGTCATCATACTGTGGTATAGAATACTAGAACTTATTTCTCCTATTGTGTTGTAACATTGTATCCTTTAACAAATCTCTCCCAATGTCATTTTTCCCCCAACCCTTCATAGCCTCAAGTATTTTCTGTTTTACTTCCATGAAATCAACTTTTTGTTAGCTTCTACATACGAGTGGGAGCATTTGGTATTTAACTTTCTGCTCCTGGTTTATTTTGTGTAACAGGGTGTCCTCTGATTTCATCCACATTGGCATGAATGACAGGATTTCATTGTTTTTTGTGTGTGTTTTTTGTTTTTTGAGACAGAGTCTCACTTTGTGACCCAGGCTGGAGTGCTGTGGCACAATCTTGGCTCACTGTAACCCCCACCTCCTGGGTTCAAGCAATTCTCCTGCCTCAGCCTCCCGAATAGCGGGGATTATTGGTGCGCACCACAAAACCTGGCTAATTTTTGTATTTTTAGTGGAGACGGTTCCACCATGTTGCCCAGGCTGGTCTTGAACTCCTGACCTCAGGTGATCCACCCACCTTGGCCTCCCAAAGTGCTGGGATTACAGGTGTGAGCCACCACACCCAGCCTAGGATTTCATTTTTTTTAATGGCTGAATGGTATTCCATTGTGTATCTATACTACATTTCTTTATCCATCCTTCTCTTGATGGACACTTAGACTGATTCCATATCTTGGCTATTGTAAATAGTGCTCCAATAAACTTGAGGTTGTGGATGTCTTTTCAACGTACTGATCTCTTTTCCTTTGGGTCAATACCTGGTAGTGGGATTCCTGGATCATGTGTAGTCCTAGTTGTAGTTTTTTAAGGAACCTCCTTAATGTTCTCCATAGTGGCTGTACTAGTTTACATTCCCACCAAGTGTATAACAGTTCCCTTTTCTCTGCATCCTCACCAGCATTTGCTATTTTTTGTCTTTTTGATGATAGCCATTCTAACAGGGGCAAGATGATACCTCATTGTGGTTTTGATTTGCATTTCTTTGATGATTAGTAATGTTGAGCATTTTTTCATATATTTGTTGTCCATTTGTGTGCCTTCTTTTGAGGAAGGTCTGTTCAGATCATTTACCCATTTTAAAATCAGATTGTTTTTATGTTGCTAAGATGCATGAATTCCTTGTATATTGTGCATATAAATCCTCTGTCAGATGAATGGTTTGCAAGTATTTTCTACCATTCTGTAGGTTGTCTTTTCACTGTTGTTTTCTTTGCTGTGCAGAAGCGTTTTAGTTTGATATGATGTTATTTATTTATTTTTTCTTTTCTTGACTCCTTTTGAAGTCTTATTCATAAAATGTTTTCTAAGACCAATGTCTGGAAGTGTTTCCCTTATGTTTTCTTCTAGTTCCATATCTGAGTTTTAGGTCTTTAAACCATTATAATTAGATTTTTATAAAGGGTAAGAGGTGAGAGTCTAGTTCCATTCTTCTGCATATAGATATTCAGTTTTTACAGCCCCATTTATTGAAAAGATTGTCCTTTCCTCAGTAGATGTTCTTGAGGCCTTTGTCAAAAGTCAGTTGGCTATAGATATGTGAATTAATTTATAGGTTCTCTATTCTGTTCCACTGGCCTCTGTGTCTGTTTTTATGCCAGTATCATGCGGTTTGGGTGACTACAGCATTGTAGTATATTTTGAAGTCTGGTAGTGTGATGTCTTCAGCTTTGTTCTCTTTGTTTAGGATTACTTTGGCTATTCAAGGCCTTCTGTGGTTCCATACAAATTTTAGGATTTTTTTTTCCCTATTTTTGCGAAGAATGTCCTTGGTATTTTGATGGGGATTGCACTGAACATGTATGGCCATTTTACCAATATTGATTCTTCTAATCCATGTGCATGAGATATTTTCTCACTTGTTTGTATCCTCCTCAATTTCTTTCATAAGTGTTTTGTAGTTTTCATTGTAGAGGTCTTTTGCTTCCTTTTGGAAGTATCTGCCCACAAGATACTGCTTGGAGGGCTGCTTCTCAGCCTGGGATATGGGCACAGGGATAATTGGCTGACTCGAGGGCTTTCCCACCAGGGGTGGCCTGCAGACTATTTCTCAGTCCTGGCATGTGAGCGCAGAGCTGTTCAGATAGCCAAGGAGCATGTCTGTCAGGGGCAGCACACAGGTCTGTTTCGCAGGCTCTAATTGTGGATACAAAGCTGTTGGGCGGGACTGGGGCTTGTCTGTAGTGGGTGGGGCACTGTGCGGCTGTTTCTCAGGACCTGGGTGTGGGCACATAGCTGCTCCTTCAACCCAGAAGCATGTTGGCTGCTTGGAGATATGAGGGCTTCTCCCGCTTGGGGAAGGGCATTCACCAGTTTGGCTGGCTCGAGGGTGAGTTCACCCTGGGCAGGACTGTTCCTCTGGTTCTAAGTGAGGACAGTAGGAGTTGCCTTCCTTGCTGTGCAAGACCAAAGTTACGGCTATCCCTGGGCCTAGAATTCGCACTGCTGGGTTTGTGGCAGTCAGTAACCAATGTGAGCTTAGTGGAATGAAGATGGAGTCCCAGTGCAGTGGCTGCTGACCCCAGAGCAAGGCATACTACAGAGTCATCTCTAGTCTTGAGATAGTGCCACGCTGCAGCAGCTTGGCTCACAGGGCATGGGTGGGGAATAAGGAGTGCACACTTTGTACTCCTAATCCAGCGCAATGCAGCTGTGAGAATTCTGGGTATCTCTCCAAACTGGGCTCCGGGCTTGCAAGGACTGTGAAATTCTCTTATAAGGACTGTAAGTGCTTGTGGTCGCAATGGGGGCTGGTGCGGTTCTTCTCCTTACCTTTCCCCTGCAACAGGAAGTCCCTCCTGATTCTGGCTGGATATGATCCAGGTGGGGAAGATGGGACCGCAGAGGCTGAGTGTCTCCATGCTGTCCTCCCGGACTTTCAATCACCACAGGTGCATCTCCACTACCTCTCTGCACCCCAGAGTTCTTCCTTTGACACACCATCCAAATCTCATCTGTTTATTTGTTGCCTTGCTTCTTTCTTGTGGGGAGGATGAGCACCAGGTGTCTCTAATCAGTCATCTTTCTAATGTCCCCCAAAAGTGTGTTTCTGAGGCAAAAAAAAAGATTTACAGCAAACTAATAACTGAGTTTCCAGTTCTTCGGTCAACTACAGCTGAGCTAAAGTCTTAGTTAGCAAAATTTAAAAGTCTGAATTGTTAGGAGATAAGAAACTTTTAATCTGAAATCCAATTTCTACTGTAATTCAGGGGCACTTTGTTTAGAGGAATGACTGTGTGTAGGAGCATTGTGATAAATTGTAAGGAAATGACACAGCAAACACTATTCTACTAGTGTAATAAAATATTCTCTACCCTGGTTTTTATAGACAGCCTGTACATAGTATTTATATTCCTTTCCAAGTCACTTATTTACCTGTGATGCTGTTTCCTACTTTTGCTGACAGTTCCATTAGTCGGTTAAAAAACATATGGGGTAGAGGAGCTTTTGCAAAAGGTGACTTAAATTAATGGTAAGGTTGATGCTATTTTCCCTTGTTTGACTAGTTGAACATTACATGGGTTCCAAACTTAGTGTCTTCCAGTGTGTGGCAGGTTACATCCATGTGTAGAACAAAGCCCGGGAGGGGGGCGACTGCATCAACACAGGGAGCATGCTCTTTCTGAAAAAACAAAAACAAAAATGAGAAAAAACGCTGCTAACTATTTTGTTGTCATGAGGAGTTGTGGGCCATTATTCATGGAACTTCTGATATTTCAAGAGAAGTAAAAATATTTTATATGAAGTCTACTGTTTACAAAATATTGTCAATTAATTGATATTAAACAAATACCGTGCAGGCCAAACCAAACTAGCCCTCGGACCAGAAATGCTCTATGGGTTTATAGCTTCAACACTGGAACATCTCTCAATATGATCAGTTGTGGATTATATACTTTCACCCTTTTAAGCACTTATTTTAAGGGTTTAGTGGGGGTCAAGTAGAATATGGTTATTGCTTAACTCAGTTTACTACTGCTACCTAAAACCATGGTTGATATTTAACTGGCTTTCACTGTTACATTGCGTTACCAAGTATTCATTCTGATTGATTGGTACCATGTGGTCAAAGGGGTTAAAGTTTTTGAACATTATTTCTGCCCCAAATTAATAAACAACACTTCTTACTAGCATGATTTAGATATGGGTTTACCTGTACATTGGGAGTTTTTTCCAAGTGTGTTTATTCCAAGCATTGTGGAATTTCTCAGTTCCTTATAAGACTACCTTACAGACGTAGTTTATAATATTTTCAATAATAATTTGTCAGACTGTATTCTCACTCATTCAATTTTGGGATATTATTTGATGACTCCTCCCCAGAAGCCTCTTTTAATGACTAGTCTGACTGACATTTGGTGAAAAAGCAGTAGTTTTCCTTCATCTGTATTCTTCAGAGAATCATGGAATAGTAGCTGTCCCTTCCATTTAGGTCTTGCTTTTGATAAATTAATTGATGAATTGTCTTCAGCTTAATATGAATATAATTAGTTCAATTGTCAATTATGTTAGACTTTTAAAAGAGTGTTCTGAATATGTGATCATATGACATACTATTTGTAACATGCTTTTTTTTCACCCCCAAATAACAATTTACAGGATCTCAATATTGAGGCCAGAAGAGATTACATAGAGATTATAGGCTCTGCCTGTAATCCCAGTGCTTTGGGAGCCAAGATGGGAGTATTGCTTGTAGCCAGAAGTTTGAGACAAAGCTGGGCAACATAGCAAGACCCCATCTCTACAAAAAATTAAAAAATTAGCTGAGTGTGGTGGTACATGTCTGTACTCCTAGCTACTTGGGAGCCTGAGGGGGAGGATCACTTGAACCCAGGAGTACAAGGTTACAGTGAATTATGATCATACCACTGCACTCCAGGCTGGGTGACAGAATGAGACTCCATTTCTAAAGTAAAAAAGTATATATATTGAAAAAATTGCTTGAAAACTTTGAGAGTAGAAATTATCTTTATAGTATCTAATCTATCCAGTCAAATGAGCTGGCAGTGGAAGGAGCACTGGACTTAGAGTCGGAAGGCATGGCCTTTTCTCTTTTGCCAATCAATGTGACATTTAGATTTTCATTATTATCATTATCATTATTATTATTAAGATTTAAAAAAAATTGTGGGCTAGAAATGTAACTTTCTTCGTGGCAGAATTTTATACTTATTTTTATTTCATATTTGCTCTTCCAACTAAGAAAGAAAAAAAGTACAGATCTCTGGAGCCTGTAGTGTTTGAAACTTATTAGCTGTGTTTCCTCTGGCTACAGAACTCAAAAAGGAGTTTTTCAAGTTGCATTCAGAAAAGCAGTCTGTTTTTCTGACCTGCAGTGTTGCTAGTAATTGTAAGCCAGGTGTTACTCTTGGAAAATGAAAGTACTCATTATTTTAAAATAGTATGGTGTGGAGGGCCAACTGTAAGACCTGGAGCTGTTTGCTGTTTACACACATGTGGACAACTTCTCTGGTCAAAAGTGATAAACAAATGAATCTTTCAGCCTCCATTCTTCAGCCTCTCAAATATATTTCTGAAGAGGGCATTGTTCCAGGGTTCTCTCTGAACAACTCCCACCCCTGAAGTTGGAAAGTCTTGACTATTTCAATGTCCTTCCCTTGCATCATATTGCCTGGGCAGCACGCCCTTACTGTTGTTGCTTTGTTAACTGTTAGATACTGAGTTATATTAACATGAAAGGACATAAGGAATCAGAAATGAAGCCTCCAACTAACAATATGACAAAGCTGATCGACCAATACATCTTTGATTTGGTTTTAAGAGGTTGCAGTGGAAGTGGATAGGAGGTGTGAAATTTCTGATTCCAACTTGAGTCTGATTCTAGCCCGTGCCTTGGGGATGTTTATAAACCTGAGAGGGAGGAAAACTGAGGGGGAAAGGAAGAGGGAGGAAAAGGTAGAGGAAGGGAAAGGAAGAGGGAGGAAAAGGTAGAGGAAGGGAAAGGAAGAGGGAGGAAAAGGTAGAGGAAGGGAAAGAAAGAGGAAGAGAGAAGAAGAGAAACAGGGAGAGAAGGAGAGTGCCTGATCCTGATCCATAGTATAATAGCCTCCCTAGCCTGATTACAGTTCTGCTTTTACACTTAACCACTGCTCTTTTGGGTACTGGGCTATTGAAGAACAATATTCCAAATTTTCTGAAAGTTCTTTCCAGCTGAGAGTATCTCTAGGCACTGGCTTAATTCTTTCAAAGTCTCATGACCACACCCTTGATTTTTATCTTTACCTTGAGGCCAAGTCTTAATGTGAAAATATTTATCTGGCATGAGACAGCAAAGATGAAAAACAACTTTAGTTTCTATTCTAATAAATTCTAGCATCTCTTAATTCCCCATATTCTCCTTGTAAACTGTGTGTGTGTTTTTGTCGACATTTGTTTCTTTCTTGTAGTACTTTATATACAACTAGTAAGAGTCAGCTGATATTTTCAACATTCTGCCTGGAGATCAAGTCCAAAAATTCATAAGGTACATTTTATATCTTCAAGTTATCTTAAGTGACCAGTTCTAACAGATGTTTCATGCCGACGTAGCATGGGTGATCATTTCTTCGATTTGCTCTAACAGTTGCCTCATCATTTTTCCAGGCTTTGTTAGTAGTATCATTGACACTTTTCCAGCTTCTGTTTGCTACCTACCTCATCCAAAGCTAATTCCACATATGTCTGTTTTATGCTATGGTAGCACGTTCCTTATAGGTACTAATTACCCATTGCCATAATAATGCTGCATAATAAACAACACAAAATGCCTCTTGAAACAATAAAAATTTATTTAGTGCATGAGTCTGTGGGCCAGCAACTTGGTTCTTCTGGTCTCACATGCATGGAGATGGGTTGCATATTAGCTGCTCTAGTATAACTCATCTGGGATGATTGAGATAACCTGGTTCTGTTTTACCTTTAGTAGGGTTAGTAGGTTAGTCCAGGTATGTGTCACAGCAAAGTCAGAGGATTAAGAGACTGTTAGTGTGAAAGATTTTTTCAAGCCTCTGCATGCATCTGCTCTTGTCCTGTTGGCCAAAGCATGTAAGATGGCCAAACTCAGAATCAAAGTGCAAAGAAGTACACTCCTCTATAGTGAGAGGAAATGCAAAGTCACATGGCAAAGGGCATAGATACAGGAAGAAGTTGAGAGTTGGGCCATTGCTGCCATCAGCCTGCCAAATTATCTCACCAGTATTTAATATGGGACAGTACCTCACCCATATTCTTTGGACTTCATTATTTCAGCATGCTCCAAGGAGACAGTGACTTCCAACTGGCAGTATTTGTATCCTCTTCCCAAGGGTTTCCTTCTACTAAATAAAGGACCAGTCTGCCCATGCAAACTCCAGGCTGGAGGTTCTAGGGAATTAGCCCTGTCTCCACTTGACATATTCAATTCAACCCTCAAACAATAAATGATAGGAGTTGGTTTATGAAAATGCCAGCTTTCTTATCCCTCTAGTTGAATAATTTGTAGGCGTATATTTTATACAATTTTCCAGAGCTCTAACGTATTAGGCACTGGCAGTGCACAATGGTAGCTGGCTTCATAATACAACTTTTATCCTTGGCCAGTTTCACTTATGTACTCTCCTAATGCTTAATTCTGTAAAAATAAATTGCTTACACTTGAAATCTTTTCTTTTTTCTTTTTCTTTTTTTTTTTTTTGAGATGGAGTTTCACTCTTGTTGCCCAGGCTGGAGTTCAATGGCACCATCTCGGCTCACCTCAACCTCCACCTCCCCAGTTCAAGCAATTCTTCTGTCTCAGCCTCCCAAGTAGCTGAGATTAAAGGCATGTGCCACCATGCCCAGCTAATTTTGTATTTTTAGTAGAGACGGGGTTTCTCCATGTTGGTCAGGCTGGTCTTGAACTCCCGACCTCAGGTGATCTCGCTCACCTCGGCCTCCCAAAGCGCTGGGATTACAGGCGTAAGCCACCACACCCGGCCATTGAAATCTTTTCGTATGGTTTGCTGGGAACCTAAATTAATAGACTACACAATTGAACTCTCATTTTTCTTCTGATTCTGAGTTCACGTTGCATATTTACACTATGCATAAAAACCAGTTCTCAGTATGTATCCCCTTCCTAATTTTCAGGAGTTTTAACACTAAGGTCTTTTCAGTGCTTATACTGTTTAGGTTCATTAGTAAGAGTGTGTCTTTTTCGGTTTTCTGTAGCTTATAACAGAATACCTGAAACTGGGTAATTTATAAAGGAGAGGAATTTATTTCTTACAGTTATGAAGGCTGAGAAACCCAAGGTCGAGGGGCCATATCTGGTGAGGGCCTTCTTGCTGGTGGGGACTCTGCAGAGTCCTGAGGTGGTACAGGGCATCACATGGTGAGGTGGCTGAGTGTGGTAGCTTAAGTCTCTCTTTCTCTTCTTATAAAGCCACAAGTCTCACTCCCATGAGAACCCATTAATCCATTAATAGATTCATACGTTCATGAGGGTAGAGCTGTTAGGACCCAATCACTTCTTAAAGGCCCTATTTCTCAATACTGCCACATTGGAGATTAAGTTTCAACATGAGTTTTGGAGGGGACAACCATTCAAAGCATAACAGAATCCTTTAATTGTCATAAGCTTTCCTAATTATTAGCTTTAGTATGATCTAAGTATCAATTTTACTTTTGTTTTCCAGCTTATAGAAGAATACGACATACAGAAAAATATATATTCTGCAAAGAAAACACAGTTATGTAGGGAACCTTTCCATCCCCAGTCTGGACCCAGGTAATGGGTCCTTGCTTAGAGGAATATTTCTTCCACTCATATCATCTTTCTTTTTTGTCCCATTTTTTTTTTGTTTGAATAAAACTCATTTGGACTTTTCCTTTCTTCCACCAATAAAGAAAGAATATTATTGACTTTTAATTATAATTTTAAAAACCCCATTTTTTTGTGTTTTAGAAACAGGGTCTTACTCTGTTGCCTAGTCTGGAGTGCAGTGGCACAACCACGGCTCACTGCAATCTAGAACTCCTGAGCTCAAGCGATCTTCCCACCTCAGCCCTCTGAGTAGCTGGGACTACAGGTACATCCCATCACACCCAGCTAATTATTTAGTTAAGAAATGGGTCTTGCTTTGTCGCCTGGGCTTGTCTTGAACTCCCGGGCTCAAGCAATCCTCCTACCTTAGCCTCCCAAAGTGCTGGGATTACAGACGTGAGTCCCTGTGCCTGGCCACAAAACATATTTTAAAATCTGTTTACATCTGCCTAGATTTCCAGTTGGTGTTGTAGTCCATTAACTCTTTATTCTGCTACATCCAAACTGCTATTAAATCCATATATCAAATTCTTAATTTTTGTTACTTTATTTTGCAGTTCTCAAATTTCTATATGATTATTAAGTCTATTCCTTTGATGAAACTCCCCATCTTACCCTCTATTTCCTAAATATTTTAAGCACTTATTTTAATTCTGTGTTGCTAATGACAATATCTGCATCATCTGTGAGTCTTTTCCCGTTGTCGATCTTTTTATGTTGTTCCTATTTGTTGTGTTATTGCTATATTTTGTATATCTGGTAGATTTTTGTTGAATGCCAGATACTGAATATAAAAAACCAGGGATGATGTGGATTGTGTTATAGCTTTCCTGAGAGAGTTTGCCCTGTCCTCTGGTTGGAAGCTATAGTGGAGGCAAATCACTTTAATCAAGTAAATGAGAAGACCAAATGCTGGGTTTCAGTCTTCTTAAGATTGGTTTCCTGGAGTGCTATAGCCCCTAAAGGTCTCGAATGAGAGTATGAAGTGTTCTCTGTTGCTCCTCTCCCTTAGTGAGTCATGGCCTCCAGTTTTGTCTTCTCAGCACTAAAAGATGTTTAAAAACTCTGATTTGATTTTCAACGGCTGTATGCTTGGCTTCCTAGCCTCTCACTCTAATCAGCTTACTTCAGAAAATGCTTTTATAGGAAAATGACCTTAGTATTATGCTTACTTTTTCACACCTCTCTTCTCTCCAGGCTTGTACTCATAAATCCTGGCTGCCTTCACAGCATCAACCTATAATTTTTTGTCCACCTCGACTTATGAATTATCAAGAGCTCTCTTAGATTATCTGCCTTTTAGCAGGGGCTGAGGATTATTAATATTCCAGCCTATATTTAGAATTGGCAAATGCCATTAAGGGTAAGTGACATTCAGAATTTGTCTCACCTTTCTACATTTCTCTTCTCTCTGGGATCTTGACACCTCAGATTCTTATCACTTTGGAAGCTCTCCCATGCCTTCAAACAAATGTTTTTTTTCTTTTTAAATTTTACTTTTCTTTTCTTACTGTTAATCGGTTAAATAGCCCCCTCTTGCATACCTCTTACATGTACATGTAGTTTCTTCTACTTACTCTTAGGTCAATTTTATTAAATCTGGAGGGAGATAGTAGATTATGAGGACCTAGGAAGGAGGGTATAATGGACAGATGCCTTGCTTGATCAGCCTCTATTTCTCCTTCTTCCTAATATTATTTATTATTATTATTTGGAAAGCCACTTCTGAGAAGTGGAAAGCCACTGTCAGTCCTTGTGTTTTTCGGTGGGATAAACCCAGTTTCTGGGGTCTAAGAATGGGAGGTGGGTGGGTAGGTGTGGCAGGCATGCTACTCAGGCTGGCCCATGACTATGTTCCATCTCTCCTATCGGAGGGCTTGAGTCCGGGAAAGATATGGGACCCTAGTCAGCCCAAAGAATGTCAGCACTGGACTTCTACAAAAGTTAGTGGGAAAGTGATATTGTTTCCACTGAGGTTTCTCAGCTGGTAGATTTAAGGCCAGAGCTGCTAATGGCCTTTTTTGCCTTTGTACGTGCAGGACCTGTGAGAGAAAGCCGGGGAAGCAGAACCCTTTGATGGAGACAACAGAGTCAGGACAATATTGTTTAAAACTCCTAAATCCAAACATGCCTGAAGCTATAAGTTACTTCTGAAATTTAAAAATTTGTAAGTAAATTATTTTTTTTCTCCCTAAGCCACTTATAGCTAAAATAGGCCTGACTATGTGGAGAGTACCAGTAGGTGTGAGGGAGGGGAGACAGATGAAGTGACATCTCAAGAGAACTCACTGATTTGATTGGCTGGATATAGAGCCTGTGGGAGAAAGAGGAGACAAAGATAAATGTGAAGTTATTTAAATGGTTTGTGATGCTTTTAACCCAAGGAAAGATATGATTGATGTAGAAACAACTTTTCCTTTTACATATCCAATCCACATATAAAAACATATTTAAATCATAAACTGTAAGGATGGTAAACTAGAAATTTGTAGCTGCTTCTCAGTAGCAAAGTTTTTTCTTTAATTATTGTTGGCTTAAAATTTTTGATAAGTTATATCTCTAAGGGTATACAAAGTAACTTGTTGAATTTGCAAAGTGCTTTGTGGATTTCAAATTACTTTGGAGTCTGTCATTTGACCCTCACAAGAACCATATAGTAGGTGGGAGAGTTAACATCGTCCCTTATTTACCAATGAGTGTACTGAGGTACAGAGAGGTTAACATAATTAACTAAGGAAACCGAGCAAATATCTTGGAGGGATGGTATGAGAACCCAAATTTGCCAGTCCAGTGCTTTACCATATATCATTCAGTTCTCCAATTCCTAGTAATTATAGTTACTTATAATCAATGATAAAATTATAGCCAGTGACCAAGTTACCCAGAAACATTCCAAAAATGGCATCAAATTTTCTTTTAAGCATTATAAAATATATTTAATCAAGTCAGAGCTATTCTAAAAGAATAATAATAACTAGAACGATCTTGGATGACTGGCTTAGCCAGAGTCCCCATGTAGATCTGAGTGCTCATTGTGGGTCATGGCCACTTTCTTATATCTCAAATATCCTCTGCAATTCTGGAAGGGGGAGAAGGTAAAAATAGGAGAGGATTCTGGCTCAAAGGGGGAGGGTTCTGTAAACTGGAAGTATGACTTTACATGGTGAAACATTTTCTTGCTAGTTATGTAATTCTGATATGCTTTTAACTTCCAGTTCCTAGGAAAGAAGTTGTTTCAACTCTCATTGGAGGAAGTATAAGGTGATCTCAGGGAAGGCGAGAAGGGCTGGTTGCCTGCCAAATCTATAATCAAGTCGGCTCCACAGTCAGTTGAGTAAACAGGAGTTATTATATATATGAGAAGTTTTGGCCAGGAAAAAGGTGTAAATAGGTTAAGTAAATTGACAAGGAACAACATATTGGGTCATTAGTCAAAACTCATCATGTGGTCTACATAACATAAACATCAACATAAATGCAACTCATCTTCCCAAATAGCTACACACTTAATTTTCAAGTGCTCACAAAATGGAGCTTGATTTCAATTAATACTAAATAGTTTTATGCCATTTCCAAATTTTCGTTTCTTTGTGGGAATGTAGGAAATGTTGAGACTAATGCAAAGACTTTCTGAACACAAGAAAAGGCTTTACTTTGTATAATTATCTGGTTTGATGTTCTGTTGCTAAGTGAAATAGTGTTTACATCATGTGTTTTCAGAACCAAAACTGTGTATTGAATTTCATCCAAATCATTTAGTTAAGTCTAAGTTTACAAAGGAAACTAATGATCTGGCTTTATTTCAATGTATTGATTCTGGATTCATGAGCGTGTGTCAAAACGCGATTACATACTCTCTAATTTCTGTACAAGCTCCCTACCCTAAGCTTACCCCTGCTAAGAAATCCTTGGTGTATTGATTCTTCATTTCATCTTAAACTAGTACTTAGGTAAAAATATGATTAGGGCCCTTTTTCTTCACTTGAGAAAAGAGGAGACAATAATTCATGTGATAAATCAATATTATTCCAAATAAAACCAAAAAGCAAATTCTAGAAAGGGCAAACCAATGTTAGATTTGGACAAGACTTTGTGGAACTTAGGATGATTGAGATCTGTCTAGTGTCTCAGGTGCCCTCTTCAATTTTGGCAGAGGCAAAGGTGGAAATGGGGAGAGGACTCTGGCTCAAGGTGGAGAGGGGCTTCCACAAATTGGCAAATGTCACTCTACATAGTTTTGAAAACAGAAAACGACCTTGCTTTATAAAATTCTGTGGTTTGATGTTCTGTTGCTTTGTGAAATGCTTTTTAGAATATATATTAGATACCTATATATAATTTTATATTATATGATAGGAAGAGGGGCAGAAAAATAATTGCTTTCTTATCACTAACTCTCTAACAAAATATTTCCTTTCTTACTTCACCTGAAATTGGGTGCTTAAGGGAGGGGATGGGAAGATGAGGCAGCTTGGAAAGGTCAGGCTGGGGGACAAGACGAGTAGGAAGAAGACAGATGGTGTTTTTCAGAATAGATGGCCTCTGATCAGAAGTAGAGGCATCATATTGACATTGCCAAAAAGATGGGCTCTCAAGCTCTCTCCTACTGTAGTTTTAAAAATAAAATATTCTTGTCTTATACAAATTAGAACATGTCCTAAAAATATGTTGGGTGCTCAGGTGCTGTACTCATAATGCTCACTAGTTAGCAACCTATCTGACACTTTATACCTTACTTGAAGGCCCCAATTAAATGCTAATAGAAGTTGCCTTTGATTTTGCTGCAGTTTTGTGTATTTCTTATTTTAATGGAATACTTCATATGTATGTTTTACTTCAAGTAGGAGGTAGGATGGTTGTCTCCAGAGGGTAGGGTGTGGGGGAGGGAGGGAATGGGGAGCTGTTGATCAAAGGGTACAAAGTTTCACATAAAGAGGAAGAACAGGTTTTTGAGATCTATTGAATAGCAGGGTGACTATAGCCAATAATAATGTATTTATGTCTCAAAATAACTAAGAACAAATTTGAAATATCTCACCATAAAAAATAATGGGTAATCAAGGGGTTGAATATGTTAGTTTGGTTTAATCATTCCACATTGTATTCATGTAGCAAAACATCACATTGTATCCCATAAATGTATATAATTGCAATTTGTCAATCAAAAATAATATTAATAATTTAAAATTTTTATTTCTTTGTCTTGACTTTATCCTTCTAAGTAGGAATTGTACGTATGTCATAGCTAATATTATTTTTTCTTAGTCTTAAAAATATGTCTACAGTTTATCTGTTAAGTATGATGTTTGTTATAAAGTTTTGGTAGTTAGCCTTTAACAATTTCTTTTTTCATAATTAGGCTTTTCATTTTTGTCCACTTTTTCTTGGGCCAATTCTGGTAATTTATATTGACAATTTAGTATTATATGTATAATCATGTAACATATGTTATATATGACAACTTAGAACTTCATATAAAACCAGTTATGTAACTTGTTTCAAATTCATTGTGTTCTTTTATGGATGAGGATATTTTGACTCTCACACACCCAAATACTGCTATATATCCTAGTTGCCTGTTTCTTTTAGGACACCTCTGCTAGTGGTGTACAGAACTTTCACTCTTTTGTGTTAGAGAATTATGCGCTTATTAATACATTTTGTATTTTTTTGTTTTTATTTTTTTCTTATTTCGATAGCTTTTGGGGTACAAGTGGTTTTTGGTTACATGGATGAAATACATAGTGGCGAATTCTGAAATTTTAGTGCACTCCTCACCCGAGTTGTGTACATTGTACCCAATATGTAGTTTTTTGTCCCTCACCCCTCTTCTACCCTCCCCCCTCTTCCACCCTCCCCCTTCTGAGTCTCCAAAGTCCATTATATCACTCTATTTGCCTTTGTGTACTTATAGCTTTGCTTCCACTTATAAGTGAGAACATACAGTGTTTGGTTTTTCATTCATGAGTTACTTCACCTAGAATAATGGCCTCCAGCTCCATCCAAGTTACTGCAGAAGGCATTATTTCATTCCTTTTACGGCTGAGTAGTATTCCATGGTGTGTATATACTACATTTTCTTTATCCACTCATTGATTGATGGACACTTAGATTGGTTCTATATCTTTGCAATTGTGAATTGGGTTGCAATAGACATATGTGTTCATGTGTCTTTTTCATATCATGATTTCTTTTCCTTTGGGAAGATACCCAGTAGTGGGATTTCTGGATCAAATGGTTAGATCTACTTTCAGTTCTTTAAGGAATCTCCATACCGTTTTCCATAGATGTTGTACTAATTTACATTCCCACCAGCAGTGTATAAACATTCCACTTTCACCAGATCCAGGTCAACATCTATTGTTTTCTGTTGTACTAATTTACATTCCCACCAGCAGTGTATAAACATTCCACTTTCACCAGATCCAGGTCAACATCTATTGTTTTCTGGCTTTTTAATTATGGCAATTCTTGCAAAGAGTAAGGTGGTATCTTTTCCTTTGGGTAGATGCCCAGTAGTAGAATTGCTGGATTGAAGGATAGATCTACTTTTAGTTTTTAAGAAATCTCCGTACTGTTTTCCATAGAGGTTGTAATTCTTCTTTTCTGATTTGGATGCCCCTTATTTATTTCTCTGGACTGATGGCTCTGGCCAGAACTTCCAGTCCTGTGTTGAATAGAAGGGGTGAAAGTGGGCTTCCTGGTCTTGTTTCAGTTCTCAGGGGAAACGCTTTCAACTTTTCCCCATTTAGTATGATGTTGCCTGTGGGTTTGTCATATATAGCTTTTATTAACTGGAGGTAAGTACCTTCTATACCTAGTTTGTTGAGGTTTTTATCATAAAGCGATGCTAAATTTTATCGAATGCTTTTTCTACATCTATTGAGATGATCACATGGTTTTGTTTTTAATTCTGGTTATGTAGTGTATCACATTTATTGATTTGCATACATTAGACCATCCCTGCATCCCTGGGGTGAAACCCGCTTGATCGTGGTGTATTTTTTGATGTGCTGCTGTATTTGATTAGCAAATACTTTGTTGAGGATTTTTGCATGTATGTTCATTGGGGATATTGGTCTGTAGTTTTCTTTTTTTGTTATGTCCTTTCCTGGTTTGGGGATTAGGGTGATACTGGCTTCATTCTCTTATTTCTGTGTGACTGGTATGCAGAGATAAAGGTTTCACCATTTGTACAAATTTGCAGTTTTAATGCGAAATATGTTTTTTAGCTATTTGATTTTTTCTTTCTTAATAAATTGAATGAGTATACACACACCTATTTTGATGCTGTGTGCATTTAAAACCTCATGTACTTTGTCATTCTAGCTTTATATTGCAGACTCCCTTACTGTATTGTCTGGACTTACTTCTGCCCACCACCTTGCTTACTCTATAGGCTGGAGGGGTGAATGCCAGGGATGAGGTAAAATTTTGGTCATATATATGACTGATTTTTTACAAAGATGAAATTAAAATTATTTCTTTAGGGCCATGTAATATCACCCAAATCATGTTGTTCAAAGAGTACAAACTTTCACTTACAAGATGAGTAAGTTCTGGGAATCTAATATGCAGCATGATGACAATAGTTAATAATACTGTACAGATGTTCCTTGACTTACAATGGAGTTATGTTCCAACAGACTCAACGTAAGCTGAAAATATTGTAACTCAGTGATGTCCCATCTTTTGGCTTCCCTGAGCCATGCTGGAAGGATTGTCTTGGGTCACACATAAAATACACTAGCACTAATGAAAGCTGATGAGCTAAAAAAAAAAATGACAAAAAAATCTCATAATGTTTTAAGAAAATTTACAAATTTGTGTTGGACCTCATTCAAAGTCATACTGGGCTGCATGTTGCCCATGGGCCATGGTTTTGACAAGCTTGTTGTAACTTACAAATGTATTTAATACACCTAGGCTACAGAATATCATAGGTTAGCCTAGCCTACTTTAAATAAGCTCAGAACGCTTATATTGGTGTACTTGGGCAAAATCACCTAACACAAAGCCTATTTAGTAATAAAGTGCTGAATATCTCATGTAATTTATTGAATACTGTACTGAAAGTGAAAAACAGAATGGTTATATGAGTACTTAAAATGCAGTTTCTACTGACTGACTTTTACACAATCTTAAAATTGAAAAATTTTAAGTAGAGAACTCTCTGTATTGTATCCTTGAAATCTGCTAAAAGAGCAGGCCTTAAAAGTTCTCACTACACACCCAGGTAACTATGTGAAGTGATGGAGGTGTTGACTAACTTGATATCACTTCAGAATATTTACATATATCAAAGCATTGTAACTCAATTGCAGATTCAGTCACTCGATGCTTGCCGAGTCCAGTTTACAAGAGTGAGGTCTGATATAAAGAAAGTGACTTTTTAATCCAAAGCTTAGCTTGTGGAAAGAAGTCCAGGCTCTTGCCTTTAAAGGCACTGCTTCACTTTTGGGGCAGAAAGCCAGAGCTTTTAAAGGGGAACTTGGCGTGAATGGCAGGCAGGGAAGGAGCAGTTGGGGGTCTAGGCGACTTGCTTTGTTGCCTTATCTACCCAGTGGTTGAGCTAGTGCTAGATTGTAAGGTGGCTGTGGTCTGGAGATACTCTCCAGATGGGAGAGAGTTTCCTGTGGGCAAACTTTAGGTTGTAAATTGACTCTTGTCTCTAGAGGCAATCTTCTGGTGGGAGAGATTTCCGGCTCTGGGGCTTCTAGGTATGCACACAGTTAGGTGAACTTGTTCTGTAGTGAGTGTCTGGTGAAGGCAAGGTAGAGGTTCTAATTGCATTTCTAAAGAGTTAAGTAGGAAGTGGAGAACACGGGCAGAGGAGGAAAGAGAAAAAAAGAAAAAAAATTCAAAAAATAACTCATTCTCTTCCTCTTAGGGAAATGGCAGTACTGGGGTACAGCATCCCATTGTACACAAAACTTGTCTAACCCACGGCCCATGAGCTGCATGAAGCCCAGGAAGGCTTTGAATGTGGCTCAACACATTCAAAGAAAGTTTGTAAACTTTCTTTAAACATTATGAGATTATTTTGCAGTTTTTGTTTTAAGCTCATCAGCTCTCAGTAGTGTTAGTGTATTTTATGTGTGATCCAAAACAATTCTTCCTATGTGGCCCAGGGAAGCCAAAAGATTGGACACCCTTGCTGTACACCTTAAATACAGTTTTGTGTTTCAATTTTCCCTCAGTTAAGCTGGGAAAAAATGGCCATACCCAAAAATGACACATAAAATAGCTGTGTCAAATTTCTACTTTAATCTTGAATATCTTTCTTTTACAATAAATAAACTTCTCTCACATCATTTTTTAATGTTTCAGAGTGTTTCATTTTATGGATATTTCAGAACTCAATAAGTTCCTATTTATTTATTTATTTATTTGGACACTGTGGTAGCGTCTAATTTTTGCTAAATCTTGGGGCACATTCTTAAATTTCAAAACTGGAATTACTGAGTCTAGTGGGTCTTAAGACATATTGTTATCTGCCTCTCAAGAAGGTTTTGACTCACTTTAAATGAAGTCAAACATCTTCTCCATGTATTTAACATTCAAATATTTTGTATGTGTGATTGTTCTCTTAGCTTATTTTTTGAGTTTTCACTGAGTTAGAACAATTCCTTGGTTTACTATAAAAAGAGAAAAAATTCATTATGAGCCAAATGGATATTGAGAAATATATTCTGAGTTTTCTCTTTACAGAGGTTTTTGTTTTGTTTTTGCCTAGAGCATAGGGTTAACTGGACTAATTTACACTTTTCCATTAGCTTTATCTTGTTCAGGATAATATGAGCCAGTTTTCTTAACCCTAATAGGGCATATTTCTGTTTTTTCTTAACTCATTCTTTTTCTAGTGTATTGCTAAGTTTTCCAATTTAGTTCTTGCCTTAAAAATGACGTTGTCTAACATTATAATTGTAAAATACTAGAAAATGGCTTTGTCATTCTTGCTGCAGGCAGTCAACGACTCAAGATGACCCCTAGGTTAGCTGGAAATACATCTTGATTGGTACAGATTCCGGTTTCTAAGTGAATAAGCCGAGAACACACTGAGTGCCTGACGATGTGACATGCTATCATGTCACATGAAACTATCAGAACTTGCTAGGGTTCCAGATCCTGCACTAGAAATTCCTCCCACATGAGGGCTTTTTTTTTTCCTCCTGTGAGAAATAAACCAGAAGAAAGGAGAAGATGGATTTTTGTAATTTAGTTTCATGATTTTAAGGACCAAATCTCAGCTTTATTTCTCTAGAATAGGAAATAGAGATATCGTTGTCATCTTGTTTTTCTCACTTGATCTGATCTATGATCTGTTGAAACTTGATCATCTGTTCTTGCAAGTGAGGTTTTGTTGCTACATTTCTGAACTTCAAAATTAGAAAAATAATATCCTGAAGCTTCTGATACTTACAGTTGAGCAGACTTTATATTCTGTTTACACTTACCATTTTACATAAATCTTTATGCCTTTTATTTAGAAGACAAGATAAAAATTAAAAGAGAAAAAATATCCCACATATACATAATACCTCTCTATGGACTATTCTTTTGTGGGATAAGGTAGGTGGGAGAATGGGAGAGTAGCAGACCCATTCGAATACAAAACATATAAGTAACTATTATTTTTAAATTGGGGCCACTTGGACACCAAGATATTATTGCCTTTTTAAGAGATCCATGTTCTAGAGAACTGATTACCTTAAATAACTCATTTCTGTTTCCAAGCTTCTACTCACAAATGTACTAATGTCCTAAAGGGCATGAAGGAGATATGTGTATATATATATATATATATATATATATATATATATATATATATATATATATATACACATACATATATATATGTGGAACAGTGATATAGTAAATATGAACAGTAATATAGTAAATCACTCTTCTTCAAAATATATATAAACAGAGATATAGTAAATCACTGTTCTTTTATAAACTGGGACCCTATTCTATTTTTTATCCCCATAATAATATATTTTATAACTTCTGTTTAGAATATTGGCAGATAATAAAACTTGATTGCCTGATTTTCAATTTAAACACTTATCAATCAAATACATAAGTACTTGTTCAGGGTAGAGAAAAGTTAATACTTTATATTATCTATGTAACTCTGAAAGACAAGAAAGTTTCTGTACATTTACGGACTACAAATATAGAAGTTAAAGGAAATGCCTTCTAGCTGGCGTAATCTTAGGAAAAAAAGCAGACTGAAGTATTATAAATTGTTAGCAGAAGATGTGTAAAGATATGATCACCTAGATAATATAAATCAATTTTCTATTCTTGTGCTGAAGCCTAGACCCCACACGGCAGCCTGATGTAATTCCATTAACATGCTTAATTACTTGGCACTTGTATAGCCTTTTTATTTTTACTGTTATCCTGGTAAATCATTCAGAAGAAATAAATTAGCTTGCCACTCAAAATTAACTACTATGGTGCATTGCTGCCCCACCCCCCAAAAGATGAGTTGACAGCTACTGGGCGTTAATCTAGCCATTTTTTGATAACAGAGTATCTCTTTGCGCATAGTTATGATGAGAGGTATAAACATTCCAAATGTAATTATCTCAGTCCTTTACAACTTGAAAGTCTAATTAAAGAAAGTTTAAGACACTATAAATCTTAAGGAATTAGGTTTACGATGTGGAACCCAGTCAGTCAGAGCTTGGGATTACATTGGAAAGTGAGTATATTGAAAAGGATTGCAGAAACATTTCTCTCAGCCAGAATTTAATTGCTCAGAAAACTGAATTTCAGTAAAGTAGATGAAAAGTGGTAGGCAGAGAGACTCAGACCTATGACTGCTGAAGAAAGAGCTAATTCCATGTCCCTTTTTCTAGATGCCCTGTAATACACTTGTGTCAGTGATAAATGCTGCTTTGCTGTGCTACACCGAGTACAAGGTAGTGATAAGACATGACTGGGAAGCAGTTACCAGAGACAAGCAAGGATAGGGCTTTGAATGCATCCTCTGCTGGTGGCTTCTGTAGTTATGCATAAAATTTACTCTGACCTGTTTACTTTTATAGCCTGTCTTTACTTTGTTTCTTTTAATATTATACATGTTTAGGCTATGCTTTTTCTTTAAATATGTGAGCAAATCTATTGGTGTAATGTACTCATTACCCTAAAACCTATATTATAATGGACCCGAATACCATAAGGTAGAAGATCAGAAGAAAAAGAAAATGCATACATTTTTATCTTTAAAACAATTCACTTTTAAGATTATTTTCTTGAAAGGTATACGTTTGATGGAGCTGAATCTAGTTCCTTCAGGCAGATATAATAGGATACAATAGGATAGGACTTCTTGGGTAAAAAAGGTGTAGTAATCTGTGAGACTCATGGGAAGGAGAAAGGAAATTATTAATTAATTTGGCTGAGGCCAGGGTAGTAAGCAGATTCATTATAAATTCTGGCAGCAGAGGAATACTTGAGAAATGCTTATAAAGTTAGATCATCTATTTTTCCAAGCAAATTCTTCATGTCATTCCACCTTGTAAAAACTTTGTGGAAAAGAATAAGCACATGAATGAGCAATGAATAGACTTTGCATTAGATTGGTAATCTTGCTACTAGTACATTAATTTACTTGTATTACTGATATTTTAAGATAGGATTTTTACAGATGTTTATATATTTTTTAAAAGCCTATTTTTTTCTTTACCCATTTTCTCAATTTTTTTAACCTCGAAAACTTTTTCCTCCCTGAGAGAAATACATGGGCTATCTTCAGCATAGAACACAAACTCTGCCTTCTTTTCTCAAGTCCAGTGATTCAAGTTTGACACACCACACCACGGTGGATGTGCCTTGTCATGACACATCTCAGCAGCACTAGAAGATACATCCAAAGTCCTGTGAGCAAGGTAAGCCTTGTAGCAACCCTTTGATGTCTTTGAAAAATGCAAAAATGCTCACCGATCAGGAGCAAAGGGGCCAAAAGAGAAGTATTTCCCCCTCACATGTAGTTTTTATTTTTTTAGCGTATTTTTTGTTTTTCTCTAAATCAAACTCAGACTTACTCTGTTTACACTGAAATACACTGCATAGTGCCATAGGTGTAATCAGACCCAGATCTCAACAATGTGTATGATTGCATACCCAGTATAAATAAGGGTTTAATATCAACTCCATCTCTGAGTGAAAATAAATAGCTCTGAAAAGTCAATTCTTCCTATTTTCTTTTACATTTTGCCTTCTAATAGCTGTTTTATGTCATTTCCTTTGAGAGCTCTGATACCAAGTTGGAATAGTCCATTATATCCTAGCTCTCAGTCTTTACTGAAAGTTACATGAAAGAGGAGGCCTTTGCCTGCAATTCAGAATTCTAAATTACCAGCCTTTCTTAATTTCAGGTTGCCCCTCCTGGACATGTTGTAAACTCATGCATGGGCTTTTGAGTTAGAAAAATTTGTGTTTGGAACTTTTCTCAGCTCTTGGCTTTTCACCTGGCCAGGTTACTTTTAAAGCCACATCTTTTTTTATTTTATTTTATTTTATTTTATTTTATTTTATTTTATTTTATTTTATTTTATTTTATTTTATTTTATTATTTGTTATCTTAAGAATGGGGATAATGAAAGTGCCAGCCTCACTGAGTTATGTTATTTGAATGATATAGCCTAGGTGGTGAACCTAGCTTAGGGTCTGTTACCTGGGATGATGGTCAGTGGAAAGCCAAGATTTTTTGTGATGTTTTTGTTTATATGCTGGTAGCATATAAAGGAGTGTCTCAAGTCCCATCACAGCTTTCAAAGCTCCTCTTCCTTTTGTCTGAGCAATCAGTGAGAAAAGTCTGACAGTCAATGAACTTTAGTACTGAGATGTGCTTAGAAGGTATGGTCGTTGTTAGGTTTGATAATTATCAAAGAGAGTGATTCACTTCTTAGAACCCTGACCTGCTGCTCTAATGCCCTAAAAGACTAACCATTACCAATAGACACTTCCCTCTAGTGTGCTTGTCTAATTATATGTTAACTATAATTAACACTTTAAATCTGATAATTCCTACCTAAGAAAGTATATTACCTGGTGCAGAGCCTGGGCAGAGAGGAAGTGTGCATTCAATATATGCTCATGGTTTATTGAGTAAATCCAGATCTTTCCTTGCTACTGGGTTAGAACTCTGGGAGCATACCTTTAGGACTTAGCAAATCTGGAAACAGCTGGATATCCTTTGGGGCGATCTGGAACAGCTTGTCATTCTTCATTTCTACTAACATTTATTAGGCTTATGTGTAAGCTCTAGAGTTGGCACTCATAACTTCATTTAATCTTCACACTAGTCCTTTGAGGAACATATTATTCCTATTTTTCAGATAAGAAATTTGAGACTTAAGCAATAAAGTGACTCACTAATAGCAATAATACTAGTAGCAGCTAAGTTGACTATACTGTGTGGACCTGTGTCACACCTTAGCTGCTATCTGGATAGTAGCATGCCTTGCCTAGCATGGATTTGGGGTACTAAACTCTGTACATTCGGTTGTCCCCAAGATCCTTCCTTGAGAGCATATTATTTAGACCTATTCTTATTTTTAGGCTTGGGCCTTGTTGTGGACTAAGTGTCTGTGGTTCCCCCCAAAATGTATATATTGAAGCCCTACCCCATGATGTGGCTGTATTTGGAGATGCAGCCTCTAAGGAAGTAATTGAAGTTGAATGAGGCGATAAGGGTAGAGTCCTGATCCAACAGGATAATGTAGTTATAAGAATAGACGCCAGAGAGCTCACCCCCTCTCTTTCTACCATGCAAGGACACAGCGAGAAGATGGCTGTCTACAAGCCAGGAAGAGAGTCCTCACCAGAACCAAACCCTGCTGGACTTTGATCTTGGACTTTCCAGCCTCTAAAACTGTGAAGACATAAATTTCTGTTGTTTAACCCACACAGGTCTGTGGTATCTGTTTATTATGGCAGCCCAGTAAGACTAAGACAGGCCATCACAAGACGTGAACGTTTTGGACCTTCTCTTGGGCCCTAGTAAACAGAAATCAGGTATGCAAAAGGAGTAAACATATATTTTCCTTTATTTTTATGTTTAATGTGTAAGCCTTAGGTTTTTATTTATTTATTTGCTGAGGACAATCACACTGTGTATGTACAATGTAATTATATTGTTGATGAGGACTTACTTAAAATTTTTTAAAAATTCTAATTGATTTCTAGATGTTCAAATGACAAGATAGCATTTATATACCATCAGAACATAAAATAATTCAAAAAAATAAATCTATGAAACAATATGTATTATACTGAGAGAAAGAGAGAGAGTGTTGGAAGAATACATATAAATACAATGTGATAATGTGATGTCTCTGTGAGAATGCTATATGTAATTTTCTTTGTTTTTGTTTATATGAATTTATAATATTTTTACCTTTGAAATATATAAAAGAGAATAAAAGTCATTGACAAAATCAAAAATAACTCTATTTTTATAGGTGAGTAAATATACATCTTTAACAGAATAGCAAAGAGTTGATGAATGTTCAGAGATATTATATAAGTAACAGGTAAGAAGTGTCCTTTATCCAGAAGATCTATGGTATTCATTCTCAGTTGCAAATATATATGCAAAAAAACCCACAAATGAAACCAAAACAACTCAGAATTCTCATGAATGTTGCATAAGTAAATATATTATTTGGAATAAATTTAAATAAGCTACATACAGGATGTCTTTTAGTTGGGTTGCTGAGGGGCCCCCATTTTGCTTTTCTGATCAGTATTGTAGAAGAGCTTTAGTTTTGTTGAGTCCCTCTCCAGGGAATTATTAGGGTGATGTACTGAGAGATAGAACAGTGGATTTGGAGTCAGTAGACCTGGATGGAACTCATTTACCAGGTGTGTCATTGAAAAAGTCATTTAAGCTCTCAGAGCTTTAGTCTCCTCATTAGTGAAACTAGCATAACAATTCTGCGTCCTTTACATGGTTTCATCAGCATCAAACTAAATGAAATAATATGTGCAAAGGTTTGTGACCCAGAGCACTCTATGCTAATGCTAGCCATCATTATTCTGAAGATGACTATTATAATCGAAGTTATATAAATTAAAGAAAAATGACAGAAGTTGTTCCCCTGAAAATGTTAACTCTTGCTACTGTAGTCCTAATTATGCTAGCGCAAATCTCTTTAAATATTCTTAATTTCTGGTCTGATCTTAATTAATGGATACCAATGTAGGTACTTTGGATTTTGGGCAGACAGTAAAACCTGGGGTTCAGGAACAGCAATGTAAACAGGCTATAAGATTGCAAGTCACAACTTTCATTTATTTGATATTTGTCATGAAAACCTATATAGTGCTTTCAGTGTTCAAAGGCCTGTGGTTACAGCAGCAAGTAAAACAAAATTCCTGCCCCACCGGAGCTTACAATCCAACGGGAGGAGGGAGAGGGCCAATAATACAGTAGAAAATGAATATGTAATAGGTCAGTAATGAATATGTGATATGTGAATATGTGATAGAGCAATAAATGTAGTAAGTGCTATGGAGAAAAAATAAAGCAGAATAAAGGAAAATTCTGTAGGTCAGATGTGCAGGCAGCAGAATCTGAGATGGAGATTGAAGTGCAGGAAGTTCATTCAGAGTCTTCTGAGGAAGGAAGCAGGGTTGGGTAGAGAGAGAAGATGGGCTCCGAAGCAGGCACAGTTGGGCCTCTGCCAACTCCATGGGGAACTGGAAAGCAGGGATGGGCCTTCTGATTGCCTTGACTTGGGGTATGGAGGCCAGGCCTTTATATTCCTGCAATGGCCAGAAATTGGATGCAAGTTGTCCCTTGGGAAGGGGACTGTGACCTTGGTGACATGACTTTCCTCTGCTGAGGGCAATTCCCAGAGAGGGCTGACAGTAGTGAGCTTCCAGCCAGTAGCACTGTGTTCATTACAGGGGTGTGTGTGTGTGTGTGTGTGTGTGTGTGTGTGTGTGTGTGTCTGGGAGGCAGGAGGTGAGATTGCTTTTTTAAAGGATTATCAAGGGAGCCTCTCTGAAAACATTTTGGGAGTAAATGTGAAGGACATGAGGGAGGAACCTCATGAAATCTGGGGGAAAGCAAGTAGATATCTGGGGAAAATATTTCTGAGGAAGATAATTTTGAACTTCTTTGGATTTTTCATGTGGATTATCTATATGAGTAATGTCTATGCTCATATATTGCTTTTCCAGTTGTGCTTATCATGGTAGTAGTAATAATAGTAATAACAACAATAATGTCATTTTTATCATGTAATTGCAAGCTTTGCTTTAGGAACTGATGTAAATCTTTCATAAGATCTTACTAGAGTATTAATTAGCTAATTAGTTAATTTACTTATTCATTCAGTCACACAGTGAGTGTTTATAAATGCCCACTGTATGTCAGTTACTATGCGAGGTGCAATGAACACCATGGTGAGCAGGAGGAGTTAGTCCCTGTGTTTGAAACTGTTAAGGTGAGGCGACTGACAAATGAAACAGGCAATTAAAAATATAGTGTAAACAGTGGTCCAGTGTAGTTAAACAAGGTAAGGAAGGTGCAGCAGGGAAACACTAAGCCAAAGAAGAAACCAGGTGTATGAATAAATAGGGAATGGTGAAGCTTTCTTTGAATTGGGGTGGGATGGGGTGTGTGGAACAGAGGTGGGCAAAGTAGGTGAGATAAGTGGCTTTGGAAATGAAACCAAGTTTTGTTTAGTGACCTCTTACATTGTCAGATGGGGTTAAATCCATAAGGGTCTATAAACATTGGCCTGCTATGTAGAAAACACATGTTTCAATGGCAACTCAGCTGTGGGAGAGGTTTTCATTGCTAACGATGGGCTCCTAGCATGAAGAGATTCAGGTAAAGCCTGCCTCGAGGAGTGGGCCGGTATCTCTGATGAGAGCTGGCGCAAGCTTGAGTAGTGACAATGGGGAGATCTCCAAAAGTGCCAACTCCTACCACCCAACACCCAGGAGAGAATAACTTCTTACTCCCTCCTCACAGATCCTGAGCTGAGCTAAACAACCTCTTCAGTTCTCGCAATCCATGTGTCTCCCCTTCTACTGCCCCATTCATGCTGAAAAGATGTCACAGGACTGTCTACTTAAAGATTACCTCTCTAAAGCAGAGTTGACTCTATGTATTCTTTAAAGGCAATCCTGTTTTTTTTTTTTCAACACTGACCCAAGAACACTTGGATATAGACAGCAATATCAGCATGGTCAGAAGGTGGAAATTCCACTGGCTTTCTTGTTTCATTTAACATTCTTTGACTTGCGGGTGATACTAAAAACATAAAAATATTATAGAACATTTTCAAAGTCAAATTGCTTTACAAGTCCCTTCAAAATATTTTTTTGTCCTCTATGTTCATAGCAATTTTAAAGTGTTAGTCTGTAAAATATTGTATCTACATGTACAGCTTTGTTTTTGATAGTCACTTCTAGAACAGGCTGAAAATCAGTCAGGAAAATTCAGTAAGACCGATTTGTGGTTTATCCATATGCCTATGTAAACCTGAGATTCTCACATTTGTCACTAATGACAGTCATAAAATAATTAAAGACAAATGAGTTAGTATTTTATCATCTCAAATTTCCCTCTTTTCCCTGAACCTTCTTATATTTCTAGAAAATAGTTAGAAGGAAGTCTGACTGAGAACTCAGGGCTTATTGCTCCAAGTAAAAAGTAGGCTGAAAGAAAAGTTAAGTCATTGAAAATGGTATCTACATTTACTTTCCCTTTTCTTTGTACTCTTTGCTCTTGACTTTAAATTCTTTTGATTCCAGAAGGAAGAAAACTTTGCTAATGCTCTGCCAAGCCTCACTTTTCTCTCATGATTAGAAGGTTTGATGTTATCCAGAATTACTCATGGAAGATGGAAGAGCTGCAGCATTACAATGAAAGCCATCTTACAACAGCCTGAGTATCTTTTTTTTACCTGAGTCAGGAGCAAAAAATATTCATGTATATTCCCTAAAAGGACAAAAAAGGATCCAATGAAAGGGCTAGGTTGTAGAAAGGTAGCATTTTATTGCTAAATGACAACTAAAATCACTCTGTATGCCTTGTATTGTAAAAGAGAAAATTAAGACCCAGAATAAGATCAAGAGTTTTTCATTGATCGTTATGATATTAAAGAAGTTTTGAAATACGTGGCTAGCTTTCTCACATCTATGTGCTGATTAGACCTCAGCCAAAGACTTCAGGGGAGCCCTCTGCAAGTTTCTAGAGTTCTTTGTGCAACTTTTTCTCTTGGGTTCTCTGACTTGCAAACTCAAACCGCCAGGCTTTTCTTAGACTCAGCTCTGCCTCCTCATCTCAGAGAGACCCTACAATGGGGCCTGGGAACCCTCCAGGCTCTGAGCTGGACAATGGAGCTCACCTCCATTTTGTTTGTTTCCTCTCTCTTGGCAATCACTCTTCTGTGCTACTGATGCCCAGTGTCTGAAATTCATTTTTTTCATACCTTTTGTTTGTTTGCTTGGTGTCATTTCCTGCAGGAGGGTAAATCTGGCTGGCTCCTGTTGTTCCATCTGTCCTCCAGCAGCTTCCCATACAGGCAGCTCACTTCACTTCATTTTCAATTTTAATGACTTCTGTTCTTTATTATGCCTTTTGTCTACTTTTTTTTTTTGATTATTCTTCTTGTTCTTTTTCTAAGTTCTTGAGTTCATATTTAGTTAGCTTTTAGTCTTTGTAAGTCAATTGCTGAATGTTTTGAAGTTTTCACTTTGTGTTACTTTATATTTTTTAGGCTATTTATTAAACTAATCCACGTTCTGAACAGTTATTGCTACTGGAAACCAGTCCCGATCCAGACCACAAAAGACGATTCTTGGATCTTGCACAAGAAAGAAAGGGTGAGTCCATAAAGTAAAGTGAAAGCATGTTTATTAAGAAAGTAAAGGATAAAGAATGGCTACTTCATAGGCAGGGAAGCCCCGAGGGCTACTGGTTGCCCATTTTTATGGTTATTTCTTGATTATATTGGTACGAACAGGAGGCAAGGAAATATTGGGTAGAAGGGGGCGGTTCCTTGGCAAAGACACCACCCTCAAGCTTGGAAATCCATGGCCCTAAATTTGAACAGGCATTCCTGTTTTCACACCTTAATGTTGCCTTTTGGCCTGCCATGTCCCCCAATCCTATACCCAAATAAACCCTAAACCTCAGGCTCCAACAGCAGAAGATCAGAGGAGCAGAAGAGTGGTGCAGCAGAGAAGGAGAGAAGAGAAGGAATGTCTAAATGTCAAGAGGAGTTCAGCTGGGGACAGTCAGAGAGGAGATAGGCCATGGGACAGCCAAACTCTAGGGGAAAATCATCTTTCCACTCCATCCCCTTTCCAGCTCCCCATCCATCCCACTGACAGCCACCTCCACCACTCAGTAAAACCCCCGCATTCACCATCCTTCAAGTCTGTGTGTGACCTGATTCTTCCTGGACACCGGACAAGGACCCGGATACCAGGAGGTCACTGAGCTGATTAACACTTAAGCCATCTGTGGACAGCAGAGCTAAGAGGCAGTGTAACATGCACACTGGGGCTTTGGGAGTCGCAGACACCCACCCTTAGATCCTACCATGGGGCTGGAGCCCAAAAGCACTTTCTCCAGCTCTTGCACCTGCCTATGTGCATGCTCTTCCTCCCGTAAGGGGTTTGAGCTCATGGTGGCCAAACAGACAAACCACACCCCTGTTGCACGTCCTGCAAGTTGGGGGTCAGGGAACTCTCCTGTTTCAACATGTTAAACAAGGGGTGGATTATTCATGCCTCCTCTTTTTAGACCATATAGGGTAAATTCTGGACATTGCCATGGCGTTTGTAAATTGTCATGGTGCTGTTGGGAGTGTAGCAGTTAGGACAACCAGAGGTCAGATCACCATCTTCGTTTTGGTGGGTTTTGGCCAGCTTCTTGACTGCAACTTGTTTTATCAGCAAGGTCTTTATAACCTGTATCTTGTGCCAACCTCCCATCTCATCTTGTGACTTAGAATGCCTAACTGCCTGGGAATGCAGCCCAGCAGGTCTCAGCCTTATTTTACCAGGCCCCTATCCAAGATGGAGACACTCTGGTTCAAATGCCTCTGACATTACTTCCAAGATGATTCCTTTTTTCATTACGTAGTGGCCCCTTTATCTTTGAAAATGCTTTATCTATCATCTATTTTATTTGATATTAATATAGCTACATGAAATTTCTGTATTTTTACAGCCTCTTTACCTATCTGACATGTAATACCCATACAATAAAGAGCATGTAAGGCACTGATCTTAAGAATAGAGTTTGATAATTTTTTTCTAATGTATACAGCCATGTACCCACCACCCAGATCAAGATAGAGAATATTGCCAGCATCAAAGGAAGTCACTAGCTTTATTTCAGTTGGTATTTTCCTCAGACATCTTTTTTTTCCATCCCTTACTTTTTACTTATCTATTTATGTTTTAAAGATTTTACTTTCAAACAGTACGTGACTTTTAGTAAAGTTACAGTACATTGATTGATTGATTGTTACCTTAAAACCCAAGCCACTAAGTATCAACAACATCCTCTGTTCCTATTCTCCCCTCAAATAAAAGTAGACTTGCCATATTTGTTTAGAATTTCTGTGTCTGCCAAGGGAGTCTTTAATTGCTAAAACTAAAAGACTCTATCCATATTTGCTTTTAGTGCTTTCCTGTTTTTATTTTAGTAACTTAACCTTAATTATGTGAAATATTTTATGTTGTAAAGAATGAGTAGTACAGATCCATTTTTTTCTTCTTGAGTATCTGACAAATTTTCTGAATACAGTGAAAATCTATCTTTTTATATTGATTTGAAAGCTGCTTTCTTCATGACACTAAATTATTACACGTATTTGAATTTACAAATGAATTGTTACATTTCACTTATCTGAATATATATTTCTTTACCCGGAATGTTCTTTTAATTAATGCTTAATATAACTATATATTATAATTCCTGGCTGAAGAAGTTCCCACTCATTGTTCTTCATTTTCATAATTTTTCTGACTATTAACACACATTTATTCTTCTAGATGGAGGCTGTTTAACCTTGGCACTATTGATATTTTGGACTGGATAAATAAAAATCAGTAGTGGGATCCTTCTAATTTCCTCTACTTTCTTTTTGTAGCTCTGTTTGGTGCCCTCAGGTGGGAATGCTATGTCAACTCTCCAGTACCTTCTTTCTTTTTGGCCCAAAGCAGATATTCTGCAGAGTTTCTTGTATGACGTTGGGTTGTTTCTTAAATTTCAGAGTAGATTATTGTTTATTCTATACTTTTCTTCATTTAAGCAGATTTCAAATAGATGGAATTTGTAAATATTTTCTCAAGCCTCCATCTTCTCATTTTAAATTTCTTTAAGAAATATTTAAATTACTATTTTCACTTATCTGTTTTTAATTGCTCTGCTATTGTTTGGTATTTATAAGTGATTTATTATTTTATCCTTTTTATTAGGTAAGAGATGTTAATGGTGAGTTTGAGATTGATAGGAGCTATTTTGTTAGAAATAAATGAGGAACTGTTGCAAGAATGGACTGTGATTTTTACCTTTTATTGAATTGTTTTGGCTTCTTACAGCCTCATGACACTTTCCTTAGTGTTTAACACAAACAACTAAAGTAAAATAACTGCCATTTCTCTCCTTGCAGTTAAACTGCAAACAGCTCTTTTTATAAGAACTGTGATTGCCTCTAGCAAGCAGTCTCAAGTACTTGATATATCAACACACTATTGCCCCTTTTTTTCACACCTGAAGTTTGTAGAATAAACCACTAAAAATTTCATAGTATCTGAGGAGAATGGATCTCTCCAGATGATGTTTTCTTGCCTGGGGCCAATATGTGCACCATAGAGTCAGTCCCCTTTATCTGCCATAAAACTTTGTTTATGAAGCATTGCTTAATCAATCTTCACATGGTAGGACGATACAGGCAAAAGCTGAGGTCTTGCTATACATCTCTTTCAAAGTTTTCCGTCAAGGCCATTTTGCTTTTAGTCACTTTTTTTTAATATTTTCGGCAGCAGTTATTTATTTCATTTCATTGTATTTGACCCATCCAAATGTTTAACATGGTTTTATAAAAGTAACTTTATTTTCAGCTTGTCTGTAGATTCAATTTTCTTGTAGTTGCTGGTATAAGTAATAGGGAAAAATGTATCAGTCTTATACAATAAAGAAGTTCAGATGAGCGTGTGTGGGAGTGTGTGATATAGGAAGAAGCAATCGGTATATAACAACATATGTCTGCCTGCTACGCTTTTAATACTTGTTAGAGTTTTAGTTTCTATGAGTATCTTGGAGGTGCTGGAATATATATGCAAATTTCCTTCTAAAAGATTGCACCAAGTTACATTACCATAACAACAATAAGAATTTACTGCATCCTTAGCACATTGAATATTATATTAGAAATACCACTTTGTAGGTTTCATAGATAATGGATAAATTTTCTGTTGTTTTAATTTACGTTTTAAAAGTAGTGAGGTTGAAAATGATGCAATTTGAAATGCATGTGCATAAGAAGTTGAATAGAAGTTTATTGGTCAGAATGTGGAATGAGTTTTGAACAAGTTAAATGTTTTGAAAAACAGTATGAATGTACTGAATACTTTTGAGGTGTGATCTTCTAATTGCTCTAGCAAATTGAATTGGTCATAAGAAAACGTTTGAATTTTTCCGATCAGTCAGTCATTGTATTAGTTCATTCCCATGCTGCTATAAAGAAGTGCCTGAGACTGGGTAATTTATAAAGGAAAGAAGTTTAATTGACTCACAATTCTGCGTGGCTGAGAAGGTTTCAGGAAACTTACAATCGTGGCAGAAGGGGAAGCAAACACATCGTTTTTCACATGATGGCAAAAGTAAATGGGGAAGCCCCTTATAAAACCATCAGATCTCATGAGAATTTGCTCACTATCATGAAAATAGCATGGGGGAAACTGCCACAATGATTCAATTACCTCCCACTACATTCCTCCCACAACACATGGGGATTGTGGGAACTACAATTCAAGATGAGATTTGGGTGGGGACACAGCCAAACCACATCACTATGCCCCTGACCCCTCCCAAATCTCATGTCCTCACATTTCAAAACACAATCATGCCTTCCAAACAGTCCCCCAAAGTCTAAACTCATTCCAGCATTAACTCAAAAGTCCAAGTCCAAAGTCTCATCTGAGACAAGGCAAGTCCCTTCCACCTATGAGCCTGTAAAATCAAAAGCAAGTTAGTTACTTCCTAGATACAATGAGGGTATAGGCAATGGGTAAATGCACCCATTCTAAATAGGATAAATTGGCCAAAAACAGGAGCTACAGGCCCATGCAAGTCTGAAATCCAGTGGAGCAGTAATTAAATCTTAAAGCATCTTAATAATCTCTTTTGACTCCATGTCTCACATCCAGGTAATGCTGTTGCAAGAGGTGGGCTCCCACAGTCTTGGGAAGCTCAGCTCCTGTGGCTTTGCATGGTAAACCCCCCCGCCTCGGCTGCTTTCACAGGCTGTCTGTTATCTAGTTCCAAAGTCACTTCTGCATTTTTAGGTATCCTTATAGCAGCACCCCACCTCTAGTACCAACTTACTGTATTAGTCTGTTCTCATGCTGTTATAAAAAACTGCCCAAGACTGTGTAATTTATAAAGGAAAGAGGTTTTATTGATCTACAGTTTTGCATGGCTGGGAAGGTCTCAGGATACTTACAATCATGACCAAAGGGGAAACAAACACATCTTTCTTACATAGTGGCAGGAAGGAGAAGAATGAGAGCTGAGTGAAGGGGGAAGCTCCTTTATAAAACTATCAGATTATGTGAGAATTTACTCACTATCATGAGAATAGCACAGGGGAAACCACCGCAATGATTCAAGTACCTCCCACTGGGTTCCTCCCATGACATGTGGGGATTATTGGAACTACAATTCAAGATGAGATTTGAGTGGGAACACAGCCAAACCATATCAGTCATTCCACATATTGAGTGATTTCTCTCTTCTATTCAGTATTCTTCCACAGAGAGGGACCCATAGTCATTACCTTCAAGGAACCTAAATCCTGGTGTTTTTATGGTTACGGGTGGCATATAATATACAGGTAAGCCAATGTTACAGGATGTTGTGGAACTATTCCTATTCTTCCATAAGTAGCCACTAGGACCACGGCTGAAACCAAGAGGCACTGATTACCACCTCACTCTAAAGAGAATTACTGAGTTTGTGTTCACTGCTGGGGCCAGATCTCTTTGCAGGGCTATGTTAGGCTTTACACAATGTGACCCTCTAGTCTGTACAAGGAGAGGAATGCAGAGGGAAAGCGATTCACTGGAGTCTCTCGTCAGTGACCTGGTGGTGAATATATGGTAATGGGTAAATCCCACTTCACCTAATGAAGAAAAGGAGAAGGATGCACTTCATTCTTAGAATCTAAGCAGGAACAGGAAAGGGAAAATCTAGGAGAAAAGCTTACAAAGACTGTAAATGCCTTCAAGAAGGTGAGAGAAACTAATATTTGGTTTACTGTCAGCAGTCTGTTCGGGCGGCATTTTGCCAATATAGCCCTATCCTAAGGGAAAGGGAATTGTGGTTGGACAACCGAGTTCTGAGAAAGGCAGTGATTGAGCAGCTGAATTCCATCCATTTGGTGGGTAAGGACCTCAGAGTATTCAAAGTATCAAATGGAATGTGACTGAAGAGTTATCTTGCTGATCTTACCCAGGAGGACTGTCCCCTAGGCAAGGGGACACCAAACACAATGAGGCATGGGATAAGGATTTCGTGATGAGAATCGGGCAGAACTGGAGTTTAATCCTCATGTCATGGTAAGGCCCTCTGAAATTCTCTCTACGCCTTTGAGAGACTCAGCATTTAGTTTCTGACTCCTAGAGTCCCTTAGTAGCCAGTCAACGTAAGCCAAGTTAGTAGCTACAGCCGTCAGGCACACAATTACACCATGAACAGTGAAGTAAAAAAATGTCCTTTCTTTGCTTTCTTCCTCTAATCTCAATCCCAGAGGCATGAAAACCTAGAAAAAAGAAAGTAGCTGTATAGCTTTCATTTACATATAAGATTGATGTTTTGAAATTTTAATAACAAAAACAACCAGAAAGTTGCCTATCTCCCCAAGATGTTTCTAGGGAATAGGAATAAGAAATAGGAAAAGTATATTCCATGCAGTATAAGCAAATTTAAAAAATTAATTTTTTTTACCCTACTGAATTGAGACTTGCCAATAACCAGTTATACAAATAAAGAGGCTAGTCCTGGGAGCTGAGTGCTATGAAAAAAATACAGGTAGAAAATGAAAGAGAAATTAATGGGAAGGAGGGAAGAAGACTACAAGCTGCTTTGCGTTGGGTAGGCAGGGAAGACCTATTTCATTCAATGAAATTTTACTGAGTTTTCCTGTGTTCTAGCCATTATTCTGCGCTCTGAGGATACATCGTAAACAAAGCAGATAAAAAATACAGTCATCAGAATTTTCCTTGAAGGTGTGAGACAGGAATAATATGGAGGCAGTCAAGCAAAGATATGAAGCAAAAAAAGGAGAAAAAATTAGAACAAAGTTCCTAAGAAAGAGCAAGCTTAGTAAGTTGGAGTTTTGGGGAAAAGTTCAGTGGTTGCAACCAAATGACAGGAGAGAGTGGGAGAGGGTTGAAGGGGGCAGGCCAGGTGAGCTGAGCATGTGGACAGGTCAGAACTTCAGAGAGCATGCTAACAAGTGGTGATTTTATTCTGGTGCAGTGAAAAACCTACTGGAGATTTTAAGTAGGAGAAATACATGATCTAATTGATAGTTTGAAAAAATTGCTCTGTGAAGGAGGGAATATAAAAAACAAGAGTAGAGACAGGGAGACAAGCTGTGGGGCTGTTACTATATTCCATGCCATCTCATCCATTCTTTTTAGTAAGAATAAATTCTGCTGGTCACCTTTTAGTGATTTCTTTTTAAAATTTCAAAATATTCAGAGATGGGGATACTTTAATCTGAGGACATTAAAATATACAGCATTTTTATGCTTTGCTAGGCCTAGAAAAAGTTTAATAGACTTAGGTAAGACTTACATTAAACTGATTACTTTTGATTTAAAGGTAATAGCGTTCAGCTGAGAATGGAAATAATTTTCACCTGGTTGGCAATATTTGCAATCACTTCTGAACCTTCAGTTTTATCCAGTTGAATAATAAAGGTCTAAAATTTCCTTTATTTGCTTTTGTCAGAGCAAATTATGTTACCAATAACACAACCTACAAGAGAGAAGAGCCATGAGAAGGGTCAAGAACAATCTATGAGTAACTTAAGTGGAGGCTGATATAACATATTCTCTAATATATGATGCTCTGATAGCATTTGACAAGACCATCTGGAAGAGACCCAGATAGAGACAACAATTCTAGTTAATATGCTCCATTGAGTGATGTTCATCAGCTGATTATGTGAACTCAGGCTGAACTCTAGTCATAAAATTTGGAAAGAAGGCAGTTTGAGAAATGGTATATTCTTCACTGTGAAATGATTGACCTGAGCATGAAATCAATTCTAAAAATAACTAAGGGGCAGATAAGTTCATGACCAAGCTTATAAAAATGAGAACCACTCAAAAGATCTCCAGTTTTATTCCTAAACCTATCTGTGCTGAAGAACTTTTTGGATGCTTCCCACAGGACTGAAATTCCTGCCTCTAATTTGGACAATGACAGTTCTCTGTAATCCACA
Organism: Homo sapiens; assembly: GCF_000001405.40. Taxonomy (NCBI): domain Eukaryota; kingdom Metazoa; phylum Chordata; class Mammalia; order Primates; family Hominidae; genus Homo; species Homo sapiens. The sequence continues at coordinate 143,873,945 of NC_000004.12, forward strand.
ATTGAATGGTCACTGGAACATGTTAGACATGCAACATAGTCAAAGAATGCATAGATTAGGGTAACTATGTCAATTATAAGTAAAACCCCATGTAGACTAATGTAACTCTGTTAGGGAGATGTGTACTAGCAACTGTCTTGTTGCTATATGTATATATGTATATATATGTATATATGTATTTAGTTTTGAAAAAGTTAATGGCTTTTGTTATTGTCTCTTTAAAAATGTAATATAGTTTTGTTACAGAAAATTAAGAAGCTAGAAAAAAAGTGTAAAGAAAAAGACAAAAATTAGCTATAATCCCACCAAGTGAAATTAAGCTCTATACATATCCTGGCATCTCCCCCATCCCACAGCCCCCTCACCCACAGAAAGAACTTTTAATGTAGAACTGTCTGCAATCTTTTAAACATGCAACAAACACCATTCCTTGTCATCAGACCTACCAGATTTTATCATGGTGTGACTGTAATGTCTGAGGTTTCTGAAATAGTTTAGAATTTATACATTCAAAGCAGTCACCTTGAGAGGTAATAACATTCATTTATTCAAATGCAGATGCTGAACATAGCAGATTTGTGACAATCTCTTACTGCTCACTTAGGGGAGGCATACAGCATATGGCCAAGGCCTGCTCTACGTCCTGTTTTTAGGATGGGAGAAAAGAGACCTCAGACACTCCTCCTTCTGACTCCAAGGATAAGGCAGTCAGAATGTATCTGGTGTGTACTCGAAGAGGAAACGTGCTGCACATTGGGACCCCAGGTCCTTTAGTTCAACCTGTCCTTTCTGAGGTGTGGGCATCCTGGAGTCCCTCAGAGATTTCTGACCCAGCCATCTCAGTAAGATCTGCTGTGTCCTGGAGGTGATGAGTGCTCTCCAGAGTTCATTTGAAAGTCAGGCCCTTCTCTATGTGCTCCTACCCCTGTGCCTGTCATTCTCTTTACTGTTGAGGAGGGACCTTAACTCCTGGCAGGTGAACTATAATTAAGATCAATGGATGCTAAAGTAAGCCTATCAAGAATCTGGTTTTTGACAAAGATTTGAATAGAACTTGGTCCTTGCCCTCAAGGATCTCACAGTATGATAAACTTGTCTTTGCTTTTTAAATTACAGTGCCATTTCAGCAGTCAGGCACCTTGGGTACTTGACTGAATCTTGTTCTTTTCCAACATATTTCACATGAGACTTCATGTTATCCTGGACAGCCACCTAATGAGAGTCCAGGCTGAAGTCTTCATTCCCCTTCTGCATGTTCTCTGCTGTTGGCTTTGTTCAGACCCTTCTTTCTTCTCATCTATCCTACTGTAATGGGCTTTACATTTTAAACATAGCTTGAAATAACAAATCATGACTATACTACATGCAAATAATTTGTATTTTGTTTTATTTTTATTTAGAAGTAGAGAATACAGTAATAGGCAGGAGAACAGGGAGTTAGGATAGCCAAGGGTTGGGGCATAAGCAAAGGAATAGCAGGTGCAGCCAGTTTGCATAAGCAAGAGAACAGCAGGTGCAGCTGGTTCTAGGCAAGATCAGGCAGCATGCAGGCCACATCCTCATGCCTGTGATAAAAAGACAGAAGTTTCCACTTCAGCCTCTGCTTGACCATGAGCTACGCCTCCACTTCAGCCTCTGATTGGTCACAGGCCAATCCTTCATAGGGTGTAGCCAATTGGAGGCTTCTAAAGGGTACCTAGGGGTGTTGCCAAGTTCTTTTGGCTTTATAAAAACCCTAATTGGGGCCAGGCGCAGTGGCTCACATCTGTAATCCCAGCACTTTGGAGGCCAAGGCAGGTGGATCACTTGAGGTCAGGAGTTTGAAACCAGCCTGGCCAACACAGCGAAACCCCATCTCTGCTATTAAAAAAATACAAAAATTAGTCAGGAATGGTGGCCCGCACCTGTAGTCCCAACTACTGTGGAGGCTGAAGCACGAGAATCACTTGAACCAGGGAGGCAGAGGCTGCAGTGAGCAGAGATTGCGCCACTTTGCACTCAAGCCTGGGTGACAGAGGGAAACTCTGTCTAAAAAAAAAAAAATAAAAAAAGCATTAATGATTCAAAAAAAATCACTGATGTTAAGAATTCATGGGTGGAAATTTGAAAAATCTGTTGCAAAATATGTGAGAATTAAGAAAGGCAAAAGGTTTATTTTGTTTATTTTTATTTATTTATTTATATATTTATTGAGACAGGGTCTCTGTTGCCCAAGCTGGAGTGCAGTAGCATGATCACAGTTCACTGCAGCCTTTATTTCCCAGGCTGAAGCAATCCTCCCACTTCAGCCCCCTGAGTGGCTGATACTACACGTGTGCACCACCACGCCTTTCTAATTTTCATATTTTTTGTATAGACTAGGTTTCACCTTTTTGCTCAGGCTGGTCTCAAACTCCTGAGCTCAAACAATCCTCCTGCCTTGGCCTCCCCCAAAGTTTTAAACATATGTAAATATATTATTTTAAACATTTTATTCACTAATAGGGTAAATACTATAAGTAGCATCTTAATATTTCCTCAATATCCATCAAAATATGTGAAAGCAAGTTAGACAAAACTTAGGGAGAGCTTTCATTGGGAAAATGGGGGACAGATTTATATTTAGAGGCTCCCTTTAATTGGGCAAATGCAAAAAATAAATTATGCTAGAGAAACACAGTGACTTCTATGTGTCCAGTTGAAAAAGATGGAATTTTATGCAGTTCTGTTTCTCTTTTGAGTTTAACTGAACTCAGAGGAATAAACCCTCCGAGAGCTGTTCACACTGGTATTTAGAGCAAAATTAAAAACTGAATTCTCACCTTTATCAGTCATCGAATACAGTAAGAAATTAAGATGATCATTCCAACAACAACAAGCATCACCTCAAAAATAACACGAGCCATCGCCCACCAATTAATGAGTGTTATCCCTACAGGAGATAAAGAGAGCGGCAAAATTATGAAAGTCTGAAATAAATGACCACATCCAATTGAAAAATAAGATAACATCAGCATAACATCACCTTGCCTTTTAATAGAAAGTACAATTAATATACTATCATGTGTATTTTGTCTTTTTTAAAACTGTGTGCTTTACAGTAACCTTGTGGGAAACTGGGACTGTGGGTGATCAAGTCTTTTGTCCAAGGTCGCACAAATAGTTGATGACAGAACTAAGACCTGAGGCTTCTGATTCCAGACCCAGCGTTCTTCACTAGTGTAACTGTAGATAAGAACTCAGTGGACGTTCTCCTCAGATATGGGGAAAAAACCACAAATTCTCCCATAGTTTGGAAATTATGAGAGAAAACAATGTCTTAACATATAAAAGAGCATTGAACAGATCATAGAATCATAATTTTGGAAAGAAACTGGTATAAACAGTTTACAAATGAAGAAAAGAAGCTGAATAAGGTTAACTTAGCCTTGGTCAGACAACTAGTTAAAAGTAGAATTATAACTATAATGCAGGTCATCTATATTCTAAGCTTTATTCCTTCCACAGTATTCTTATGCATAGTCTCCAATATAGTCAATAAAAATGCTTGTTAAGTCATTTGTATGTTGGGAATGAAACAACTTAAATCAAGTAAGAGATATTTCCATATTTATAGCATATTTGTAGTGCTTCCAGTTGAAGTAAATAGAATGGAAGGCTAGACATAAAGGTAAAATGGCTCATTTATTTGCCTAATTAATATTTAAAAGTCCTATTATTGATAAAAAGTGAAAGTAGCATTTCCTCTTGCTGGTGTTGCCCAGCCTTCTTGACCACTTAGCTTGAATGTATGCGATAGTGATGAAGTTCTATGATGTGCTTTTTACCCTGTGAGCCATGGACACGGCCAAGTGTGAAGGGAGGGTTAGAATGCAGAATAGCAAATGAGCACACACAGTGATACTCAAGTGAGGGGAAGGGATGTCCCTTCAGCAGAGGTTGTCAAGATGGTCCCTAAGTGGTTGCATTGGGCCAAAAATGAATCAAGGCTGAGATTTACCCTTGAAATACAGTACCAGTTAATTAGATGATTTTAAATGCCTTGCTTTTTACATGAGGGCAGAGGGAACTTCACTTGTTTTATAAGCTCTTATGAGGCTTCTTTCAAGTACTCAGGGTTGGTTAGAAAGGTAAAACATCTAACTTAAGAGAAAAACTATTACCAAATTATGTATTTCTATTTCCAAAATGTTTTTATTTATTTTTATTTACTTATGTATTTGTTTTTGAGACATGGTCTTACCAAGGCTAGAGTACAGTGGCACAGTCATAGCTCACTGCAGCCTCAAACTCCCAGGCTCAGGCAATCGATCCGATCCTCCCACCTCAGCCAGCCTCCCAAGTAGCTGAGACTATAGGTGCATGCCCCATCCCAGTTAATTTTTGTATTTTTTGTAGAGATAGATTTTGCCATATTGCCCAGGCTGTTCTCATATTCCTGGGCTCAAGCGATTAGCCAGGCTTGGCCTCTGAAAATTCTGGGATTATAGGCATGAGCCACTGCCCCTGGCCCCCAAAATGTTTTTAAAAATAAGAAATGCCTATTTTAATTTTAAAAAGAGAATATTTTCTTTGCCTTTACAATTTTGTGTGAATAAAGTTAACAACATATGCTCTTCTGTTTTAAGATTGACACATTTTCTTAGGCATTTGAAACAAGCAATGGGATAGTTTAAAATGGAATGATTTTGATTCTTTGTCAAATATTAACATATCTGCTTCAGGGAAACGATGGACAAGTTGTCCCCTTTCTCCTATAAAGCGAAATTTCAATGTAAGTCCAAATAAGTAAGACGTGCAAAGAAAAAAATCATTTTGGAATCGAACTGTTCTGTGGGTTTCCTTTTCTTAATCATATTTTGAGAGTTGTTGGTCAACTTTCAACATCTAGCTAGTAAAATTTATGAGGGAATGTGTCAGTCCTACCATTAGTAATTTCAGTATCTACTTTTAATGACCCAACAAGTATTCATGGATGACAAATAAGCAAATTGTCTTATAACTGAGGGGAAAGGAATGAGAAAGTATTGGAAGAATCACTTATTGACTTCCACAAGAAGCAATGCATTTTTAAAAAATATAAAAATAATGAGAAGAAAGGAGGCATATGGAGCCATTACTCCACACAGATGCCAGTCCCATGCAAAGAGGGATCATGCGGCCATCAATTTTCCAGATGTATGCCACAGCCACTGTCTGAATCTAAACTGTTACTGTGTCTCATTTGAGCTTTTGCCAATAGTCTCTCTGGATTCTATGTCAGCAGCAATTGATAGTATGGTTGCCTTACTGTTCCACCTGTGCTAACCTTCCCTCTCAGTCCACATCTTACTTATGTCTCTGTCTCCACTTGCCATTTTACATCATGAAGCTCTCTTACTACCAAAGCCACACAATTTTCTAGAGTTTAATTATTACAAATTACTTAGTATATACTACGTTGTTTGATGATTGAGGATTCAGGTATATTTTTTCATTCTTTAGGCTTTACGTACAAAGGTTAATTGGGGCTTTCCTTCTCTTTCTTGGTTACAGTTAATGGTTGTGGGTGGTATATGGGCTTTGGAGTAAAACAGATGGGTTTTCTGTCACAAAAGCTTGAGAACTGTCATGAGTTACAGCTCGTGTAAACAGAGTTCAATCACAACAATGACTCCAGAGCAACTATTTAAAACTAAGAACATATCATTTTCCTCTTCTGGAGGGTAAACAGTTGTAACAGAATTTTCTGAAACTTCATTAACACTATGAGCTGGATATGTGTCCCGTTTGTGCTTATCTGCATATAAGAGAAGTTGAGAAAGGGAACAAGAATGAGGTGACTGCGTGGACATAAAGTGTATCATGAAAGACAAATCTCCCACATCCCTCCCAGCAGCAGCTCCAGAATTTCTTCTTCTCCCCTGAAAACTAACAAGAGAGACTGCCACCAGATTACTCTTATCTCAGCACCCAGCTTTGCTTATTGTTTATCAGTCACTGAGAATGTGTGAGGCTCTGAGCTAATAACTTTTAGACACTTCTTCTTATTTAGCCTTTAGAGAAATGCTGTGAGATAAGTACTGTGTTATTGGCCCCATTTTAAAATTAATGGGATAGAAACCCTGCAGGGCAACTCACCCTGGGTCAGCAGCTGGCATAGAGCTGAGCCCGGGTCTGAGCTGAACTCATTTTGCCCACAGACCCTCCGCACCACCGCACTATTAGGTCCCCTTTATCTGGCCCACTATTTCATGGTCACGTGCATCATTTCTGTGCTTTGCCACATTGTTTTAATTTCTTTAACTCACAGTATTATTTCTGTGAGATATTTCAGAGGCAAGAATTCCTCTGTAGTAGGAATTGTGTCTACTTAGTAGGCTGTGTCTACTTAGCTCGCATTTCTCAGTGTTTGTCAGTTTCTCTGCAGTGACAGGTCCCCTAAAATAGGGTTGCATCACAAAAACGATTTCGGAGCCACAATTTAAAAATAAAAATGAAAACAAACCATTTGTCTGTGATGAGATGTAACTCTTTGTGACTGAAGAAGAGGTTGAAGTGTGCATTGCCACACCAGTGGTACTTGATGCTGATATGCTCACAATTCCTGTATAAAATAGAAGTTGAGAAAGGGATTAAGAACGAGGTGACTGAGCGGACCATAAAGCATATCACAAAAGACAAATTCCCTCACATCCCTCCAGTCCCTGAGCTAAGCGCTTTGGTATATATCTTACATAATCTTTAGAGAATTGCTGTGTGGTAAGTATTGTATTATTGGCCTTATTTTAAAATTAAGGGGCCAGAAGCCCCTCCAGAATTTCTGCATGGCAGAGGTTTACAGATAAAGTGTGCCTTGGTTTTCTCATCTGTACAATAATAATACTTGCCTCAAAATGTCATTGTGAGAATGAAATTAGTTTAAATATGTGTATGTGGTGTGTGTGTATGTGATGTGCATGTGTTAGTATAGTACTTGGCACATAAAGAGCATTACATGTATGTTGGGTATTATTGTTATTATGCTTATAAAGGGGTAACTTGAAGTTGCATTTTGGAAACTGTCTATGCTAAGAAAGGTGGAAGCGCATAATAATTATATAGAACAAAACTTCTGTCCCATATCTCAGTGTCTCCATCTGCTAGGGACAATCTTACTTCTTCAATAAAAATGGAAACAATAATAAAACACTATTACATTGCATGAACCCAGGAGGCAGAGCTTGCAGTGAGCTGAGATCACACCACTGCACACTCCAGCCTGGGTGACAGAACGAGACTCCGTCTCAAAAAAAAAAAAAACCACGCACGCAAACATGAAATCAGAATGTAGACTCATATATATCCTTTTAAAATCTCATTAAATAAATTGTGAATTATTTCTGTAATTAAACACTTTTTATTCTTAAATGCAATACATTTCAAATTTATAAGTTATTTTATAAAATTTTATAAATTAAATTCTTTAAATTGCAAAAGTAATATAGATTCAATAAAGAAAATTTGGGAACTACAAGAAAGCACAAAGAATAATATAAAATTCATCTACAGTCAGCCTATGCAAGGTTGAACATTTGACACATTTTGATATATAGCCATCTGAACTTTTAGTTGTTATATCTAAATATGGGATCATGGTGTTTAAATATATATGAATATGTATATAATGTTTACAAGTCTGACTTTCTACTTAATATGCCACAGATATCCCTATGCTGTCAAATATTCTTCTATGAGAAGATTTTTATGACTGCAAAGTATTCCATTATATGAATGTTCTGTGGTTTATTTTTCAATCTTCTATTCTGTGCATTCATGTGTTTTTCACTCTTCTGAGAGTTATAAATCATTATGATAAACGTCAGTACCCTGAACTCTGTAGATGTACCTTTGCTCATCTCTTTGAGATATTCAAATGAGGGGAATGGCACCCAAGTGCAATGGAGTGGAGGTGGAAGGGCTTCTCCTCAGAGGCAGCCAACTTGGCCCCTCAGCTGAATGCTCAAAGTTTCCTGGAGAGCACACAAACAACAGAAAACATCTTCTCTGACACCTCTCATTAGTCTACTCAAGGAAAGAGTTCTAAAACCTTTCTCTATTTATCAGCTGATAGGTAATCAGTTTACCTCCAAATCATGGAGAAGACATGATCTATTGTTCCTAAACTGTCTATGTTTTCTCTTCTCTTTTAAGTTCTTTTCTGGCCTTGCTCTTTAACTTGGCCTGCCACCTGATTCCATCATGTGTGTATAAACGATTGCCATATGAATTCACTAAATAGCATGCAAAACAATTACTGAATGTTTCTAAGTTGTTCAGCATTCAGGTATAATGGCTTTTAAGATAATATAAAAACCAATGCTTTTAAACAATAACCTTGTGATAGGGATTTTGAAGTTCAACAAATATTAAAATTACAGAAAGAAACATCTTTATGAGTCAATTAAAGTATGTAAAAATTATTTACAAAGATAACTAATGAACAAAAATAATCCATCTCTCTTAATAAATGTTAGATATGAGCTTCGGCTTATTTGTAGATAATGGAATATGGACCATCTATTGTATTTTTGAAAAGGCATACAACCTGAGTAAAATAGGTTTAGCTATGAAAGTGTTATGAAAATAGCTAATAAAATAACAAGCCAAAAAAAATCAAAAGTGTTAATGGCCAGAAGCCTTAAATGGGCATGTAACAATAAACTTGAGATCAGCCTTTGGCTCAGCTACATGGGAATACAACTGGAAAAGGCAGCTGGAGCTCTCATCCTTCACTCAGGTGTGCTTGTCACTTCCATTTCTAACTTTCATCCTCTCCATGCTTCTCCTTTTAATCCTCCACTCCTTCTTTACACCTTTCAGTTCAGTGTAATCCACTTACATTTAGGGTGCACATTTCTTATCCCTGTGGATACAAAATGGGCTCTTCTGAAACATAAAACTTGTTCCTAAGACTTCCATATCCCATTATTTTGAATTTTCTCAGCATGAGAATAGTGCTTTATTCATAAAAGATGTTAAATGAAATGTTAATTGTTATAAATGCTTGGACAAATTCTTATGGAGAAAGAATTAGGTGAGTGGTATGGTTTGGATCTGTGTCATCATCCAAATCTCATGTGGAAATGTAATCCCCAATGTTGGAGGTGGAGCCTGGTGGGAGGTAATTGAATCATGGGGCTGGTTTCTCATGGCTTAACATCATCCCCCTTGATGCTGTCGTGGACATAGTAATTTCTCATAAGATCTGGTTGTTTAAAAGTGTGTGGCACCTCCCCACTCTCTCTTGCTCCTGCTCCAAGGCTCTCTCTCCCGACTCTCTCTCTTGCTCTTGTTCCAGGCATGTAAGACGTGCCTACTTTCCCTTCGTCTTTTGCCATGATTGTTTCCTGAGGCCTCCCCAGAAGCAGAAGCACTATGCTTCTTGTATAGCCTGCAGAACCATGAGGCAATTAAACCTCTTTTCTTTATAAATTACCCAGTCTCAGTTATTTCTATATAGCAGTGTGAGAAGAAATGGGTTTTCAGATTGCATCTGAATGGGAACATAATAATTTAAATAATAAATTTAATTTATAATTAATAATAACATGTAATTAATTATAAATTAATTTATAATTAATAATAACATGTAATTAATTATAAATTAATTTATAATTATTAATAACATGTAATTAATTATGAATTAATAATTAATAATAACATGTAATTAATTATAAATTTATAATTAATAATAACATGTAATTAATTATAAATTAATTTATAATTAATAAATTTAATTAATAAAATTGTTTAATAAATTAAACCAAATGACAAAATAGCACATGCAGAATGAATGCAAGCATCTGGAAAAATAAGCATCATTTTAAGACCAATGAAATATTTTCAACATTTCAATAGCAAGCATACTTTTGCTAACATAAGAAAAAAAAACAAAAAGTAAAAAATAAAAATACACAAAACATAGTCTGTAAATGCCATCTAGTAGTTTTGACTGAGTACAAATATACATATTCCTCCAAGTTTCCTAACTGTTCAGCAGGATGTTAGGGACTACCTGAGTCAGAATTCCAGGGGTTCAGGTAGAGAGGTGTTTTCAGTCTATGGGAGGGTGCTGCAATTTTCTTTGTGAACACCTGCAAGACTCTGCATGGTCCAGTCCTGCTTGCCTCACATCTTCATTGCTTCGCCCTTCCCTTCCCTCTTGGGGCTCCAGCCATTCTGCACATCTGTTTTCTCTATGACTGCACCATACCCTTTTCCGTGTCCTAAATCTTGTGCCATCTCCTCCCTTTGTCTGAAATATTTCCCTCCCTATCTTTGCCTAACTACTGGCTTTTCAAGTCTCAGTTCAATGCCACTTCCTTTGGAGGTCTTTGCTGGCCTCTCTAATAAGATTTAGACTAAAAGCTCTCTGAAGTCCCTGGTGCTTAACATGGTGTTGTAAAACCTTATGATTATTTAGAATCCAGATATGCATTCCTTAGGCCTTGATGTTTACTGGGGGCCTTGGGTGTTTCTTAATTTGTTCAATTATTTACAAAAGGTTTTTTTTGGGGTGGGAGGTATAGGCTGTGGGCTATGTACTAGGAAGACAATGATAAATAATACATGGCCTTTCCTTTCAGGGTAATTCCAGTGCAGTAAGAGCGACAATTATTAATCTAAGTATAATAAGTATTTTAGGATGGTGGTGGAAGTGGGGACACAAAGGAGACAGCGGTCAACTCTACTTGGAGAGGTAGAAAGACCTCATGGAGGTGTCTTTGAATTTATCTTGAAAGAAGTCTAGGATTTTACCAGGCAGGCTGTGTGGTACCAGCAATGCCTTGGAATTTGAGACATCATTGCACGTTACAAAAACTGCAAGTTATCTATGTGGCTGCAGCACAAGGTGTGAGAAGGAGAGGAATACAGAAATGGGTGAACAGCAAATGAGAGGTTGAAGAGGTGGTGAGGCACCAAATGCTGTGGGCCATGTTCTAGAATTTGGACTTTATCTTTAAGGCAGTGGAAAGAGAATGAATGGTTTGAAGCAGTTTTTTATTTAGGGAAAATCACTGTCAGTAGTATGGAGGATAACTTAGGGGAAAAAAAAACATGCCAGAGCTTTGCAGTAGAGGGTCCCATCTTGTGTTCAAGAGTGGCCAAGATAAGCAGTCCCTTTGCAAACAAGCCACTTCTGCTCACAGAAGGTCCTTATCACTTCTTAACATTCCTTTGGTGGAGAAGCCCTATAGCCTGAGGCTTTAAAGGGGGCAGAAAATTACAGCAGATTGTCAAAAGAATATGGCAAAGAACCAATAATGGGAGCTAACATCTCTTAAAATTGGCACTTTAATTATTTTAATTTTAAATGAAGTCAGAGGAGGTGAAAAGTATTTTAAATTTTTAAGCAAAGTATATGTAACTGTTTTATAAAAATGAAAACATGCTTAGGGAGAGAGAGCTTATTTAGATAAGTTTTGAGCTTTATCAAAACAATTTTAACACTCTAGCAAATAGGTAGACTTCTTTCTTCTTCAACAGTTTCTTTCTTCTTCAACAGCTACTGCTCACAGTAAAAGAGCACTTGGTGGAAATTTTGTTCTGAAGTGAAGGCTGAAACCCCAGAGATCAAACACTGTACTCAAGTATACAAAGCTGGACTCAGACCCTAACACTGGCTTTAAAATTTGTCCTAACTTAGACCATAATGCCTCTCTTTCCAGCTGGATCTACATGCCTCCACTCTGGCTTTTAACAAGGCTCTGAACTATTGTCAGAACTTGGGAATTTCTAACATTGAAGGTAACACATTGACACAATTTCCTCGATGTAAAATTGTATACACTTTATCCAAGTCCCATCTGAGCATGTTATGTCCTATTTGTACCCTTACAAAAACTGATTGGTGGCCAAATTGATTTGAGACTGAAAGTTGCCACTTATGTTCTTAGAAATACTTGCTTTAATTCACCAGAATCAGTTGCTCTGATACAACTTCTTATAGTCACCTAAGTCAACATAGTAAGAAAATAAACATATAAATTCCCTAAAGATAATTTGATAAAAATTGTTTTTTATATCATTTCCTCAACAATCTCATAATGGTAGCTGACCTATAAAATGACCTTTTTCATAGTTCATTTTTCTTCCATTTCTGGAAAAAAGATAGCATAAGTCTTTCAGTAGGAATTAATACCCATGCATGCTTAGTGGTAAGAAGAAGGCACAGAGGCTTGTTACTGGAAGTCTATAGTTTACAAAACAGTGTCATCTTGAAGGAACAATAGCTCCCATAAAAATGAGTTTTCATATTTTCTTGTATTAATTAACTTTTAAATAATTTCGTAGTTATTCCAGAGTAGAATCACATGGGGGCAATTTAAAGAATTTCATCAATACCTTCAAATTAAATAAACCAGCATCTGGTTGAAAAAAAAAAATCACTTACCTGGAAGGAGAAACCAAAGAAACATCCTCAAATTCTAAAGCTTCATTCAAAATTCAAGGTAAGGAAACCAAATTTCCACAATATGATCCCTTAAAATCACCAAGAATGTTCAAAACTACATTTGATAACAACAGCTCACACAACTACTTGGCTCTCCTAGATTCCTAAGACCCTAACCAGCTAATAGACGTCTGTGGACATATTCAATTCTGCAAAGCTGCAAAATATCTGTGAGAAGATGGTTTTTGAATAGGACTTTTTACTATAGCTATATACTATTTAGTTCAGTAAACTGGGTAGAAAGCATTGAAGCAAACTCGTAACCATTGAACAACAAACTTTAGTTTGCCAAAACTGCTTAGGGACTGGATTAAGGGAAGGCTCTCCTGTTATTTTTATCTCTTTGCCTTTGGTGCTCTCAGCTTTCTGTAGCTAAAGTAGCTTTCAAAAATCTACTTGTGTCATTCCTAGATTAAAGGTCAGTTTAAGTATTGTCCTGTTGAATTCAGAAGGTACATTTAAGCTAGAAAACCACTTGCAGCACATCTAATCCAAATTGCCGACTTTACAGATAGACATTTGGTCTCATAAAAATTAAATGACTAGCTCAGATCAGCATATCTGGTAAGCAGCAGAACTGAGACTTAATTCTGCTGGCCCTCAATATTAGTCTCACCTTCCGGATCTCGCTGACTGGTTGAGATCTTGTCAGCAAGATTTCTCTAATGTTTTAGTACATTAGTCAGCAAGCATTGGGGCATATTGTACATACAAAAAAGGACAGCTAAATTCCTGAGCTCCCTGGACATCCTAAAAGCTAGAATTTTAGTAAAAACCATGTAGTCTTCATTTTGATGATTTTTCCACACTAATTTATTGTATTACTTAGATTATATCTCTTACCCCTCAGTGTCCTTATACTATAGCCACTATGAGAAATTATGTTTTGCTCTAGCAATACGGAGATGAGAGTCAGTTTCTTAATCCCTTCACATCTTCTGGCAGGAACACATCCAGTCTATACCTGCAAAATTTCACCTCTCTCTACAAGTGAAGTATATTTACCTTGTGGTGTTATGAAAGATGTGTCCAGCATCTGGCTACCCAGGAATAGACAGACCTTGTGCCAACACTGCACATTTTCTTAGCTGCATGGGCCTCTGAGAAACATACTCTGAAGACCTTACCCCATGCCTACTTGCAAATGAATCACTGGATGAACCCTGAAGGATGGGCAGAGTTTTAGGTGAAGATGCAGAGGAGGAGGGATAAAGAAATAGCATGGGCCTAACATATGGAGAAAGGGGAGTATAACATGCATTGATGTGGAGGCTTAGGGCACCTAGCAGGCAAGTGTTGGCAAATCTCTCAGATTGATAAGAGTTTAATGATTAAGTGGCAAATTAGTGCAAAATAAAATATAAAGGTATGTTTTGTCATATTAGTGAGGCCTCAAACTCCTACTTTAAATTTATGTTTTTCAGTTTTCAGGCACTGAAATGGCATTTGCTATGGTACTTAGTACAAAGTAAATCTGTGTGACCTGAATTGAATTCTGTAATTTAGGTTTGAGAAGGGTGGAATGAATTGGTATACTTTCTAGAAAATGAAATATTCAATATTTGCGTTTGGATCATCTCACAGCTTATACTTGTATAACATCGGATATGTTCCAGAACATTTCACCTCTCTTGTCTCTTATCCCCATGTGTTGGGGGAGAGAGCGTGGACTTCTGCCACAGTTCCCATTGTACCATGGAGGTGGGGTGACTTGGGGGCCCAAGACATGTTAGGATAACGACTGGAAATAGCCAGCCTCCTAGCTCTCTGCTGCATGCTTTATCTACCAGACCACTCAGCTTTCCCAAATAATTGACATTTCTAACCTGGAATGCTATTAGAAACAATAAAAATAAAGTGTGATATTGTATAAGTACGCTTCAGTTTCGCTGTATGCCAAAACTTCCAGTGGCTGAGCTCTTGTCAAGATGTGATAAAGTCAGCTCATGCAGCTGCTGCTTTGAGTTTTGGTTCGCTCCTGACTTGCAGCTGAAAGAAGCCTTATCTTGCATAAGCAAACTCTTACAAGGACACACCCTTCATATGAAATGCCTTAAATAGTTTCCAAGTCTGAAAACTAAATTTTCTAAATGCTACAGTTTTTTGGCATTGCAATGACCATGAAAACTACTTGATAAATGCATCTGTGGAAGTTATGCTCAGCTAATTTGTGGTAAAACTGGGACAAAAACTCATATCCATTGACTTCCAACTCAATGCCTTTTCTGCCCAATCTCATTGTCTTGGACAGAATTAACGTATAAATGGGAATCTTGCCTGTGCTAAAAGATGTTTGAAGAAGACTGTTCCCATGAAGCAATATTTTAAGGGAACGATTTTGTTTGGCTCTTGAACCAAAGGATTGGCACGTTCAATCTTGGTCAAGTTGTGATAATATAGTTAGATACCCATACTGTCTGTGGCCATTCATTTTTCTTTTTTGGAAGGTTTTTATTAAGCCAAAGCAGCCAACTACAATTTAGAAAAATTGAACTTAAGGATAAAGTGCTTTGTGTGATAGCATCTGAGCCTACTGTTTTGGATAGCCTATTCTCAATACTTTTTATTTGAACTCTTCAGCCAATGGCTCTGGAGAAAAGCGTGGCCTATTAACTGGTGCAGTTAGTGTGCTAGGTGCCAAATGGAATGAGCCAGTTTCTGCTCATCTTCAGAATGGCGTGCTTTGGCAGTCCCCATACAACTAATTGGTAACACTTCTTCCTTTCCTAACTTGGTAGAGAAGGGTGCTGTATTTATTCTATCTCGAAGGTGTTGTGGCCTAGGAGGACTGCAGCTTCCCTTCAGGAAGCCTGAACTTTTTAGCCTCGCTCTGTACTATCCAGCTTCTGGTCATCCACACTGTCCCAAACCATTGCTGAGACAGCAGAGGTGGAGAAAAAAATTGGTCACTCTGTCATTCCAGCCAGTGCACATTCTTCAGCCTGGACAGATGGAAATCAAGATGAATTTCTGTCCACTGTCCCAGTGGGAAAGGAGAGCAGAGTTCTATTCCTGGCTTTGCCACCAAATGGTTGGGGGATCTGTGAAAGTCTCTGAAATTATCTGAGCCTCAGTTTTCTGGCCTCTAAGATGAGAGTAGTGGAACAGATGTCTCTCTTTTTAAACTTTAAAAAAAGTTTTGCTTTTTTCTTGAGATAGGGTCTCACCATATTGCCCATACTAGCCTCAAACTCCTAGGCTCAAGCAATTCTCCTGCCTCATTCTACTGAGCAACTGGGACTATAGGTGCGCACCGCCATGCCTGGCCTGGAATGGATGTCTTCTAAGATGCTTCACCATTCATGAATCATGGAAATCTGTATGTCTAAGATAATAATATTTGTAGTTAACACTTACTGCACACTTACTTCATTCCACACATCTCTCTAACCATTTTTAAAACAACTAGCTGAGACCCTATTGTTATATATTAATTATTCTTTGTGGAGGAGGAAAAAAAAACATCAGAAACATTGCCCGACTTGCTTAAGTTCACACAGCAGCCAAGTGGCAGAGCTGGATTTTGAATTCAGACCTGTGTAACTACAGAACTGTCTGCCAAGGTCTACTGTGATCTATGTAGCAGAAAGAGAATGAGAGAATCAAGTAAGTTGTCATTGAGAGATTAAATTCTCACCAAATTATAATGCAACCAATTCTCAAGCAAGCCTTCACTTCAGCAAATCAGGGCTAAATGAAGAGATATAAAGATGATAATTCACCTTGTTTATAGCCTGAGGGTAGGAGTGTTGTACCTCTAACATAGCATTGTAGGGTGACCTGCAGTGGCAAATCCACATTACGGAAGAACAGATGGTTCTGGTTATTAACAGTTTGTTAACTTGAATCTTAATTTTTCCAGCCAAGCATATTCCAATCTGGTCACTCCTGCCTACTAAAGAATCCTCAGAACAAAAGAGGATTTCACATATTTTACCTGTGTCCGCTTTAGTCTAAGGTTTGGTATTTCTGTAGCTGAACTTCACACACATTAAATTTGGGCTTAAGGAAGTTGGGCTGAATGAAAATAATTTCAATTGAAAACAAAAACTTTATCCCAAAGTTCTCACACCACTGGTACTTCCTTTCTCTGGTTGAACAATACAAAATTGCAGAAATGAAACTAGTTTGTTCTCATCCTTGACTGCATGGTAGAATCATCTGTGATATCCAGGCATTGGATTCTGATGTGCGGCCAGCGGCGAAAACAACTGCTCCAGTTGGTAATATAGATTAATATATGTAAACTTCATCTTCCTGAGTTTCAAGGTCCATTCTTACATTGTCTATGGTTCTAGTGTCACCTTTATCTATAAAGTGAACAGCTACAGTATGGGATATTAGCCTGAACGACTTTAGAAATAACATCATTTGCCATCTTAAATGTTGGTGTTTCTTAGGGTTTTGTTTTAGAGCCACAGTCTCCCTCACTTCCTCCCTCAATTCGCATTTAATTTTACTTTAATCACTTTCCAAGGATAAGCTCATCAGTGTGTGAAACAGACAGAGTTGAACTGCTTGGTGGAAGTTGGCCTGAGTGTTTGGCCTGCAGCCTCACAACCTGTTCCCATCTCTACCTGGCAGCTTCAGAAAGCTCCACAGGAATTTAGATTGGAAATCTTTAGTCTAAAACTTAAGTTTTTCAAATTGTCTGTTGAGAGCCCTTAGTACAAGTATTAGTAAACTTCTTATGTAAAGGGAGAGGGAGTAACTACTTTAGGATTTGTGGGCCATAACTACTTTAGGCTTTGTGGACCATCTACTACAAATATTCAACTCTGTCACTGTGCAAAAGCAGCTACAGACAATATGTAAACCAAAGCATAAATAAACGAGTATGACTATGTTCCAGTAATGATTTGTGGGCAGTAGAATTTGAATTTCGTATAATATCCACATGTTATTATTATTATTTTGATTTTTTTTGTTTCTTTTTTTTTTTTTTTTTGAGACAGAGGCTTGCTCTGTCGCCCAAGCTGGAGTGCAGTGGCCTGATCTCGGCTGACTGCAAGCTCCGCCTCCCGGGTTCACTCCATTCTCCTGCCTCAGCCTCCCAAGTAGCTGGGACTACAGGTGCCCGCCACCAAGCCTGACTAATTTTTTGTATTTTTAGTAGAGATGGGGTTTCACTGTGTTAGCCAGGACGATCTTGATCTCCTGACCTCATGATCCACCCGCCTCAGCTTCCCAAAGTGAGGGGATTACAAGCTTGAACCACTGCACCTGGCCTATTTTGATTTTTTTAAGTACTTAAAAAAGTAAAAATCATTTGTAACTTGTAAGGTATACAAAACTAGGGTGCCGGCCGTTCACAGGCTATAGTTTGCTTGGCCCCTGTATTAGCATAACTAGAATCTTTGGATGTGAAACCCAATCAACAGTGCTACAGAGATTCTCTGAGAAAATTCAAACCTGCAGTCAAGATGGTGCATTCCTCTAGTAATGGGCTATGAAATCAGTCCAGTGGGTTGTCACTGGCACTAAAAATTTAAGTTCCTCCTTGTACCTCTGGTAGAATTCGGCTGTGAATCCATCTGGTCCTGGACTCTTTTTGGTTGGTAAGCTATTGATTATTGCCACAATTTCAGAGCCTGTTATTGGTCCATTCAGAGATTCAACTTCTTCCTGGTTTAGTCTTGGGAGAGTGTATGTGTCAAGGAATCTATCCATTTCTTCTAGATTTTCTAGTTTATTTGCGTAGAGGTGTTTGTAGTATTGTCTGATGGTAGTTTGTATTTCTGTGGGATCGGTGGTGATATCCCCTTTATCATTTTTATTGCATCTATTTGATTCTTCTCTCTTTTTTTCTTTATTAGTCTTGCTAGCGGTCTATCAATTTTGTTGATCTTTTCAAAAAACCAGCTCCTGGGTTCATTAATTTTTTGAAGGGTTTTTTGTGTCTCTATTTCCTTCAGTTCTGCTCTGATTTTAGTTATTTCTTGCCTTCTGCTAGCTTTTGAATGTGTTTGCTCTTGCTTTTCTAGTTCTTTTAATTGTGATGTTAGGGTGTCAATTTTGGATCTTTCCTGCTTTCTCTTGTGGGCATTTAGTGCTATAAATTTCCCTCTACACACAGCTTTGAATGTGTCCCAGAGATTCTGGTATGTTGTGTCTTTGTTCTCATTGGTTTCAAAGAACATCTTTATTTCTGCCTTCATTTCGTTATGTACCCAGTAGTCATTCAGGAGCAGGTTGTTCAGTTTCCATGTAGTTGAGCGGTTTTGAGTGAGTCTCTTAATCCTGAGTTCTAGTTTGATTGCACTGTGGTCTGAGAGACAGTTTGTTATAATTTCTGTTCTTTTACATTTGCTGAGGAGAGCTTTACTTCCAACTATGTGGTCAGTTTTGGAATAGGTGTGGTGTGGTGCTGAAAAAAGTGTATATTCTGTTGATTTGGGGTGGAGAGTTCTGTAGATGTCTATTAGGTCCACTTGGTGCAGAGCTGAGTTCAATTCCTGGGTATCCTTGTTAACTTTCTGTCTCATTGATCTGTCTAATGTTGACAGTGGGGTGTTAAAGTCTCCCACTATTATTGTGTGGGAGTCTAAGTCTCTTTGTAGGTCACTCAGGACTTGCTTTATGAATCTGGGTGCTCCTGTATTGGGTGCATATATATTTAGGATAGTTAGCTCTTCTTGTTGAATTGATCCCTTTACCATTATGTAATGGCCTTCTTTGTCTCTTTTGATCTTTGTTGGTTTAAAGTCTGTTTTATCAGAGACTAGGATTTCAACCCCTGCCTTTTTTTGTTTTCCATTTGCTTGGTAGATCTTCCTCCATCCTTTTATTTTGAGCCTATGTGTGTCTCTGCACATGAGATGGGTTTCCTGAATACAGCACACTGGTGGGTCTTGACTCTTTATCCAATTTGCCAGTCTGTGTCTTTTAATTGGAGCATTTAGTCCATTTACATTTAAAGTTAATATTGTTATGTGTGAATTTGATCCTGTCATTATGATGTTAGCTGGTGATTTTGCTCATTAGTTGATGCAGTTTCTTCCTAATCTCGATGGTCCTTACATTTTGGCATGATTTTGCAGCGGCTGTTACCGGATGTGCCTTTCCATGTTTAGTGCTTCCTTCAGGAGCTCTTTTAGGGCAGGCCTGGTGGTGACAAAATCTCTCAGCATTTGCTTGTCTGTAAAGTATTTTATATCTCCTTCACTTATGAAGCTTAGTTTGGCTGTATATGAAATTCTGGATTGAAAATTCTTTTCTTTAAGAATGTTGAATATTGGCCCCCGCTCTCTTCTGGCTTGTAGAGTTTCTGCCGAGAGATCTGCTCTTAGTCTCATGGGCTTCCCTTTGTGGGTAACCCGACCTGTCTCTCTGGCTGCCCTTAGCATTTTTTCCTTCATTTCAACTTTGGTGAATCTGACAATTACGTGTCTTGGAGTTGCTTTTCTCGAGGAGTATCTTTGTGGCGTTCTCTGTATTTCCTGAATCTGAATGTTGGCCTGCCTTGCTAGACTGGGGAAGTTCTCCTGGATAATATCCTGCAGAGTGTTTTCCAACTTGTTTCCATTCTCCCCATCACTTTCAGGTACACCAATAAGATGCAGATTTGGTCTTTTCACATATCCCATATTTCTTGGAGGCTTTGTTCATTTCTTTTTATTCTTTTTTCTCTAAACTTCCCTTCTCGCTTCATTTCATTCATTTCATCTTCCATCACTGATACCCTTTCTTCCAGTTGATCACATTGGCTCCTGAGGCTTCTGCATTATTCACGTAGTTCTCGAGGCTTGGCTTTCAACTCCATCAGCTCCTTTAAGCACTTCTCTGTATTGGTTATTCTAGTTATACATTCGTCTAAACTTTTTTCAAAGTTTTCAACTTCTGTGCCTTTGGTTTGAATTTCCTCCTGTAGCTTGGAGTAGTTTGATCGTCTGAAGCCTTCTTCTCTCAATTCGTCAAAGTCATTATCCGTCCAGCTTTGTTCCGTTGCTCGAGAGGAACTGTGTTCCTTTGGAGGAGGAGAGGTGCTCTGCTTTTTAGAGTTTCCAGTTTTTCTGCTCTGTTTTTTCCCCATCTTTGTGGTTTTATCTACTTTTGGTCTTTGATGATGGTGATGTACAGATGGGTTTTTGGTGTGGATGTCCTTTCTATTTGTTAGTTTTCCTTCTAACACATAGGACCCTCAGCTGCAGGTCTGTCGGAGTTTGCTAGAGGTCCACTCCAGAGGAACTGGTACCATTCCTTCTGAAACTATTCCAATCAATAGAAAAAGAGGGAATCCTCCCTAACTCATTTTATGAGGCCAGCATCATCCTGGTACCAGAGCCGGGCAGAGACACAACCAAAAAAGAGAATTTTAGACCAATATCCTTGATGAACATTGATGCAAAAATCCTCAATAAAATCCTGGCAAACCGAATCCAGCAGCACATCAAAAAGCTTATCCACCATGATCAAGTGGGCTTCATCCCTGGGATGCAAGGCTGGTTCAATATACGCAAATCAATAAATGTAATCCAGCATATAAACAGAACCAAAGACAAAAACCACATGATTATCTCAATAGATGCAGAAAAGGCCTTTGACAAAATTCAACAACTCTTTCATGCTAAAAACTCTCCATAAATTAGGTATTGATGGGATGTATCTCAAAATAATAACAGCAATCTATGACAAACCCACAGCCAATATCATACTGAATGGGCAAAAACTGGAAGCATTCCCTTTGAAAACTGGCACAAGACAGGGATGCCCTCTCTCACCACTCCTATTCAACATAGTATTGGAAGTTCTGGCCAGGGCAATTAGGCAGGAGAACGAAATAAAGGGTATTCAATTAGGAAAAGAGGAAGTCAAATTGTCCCTGTTCACAGACGACATGATTGTATATCTAGAAAACCCCATTGTCTTGGCCCAAAATCTCCTTAAGCTGATAAGCAACTTCAGCAAAGTCTCAGGATAGAAAATCAAGGTACAAAAATCACAAGCATTCTTATACAACAATAACAGACAAACAGAGAGCCAAATCATGAGTGAAATCCCATTCACAATTGCTTCAAAGAGAATCAAATACCTAGGAATCCAACTTACAAGGGATGTTAAGGACCTCTTCAAGGAGAACTACAAACCACTGCTCAATGAAATAAAAGAGGATACAAACAAATGGAAGAACATTCCATGCTCATGGGTAGGAAGAATCAATATCGTGAAAATGGCCATACTGCCCAAGGAAATTTATAGATTCAATGCCATCCCCATCAAGCTACCAATGACTTTCTTCACAGAATTTGAAAAAACTACTTTAAAGTTCATATGGAACCAAAAAAGAGCCCGCATTGCCAAGTCAATCCTAAGCCAAAAGAACAAAGCTGGAGGCATCACGCTACCTGGCTTCAAACTATACTACAAGGCTACAGTAACCAAAACAGCATGGTACTGGTACCAAAACAGAGATATAGATCAATGGAACAGAACAGAGCCCTCAGAAATAACGCCGCACATCTACAACTCTCTGATCTTTGACAAACCTGAGAAAAACAAGCAATGGGGAAAGGATTCCCTATTTAATAAATGGTGCTGGGAAAACTGGCTAGCCATATGTAGAAAGCTGAAACTGGATCCCTTCCTTACACTTTATACAAAAATTAATTCAAGATGGATTAAAGACTTAAACGTTAGACCTAAAACCATAAAAACCCTAGAAGAAAACCTAGGCATTACCATTCAGGACATAGGAATGGGCAAGGACTTCATGTCTAAAACACCAAAAGCAATGGCAACAGAAGCCAAAATTGACAAATGGGATCTAATTAAACTAAAGAGCTTCTGCACAGCAAAAGAAACTACCATCAGAGTGAACAGGCAACCTACAGAATGGGAGAACATTTTTGCAACCTACTCATCTGACAAAGGGCTAATATCCAGAATCTACAATGAACTCAAACAAATTTACAAGAAAAAAACAAACAACCCCATCAAAAAGTGGGCAAAGGATATGAACAGATACTTCTCAAAAGAAGACATTTATGCAGCCAAAAGACACATGAAAAAATGCTCATCATCACTGGCCATCAGAGAAATGCAAATCAAAACCACAATGAGATACCATCTCACACCAGTTAGAATGGCAATCATTAAAAGTCAGGAAACAACAGGTGCTGGAGAGGATGTGGAGAAATAGGAACACTTTTACATTGTTGGTGGGACTGTAAACTAGTTCAACCATTGTGGAAGTCAGTGTGGCGATTCCTCAGGGATCTACAACTAGAAATACCATTTGACCCAGCCATCCCATTACTGGGTATATACCCAAAGGACTATAAATCATGCTGCTATAAAGACACATGCACATGTATGTTTATTGCGGCACTATTCACAATAGCAGAGACTTGGAACCAACCCAAATGTCCAACAATGATAGACTGGATTAAGAAAATGTGGCACATATACACCATGGAATAATATGCGGCCATAAAAAAGGATGAGTTCATGTCCTTTGTAGGGACATGGATGAAACTGGAAATCATCATTCTCAGCAAACTATCGCAAGGACAAAAAACCAAACACCGCATGTTCTCACTCATAGATGGGAACTGAACAATGAGAACACATGGACACAGGAAGGGGAACATCACACTCTGGGGACTGTTGTGGGGTGGGGGCAGGGGGGAGGGATAGCATTAAGAGATATACCTAATGCTAAATGACGAGTTAATGGGTGCAGCACACCAGCATGGCACATGTATACATATGTAACTAACCGGCACATTGTGCACATGTACCCTAAAGCTTACAGTATAATAATAATAAAAAAAATTAAGTTGTATTCTAGGTGTGGTGGGTCGTGCCTGTAACCCCAGTGCTTTGGGAGGCCAAGGCAGGAGGATTGCTTGAGGCCAGGAGCTCGAGACCACCCTGGGCAACATAAGAAGACCCCGTATTTACAAATTAAATAACAAAAAAATTAGTCAGGTGTGGTTGAGCACACCTGAAGTCTCAGCTACTTGAGAGGCAGAAGCTGGAGAATCACTTGAATCCAGCAGTTCAAGACTGAAGTAAGTTATGACTGTGCCGTTGCAGTCCAGCTTAGGCCACAGAGCAAAATCTTGTCTCTAAAAAAAATTAAGTTGTATAAAATAGGAGAGAATATATCAAAGTACATCACACAGAATAAGGGAAGGTATTATTTTGTGGAATTTTATTTCAGACAAGTGTGTGTGTGAGTCTGTGTGCTGTGAGTTGTAGTGCACATTAACAGTGTCTCAATAATACTTGATTATGTTTTGAGCCTGATGAACCTGGTTATACCCTATGTGAATACCTGGCTGCCAGATCAATAGCATATGAAATACCTGAAATGCACTCACGGCCTGCACAAGCCATTGACCAGTGGCTCATGCACACCTTTATCCAGCTTATCTAGCTCCAGAAAGTCTAAGACTTTATATGTGTGCTGAACCACTAAAATGGGAATTCTGAGAGAGAATGCTTTCAAAAACATAAAGTTAGCTAATGGGACAATTTCAAGTAGGCTATATACTTTAGAAACACATGAAAGGATAAGTGCAAATAAAACATAGTATATATATCAAAAGAGCAGAAACAAGGAATCATAAAATATGAAATAGGATAACAGAAATAAGATGCTAAATGTCAGTTGTGAATTAATGAATTCATATGGATTATGGTTTTGTATTAAAAGACAGAAACTTTTAGATTGAGTCAAAAGAGATAGGTTACAACTGGTGCAATGGCTCATGCCTGTAATCCCAACACTTTGGGAGGCCGAGGCAGGTGGATTGCCTGAGCTCAGGAGTTGGAGACCAGCCTGGGCAACACTGTGAAACCCCGTCTCTACTAAAATACAAAAAATTAACTGGGCGTGGTGGTGTGCGCCTGTATTCTCAGCTACTTGGGAGGCTGAGGCAGGAGAATTGCTTGAACCTGGGAGGCAGAGGTTGCAGTGAGCTGAGATCGTGCCACTGCACTCCAGCCTGGGCGACAGAACGAGACTCCATCTTCAAAATAAATCAATAAATACATATAAAACCAAACAGGAATAACCATATTAATCTTAGGCAAAGTAGAATTAAGAGCAAAGACATTACAAACAGTGAAAAAGATTTACTTGTGTCATTAAGCAATATATTTCACAATGATTCTTAAGTAATTATGGACCATTTTAGCCCAATAATATAGCAACGAGAAACATAAAGCAGAATAAGAAATTGGCAAAAATACAATACCATTGAGAAATTTTAAGTTTTCTCCAATTGTGATAGATCAAGAAAGCAAAAAACAAACACAGAAAGGATCTGAAATATATCTGCTTGCAATCACAAGCTATGGATTTATATGATTTTTTGCTAACGAATCAATGAAGACAGATTTTATTAGGCATTCCCATATTCCCATACACTCATTTTGAAAGAACATTTCTGTATTTCCTGATACAATGTTTCTGAGGTCTGAATCTAGCAGAATAGTTCAGGAAAGGTAGCAAGGGGAGAACTTTTGTGGTCTTTTTCCTAGCAAAATGCAATTTCAGTGCCATGATCTCTATTCTCAGTTGCCTCAAATAGCTGTACTATTCATGTTTTATGTTTTGTATTTATTTCCTTCTATTTTGGTTTTAAAAAATATAATGATGACTGGGAAATAAGTGATAACATCAAAAGGAGGCCTCCAGAATTTAAAAACATTTTCTATAGCCCATATAAAAAGGAGCAAAAGGCTAACATAACAGCCACACAGTTAGAGTTCCTTAGCTGCACCACGTGAGGAAGACAGACCGTCAACCTTCATTAAAGTCTTCAGCTTGGTGAAAGCACAAGCAGAACACTGAGTGACAATGTTGTAAGAGTAACGGAGCCAATCCTGGAACATCACTAGGTATGGTACAGGCAACATAACATATTCTCCAAGTGCACAGATTCTGCAGTGGAACTGCCTAGGCTCAAACTGATTCCTCTAGCAACTACCTGAGACCTTGCAAAATTAACTTGATCTCTATATTTTTGTTCCATCATTATACATGGATTAGTCTCTACCTTATAGAATTATTGAACAGATTAAGTTAAAATGCACATAATTTTTTTTTGCAAGAATGGAAAACCTAATCCTAAAATTTCTATGAAATTGTTAGGGATCTAAATAGCTAAAACAATCTGGAAGAAGAACAAAGTTCAGTGAATCACACTTCATGAATTCAAAACTTCTAACCAAGTAACAGCAATAAAATCTGTGTGATTTTGCCCCAAGAACAGACATATTCTTCGGATAGAATTGAGACTCCAGAAATAAACTCATATATCCATGGCCAATTAACTTTCAAGAAGGGTGTCAAGACCATTCAATGGGCAAAGGATAGTCTCTTCAACAAATGGTGCTGGGACAGCTGCAAAATAATAAAGGTGGACTCTTATCATACATCATACAGAAAAATTAACTGATAATAAACCAAAGATCTAAATATAAGAGAAGAACTACAAAACTCTTAGAAGAAATCATAGGGAGAAATTTTTATGACTTTAAATTTGGCAATCATTTTCAGATATGATATCAAAAGCGTAAGCAACAAAAGAAAAAAAAATTGGACTTGAAAATGAAAAACATTTGTGCATCAAAGGACACTATCAAAAGTAAAAACAAAAATCTACAGAATGAAGGAAAAGATTTGCAAATAGTATATCGGATAAGACTCTTTATCCAGAACATAGAAAGAACTCTTACAACTTAGCAACAGAAAGACAAAAATAGATTTAAAAATGGGTGAAGGACTAGAACCAACATTTCTCCAAAGATATGCAAAATGCAGTTACCAACAACTACATGAGAAGATTCTCAGCATCATGAGTTATCAGGAAAATGCAAGAAACCACAGTGAAAAACCATTTCATACCCTCTGAAATGGCTATAATTAAAAAAATGAAAAAGTACAATTTCTGGCAAGATTGTGGAGAAATTGGCACCTCATACACTCTGGTGAAAAGGTCAAAAGGTGCAGCTCCTGTGGAAAAGAGTTGAGCAGTTCCTTAGTAAGTTAAACATAAAATTACTATGACCCAGAAATTCTACCCCTATACATCTTTGAGTATTAAAAGTGGGTTCAAACAAAACTAGTACAGGAATATTTATAGCAGCACTATTCACAATAGCCAAAAGGTGGAAACAACACAAATTTTAATCAAATGATGGATCGATAAGCAAAATGTGATATATCAACCCAAATTTTCATCAAATGATGGATGGATAAACAAAATGTGATATACCAACACAATGGAATAACATTTATTATAAAAGGAATGAAATACTGATACACGCTACAATATGGATGAACTTTAAACACATTATTTTAAGTGAAAGAAGCCATACACAAAAGGCTACCTATTATATGATTCCATTTATATGAAATATCTAAAATGGGTAAATCTGTAGAGGTAGAAAACAAATTAGTGGTTTCCAGGGGCTGGAGGAATTGGAAGTGGCTGCTAATGGGTAAGAGGTTTCCTTTTGGAGTGATGAAAATGTTCTGGAGCTACATAATGGTGATGGGTGTGCATCATTTTGAATGCATTAAATGCTACCGATTGTACACTTTAAAATGGTTCAAATGGTAAACTTATGTGTATTTTACTACAATTTTAAAAATTAAGTGTATGTAAATCGCTTAGAACAGTGCATGGCACAAAGTGAGTGCTATATCACTGTTGGTTTTTATTATTCAGAACCTGCCTATGTACGGAACCTAACCTGCTGTATATAAATCTAGGGATGGAAATACCAAAGTTGATCAAATAACTGTTTATAGAACTTTGTACACTACAAACAAAGATGACATCATTTTTCCAGAGCTTACATATAATAATTTGGGTTAGACAGAAATTCTTAATAAATATCACAAATAAATTGTATAGTCATAGTCTATGACCAACGTACAAAAATGAAAGACTTCTTAGAAAGCAGAGATTGTGTTTGTTCGATTTACTTTTTAAAATATATTAAAACTTGTCCTGATTATATTATATGGTTCTCTTTGCAGAAAATTTAGAAAGTATTTAAAATGAGAAAAAAAAAATAAAATCTTACAATCCCAACACTCAGAGATACACCCGGAATTTTTTTTTCAACATTTTTGCTTTAGTTTTAGTTTAGTTCATTTATCACAGAAAACTACACAGATAGGTACTTACTAAAGATGTGGATATGATAATAATGGCTGGAAATCTATGATGTAAAAATGTAGGTCCAGCCTGATTTTGTCAGCACCATATAAGAAGGATTGGGTTTTTTTTTTGAGCAAAAGATATTACATTTGCAGTTGGTGTCAAAATATAATCTGTAAAGATAACTTGGGGGAAATTCCTCAAAAGTATACTTCTCAAATAGTCTCATAGATGTTTTGAATAATCTTCTAGAAACCAAGGTGAAAAGAAATTTATCACAAGAATGTGAAGCTAAATTTCCTAATTTAAAATCACTACGAAGTAAGTTTGAGATACCATCCCTACTTTCCCCTCTATTCAGACCTTTTCTGCAAAGGAGTTCACAGTGGGTGTCTGTTTCTCTCTAAAAACCCTATTTCACACCAAGCTAAAGATATCTATAGATTTGGCAACTAGTCCAGCTCATCTCAGGCTGAATTTTGGGGATTCATTGGGGTTTACAGATGAAAAATGATTGTAGATACCATCTACTCGGCGCTTTATTGAAAAGGCACAAGAAAACTGAGGCCCACGGGTGTTAAATGATTTTTCATGGCTAAACTAGTCTGCCACAAAATTCTGGTCATTTGTCATTTGTCATTTTGAGTAGTTGATACTGACTGCCTACTATGTGGCTGACAATGTGTGGGACACATAAGCAAAGACACAGGTTTGGCTTTTAAAGAATTTATAGTCATGTATTCCCTGGCATACAGTTCCTGTAACTCTTTCCTGTGCCAATTAAATAGACAGCTAGCAAGGCTCTCTTCTTGGATCCCTGAAAAAAAAAAAAAAAAAAGAGATGCCTTGTTTCTTCACTTAACATGTGCTTTTCAGACTGATGTACCTGCTGTGGTATGAGTCAGATGCACAGGGCAATAATGATCTGTCTATGCGGAGCACTCACTGTGTCTAACCAGATGAAAACAAATATTTCCTCTTTCCTTTCCTCCTCCCCTTCCTCCTGTCTCTTCCTTTCCCTTCTCTCTTCTCCCTTCTTGCCTCCCTCTCTCTCTCCATCCTCTCTTCTTTCCTTCCTTTTTCCTTTTCCTTCTTCCTTTCTCTCCCTCTCTGCTTATCTCTCCTTCTCCCTCCCTTCACCTCCTTCCTTGCTTATTCAACCAATATGCTACTATAAATACCAATCGGGAACTGTGCTAGATTCTGGGGATACACGGCTGAATAAAGTAGGCATGATGATATCACACCAGTCCCTTTGTTTCCTCCAATTAAATTAGTATATTATGACCTAGAATGCAAATTTTGTATGAATTTTTAAGTAAACACAAAAAAGCTTTTGGAGACTCCTGGTTTATGCCATAATTTCCTAGTTGAAGTGATATAGTACTGTATTTTCAAATTGGTTCTTAGCTTCAGAATCTGATTTTCAGATAAAAGCTCCAGCTTTTCCTTGAAAACACTAACTTACCTCCTGTTTCAGAATTTTTGCTCTTGCTCTTCCCTCTGCCTTCTGTCCTCTTTTCCCAGAATTTTCAGGGTTGGCTCCATTCTCCTTGTTCCACGTTTAGCATAAATGTCATCTACTCAGAAAATAACTCCCTGCTACCCTTTTCTTAAGCAGTTTTCGGCATTCATGTTTATCATCTTACCTGGTTTTATATGCTTTGTATTATTTTTGACTGTTTTTATCTTATTTTAATAAGATAGTTGTTGTTCCATTTATTATCTGCGTTCCCTCCCACCATCCACTGTGCCCAACCTCCGTGTATCCTCCATGGGAGCCCATTTTTCTTCCTGCCCTGGGCTCAGTGTCTGGTTCACAATCTGACATGTAATGACTGAATCATCAAATGAGTGCAGGAATTCAGGGACTGCGAATCAAGTCATATTAGAAAAAATGGTTCTCCATTTGGAAGAAGATCTCTGGTAAGTTTAGAATTAGAAATATTGGCTTTATTCTTAAGATTCCTGGAGAAAGCAAGGCAATCGTCTTTTTTTCATAGCAAAAAAAAAAAAAAAAAAGAAAAAAAAAGAAAAAGACTTCACCATGTTTAGTCTTCAGCTAATCAGTATGGGGGAAAAACTTGATCTTACACCTTTCTGTTATACTATTAAGTAGCCACATCAAGAGAGTTTCCTTGGAGGGTTTCTGAAGCTACGAAGATGATAACAGCTTGGGTACTGGAGACCATTGTAGCTTTCAGGGTCATCTTGCCCCAGTGACCTCTTTATTAAGTGCCATTTAAGGCTTTAATTCACTATCTGCTTGTGTAGTTGTAGAAATTAAAAAAAAAAATCATTTCTTTGCCAGGAACCCTTTCCAAATTTGGGGCACTTGTAAGTCACACAGAGTTTTCCCAAATGCTGGGCACACCCCCCAGTAGAGTATGCAGTGTCTAATTTTGTTTGAGTTACATCCAGTTTGGTTTGCCCCATGGAGCAACACAAAGAATACATCTTTTTTTTCTGTGTAATAGCACTTCAAATATATGAATACATATACAAATATTACACTACATCCCTTTCATTTGTTTTTTCTTCAAACTAAATGTTTTCATACTTTTCTGCTTAAAAAATTAGAGTAGCTATGTTTGTTTTCTGTTTTCTTTCTGTAATTTTCTTTTCTCTCTGACTTTTCAGAAATCACCAATCACATACGTAGGTTTGTTCCCTAGTCTGTAACTACTGATAGCTACTGCTTATTTTAATAATATATTATTAATACTTATTAATCATGATAGTTAATTCTAATCATAGAAAATGCATAGTAAGCTTAACATTTTACTTTGTTTCAGGCATCAGTAAGTGTATTCCATTAAACATTTTGTTTAATCTTTACGCAATTATTATAAGGCAAGTGCCAACATTGCCTGCATTTTAAAGACAAGGACACATAAAAATGTGGGCACATAATTTGCCTTAATGTTCCCCAGCCTTGAGAAGTAAAACTAGATTTGAACCCAGTTCTGTGTGTTCCTCATGCCTGTGCTCTTAACTATTGCACTATTTTATCCTCCCCTAGGGTATCTTAGAAAATGCTGATCTCTCTTCCCTGTATGCTACAGAGTATGCTCAGTAGATCCTCTCTTCCCTGTATGCTACTGTATGCTCAGTAGATCCTTGATACTTGCTCTCACTTGGATTACAGCAATGTCTAATAGACTCAGAATGTTTCAAGCAACTGCCTGCCCCCTGTGTGCTGGGCACTAGTATTGCTAACACATAAGCACTGCACTTGAGAGGATGTTTAACTATAATATTCTCAGAAAGAGGCCAAAATCATGTTTATTTAATACACTAAATTAATAATTAAATTTAAACTAAGTTAAATTCAAATTATTGAATACAATTTAATAATGACCCTATGATATTTATTTTAATGGATTTAAATTTCTCCTAAAATTCACATGACATCTAAGCCAGTAAGAGTTGTTTTTGTTTTTGTTTCTTCCTATGTGACACTTTAGTAATGGACCCACAGAGAAGCGAACAACTCCCCACGGTTTCAGTGTTCATGCTTTTGGCTTCTCACCATTTGGCAGAAATAGGAAATTATACCTTTTTAAAACTAAAAGCCATATAACACCTTTGTTAATAACTCTTTAGTTTGGAAATGAATCTCCTTATAACTCAAACAAAGCAATACATTTATTCACAGAGAGCTATTTCTCATAGCATTTGATAAAATTAGTTTAATTCTAGCTAGACTTAGAATTGAAGTAAGCTTCTCATACTAGAAAACTGGATTCGGCCATAAATACTGGGCTCCCTTGTGCCATTTCCCCCACATTGGTAGCTGAGTTCCAGTAAAATCCATCCACCAGACTGGAAGAGGAAATACTACTCATTTATGCATTTAAATAAGATAGAACTAAAATAGGGTAGTTTACATTTTATTCTATGATCTCATACCCAATATAACAGAACCAAGATGAAATAAAATCACTTACCTGACAATAGTAATACAAAGATTATTTTTCCATACATCCTGAGATCACGAGCTGGCTCCTGAAGTTAGTGCAAAAAAACTACCAAAGACAACTGCAAGTGTCAGTGTCTGGCCTTAGCCTGCTAGCTGTTATCTTCCAGGCCCACCTTCCTGTGGCCATCATCAGCTGATAGGCAGGGGAGGCATTTTAAATGATGCAAGTTGTTAAGCGCCTGTTAATAAAGATACATGGATATCTTGGGGCTATGAAAGTGGTAAGTACAATTTTCACTGCAAGGAACAGGTGGCTACTTGTGATATTAACTTTGCATCAGTTAAGTGGGCATGGTAAGGTGGTAGACAGGAGCCACCCAACTGGACAAAGAACTGGACTGTGAATCTCTGAGGCCAGGGCACGTGCCAGGCTGAGGTAGCTGTTGTGGAGCCATAGACCTTCTCATTTCTAATGTCAAGACCCGGTGGTCCAGATGAAAGTGACTTCCTATATGTGAAATGAACATATTTGAGAAATTTAAATCATTTGAGTGTTCTGAGGTTCTGAAAGACTCCCAAACTCATGGTGAGTCACACAGCAATGTAAGAGACATGAGATGCAACAAATCTTTCAGTGAAAATAGAGTTTGAACTGAAGAGCTAGTGCTGTGCAGCTATGAAACCAGTGAGCTGTTTCTGTCTGAAATATACCTTGCTAAGTAAGCATAAATGAATACCAAGACAATAAATGAAAACAGTCAGAAACAAAACCCAACAAACCAAAAACCTTATCATTAAAGTAGGTTAAAATGAAAGGTATGGAAATGTGAGGAAGCTCAATTTTAAAGGGAGACAGAACAAAAAATATAAATTAGGTCTGAAATGGTTCAACAGAAGGTGACTGGATACTCCATCTAAATCATCTTACTTCCTGTAAGATTTTTGTGAAAGTCTTTCCTGCCTGACCCAGAAAATCAATTTGCTATGTAAGCAATTTGCCACATATATCATACTTACATATTTACCCAAAGTGTGGTTTAAAAAAATCATTTATGAAGCTAATGTTTGCAGATTCAGGAAACTGGACCACAGAGAAAAAAAAGTATTTACTGGATAAAAGATGGAGATAAGTATCAGCAGAGCATCCCAGAGAGGGAGGAGCCTGAGATTGAGGGACTAATGGATGGAGGGAGTGGAGATGCAGACTTGGGAGAGACGGAAGAATGAATGACACAGACGGGGTAATCTGAGCAGCAGGAAAAGAATCCAGAGTGCCTCTTAAGGCCCTGCCAATTCATGTAAAACAACTGCAGCAAATTTTATTAAAAACTTAAAATTAAACAATACATAATAATTTAATACCTTCCATAAATTCAGTGTTTGTTATGGCTGGATATCAGTTTGGGTTGCAGGAATTGTGCTCAAGAGTCAACCAAGTAAAGGAAATGTTGTTGATATTCATATAAGCAGTAAGAATTAATTCACATGATTTTATATTGACAAAGGGAGAGCGATTAGCATGAGTCTTAAAAATGCTATTTCTGAAAATGGGTAAATAAATGTCACTATTCTTACGATGGACTATTAGAGCAACTATTAAAATCATGTTTTCAAAAATAAAGATATGGAGACTCAGGATAAAATGGATAAGTGGAAAACAGCAAGATCTGAAAATTGTATATACACAAATAAAATCCTATTGGATTCTTTTTTTCCTGGGTTGTGCTATCTTCACCTGGAATACACCTACTCCTTTTTAGGTGGCCTCCAATTCTGCTTAGGGTCTTCATTGAATAGTACTTCCTCCACGAAGCCTTCCCTGACTTCCTGTCTTTGTCAGGTGCCCCTGCTCTATACTTGTGTGGTTCCATCTTCTTCCCTTATCACAGGACTTATTACACTACGTTGCAATCATTGTGTCTCCACTGGACTACAGTTTTTAAGTGGACACACCCTGACTATGGCTATCTTATTTACCAATGAGTGCTTGGGGCACACTTGACAATAAATATTTCTCAAATCAATAAATGACAAATGAATATTGCAGTGCAGAGGAAAGCAACTTCTCACGGGCAGTCCTGGGTGTATAGGCTGATCATTTTTTATATATCCTGCGGGTAACCTATGTCATATCCTAGCTTCAGGTTCCCTCCAGTATGGAGGTCCATTGCTAAGGCAGGAAGGGGAAAATGAAAAGGAAACTCAGCCTAAAATTCAGCTTTCATACCTTCTTCAGCCTGGACTGGTCAGAGTCTGAGAGTGCTTTCTTTTCCATGACCTCCCACTTTCCTTTCCTGCAGAATCACATCGTTAGCAATTCTCTAAACTCCTGTAGTGCTGACACAGGCCTGTTTATTAACACCTGTCTCAGGTTGTTGTGAACAATCTGTTCCTTTGTATTTGTGGGTCCTGTCTCTGTTGTTCTGTTTCCAGCATCTGGCACAATGCCCTATAGAGTACCTGGCCCTATTAAAGTAAGTCAAAACCTGGAGGGTTCTCAATGAGGAAATCAGAGGTCAGATTCAGCACCTCACACAGGGTGTGAGGAAGCAGTGCCGTACAGTGCTCTCTAGTGGCGTATCTGCACAATGGAAGGAAAAAATGTGAGCCCCGTAAATGCAACAACAAAAAAAATACATCAGATTACATTTTTCTCTTTCAGGCATTCCTTAATCTTCTTTAAATTTTTCAGAAATATTTTTACTGAAGTACACATTCATAATTATCATAAAATTCTACCTATGAGCTATATCATGCAAATTATTAGACAAATCCACATCTTTTAAGAATTTTGAATCTTTGCATAAAATAAAACAAGTACTTTTGAGGCATTTAATCAAACATAAAAAACTTATCCAATTTTCTTGATACTACATGTCTTTAAGCTATTTTTTGAATTGCCCGAGTCATTTCTATGACGTAGTTAAGAAGGATGAAGTTCAATGTTATAATCTAGGAAAGGCAACTTGGATCGATCAACACAAACTTATACCTTGCTTGTTTCATGACAGAGAACCATTCATTTTTGTCAATTACTTACCTCTCAACTATTTCAGGCTTAGATTATTCCTGAAGATGGTTGCATGCTAGTCTGATCTGCCAGTGGAGAAGTGTGCTTTTCATGTTTTGCATGGAGGAGTGGAGAACAGGGGAGGGGCAGGAAAGTTGAGGCACTGTGGTTTATACTACTAGCCTCCTTGGTACCTCATCGCCTTAGAATTGTCCAGCCTGCCTTGCCAGAGTAGTCTAAGAACTTTCCCTGACCTTTGTTAGTTTATCATTTCAAAATTTTTTTAAAATAAAAAAACAACTACAAGTAAGATAAATCTAACACTCAAAATAACCCTGTTAGAGAGGCAGAACAGATATTAGCATTCTTATTTTATTTTATTTTATTTTTATTTATTTATTTTTTTGCAATTAACTTGTACTTTATTTTGAAGTTGTGACCGGAAAGTTGTTTTAAAGTCTGTCTTTAAACTTACAAATATTATGTCAAATTGCTCCTAAGAGAGGATCAGTAGAGATTTAGTTCTTATAGTATTTCCTCAATTATATTTGGCAAATTAGATTTTCAAAACAAGAGTTTAACTTGTTATTAATTCTTCATGTTTACATACTTAAACCTCAGGTAGAAAAGTATTACAAGCTATCAGTGGCGTCTGCAATATAGGTGGGAAAGGTGAGTGCAAAGAATAACACATATTCTATATTAACAGTAAACATAGCTATTTCTGTTCTCCCTCAGCTACCAAAAACTGTCTTAAGCCTCCAGATTTAAAACCGCTGGGTTCATTCACTCATTCAGCCATTTATTTTTGTGAGCATCTCTTAGGCAGTCATGTGCTATGCTAATCCTATCTGACTCTTCCCTCTCCTTTGTCCTTCAAACCCCGTTAGTGGCCAAGTCCCATTAATTTGGGCATGTCCCACTTCTCCTCTTTCCAAATTTCTGAAGTATAGGTCAAGTCCTCATTAACCACTGAATATGCACCAAATGGAAGATTATGCAGTCATTAAAACCACTCATAAAAAGTATACAACATGAAGAAAATCATTCAAGTAAAAAGAACAGAAAACTGTACAAAATATTATATAATCACATCCATGTAAAAAAAGAATTTGGCATGGAAAAAGATGAAGAAAATAACATACTAAGAGGATCTCTGGTGGACAGGTACTTTGCCTTTACGTTACTGCATTTTGCAAATTTCCCGTAATAAGCAGTTATTATTCTAGAAGAAAATATAAATGAGCTTTATTTTTAAAACTTACTATTTTAGTTAGATAACAAATTACTCCTGAGGTTCAGAACTGTATATCAGAAATAACCAAAATAAACACAAGCATGCAGCTAATTCTTTAACCTAATTCCTTAAAAACTAAAAGGTGCTTTTACCCATGCCTCTTACTGCATTTCCACATGCCTAGAAAACCTCTCCTCTACAATGTTCCAGTGAGACTCCGATGTCAGCTTTCATAAAATAAGTTGTTCTTACCAACTATTCCACATTATTTTTAAAACTTCAGTGATCTGCTTTCTCCTAAACTCTAATTCTCATTTTTCCTTCCAAAGCATCCTAGATTTGCCTTTTCCTATTACCACTGGTACCCACTGGTACCTGCAATCCTCTTTTCTCTAGGAATCTACCCTTAATTCTAGTACAAAACTAATCTTTAAACACTGCTTTCATAAAATCACTTGTCTTTCTGAAATGTGCAAGAGCTTCCACTTGACTCAAATCTAAGCCTATTGTTGAACCACAAATCTCCACTCGACCTTACATCTTATTTCTTCAAACCAGGCAGAACTACACTGTTCCTTATATTTAAACCATGCCTACTCTGTTTTCATTGTGCTATTCCCAATTTTCCATGTAAAATGTCCTTCTTCTGGCCCCTGTTAATCTAAAGGCCAAGCTCAAGGCCCACTCCAAGTCCTCCAATCATCTCTTTAAGTATTCCAGCCTATACTCATCTCTCTTCTGATTCCCTGTTGCACTTACAGTTAGTATCACAAAGTGTAACAATTGTTCTGTGACTATTGTGTATAGATTGGTTTTGTTTCCACAAATAAGATACTAGACAAATAAGGTACCAGAAAGCAGAGACCAACAGACCCAAGGAAAACGCTAGACACATAAACAGTTAATACTAAATGAATAATTTTTTTCTACAGTCAAAATACTAATGCTCCAAACCATTTTTAAGTCGTCTTATTTGAAGTTATGTGAGCCAAAAAGTAAATCTGTCTCACATTTTATTTTTATCCTGCCAAAATTTAAAGTCTATAACTTGGTAGAAAAAAACAATCGGACAAGAAAGTTTAATTTTCCTCTCACTTAATTTTATCTGGTAAAACCAGGACTTCAGGAATAAAGTAGAACTGTACATTTCTCCCATCTCTTCTGCTCCTTTCAGAAGTATCTCCAACTCAGGAGATATGGAAAGTACCTTCTTTTCTTAAATTATATGGTAATATTTTTTGTCTGTTACAAAAATAATAAAAAGACATGCTCAACACATAATTAACCATATGACTATAAGTCTTTTTGATCAACTCAGGAAATAATTCTTGAACTACTTTTTGTTCAGAGAAAAAGTGCAGGATCTAGCGAAGTAATGTGATTGCTCAGGGTATCACTGACCATGCCCAGTTGTTCCTATTCTTCTTTCCTTTCCCAAGTTCGTCAAGTGTCTCTGAGGACTCAGTCAAGTGTCTCTGAAGATTTACCCTTCCCATTATTCTACCAAACCTAAACCTAAATTCAGCCCAACTGGAGACATTAAATTCTCTAGGTTTTCAAGGGTCACAGCATTAAGAGACTAGACAGCCTTGAGATAAGTACCAAGTTTATATAACATGAGTTAATAAAATAAATGGTCACAAGGACTCTTCCATTCAGTGTAGATTAACAACTATTTGCACACAGGCTTAAGCAGGACGAGCAAAGTGGAAAAATATTTCGCTAGTAGTATTTGTCCGTGTCCCAAGAAAATCTAGAAAAGAACATCTTTTTAATTGACATGTCAATAAATATAAACTACTATATTATTTATAATGTTAAGCTACCTGAAGCATGCCTCCCCTGATTCTGTGGCATTCTTTGGAAGAGATCATGGTTGTATTCATAATATCTGTAGTCTTCATGTGCACGATCTCCAAGTGGCCGCTTTCTCTGACCATCAACAAAATTGTCTGAATAATAATATCGGGAACCAGAGTCTCCATTTTCAACAGCAAAACTAACTTCCGTTACAAATGACTGAGAAGAACCATACTCTCTAGGGACATCTGCTAGACTTCTGGCAAGATAAGAAGGTGCAGATAATCTGTTGCTTTCTCTTCTCATTATTTTATGAGGTGTTCTTTGAATTGGAGTTCTAAGGAAACTCTGGTTTCTTGAAACTACTCCATCTCCAGAAGTTGAAAAGGCATTAGGGCTTGAATCTGGAAGACAGATATCAGTTCGTCCTGGAATTTTTGGACCATGCTGGATGAATGAAGGCATAAGATTCCGAAGCAGAGGCGACGTCTCCTTCTTCACGTACTTCCCCTGCACCTCGGCCGGCTTGGACACTTCGTTTTTGGTTTTCTGTCGGGACAGCATCCTTCTCGACCAGGCCCGAGGCCGCGCTGAACTGCCTCGCTAGGGCTCCGCGCCGGGCGCCGGCCGTCTCCGCCGCCACCTCCGCCGCCACCTCCGCCGGCGCCGCCGCCTCCTTCCCTCCGGAGCCGCCGCCTCCGCCGCTGCCTGTCCGGAGCCTGGGGTCGCCCGCAGGGACTGCCGCATGTTCAGGGCGCTAAACGCGCCGGCCGCCGCTCAGTCGCTGGTCACTTCCTTCCCGGAAGTCGGCCCGCTCTGCGACGCTGCTCGGGGACCCCTTGAGGAAAGCCCAGCGACGCCGGGCCAGCGCATTCTTATTTTATGTATGAGCAAACTATGGAATGGAAAAGAGATTATGAGTTATTACTTGATTTGATTTGCCCTAAGTGTTTTTTAAACGTATGGATTTAGCGCCAACATTTAAAAAGAAGGTATATTTTAATTAAAAATCAGGAATTGATTTAATTTAAAATTTGGCTCCTCTTACAGGAAGATCTGGCAAGAGTTAGCGTGCAGTTCTACATTGTGACAATTCATGAGAGCTAAGGACTGGCTGTCTCTTGGGACAAATAGGCTTTCTTGAGTCTGGTAAGTGCTCCACTTGATGCTTGCTTCCATTTCTTAGATTAGGTTCTACTGTGGTAAGGCCTCAAAATCTCAGTGTCTTGCAGCAACACTGGTTCATTTCCTGCTCACATTACATTTGGTCTATGACGGTGACAAGTTCCAGGATCCAGACTGAAGGAGCCACCCCCATTTGGAATATGCTGTTCTTGTTGCAAACTGGGGGAAAAAGGCCAGATAAGGAATGGCTTTTAATGCTTCCTCTCAGACTGTGTTATGGTTTTTTTCTCACATTCTATTAGCCAAAGTAAATCAGTGGCCAAGCTGACCTCAATGGGACAAGTAAATATAATTCTTCCAAATGGAAGTCCTGCAAGTCATAGGTCAATGGTGAGGATATATAAAACACTTACAGGAAGGGCCCTAATAATTGGGAGCAAAAACACAATCCATCGCATTCATTTATACTCTTTCTAAGCTTTTGGCATTTGGGTTTGGAAATCTAATTTATTTAGGAGTCTTCTTCAACACCTTCTAGTGATGAGATTTCTTTAACCCAGTTTTCAGTTTCCTTTCTTTAAAATTATAATGAGATGTGATGTGCGTTGAAGAAACCCCAGAAGTGAGAAACTCTCATCACTACAATGGTGATGTAGACAGTGGAAAACTGTTCCCAGTTGCCTCTAAGTCCATCGTGCTATACTGCTGGAATCAGGTATCATACATAATCTTTCTGCTGAGAATTGATAGGTCCAGCTTGTTCTACATCCAAATAATAATTCAACCAATGATTTGTGAGCACCTACCGGGCACTGTGCCAAGTGTGGAAGACACAACCTTCAGTAACTCAAGTTTCCCTTCAGGAACTGACAGCTTAATTTGGAAACAAATAAATTAAGAAGGCAATTGCATTATGGAGTGTCAAGTGGATGATAGTAGTAAGCAAAGGGTGTTATAAGGGTACATAAGAGGGGTACCTAACTCAGGGTTGAGGTTCTGGAAAGGTTTTCCAGAGCAAGCAATGAGACCTAAAGGATGAGTAGACAAGTCACGGGAGAAGTAAGAACATTTTAAGCAGAGAAAACAGCATGAGCAATGGTCTGATATCAAGAAAGGCAGAGATAGTGCAAGAATACACAATGTAGTAGTTTTCAAAACTGTTTGAAATTTTAATCTCACATTTGTTCTTTTCAATGTCTAGGATATCAATTCATTCTGCGATTTACCTTTGTAAAGATGAATTTAGCCCTGGTTCTCTATATGAATACTAGAGGAAGTA
Organism: Homo sapiens; assembly: GCF_000001405.40. Taxonomy (NCBI): domain Eukaryota; kingdom Metazoa; phylum Chordata; class Mammalia; order Primates; family Hominidae; genus Homo; species Homo sapiens. The sequence continues at coordinate 143,913,894 of NC_000004.12, forward strand.
TATTGATAAAAGAAAAGGAACAAATATGTAGTCATTTCTAAGATTTATTTTTATTAAAATGTAACACTCACAAACTGTAAGTGTGTAACTCATATATATATATACACACATATACACACACATACATGAGTATATGTGTGAAACTGTCACTCAAATCAAGACATAGAACATTTCAGATGTATTCCAGAGATCATGGTGGATGGGAGGCAGGACTGGATTGCAGCTCCCACTTGGACAGACAAAGCAGCGTGTGGAGGCTTGTATCATGAACTTTGACTGCAGGAATAAATCAGGAACACTGAGAGAACCCACAGACCCTCAGAAAGAAGCGGATTGCTCCTGCAGGTCTCAGGAGACACCCCAAATGCTGTGGGAGCCCAAACTGCAAACTGTGGAAGTGGGAAAGGGGAATAGTCAGCTCCTGAACACACATCCTCACTGGGGAACCTAAAGGTCTAGATCACAGGAGAAGATTTTGACCTTACTTGGAGCTGAGTCAATTTAGAGAGCCAAGTGACATACACTGCTAGAGAAAGCAGGGCGTAAGGCCCTGTGGGCTCACTGGGTTCCCTAGCCATCCATTTCTGCCTTGCCTCACGGGGGTCCTTGAGGAGGGCTACCAGAGGCACTGGGAAATGGTCACAAAGAGAAGGAAACTTCCAGCTGAACTTTAAAACAATTTGAACAGATTGAGAAGTCTCCTAGCCAGAACTTGGGGGAGGGCATGAATCCAGTGTGCAGACTCTACAGGTGGGGAAGTACCAAAGCCCTACTTGCTTTTGCAGCTGGGAGGCTGGTAGCCTGGGGCAAATTCTCAGCCCTGCTCACCCACTGCCTGGAAACAGACTCGGTGCTGTTGCAGGGGCTATGGTGGGAGTGAGACCAGCCCTTTGGGTTATGTGGGAGCTGGGTGAGGCCTGTGACTTCAACTTCCCTGACAACCTGCATGGGATAAAAATCAGGGATAAAAATCACTACAGCTCTGCTCTCAGGAAGCCACATCCCTGGGAAAAGTGGGAGAGTACTACATCAAGGGAACACCCTGTGGGACAAAAGAATCTGAAGAACAGCCTTGAGCCCTAGACTTTCCCTCTGACAGAGCCTACCCAAAGGAGAAGGAACCAGAAAGCCAACTGTGGTAATATGACAAAACAAGGTTTTTTAACACCCCCCCAAAATCTCACTAGCTCACCAGCAATGGATCCAAATGAAGAAGAAATCCCTGATTTACGTGGAAAAGAATTCAGAAGGTTAGTTATTAAGCTAATCAAGGAGGTACCAGAAAAGGCAAAGCCCAATTTAAGGAAGTGAAAAAAAATGATACAAGAAATGAGGGGAGAAAGTTTCAATTAAATAGATAGCATAAATAACAAACAATCAAAACTTCAGGAAAAAAATGGATGCGCTTATAGAAATGCAAAATGCTCTGGAAAGTCTCAGCAATAGATTCCAACAAGCAAAAGAAAGAACTTCAGAGCTCGAAGACGAGGTTTTCAAATTAACCCAAACCAACAAAGACAAAGAAAAAAGAATAAGAAAATACAAGGAAAGCCTGCAAGAAATCTGGGATTATGTTAAACAACCAAACTAAGAATTATCAGCCTTCTTGAGGAAGAAGAGAAATCTAAGTTTGGAAAACATATTTTGGGGAATAATCAAGGAAAACTTCCTGGCCTTGCTAGAGACCTAGACATCCAAATACAAGTGCAAAGAACACCTGGGAAATACATTGCAAAAAATCATTGCCCAGGCACATTGTCATCAGGTTATCTAAAGTTAAGATGAGGAAAAGAATCTTAAGAGCTGTGAGGTAAAAGGACCAGGTAACCTATAAAGGAAAACCTATCAGATTAACAGCAGATTTCTCAGCAGAAACTCTATAGACTAGAAGGGATTTCGGCCCTATCTTCAGCCTCATTAAACAAAATAATTATCAGCCAAGTATTTGTATCCACTGAAACTAAGCTTCATAAATGGAGGAAAGATACAGTCTTTTTCAGACAAACAAATGCTGAGAGAATTTGGCACTACCAAGCCAGCACTACAGGAGCTGCTAAAAGGAGCTATAAATGTTGAAACAAATTCTGGAACAACATTAAAACAGAGCCTCTTTAAAGCGTAAATATTACAGGACCTATACAACAACAACAATAACAAACAAACAACAACAACAACAGAACAAGGTATACAGGCAAGAAATAGCACAATGAATGGAATGGTACCTCACATCTCGATACTAACATTGAATATAAATGGCCTAAATGCTCCACTGAAAAGATACAGAATTAAAGAATGGATAAGAATTCATAAACCAACTATCTGCTCCCTCCATAAGACTCACCTGACACATAAGGACTCACATAAACTTAAGGTAAAGGGGTAGAATAAGACATTCCATGCAAATGCAACCAGAAGCAAGCAGGAGTAGCTTTTCTTTTTTTTTTTTTAATTTTATTATTATTATACTTTAAGTTTTAGGGTACATGTGCACAATGTGCAGGTTTGTTGCATATGTATACATGTGCCATGTTGATGTACTGCACCCATTTACTCATCGTTTAGCATGAGGTATATCTCCTAATGCTATCCCTCCCCGCTCCCCCCACACCACAATAGTCCCCGGTGTGTGATGTTCCCCTTCCTGTGTCCATGTGTTCTCATTGTTCAATTCCCACCTATGAGTGAGAACATGTGGTGTTTGGTTTTTTGTCCTTGTGATAGTTTGCTGAGAATGATGGTTTCCAGTTTCATCCATGTCTCTACAAAGGACATGAACTCATCATTTTTTATGGCTGCATAGTATTCCATGGCGTATATGTGCCATATTTTCTTAATCTAGTCCATCATTGTTGGACATTTAGGTTGGTTCCAAGTCTTTGCTATTGTGAATAGTGCCGCTATAAACATACGTGTGCATGTGTCTTTATAGCAGCATGATTTATAATCCTTTGGGTATATACCCAGTAATGGGATGGCTGGGTCAAATGGTATTTCTAGTCGTAGATCCCTGAGGAATCGCCACACTGACTTCCACAATGGTTGAACTAGTTTACAGTCCCACCAACAGTGTAAAAAATGTTCCTATTTCTCCACATCCTCTCCAGCACCTGTTGTTTCCTGACTTTTTAATGATCGCCATTCTAACTGGTGTGAGATGGTATCTCACTGTGGTTTTGATTTGCATTTCTCTGATGGTCAGTGATGATGAGCATTTTTTCATGTGTTTTTTGGCTGCATAAATGTCTTCTTTTGAGAAGTGTCTGTTCATATCCTTTGCCCACTTTTTGATGGGGTTGTTTGTTTTTTTCTTGTAAATTTGTTTGAGTTCATTGTAGATTCTGGATATTAGCCCTTTGTCAGATGAGTAGGTTGCAAAAACGTTCTCCCATTTTGTAGGTTGCCTGTTCACTCTGATGGTAGTGTCTTTTGCTGTGCCGAAGCTCTTTAGTTTAATTAGATCCCATTTGTCAATTTTGGCTTTTGTTGCCGTTGCTTTTGGTGTTTTAGACATGAAGTCCTTGCCCATGCCTATGTCCTGAATGCTATTGCCTAGGTTTTCTTCCAGGCTTTTTATGGTTTCAGGTCTAACATTTAAGTCTTTAATCCATCTTGAATTAATTTTTGTATAAGGTGTAAGGAAGGGATCCAGTTTCAGCTTTCTACATATGGCTAGCCAGTTTTCCCAGCACCATTTATTAAATAGGGAATCCTTTCCCCATGTGTTTAAAAGAATGTGATGCCTCCTCCCCAGCCACTTGCTCCCTCTTGCTATGTGATACACCAGCTCTCCCTTTGCCTTCTACCATGATTGGGAAGCTTTGTGAGGCTCTCACCAGAAGCAGATGTCAGCACCATGTTCCCTGTACAGCCTGTAGAAACATAAGTCAAACTAAACCTCTTTTCTTTATAAATTACCCAGCCTCAGGTATTCCTTTATAGTAATGTAAAATGGACTAACATACTGGGGGAGCCACATTATCTTCTTCCAAAAGCTGTTTCCAGACCTCTCCTCAATCACCTCTTTTATCAGAACCCTGGCCCAGGGTGTGCACTGCCCACCACTTTGCCCTACATGGGATTCATGGACAGAGCCTCTTCTCATTCCTTCCCAGGGACAGCTAACACAAGACTATCATATATGAAATAATTTTACTAAGGGTTTAGAGACAACAGAGAGGAATTCCAGCAGAGAGGAGAAAACAACACTGTGTCTGAAGCCTGCAAGCCATCTTCATAGGGAATCCCCTCTCGGTCAGCTCTCTTCTTGGTCCTGGCATGTCACTGTATTGCTATGATTCATTCCTCAGAATTGAATTCCTTCTCCTTTTTTTCTTACTTCCTCAGGACTCCATCCTCCTGGCTTTTCCTGTATTCTTCCTCAGTTGTTGAGGAAAAGCAGAATATTCCTTAGTTTTTCTTTTTAAACCCAAATTTCTGATTCAGAAAGGTACTCTCCTACTTTATTAAGCAGGGTAATACATCTCTTTATTGACTATGTTTTATAACAAAAGTCTTTTTTAATGAAAAATCAGTTGTCTCTGTACTCCGGATAAATTCTACAGCCCGATAAAATAGTTTTTAAAATATAATATTTTTTCACCTACTCAAATAATTGCCTCTCAGTGTAACAAATACCATGGTGGAGGTAAGTGCAAAGTGAAAGCTGTTAGAGCTGGAATATAGGGTCTGAGACCAGGCTGTAAACAGCTGGAGATGAGCCCCCAGCAAAGAGTTTCTGGATAATGTAATATGAATTTTGAAGGATAAGTAAGAGTCAACAAATAAAAAGAGAAGAGAATAGTGGAAGGGGTAAATATGGTGACTAAATGTGGAATATGCTGGCTTTGAAAGACTATGGAATATTCAAGTGGAGTAAATGTCCAAATATCTATGATAATTGAAATCACGGGAAAGAGTAAGTTTAGCAAGAGTGAGAGGAAATAGGGCTAAAATGTGCACTGGAGAACTGAACAAAGCATAGGAAGAAGAGTGGCCATAATGGGTCCAGGGAAGGAATGGTGTTGGAGAAATGAGAAATACCAGAGAAGGGAGGTGTTCCTAAAGTCACAGAAGGACAAGGAAAGAGGATTTTAAGAATGGAAAAACAGTCTTCAATACTGCAGAGAGATCAAGTAAGAATGATTAAGATCATCCATAGGGTTTAACACCAGCGATGTCATCCAGGCTCTTACATGATGAAGTTCTCCTAAGATGGGTCAGAGCTTGGCAGCCAGGTGCTCAAACTGAGATTTTTCTTCTCTTGAGACTCAGATTTCTGCTTACAATGTTGTATACTCAGACATTCATTCTGAAGTTCCATACCTGGTCATGGAAGAGCAATACATTTCTCTTTGAAGTTTCTTTCTTGAGCAATAGGACATCTATAGCACTGACTCCTGTTGCCTTTGTTATCTCACAACAATACGAGTGTCTCTCCACCTAATAACTCCTTCCTAGTAGTCTAGTCCTCAGTTGTTTTCCCCTTTACCTTTATTAGGAACTTAACGGGAATAGGCAAGTCATAAATGAAAATGCATGTCCATTCCAGATCTATTAAAAATATAAGTCAAGTCACAATAGTTATTTGCTCAGAATCCTCTAATAGTTCCACATTGTACTAAGAAAATCAGCCAAGGGCCTACATGATCAGTCCTTCCTACCTCTTTGACCTTGTCTCCTTCAACTCTCCCCTTTAGTAATTCTGTCTTTTGGGCTGCTACTTCAACAAGTCAGACCTCAGGACCTTTTTGCTTTGATGCATCCTTCTGGAATACTCCTTTGCTATATAATTTCTTGGCTCATGTCTCTTTTAAGATCTTTACTCAAATGTCACCCTTTAAAGATAGCTCCCTTGACTAACCTAAATTGCAACCAGTCCGTAACAATCTTTTTCTTACTTCCCAGCTTTAATTTTTTCTGTAGTACTCATGACCATTTAACATACTATATACTCTTTATCTCACTAGATGTAAGCTCCAGGAGAGAAGGATTTTTGATTATGTTTTTATTTCTGTATCTTCAGAATCTATAATAATTCCTGGCAGAAAATAGACTCTAAATAAATATTTGTTGAATAAATGAATGAATGAATAATAAGCTGGTCACTCCTCTCCACCTGCTTGGTCATCCCTGCAGGTCTCCCAACCTGCTAATAACCCCTCTCCACCTAACTAGGGGCCTCTGTGGCCCTGGGGACCTACAGTCATCCTAAGACCATCTGACTAGTAGGGAATGGGAGAGTGGTAGTGGGGCATGAAAGGTGGGATGTAGGAGAGAACACAGAGGAAGATTTCAAAGTGGGAAGAGTTGGGGAGAGCTCAGTCAGGTTCTATTGGCTGCACAATTGGAGATTAAAGCAAGTAAACAAATATTTATTCATAGGTGTAAGCATTTGTTTCAAGAAGGGCAATTTGAAAGGTACGGAGGGCTCCGGTCCAGTAGAGTTGATACTGCAACTTTTCCTTCAGTTCCTTTGGCTCTGCTTTTACGCTTCACTTATCCTATTTTTCTTTCAAATTTCAAACTTTTCTTTAAAAAATGCTACTGCCCTGTGTTGCCACTTTCTGCTGTCAGCTTGGTTGTTGAAGTAGAACATGCAGACAAACCACAGGAAGCTTTTCTTTTGTGCAAGTCAGAAGCTGAGATGAGTTTCTTTTTTTATTATTTTACTTTACATTCTGGGATACATGAGCAGAACATGCAGGTTTGTTACCTAGGTATACACATGCCACATGCCATGGTGGTTTGCTGCACCCATCAACCCATCGTCTACATTAGATATTTCTCCTAATGCTATCCCTCCCCTAGACCCCCACCCTCGACAGGCCCCAGTGTATGATGTTCCCCTCCCTGTGTCCATGTGTTGTCATTGTTCAAGTCCCACTTATGAGTGAGAACATGCGGTGTTTGATTTTCTGTTCCTGTGTTAGTTTGCTAACAATGATGCTTTCCAGCTTCATTCATGTCCCTGCAAAGGACATGAACTGAGATGAGTTTATCTATCTATACTTTACATATGAGAGATCAGCAGGACATGGGTTTGAATGCAGTGTTTTGAGTAAGAGTGTTTTTGAATTTTGTTACAAGGGCAACTGTTTCTAAAACAACATTTTGACCCAACTGAGCTGTGTTTTTTAAATCCCTTCAATGGAGTCTCTGTCTCTCTCTCTTTTTTTTTTTTTCTCTGAAAGCAGATATTGACTTTAGACAAAGACTCATTCTTCCCGAATACACACCAAAAAGGTGATCTGGCTGTTAAAACAGAACTGACAATTCTTCAGGCAGATATTTCAAGGCTAAGTGTTTTTCCCAAGGCTGAGTATTTGATTTAAAGCAACAAAACAAGCTGGCAGTTACAGGCTGGACTTGAAACATTCTCAGTATCAGTGATGAAGTGCATCACGCGCTCTTGGGTTTTCTTCCCAAGGCATCTAAGAAGCAGCCAGATTTCCAGTTTGTGTGAACCAAATGACAGCCTAAGGAAGTGAC